>NC_000005.10:140078659-140703659 GCF_000001405.40 Homo sapiens | reverse complement strand
TCAAAAGTAGTATCTTCCAAAATTAGGTTATTTTAAAAACCATGCCTTCTGTCTTTGTTTGGGTTACTTGCTCTGGGGAAGCCAGTTGCTTTATTGTGAGCAGTCTTATAGAAAGGTCTATGGGGTGGCCGGGCATGGTGGCTCACGCCTGTAATCCCAGCACTTTGGGAGGCCGAGGCGGGCGGATCACCTGAGGTCGGGAGTTCGAGACTAGCCTGACCAACACGGAGAAACCCCGTCTCTACTAAAAATACAAAAAAATCAGGTGGTGCATGCCTGTAATCCCAGCTACTTGGGAGGCTGAGGCAGGAGAATCGCTTGAACCCAGGAGGCGAGGCTGTGGTGAGCCGAGATCATACCATTGCATTTCATCCTGGGCAAGAAGAGTGAAACTCTGTCTCAGAAAAAAAAAAAAAAAGAAAAGAAAAAAGAAAAAGAAAAAAGAAAGGTCTATGGGGCAAAGAACTTAGGCTTCCAAACCACAGGCATGTGAGAGAGCTTGGAAGCAGATCTTCCAGCCCCACTTAAGATTCATATGAATGCAGACCTACCTTGCCAACTCCTTGATTGCAGCTTCATGAAGACCCTGAGCCAGAACCACCTAGGTAAGCCACTCCCAGATTCCTTACCCAAAGAAACTGTGAGTGGTGTAGTTTATGCTGCTAAGCTTTAGGTTAATTTGTTAATTTACATAACAATAGATAACTAATACAGACAGGAATGGACAACAGTGGGTTTACTAAGCAGCTCAGAGAAGTGTCACTCATTGCTATCTGTGTTGCTCTCCTGCCAGAAAACCTAACTGGACAGAGAAGCAGTGGGGGGCAAAAGGGTGACAAGCTCTTGTAGGACCCTTCTTCCTATAGGTTATAGTCTTGGAAGAAGGTGTACAATCAGGCATCCATAACAACTACAGCCTTTGCAGCTAGTCTGGAACCTCAAACCCCTCTTCTTCACCATTAACAACTCCTAGGCTCTATTCTAGCTCCACCTAATTTCTCTCCTAGAAATCTCCTCAGTAGTCCTTTCCTTCATTTCTTCTTCTGACAGATCAAATAATCCCTTTTAAAATATTAATAGTAAATCAGAATTGATAACAAGTACAATGGCAATAAAAAATTTAAAAACTATATTGAGTAGTAGCTGTAGTGCTCATAGTATGATTTTTGTTTGTTTTGGTTTTTTTAATTGAGACAGGGTCTCACTGTGTTACCCAGGCTGGTCTTGAATTCCTGGGCTCAAGCAATCCTCCTGCCTTGGCCTCCCAAAGTGCTGGGAATACAGGCGTGAGCCACTGTGCCCAGCCAATGCTAATAACATGAAGAAACCCACTGAGTGACCACTCCTAGAGACACTATCATGTCAACTTGAGACCTTGGGAGACACAGAAAAACAAATATAAAGATAGAATTACAGGCAAGAAGGACGTAATCCTGGGGCCAAGGACCTTCCTTAACACTTCCTAAAACCAAAATAGGTGGCTTATTAGATGCATTCTTGGCTGCAGAGGAAAAATGATAAGCAACTCACCCTCCCATCTCAGATTGAGGGGTTGTCTTGGTAATGACAATTGTCTTCCCAAGCTTGGATTCCAAGTCCACCTTGTAGTCCCTATGCCGTAAAAGCTCTCGCTTGACAGGCTGCACTGGTTTTCCTGAAACATAATGGGGAAGGAAGTCCCTTCAATATTATAGTTCCTCAACCAGAAAGGAAAAAAAATGCATGAAATCCAAAATTCAGGTCTTACTCATTTCAAAATCATTCCTGAAAGGACACAACAGACACTTAAAGTAGCAGCTGGGGAGAATCTCAACACAGGAAGAAATCATAAGCAATCCTCAACTCTACAGCTTTTCTCCACTTTAAAGCCAGCAAATCTAAAAACAGTATGTTTTATATTCATTGATTAACTGAATTGTGGGGGAGAATTTCTGAAGAATTACTAGAAGCAACTTTTTCAAAACGGGAGCAAGGACATTCAAGAATGCTTTCAGGCAGATACCCTAGGCATAACGGAAAGGAACCTTCTGAGAGCTGGGCAAATTTATAAAAGGGGACCAACATCTAGGAAATGCCTGTTACATGTCAAGCACTATTTATTTTACATGTTACATAAAAAATGAAAGAGTTAGTGAGTGCAAGGTGGCCTGGAGGTAAAGGGAAAGAAGAATGTACACGTTTGAAACAGATGACAAAATAAAACATTTCTTTATGCAATCTCTTAAACAGGAGAGAAGCACCAACTCCCTGATGTACAAGGCACAGAGAAACAGCACTACTAAGCTCTAGCTGAAACAATCACAGATCCTGCAAAGTTCCCCGGCTTTTCTCAGACTATATGGGAGGGTCTTGATTGGGCCAGGAATGTTCTCTCCCTTAAGAAATTTCAAGGGAAAGAGGGGGGTCACTGATAGCGGTAATGCACAGCAGCAAAATACTCTACTTAACTTCTCTGTCACTACTAAGGATGCCGTTATCTTCTCTGTACTTCAGGAAAGCATTAAACGAGCCAAGCAAAGGGTGGGCAAGGAAGCAGAGTGAAATAGAGCTGAAGAGCATCTCAAAACTACTTACTTCATCCCACCTCCTCGCTCTCATTTTGTAAATGCAGAAACCTAGGCCCAGGGAAGCAGCACTCTGCCAGAGCTTACACCGCGTGGGAAGGCAGCGCACTTCAACTCCCACCCGCTCTCCATCATCGCATCGCCTCTGTGATACCCTTAGCCCTTGATGTAGTTAGCACCCACCATCTTTCTTTTCTCTCTCTTCCGTGAGCCTCTTCTCGGCGAGTTTCTCATATTCATCTTTGTCCCACTTTCGGCGAAAGTCCAAGTTTTTTGTCTGTGGGGAGGAAAAAGCGTCAAGATCCGTCGCCGTGTCTGGGCCCCTAGAGAAGCAGGGAACCGCGCCCTCGCGGTCCAGGTGTCTACAGGACGTTTTGAAAGCAAAGCCTCTTTGGACTGTACGAGAAGACTGAGGTAGCCTCAAGACCCCAACCCGAGAAACCTCCGCGATTCTACTGACCCTCTGCCAAGGCCTATTACTGGGGAGTTCTTGAACCTGAACCCTGGGATCTCGAGGAGATATCGGGAAGCCAGTCGGGTGCAGGAGTTTGTCTCTATTCAGGTCTGAAAAACCATTCCCCACCCCGCAAAACCTCCTCCTCAGACACAACACCTACCCCGCTGCCCGACGCCATCTTCACAGCGAAGTGAATGGCGAGCTGAAAAACGCCGTAAAAAGCGGCTTGGAGCCGTAAGGCAAGATAGCCCTCCAATAAGCTTGGAGTCTTGTGTTCTAAACGAGCTAAGGACTGGAGGGTTTCTAAAACAGGCTTGTTGGCCCCGCCTCTGCTCCAAGGAGACAGCGCAGGCGCAAGAGGAGTATGAAGCAACACGGAAGTAAGGGCGCTTGCAATTGTTTTTTGCCTTGGATTTCAAAACAAGCATTAAAGGGTCAAGATTTAGTTCAACTATTTTACAAACAAGGAAACTGAGGTTCGCAAAACAGTGGTCTCTGATCTAGTCTAGCAACTTTGCGTCCACTGCCAAGAATTTCTAAACCTTTTTTAAGGCCGAAGCGCCATTAGGGGGTCTAGATGCCTCTCATTCACCTGCATGCACTAGGGATATGACCCTAAACTACACTGAAACGTTTGCAACAGAGGCACCCTTCCCGACGCACATATAAAAAGCATGTTTTGCACTTGGGCTCTTTTCCTTGAAGCAATGCTACCACCCTTTGGTTCACTTATTTTTCCATCATCTGGGGAACTTTATAGTAGAACATAATTTAATCAGCATAATTGGATTTGGAAAGGCCAGTCATCAACAACACTCTAGAGTGAAGCACTGTGGCATACCGGCTCACTATATGTTGATTTTTAGCAACAAAACTACCTCTTGGCCGGGCACAGTGGCTCATGCCTGTAATCCCAGCACTTTGGGAGGCTGAGGTGGGTGGATTATGAGGTCAGGAGTTTGAGACCAGCCTGGCCAAGATGGTGAAACCCTGTCTCTACTAAAAATACAAAAATTAGCTGGCTACTCGGGAGGCTGAAGCAGGAGAATCTCTTGAACCTGAGAGGCGGAGGTTGCAGTGAGCCGAGATCACGCCACTGCACTCTAGCCTGGGTGACAGAGCAAGACTCCGTCTAAAAACAAACAAACAAAAAAACTACCTCTTGAGGAGACAGGGAAAGAGGGAGAAACTGTGGCTGCTCATCACTGAATACAGAAGCATCATCCCAGGGAGGTTACTTCTACCTCACAGAATTCTCCAATGTACACTCAAGCATTTTCTATGGTCTATGCAAACAAAGCCCTTGATAACAATAACAAATTACCCAAACTACTACACTTAATATTTTATTTAACATGTTATCCAACCACTTCTAAAACAGCCTCCATGGCACGGTATGGAATAGAGCAGTGATTCTGGCACAGGAAATGGTCTCCAAAATCTCAAAATATCAGATCTCTACCTTGTCAAGTCATCTATTAAGTTCAATGTTCAAGATTATCAAGCATACAGCCCCACTCTTCTACTGTAAGCAATGGATGGGCTAGAGAGATGTCAAATCAACATGGGTACTGCCATGCCCTTAGGATAGCATCTGTCCTCAAAGCTGAAAGCAGCCATTGCCCCTCTTTGCTGTCTTCCAAAAACTCCCCAGACAGGCCAATGGCTGATTGTGGACAAATTCACCAGAATCTGGTTCCGTAGCTACAGTAGAAGGCTAAGTATCTGGTTTCTGATCTCAATGGTTCAGAATCCTGAGCCTGAGGTGACTCTCCCAGAGCCTTGCTCACAGCAACAATCTCACTACCTCTTGACAACGTTCCGTGGCACTTCAAATTTGCCTCTGCAGCTAGAGCATGTCTCTTTCACATCCAGCCATCTGCACCCATGCAGAATAGCTGCTCACACTAGCCCAGGAGTCCTCAGGGTCTTCTACAGTTCTGCACCCAGGAAGAATGGAGGAGGCAGAAGGTACTTGTCACCCTTCCTGGCTAGTTGTTGTGAAGTCCATCACTCAATTCCAGAGGAATTCAGTTCTAGAGGAAACCTTTTCTACAAAGAGCAGCAGATGGGAATCAGGCAAGGATCAAGACTCAGACAGTCGCTTCTGAATTTCAGCCACAAAATTTTCCCGTTTAATGGCCACCTGAAACATAAGAGAATCCTCATGTGATAAACTAGAAAGTGATACTAACTCCTTAGCCACTGTTTTTCCAGATTTGTTTTACTCTGCATCTTCTCCCATTACTTATACAACCAGAAAGGAGTAGTGTGGGTTGACCTGAAGAATGTATACCCTCAAGATGAAAGGGATTCAAACACCTGATCTATGTCTATTATGTTGATTAGTCTCAAAATACCCATTCGGATTTCATTTGTCTTTCTTCTGGCCACCCAGTCAATACTCACAGGCAGCAATGGTCATCTTGAGTGAGTGTTTGTTCATCTCTACCACTATTAACCATGAAGATAATTTCTCAGCCAGAAGATGCATATTTCTTACAGAATCTGGGAAAGGCAGAAATACTTCGTCCCTTCTATTTCTGCTGCCGCCACTCACCTCCTCTCTGCTGGCCACTGAACGGATCTTGATGACCCCTTCTTTCAGTTCTTGCTCACCAATAATGACCACCAGTGGAATGCCTGTGCTCTCACAATAGTGCAGCTGGGTTAATAGTTTGGGGTTGTTCTTGTATAGCATCTCTGCCTGAAAAGGATCAAGACAGAGTAAGGGACTTAGAAGTGAACACAGCAACAAACCTCAGGAACATGGATATCCAAGAAAGCCAGAGATAAGTGGCTAGTCCGCCTACCCTAAAAAGCCAATCTAGTAGCCAGTAGTAGCTAGCAGACTAAAAAGGTTTTGAGTTCCACCCCAGACATAAGATAGATATAGCCCTGGGTCCTAAATTCCACACATACCCAGATGGCTCAGATATCAGCTCCACCATACCTTGATTCCAGAATCCCAAAGCTCTGCAATAAGCTTCAACCGTTCTTGGAGAAAGTTCTTCTGTGGTGTGGCCACAAACACTTGAGTCTCTGTAGTCCGCACCTTCTCACCTTTGGTCTAATAAGAGAGAAGAAAGTAAAACTAATAAAAACCTCCTTTCCACCAGCAATTCCAAAAATCAAGACAAAAAGAATCATCAGAAAACCACTCCAACTACACCTCCAGAAACAGGAGGGTTTTTAGGTCTCCAGCCCCACCTCACACCTATCTAGGACCTACCTTCATCCTCTGCTCCACAATGTAGAAGATTCGCTCAACCCCAATGCTGAGTCCCACACATGGCACCTTGTGGCCCTTGGGGTCAAACATGCCCACCAGCCCATCATAGCGCCCACCAGCAGCCACACTGCCCACATTCAGGGGCTCCTCCCCAGCCTGAGTTGGGGTCTGCAGCAGCACTGCTTCATAGATCACTCCTGTATAGTAGTCTAGGCCCCGAGCCAGGCTGAGGTCAAAGGAGATCTGTGGGGACAAGATTACAGTCAGTCCCAAACTAGACTCGGGACCCTGAGAGCCCTAGAGCTCAGCAGGAGGTCCATTTGCAATTCAGCTTACCTTATCAGCAATTCCAAATAAAGTCAGGTATTCAAATAGCAGCTTTAGGTCTCCCAGGCCCTCCAGGGCCTGCTTGTTCTGGGATAGTCTGGGATCCTGAAACATTTGCTCTACTAGGGATACCCCACCTGGAGAGAAATAAAGTCTCTGCTGTTCACTCACATGTGTTTCATTCAAAATTATCCCTAATGTGCTCTAGCTAGTCTTCCTCATTTTCTTTAAAAAAAAAAAAAAAAAAAAAAGATCCCAGTCTCACATGACAAGACCCTCCTCCTTTGCCTCTAGCTTTGCCATCTGAAGACACAAAGTCGTTACAATAAGTAAAAGAGAAATTAAATTCAGGACAGGCCCTGGAGCTTAGCATATCTACAGAAAAGAGTTGTTTCAGAGGTAGAATTTGAGCACATGTCACCTTCAGCCTGGTTCTATCACAGCTCTGAAAACCCTGGTTCTTACCATGACACTGGACATAGTCCCCAATTCGATCAGCCACCTCAGGAGCCAGGCCTTTCTTCACCACCATCTCATGTCTCACATCTTTCCAAGCCATCTGCATAAACACCCAAACATTAGCCCAGCCCCAAGATCTTTCTTTCTCAAACTGAAAAAGGACAACTCAACTTCCATTCAGTATATACATCACAAGTAGCTAACTGTATACTCAGCAAAGTCAGAGACAGCTTAAGAAATCCAGTCACAATCCCCACTGTATAGCATGACTCAGATCTTCCTTCAGAGTATGCCTCCTTACCTTCCACCCCAAAATAGCCCACTTCCAGCCACAATCTCCTTATTTTTCACTAGTGGTATGGATTTGAGGGCAGGGCAGAAGCTAGATAGGGTCTACTGAAGTATGTCTTCTTTGTTACCTTGTCTAGTTTATCTATGGAGGAGCAGATGGCACGGAACTTGCTTTCAGGAACACCACAGACAGCAAACATCCCATCCACAATCCGCCGGTCATTTACCTGAGAACTCAATGTCAGTGACCCAAGTGCTTGTCAATGCCCTTCCACTCAAAACAATGGCAGTACCTACTTTCCTGACACACAAAAAGGATGGAAATTTCACAGGAAGAGTACAGACATATAGGAAATACAACAGCTTTACTAGGAAAGTCCTACAGTTGCAGGCTTAAGGGTTGGAGTCACCCAAGTTTGGGACTTGCATAAACAGTATTAGGCCAAATCCAGACTTCTCCCACAGTTCTCAGCCCTGGCCTCACCTTAATGAGAAAGTCTCCCAACTGCAATCCACTTAGGATTTCACACATGATCTTCAAACACTCTGCATCGGGGATCATAGGGTCAAACTGACCAGCAATGTCAAAATCCTACAGCAAAGAAAAAGATGGGAAAAAACATCCATTATCCAGCCAGTTTCAAGGTTGTGGCCCCTAGAACTATCAAACTGTGCTGCTCCCATCAGGTCACTTACACACTGGCAGAACTCCCTATAACGGCCTTGGACTATGGTTGGGCTCTCTCGCCGCCACACCTTTCCAACATGATAACGTTTCATCTTCTTCACCTTATTCATGGCCAGATAACGAGCAAAGGGAACCTCACATAAATGGGTTAAGGAAGAGGGATACTGCATCCAAAGATTAGGCCCAGTATACAGACATTAGGGAGGACTGGGCCTGGATCTCATCCACTAGGGTAAGAACAAGGACCTTCCCTTTTTTCCACTATCCCCAAGGCCTAGCAGTGCTTGGAATTCAATATATATTGAATAGTGTCAAATGAAGGAATCTCACCTAGCAAAACTAAAAGTTCAGCAGAAAGCAAGGCAAGTAGAGATAGAAGTGACCCAAGAACTAACTTCAGGTCTTTCTGCCCATTCAGATCGATTCCGAACCATCTCAAAATAGTCAAGCTTCAGAACTTGGATTTGCCTAACAACTTCTAAGCTACTGGTTCTGAAAGTGCAGGGAAAGGACTACATGCATCTTAATTACCCACGATGCTTGTTTAAAATGCAGACTGTAGGCCAGATGCAGTGGCTCACACCCGTAACCCCAGCACTTTAGGAGGCCAAGATGGGAGGATCACTTGAAACGATGAGTTTACAACCAGCCTGGGCAACAAAGACACCCATCTCCACAAAAAAAATTTTTTTTTTGAGACAGAGTTTTGCTCTTGTCACCCAGGCTGGAGTGCAATGGCGCAATCTCGGCTCACTGCAACCTCTGCCTCCTGGGTTCAAGTGATTCTCCTGCCTCAGCCTCCCTAGTAGCTGGGATTACAGGCACCTGCCACCACAGCCAGCTAACTTTTTACGTCAAAAGAGATCTGTGGAGACAAGGTGACAGTCAGTCCCAAACTAGACTCAGAACCTGAGAGCCCCAGAGCTCAGCAGGAGCTGAGTAGAGATGGGGTTTCACTATATTGGCCAGGCTGGTCTTGAACTCCTGACCTCAGGTGATCCACCTGCCTCAGCCTCCCAAAGGGCTTGGATTACAGGCGTGAGCCACGTGTCTGGCCAAAAAAAACAATTTTTTAATACAAATTATTGAGCCCCATTCCAGCTACAGAATTAGCTAAGAATCTCTGGGACTGCAGCCAAATGTCTGTGCTTCTGCAAGCTCCCCCAAAGGATTATGATACACACTAGAGTTAAATGACAGGGCTCCAGGCCAGGCTTCCGTAGCAGAACTGCCTTCTGGGAGAAACTAGAAGTATAGGCAATGGACCTCTAAGATCCCAAAGTCACGTTCTCCACTTTTGTCAGAGAAAGCCCGCTGGATTTGGAAAGAGACAGGTCAGGCTCCAGTACTCAAAAGGATACAGTAAGGTCATAGCGGAGGGACAACAGCTCTCCACCTTGATCCTTCAGATCATACATGAGCCCAGAGTCCTCTCCATACTTCTCAGTCAGGGTTTCCTATAGGGGTCAAACAGAATGAGCCACAGTTGAAAGCATGACTCCAAAACACAGATGAGAAGCCCTTTGGGACACTGAACGCCATTGAAGAAGTGAGTGAGGTTGCACGTACTCTTTCTTCTCCCCTTACCTTCAGCTCAAATGCTGGGGTGTCCATCCCCTTTGCTCCATGACGTTTAAAGCAGCTGATAACCAAATCAAGAATTTTCTCCCTCACAACCATATGCTGAGGACTAAGATCCCTGGTACCCTGGAAACCAAAAGCAGCCATAGTGAAAACAAAAACAAAAAATAAGTCCATTTCAGACAAGGAGTTAAACTACACTTATTATGTAATCTCAGGTCTGGAGCTGAAATCTACTGAGTTCAAATGACTCTGAGCCGCACCTAGTATCTCAAGAATAGTATATATTTTTAAAATTTACTGTAAAGAACATTAAAAGGGGTCAGAGAGACATGCAAGGCAGAGGTCAGTCCTCCAAGGCACTCTAATGGGATAGGGTAGGCAAAAAGTATTACCTTTGGGGTCTTGATAATAAAATTTGGTTTCTCTTGATGTGCTTTCAGTTGGGATGTTAACACTGCCTCTGCAACCTGGCAGAAGAATGAATGTGAGATGTGGCTTCTCTGGACACTGGCCAGACCTGTGGCATCTCTGACCCTGTTGACCACCAACCTGCAAAGACTCTTCACCCTGAGCAACAGGAAGCCAAAGCACCATTTCATCTATCCCAATCTCAGTCCCACCCCAAAGAATCTATGTTGTATTTACAATTACACGTGTAATATATATGAGGTCAGGTCTTCACCACACAAGCTTCCTCACTGTATATGGATTTTTTTTTTTTTTTTTGAGACAGAGTCTCGGTCTGTTGCCCAGGCTGGAGTACAGTGGCACAATCACGGCTCACTGCAATCTCTGCCTCCTGGTTCAAGCAATTCTCCTGCCTTAGCCTCCCGAGTAGCTGGGACTACAGGCGCGCCACCACCACGCCCAGCTAATTTTTGTATTTTTAGTAGAGATGGGGTTTCACCATGTTGGCCAGGCTGCTCTTGAACTCCTGACCTCGTGATCCAACCGCTTCAGCCTCCCAAAGTGCTGGGATTACAGACATGAGCCACCGAGCTCAGCCGCATTTTTAATATTCTCAAATACTTTAAGAATCTGAGAATAATGAAGGCACTGAACAACCCACCACTACCAACACCAACCATTCAGGGGTAGGGATTATGGTGATCTTCTCCAGGTCACCGTTCCTACTGAAAGAGCAAAAATAATTTTTTTTTTTTTTTCAGATAGAGTCTTACTCTGTCGCCCAGGCTGGAGTGCAGTGGCACGATCTCAGCTCCTGCAACCTCCGCCTCCCGGGTTCAAGCGATTCTCCTGTCTCTGCCTCCCGAGTAGCTGGGATTACAGGCACATGCCACCACGCCCGGCTAATTTTTGTATTTTTAGTAGATACGGGGTTTCGCCATACAGGTCAGGCTGGTCTCAAACTCCTGACCTCAGGTGATCCACCCCCCTTGGCCTCCCAAAGTGATGGGATTACAGGCATGAGCCACTGTGCCCGGACAAAAAAATAATAATTTTTAATAAGGTAGCACTGGTTATCAGGTTTAGAGAGAGGAAAACTGTAACTTGAAGACAAGGGAACCAGCTCAAGGACACAGAACAAGCCTGTGGAATGATAAGATATGGATTTCTTGAATGAGCTAAAAAACTCAGACTGATAAGATGCTGTGATTGAATATCAATAAAAGATCTGTGCCCTATTGTTCACGATAGCACAAAGCATCTGCTAAGAGAGCATTAGAATCTTTCCGAAGTAAGGCAAAACTTAATCAGTGACATTACCAGCACGCTGTATGCCCTTCCAAAAATAGAGGATGTGGTGGTTCCATACTATGGCGATTATCTGCCCTAAGAGAAGTCCAAGTTCAAGTACACAATCCCTTATCTGCAATTCCAAAATCCAAAACTCTCTGACATCTGAAAATGTTTTTCTGAGATTCATTTTGAGGTAAATTCTAAGATGAACTCAGTCTACTTCTGATCTTTAGTCATCTCATTTACTAGGAATATTCATATATTTCGCTTAAAAATGTTACTGTTTGAGTCCAAGAGTTTCAGGAAAAAGTGTGGATATGAATTAAAATACTCCCTTACTACATATCCGTGTATAAGTCATTCATTTAATCTTGCAGCCTCCGTTTCCTCAACTGCAGAATGGAAATCAAAACTCCAACCTCTCAAGATTGCTCCAAGGATTAAATGACCAGGCATCCAAATCGCTTAGTTCAGTGTCAGTACATAGTGGGCACTCGATAAAAACCGATTGTAACACTACTGGAATACAGGCCGCGAGGCTATGCGTTCAGATCTGGAGACCCTGCTGGGACAGACCAGAGATAATTCTGTCTCGCTCACCTGGCTTTGGCAACGGACCGCCCCGGTGCACGAAGCGCAGGGCGGTCGCAGGAGCTGGCTGAGCAGCGAAGCCCAGGCCCTCCTGGGAAGAAGTCCGAGCAGGGGCATCGCGCGGCAGGACGCCGGCTTTCCGGGACAGGAACAAAAGGCCTGGGAAGGAGGCGGGTCAGACACCAGGAAGGGTGGAGGGCACTGCAAAGGCGGAACCCGCGCACCAGGGAAAACTCGGGCGTTTGCGCACCTCACTAGTCACGAAGGCTGAGGTGGGATCCTCCCAAGTTCCCTTAGTAGCCAGCTTCGGCACTTCCGGGAGGAGCCGGAAATAATTTTTGTGCTCGGCGGAGGCTCTCTAGGCGTGCGACCCAGCGACTCGATAGCCGGAAGTCATCCTTGCTGAGGCTGGGGCAACCACCGCAGGTCGAGACAGCAGGCGGCTCAAGTGGACAGCCGGGATGGCAGAGCGTGCGGCGCTGGAGGAGCTGGTGAAACTTCAGGGAGAGCGCGTGCGAGGCCTCAAGCAGCAGAAGGCCAGCGCCGAGCTGGTGAGATTTAGGCAGCAGGGGAGAGGGCCAAGGCAAAGCCTGGGAGGACGTAAAGCCAGGGTGTTCGGGACATAGGGTAGAGATGTGAGGGAAGCGACCAGTCTTGTAGGGAGGAGAGTGGGCTGCGTGGGGAGACATCCGGGGTGGGTCCCGAGAGAAACAAAGCTAGGCCTGAGCAGAGAGATGTGATGAGGGAGGAATATTGAATGAATGGCGGGGGAGGGAGGAGAGTGACAGATGGATAGCTCAGCGCCTTCTTTCCCTCCACAGATCGAGGAGGAGGTGGCGAAACTCCTGAAACTGAAGGCACAGCTGGGTCCTGATGAAAGCAAACAGAAATTTGTGCTCAAAACCCCCAAGGTAATATCATTCCTGTAGGGAGCCACTGAGAAAGTCTCTAACTCTACTCACGGGGCGCTTATGTCTGCCTCCCTAAACCAGGTCATTGAGGAGGATCTGAAATGCTGCAGAGGAGAGGACAGTCGCTCTGGGCGCTGGGCTGGACTGGACTCTACCTGAGTCATTCTGGGATGGCAAAGTGATGGCAGAAACTAGGCCAGCTGGGTGATCAGGGGAGTCAGCCTGCTGCTGCTACTCCTTCGTTCATTCAATAAATGTGTATTTAGCGCTATGTCTCTAGCACTATACAAAGCACTGAATATATACCATGGTGGACAATATAGCCTACCCTCATGGAGCTTACATTCTACTGAAGGAGAGAGACTTAGAACAAATAATCCCACACAGATTTTTTTGTTTTTTTTTTAAACAGAGTATCCTCTGTTGCACAGGCTGGAGTGCAGTGGCACATCTTGGCTCACTGCAGCCGCTGCCTCCTGGGTTCAAGCGATTCTCCTGCTTCAGCCTCCTGAGTAGCTGGGACTACAGGTGCCCACCACCATGCCCAGCTAATTTTTGTATTTTTAGTAGAGACGGGGTTTCACCATATTGGCCAGGATGGTCTTGAACTTCTGACCTCAAGTGATCTGCCCGCCTCAGTCTCCCAAAGTGCTGGGATTACAGACGTGTGCCACCGCACCCGGCCACCACATGTGGTTATGTAATTACATATTGTGAAAAATGATATAAAGAAATTAAGGTTGCTCTGAGAAAAATAAGGGAGAACTGGGGAGTCTGAGAAAGGCTAACTGAGGAAGTGATATACTAACTGATCTAATGAATGAGTAGGAGATAGCCAGAGGACAAGTGTGACAAAGATAGGTCCAGGTAGAGTATGGAAACCCTAAAGTGGGAAAGAACTTTGGTAGTTTTGAGGAACTAGAGGATGATCTACATGGCTAGAACTAAGTTAAGGAGAGTAGAGTGGAATGAGGTTGGAGATTCTGAGCTCATCCTCCAGTTCAGTTCCACTTTCTGTAAGTTCTATAAACAGAACTGTTTACCCCTTCATCTAGGTGCTCTTGGCACTTCATACATATTTGTTATTACACCAACTTTAAGTAGTTATTTATGTCGTTTATTTACCCTGAGACTGAGACTAGATGCCTAAATAGGTATAGTCAGCCCTCCATATCCCAAGGTCCCACATTCACAGATTCAACCAACTGTGGATCAAAACCATTCAGGGGAAAAGAAACGATTAAGAAAAAAAATCTGGCTGAGTGTGGTGGCTTACACCTGTAATCCCAGCACTTTGGGAGGCCACAAGGGGAGGATCATTTGAGCCCAGGAGCTTGAGACCAGCCTGAGCAACATAGTGAGTCCCTATCTCTAAAAACAAACAAACAAATAAAAACCTTTTGAAATCTAACAATAAAAATTTCAAATAAAAAATATAGTATAGCAACTATTTACATAGCCTTTACATTGTCTAAGGCATTATAAACACTCTAGAGACTATTTAAAGTATATAGGAGGATGTGCATATAATTTTATGTCAAGGGCTTGAGCATCCATGGATTTTTGGTATTCACATGGGGCCCAGAACAAATCTCCTGTGGATACTGAGGGATGATTCTATTTAATACATGTATTTGAAATTGAATTCCAAAGGAGAGGGGAGATGGTCTGTTTTCCTTGTGTTAAGGTTAATTCTTTGGGATCCTAAATTCATTGAGCTGTTTCTTTCTACATATAACTAATTTTTGAAGGTTAAAGAGACAGTGTAAAATCCCAAAGTGGTGATCATCAATGATTTTTCAAACTATTAGATGAAAAGCTTACTGTGGAATTTATGATGGATCAGTCTGTCCTCACTAGTGATCAGTTTTAACATCACTAAAAGTAGGACAACTAGACATTATGTTCCTGCTGATGTGATGCAAGAAGAAGTACACAGCACCACCTGGGAAGTATTCTTGCCAAGTAAATTGAACTTGAATCTAATCAGATCTTTGGACTAACTATCAGTTTACAGGAAATACTAGAGATGGAGGAACATGTTAGATGGCACATCAAGCATATTGTTCACCAAATCTAGAATGTGAAAATTTTTTTTTAGGACAAATGGCCCAATTTCCTCAGTTAATAAATGACCTTTTTAAAATAAAAAAAAAAAGTTGGGGAGGGAAGGAAACTATTGTAGATTAAATAGACATATCAGCTGATTACAACGCATAGACTTCATTCTGAAGCTGATTCAAATAAATCAACCATAAAAAGATATTATTGAGGCAACTGGGGAAAACTGACCATGGCTTAGCATTAGATAATATTAAGGAGTTGCTGTTAGTTTTGTTAGTTATAATAAAGATAGAGTCTTTGGGGTTTTTTAAATGTCCGTATGAGTTAGAGATTCATACTGAAGTATTTATGGATGAAATGATATGACGTCTGGGATTTATTTAAAAATATGTAAGAAAAACATGTCAGGGCTTAAATGAAATAAGAATAGCAGATGTTAATGGTTGTTGAAGCTGGGTAATGGATAAATGGTGACCTGTAATACTATTCTCTATATTGTGTCTTTGAAAATTTCCATACTATAGTGTTAAGATTATGCTAGAGAGTTAATATCCATTTTAGTATTAACAATAGAAAACTCAGTATTGTGGGGACAAGACTCTTTCAAGGGATCTTCATGGTCAAAACTATTTCTATAATAATTCTTTTGTTTTGTTTTGTTTTGTTTTGTTTTGTTTTGTTTTGTTTGAGACGGAGTCTTGCTCTGTCGCCCAGGCTGGAGTGCAGTGGCGTGATCTCAGCTCACTGCAACCTCCGCCTCCCGGGTTCAAGCGATTGTCCTGCCTCAGCCTTCCGAGTAGCTGGGACTACAGGGATGTGCCACCGCACCTAGCTAATTTTTTGTATTTTTAGTACAGATGGGGTTTCACCGTGTTGGCTGCGCTGGTCTTGAATTCCTGGCCTCAAGTGATCCTCCCACCTCGGCCTCCTAAAGTGCTGGGATTACAGGCGTGAGCCACTGCGCCTGGCCCTTCTATAATAATTCTAAGACATTATCTGCCTTTTTCGTTGTGTTAACATTTGCACTGAAGGCACAAAAGCGCTGGTGAGTAGAACTGCTGGTGCCTTAGCATACATTAAGACAGTGACACTAAACTGTACTAATAGCCAGTGTGTTCTTCACTGCCATGCACTCACAGTAAGTAAATAAATAAATTAATTAATTAATTAATTTAAAAAATTCAGTTTTACTTAACTATGTCATTGATAAAATGGTAAAACTTTGTTTGTTTTGGGGTTTCTTTGGAGACAGAATCTCACTCTGTTGCCCAGGCTGGAGTTCAGTGTCACGATCTTGGCTCACTGCAGCCTCCACTTCCCGGGTTCAAGCAATTATTGTGCCTCAGCCTCCTGAGTATCTGGGATTACAGGCGGGTACCACCACATGCAGCTAATTTTTTGTATTTTTACAGAAATACAAAAAACATACAAGAAACCTACAACATGTTTCACCATGTTGCCCAGGCTGGTTTGGAACTCTTGAGCTCAGGCAATCTGCCCACCTTGGCCTCCCAAAGTGCTAGGCTGAGCCACCATGCCTGGCCAAAAACTTACTGATTTTATTGAATCTTGACCCTTGAGGACCCTATTTTTAAATATTTGCTATGACAAAATGGGAAGTACACATAAAGCACTTCTGCACGCCAAGGTAGGGAAAATGCTTATGCCATTGTTCAAGTTGCAAGCTGATCTAGCTACTTTTTTCATAGAACATCTTGTTTTATTTGAATTAACAACTGAAAGATAAATTATGGTTTTTCAAACTTAAATATTTGGCAGACATTTTTACAACAATAAACGAAGTGAGCCTCGTCACCTCAAGGAAAACATCTGACAGTACTTGTAGGCAGTGAAAAAATTCAAGTATTCAGGTGAAAGTTAGAATTTTAGAAAACTTAGTCAGGGCATGGTGGCTCAAGCCTATAATCCCAGCACTTTGGGAGACCAAGGCGGGCGGATCACCTGAGGTCGGGAGTTTGAGACCAACCTGACCAACATAGAGAAACCCCATCTCTACTAAAAATTAGCTGGGCGTGGTGGCGCATGCTTGTAATGCCAGCTACTAGGGAAGCTAAGGCACAAGAATCGCTTGAACCTGGGAAGCAGAGGTTGTGGTGAGCCGAGATCGCGTCATTGCACTCCAGCCTAGGCAACGAGTGAAACTACATCTCAAAAAAAAAAAAAAAAGAATTTTAGAAAACTTGCATCTTCCATCATAAGCTTGACAGCTTCCCAATAATTAAAGAGTTTTCTACTGGGTGTGGTGGCTTACGCCTGTAATCCCAGCACTTTGAGAGACCAAGGTGGGCGGATCACCTGAGGTCGGGAGTTTGAGACCAGCCTAGCCAACATGGTGAAACGCTGTCTCTACTAAAAATAAAAATTTAGCCAGGTATGGTAGCTCACGTCTGTAATCCCAGCTCCTTGGGAGGCTGAGGCAGGAGAATCGTTTGAACCTGGGAGGTGGAGGTTGCAGTGAGCCGAGAACACGCCACTGTACTCCAGCCTGGGTGACAGAGTGAGACTCCATCTCAAAAACAAACAAACAAATAAAAACAGGCCAGGCAAGGTGGCTCATGCCTGTAATCCAAGCACTTTGGGAAGCAGAGGCAAGTGGATCATGAGGTCAGGAGATCAAGACCATCCTGGCTAACATGGTGGAACCCCGTCTCTACTAAAAATACAAAAAATTTGCCGGGCGTGGTGGCACGCGCCTGTATGTAGTCCCAGTTACTCAGGAGGCTGAGGCAGGAGAATTATTTGAACCTGGGAGGTGGAGGTTGCAGTGAGCCGAGATCACACCACTGCACTTCAGCCTGGGTGACAGAGCGAGACTCCATCTCAAAAAAAAAAAAAAAAGACTTTCTTGATGAGATCTGAAGTGATGTAAATAAATAAGGCTTCCTGATATTGTATAATGAAATGTATCAACATTTGAAAGACCTGTTATGAAATCATGCACAGGCAAAGGATCCATTCATTCAAAGTACAAAATACAGTAGTGGATTTTTTTTTGTAGGAAAATATACGTAACATAAAATTTACCATTTTAATGATTTTTTTTTTTTTTTGAGACAGAGTCTCACTCTGTCACCAGGCTGGAGTGCAGTGGCATGACCTTGGCTCACTGCAGCCTCCACCTCCTGGGTTCAAGCAATTCTCCTGCCTCAGCGTCCCAGGTAGCTGGGACTACAGGTGTGTGCCACCACGCCCAGCTAATTTTTGTATTTTTTAGTAGAGATGGGGTTTCACCATGTTGGCCAGGATAGTCTCGATCTCTTGACCCCGTGATCCACCTGCCTTGGCCTCCCAAAGTGCTGGGATTACAGGTGTGAGCCACCACGCCCAGCCCATTTTAATGATTTTTAAGTGTACAGTTCAGTAACATGAAGTACATTCATACTCATAACCATCACCATTATCCACCTCCAGAATTTTTTCATCATCCCCAATTGAAACTCTGTACCCATTAAACAATAACTCCCCACTTCACCCTCCCTCCAGCCCCTGGTAACTGCTATCCTACTTTCTACTTTCTGTCTCTATGGATTTGACTATTCTAGGTACTAGATAAGTGAGAGACTAATTGTTCTTTTTTTTTTTTTTTAAGTTCATTGATCTAGCTTTCAAATTCCACATTGCAACCAATCTTTAAGAAACAACCACTTGTTGGATTCTGATGTAGTACCAAAGAAAAATATCCACAGTTAGCTGAAAAGTTTGTTAAAATACTCTTCCTTTTACAACTACATATCTGTGTAAGGTTAGATTTTCGTTATATACTTCAACCAGCACGACATATCACGACAGATTGAATGCAAAAATCACATATGAGAATCCTGCTGTCTTCTATTCAGTCAGACATTAAAGATTTGCAAAGATGTAAATCAGTGCCACTCTTCTCACTAAATTGTTTTGGAAAACAGTTACCTTTTTCTAAAATATTATTTGCGTTAACATATAATAGATATATTATTTGTGTTAACATATGTTATTTGTTAAATGAATAAATATTTTAAAATTTTTGCCGTTCTAATTCTAATACAGTAAATATTGATAGGTATAATCCACTTTGGGGTCTTGAATACATAGTAAGAGTGTAAAGAGGTCCTGAAACCAAAGACTTTGGAGTAGGGTATAAAAGCCCAGATTGGAAGCTCTGACCTGGAAGGACAACACAGTTCTAGTCCTGACTGCCACGAACATGCTGAATGGCCTTAAGAAATGACTTAACTTCTCAACATCCTGTACTTCATCTGTAAAATTTATCTGCCTAGCCTATGTCATAGAGTTGTTACCAGAAACAAATTAGAGAACAAACAGTTGTAACTAAGATTTAAAAGAAAAGTTATATTGGGAGAGAAACGTTGCTTATAAAATTTGGAATTCAATTAGTTGAGCCAGTTTGAGTTGGTTATATTGCCTATAATCATGTAGGTATTTTTTTGTTGTTATTATTTTTGTTTGTTTGGTTGGGTTTGTTTTTGTTTTTGTTTTTGTTTTGACAGAGTCTTGCTCTGTCTCCCAGGCTGGAGTGCAGTGGCACTATCTCAGCTCACTGCAAGCTCCACCTGCCGGGTTCACGCCATTCTCCTGCCTCAGCCTCCCAAGTAGCTGGGACTACAGGCACCTGCCACCACGCCCGGCTAATTTTTTTGTATTTTTAGTAGAGACGGGGTTTCACAGTGTTCGCCAGGATGGTCTTGATCTCCTGACTTCGTGATCCGCCCGCCTCGGCCTCCCCAAGTGCTGGCATTACAGGTGTGAGCCACCGCGCCCGGCTGGTTGGTTTGTTTTGTTTTTGAGACAGAGTCTCGCTCTGTCTCTCAGTCTGGAGTGCAGTGGTGCAATCTTGGCTCACTGCAACCTCCGCCTCCCAGGTTCAAGTGATTCTCCCTGCCTTGAGCCTCCTGAGTAGCTGGGATTACAGGCACCTGCCACCACCATTTGTTTGTTTTATTGAGACAGTCTCACTCTGTTGCCCAGGCTGGAGTGCAGTGGCACAATCTCGGCTCACTGCAACCTCCACCTCCCAGGTTCAAGGATCCTCATGCATCAGCCTCCCAAGTAGCTGGGACTACAAGGGGCGTGTCGTCGCACCCGGCTAATTTCTGTATTTTTAGTAGAGACGAGGTTTCACCATGTTGGCCAGGCTGGTCTCGAACCCCTGACCTCAGGCAATCCATCTGCCTTGGCCTCCCGAAGTGCTGGGATTACAGGCGTGAGCCACTGTGCCTGGCCTCAGGTAGGTGTTTGTTATTAGGCCAGGAAATGTTCTGTTATCTGAGAGAGAGTGTTTAGAAAAATGGCTTAAAGAAAAGAGTTCTAAGAATTTTAGAAAATAGACCCAAACTTAAAAGGGAATGGAGTTTGGAAGGCAGATAGCAAATGGGTGTGGGAATTAATAGGGAATTATTTGTACTTGTTTTAAAACTCAGTGGCCTGTAGGAAAATCTGTTTAGAGCAGGATTTGCTTTTTCATTATTGAGGTCATCCTTTTATATTTCCAAAACATATTGTTCTTGGTTTTCAAACCTCATTTCTGGTTCTCTGGCTGATTTCAACTCCAAGGGCACAAGAGACTATAGTCCCCGGCAGATGGCAGTTCGCGAGAAGGTGTTTGACGTAATCATCCGTTGCTTCAAGCGCCACGGTGCAGAAGTCATTGATACACCTGTATTTGAACTAAAGGTGAGGAATGGGCAAGAAGAAACTACATGGTAGATGAGTGGGCATTTGAATAACAAAGAAGATGACAACAAGAGAGTGAGGGTCCAAAGGGCCCACTCCTGTTGTGGACACAGACCAGTCTTTGCTCCAATAAGAAGGGGGACAAGAATGGCTTGGAGGGAGAGGCCCTGTCTTTTATTATCTTGGTTGTGGCCAGCAGATTCCAAAAGAGAGCCATTCTTTGGAATGGTAATTGTTCTGGGTCCTCTCTACATTGTATTGCGTGGCATCTGTACTTGGAATGTTTTCTAGATTCATGCAAACCATACGTACATAAATATGCAACCACTCTCCTATTGATGGACTCTGAAGTTGTTAGTAGTTCTTTGCTATTAAAAACTAGATTGCAACTGGGCACATCTGTAGTTCCTGCTTCTCAGGAGGCTGAAGCAGAAAGATCACTGGATCCGAGGAGTTCAAGGCTGTAGTGTGCTATGATGGTGCCTGTGAATAGCCACCATACTCCAGTCTGGGCAATGTAGCAAGCCCCTGTCTCTAAAACAAACCAGCCAACCCAGATTGCATTACTACCTGCTTCAAACCCAGTGATTCCCACTGCACTTATAGTACAACCCAAACTCTTTACTCAGGTTTACAGAGCCCTAGGTGATCTGGCCACTGCCTCTCCTACCTCATCTCATGCTATTTTTCCTCTTGCCCACTATGCTACTCTGGTCTTCTTCCTACTCTTGGAACATAGTCAGTGTGTTTGTACCTCCACACCTTTGTTCTTGCTCTTCCCCTTTCCTGAACTCCCTTTCCTTAGCTCTTTGCATGATTTATTTCAGATTATACTAGAGACTGCAGATTTTAATTCCTTTTTAAAAAAAAAAAATACAAATAGAGACAGAGGTCTTGCTATGTTGCCCAGGCTGCTTGCGAACGAACCCCTGGCCTCAAGTGGTCCTCCTTCCTCAGCCTCCCAAAGTGCTGACATTACAGGCATGAGCCACCACGTCCAGCCAGCCAGATTTTAATTTCAGAGCTCAGCTAAAATGCCACTCCTCAAGTAATCTTCTCCAACTACCTTCTTTAAAGTAGCTGTTCTCTCTCTTATCACAATGAGCTAGTTTATTGCCTTTAGGCTATAAAACTGTCTGAAATTATCTGTTGTTTCCTTCATCAATGTCTCTTTTTATTGATATTTAATTGTACATATTTATGAGACTGTTTTTACCTACTGTATTAGTTTGCTAGGGCTACCATAACAAAGTACCATAGACTAGGTAGTCTAAACAACAGAAATTTATTTTCTCACAGTTCCAGAGGCTGGAAGTTGACATAACATGTTGGCAGGCCTAGTTCTTTCTGAAGGCCATAAGGAAGGATCTGTTCCAGGCCTCTCTCCATGGCTTGTAGATGGCCATCATCTCCCTTTGTTTTTTTTTTAATTGAGACAGAGTCTCGCTCTGTTGCCTGGGCTGGAGTGCAGTGGCACCATCTCATCTCACTGCAACTCCACCTCCCAGGTTCAAGCGATTCTCCTGCCTCAGTCTCCTAAGTAGCTGGGATTACAACACGTGTGCCACCACACCTGGCTAATTTTTCTATTTTTAGTAGAGACGAGGTTTCACCATGTTGACCAGGTTGGTGGTCTTGAATTCCTGGCCTCCAGTGATTCGCCCACCCCAGCCTCCCAAAGTGCTGGAATTACAGGCATGAGCCACCGCGCCCAGCCTCCCTTTGTCTTTACATCGTCTTCCCTCTGTCCCTATCTAAATTTTCTCTTCTTACAACAACATATTGGATCAGAGCCCAACTTGGAGACCTCATGTTAGCTTAATCATCTCTTTAAAGACCCTATCACCAAATGTAGACATGTTCAGAGGTTACTGGGAGTTAGGACTTAAACAAATGAATTGGGGAGGGTGGGGCCAGGGGGACACAGTTCAGCCCGTAACACTAGTGTGTTACTGTTTCTGATACTGCATACTGGGAAGTTTCAGGCTTTTTAATCTTTGCCAACCTGGTAAGTGAAATATGCTATTACCGATGATAGACATCACAGGGCAAGGACTGCTGTAATGCCCTTAAGACATTCCCCAGTTTTTACTTTTGACATTATTCGAATCTCAGGCATCAAAAAACATTTATGTTTATTGGTCTGATAACCTATTCCTAGTAGTTTATCATCAAGAAAAATACTTTTTTTTAAAAAAAAAAAGAGCTATATACCTAAATATTAGATATTGAAATGTTATGGGGAATTTTTTTTTTTTTGAGACAGAGTTTCACTCTCGTCACCCAGGCTGGAGTGCAATGGTGCGATCTCTGCTCACTGCACCCTCTGCCTCCCGGGTTCAAGCGATTCTCCTGCCTAAGCCTCCGAATAGCTGGGATTAGATGCCTACCAGCTCCCCCAGCTAATTTTGTATTTTTAGTAGAGACAGGGTTTCACCATGTTGGCCAGGCTGGTCACGAACTCCTGACCTCAGGTGATCCATCCGCCTTGGCCTCCCAAAGTGCTGGGATTACAGGCGTGAGCCGCTATGCCTGGCCTAAAAAAATTTTTTTTTAAATTAGAATAACCTAAACACCTAACAGTATAACATGAGGGAGGAAGTAAGTACAGAGCTTCTTCTCACTGGAATTTATGCATCTTTTAAAAACACTTCAGGCCGGGCGCTGTGGCTCGCACTTGTAATCCCAGTACTTTGGGAGGCTGAAGCGGGCAGATCACGAGGTCAAGAGATCGAGACTATCCTGGCCAACATGGTGAAACCCTGTCTCTACTAAAAATACAAAACTTAGCCGGGCATGGTGGCACCCGCCTGTAGTCGCAGCCACTCTGGAGGCTGAGGCAGGAGAATCTCTTGAACCCCGGAGTCAGAGGTTGCAGTGAGCCGAGATCACGCCACTGCACTCCAGCCTGGTGACAGAGCGAGACTCCATTTCAAAAAAAAAAAACAAACTTCATGCTGAGAAGTCTGAAGAAAAAAAAGATTTTTAAGAGGAAAATGTGTAAGAAAAATACTTCAGCTCTGTTACAAAATCAAAATAGAAAAAAACACAAAATTGGTGTTTCCTTTTAATGATAACTACATCAGACACCTAAGAATTGGGATAAAGAGCAGAGGGAAATGTAGACAAGTTGGAATCAGTCATGTTTGTTTTCAAAACTTCCTTTTAAATTGTTATGTTTATTATTATGACCACATTTATTTATGTTTTCTCCAGGAAACACTGATGGGAAAGTATGGGGAAGACTCCAAGCTTATCTATGACCTGAAGGACCAGGGCGGGGAGCTCCTGTCCCTTCGCTATGACCTCACTGTATCTTTCTAAACTTGGGCTCTTGAGACTTTGGATGGATTGGCACTCACTTGGCTCAGGTTTAAGAATGGTAGAGTAGGTAGGATCAAATATGAGGCCTTTGGCGATTAGGGGAATTATTTCTCTAAACCAGGAGTGGAACTTTGGCTAAACAGAGCATACACATCCTTAGAAATCTTCTGAATCCTGAGTGAGACCTCAGCTTGATGTCAGGGCCCAGTTCCAACTCTACAGTCATCCCCTGGCTCCAGAATACCTCTCCCCTGCCCTGTCCAGTGAACAAAATTCTTCTTAATGGACTAGCAACACATTTCCCTTGTCTCCAAGCTACACAGAGAATCATCTGCTTAGAAATCCCATATGGGGGCCTTTTTCTGGTCGCCTTTTTCTGGTCTGTGGCCAACCTGCCCAGCCCCTTGCCATGCTCAAAAAAGTCCAGTCAACACTACAAAAGGGAAAGGTGCCTTAATCTTTTTTGAGCCTTCAGCTACCTCATGTGGTAGCACAGCTGATGCTTTCTGATGTTTGTAAGTGCTATTAATCTTATGGGTGGCAGTTTTACCCACATAGGGAGGGGTTAGACCCCAGCTTCTGTTGGTGATGATAATCAACTTGCAGACAGTGATAGGAGGGGCTTTCTCCTTAACTCTTTGTCATCAGGTTCCTTTTGCTCGGTATTTGGCAATGAATAAACTGACCAACATTAAACGCTACCACATAGCAAAGGTATATCGGCGGGATAACCCAGCCATGACCCGTGGCCGATACCGGGAATTCTACCAGTGTGTGAGTGTTGGGAAACCGTGGGGCAGGATGAGTTACTTGGGGCTCTCTCAAGCCAGCAGAATCTATTGAGTACTCACGGTGTCCTGAGCAAATTGGATGACCCAGATAATGCTCTTAGGGTTTCTATGGTGGTTTTTTTGTTTGTTTTTTGTTTTTTTGAGACGGAGTCTCGCTCTGTTGCCCAAGCTGGAGTGCAGTGGTGCAGTCTTGGCTCACTGCAACCTCTGCCTCCTGGGTTCAAACGATTCTTCTGCCTCAGCCACCTGAGTAGCTGGGATTACAGGCGCCTGCCACTATGCCCGGCTAATTTTTTGTATTTTTAGTAGAGACGGGGTTTTACCATGTTGGCCAGGCTGGTCTCGAACTCCTGGTCTCATGATCCGCCTGCCTCGGCCTCCCAAAGTGCTGGGATTACAGGCGTGAGCCACCGCACCCAGCCTCTTCTATGGTGTTTTCATGCAGATTTCACAAAATCCCTGTGGTGGGGGAGGAGAATAAAGTCTCTTCATTTTACATATGAGTAAACTTGATACCCAGCCCATGAAGAGATCATAGGGATAAGAAAGGCAAAGTCAGGACTAGAACTCTTGGTCCAGTGCTCTTTATTTTAAACCACAGTGATAGGATCACAGCAGAGAATAAGGAAATTAGCTTTGATACATCAAATCATCCAGACTGATGCCAGGGCTTCTGGATGAATAGGGAAAATGGCTAAGCACTAAAGCCATATAATCACCCCATCCAGTAGGAGGAGTTAAGAAGATGATGAAGTAGAAAATGAAGGAATAGCCCAGTAGATGGAAAGGAAACCAAAACTGGTGAGAAGCCCAAAGATGCCGGGGTTTACCTCTGGGCTGATGATCAGAAAATGAAAGAGAAATTCTATGCTTGAGTGCAACCAGGCCTTCCTAGAGGACAGAGCTCCCAGAGTCCCCCCTTCAGAAAGGTGAATCCCTGAAGACCGCTGGCTAACCCTCTCCCTGCAGGATTTTGACATTGCTGGGAACTTTGATCCCATGATCCCTGATGCAGAGTGCCTGAAGATCATGTGCGAGATCCTGAGTTCACTTCAGATAGGCGACTTCCTGGTCAAGGTCAGAGCTGACAAGGCTGGGAGGGCAAAGTTGGGCCTGGCCTCTCACAAGAGAAGATCCTTGTGCAGAGGGACCAGTAGCCTAAGTGACCATGACTATTGCAGGTCATGTAAGAAAAGAGATTCCCCCCTCACTATGCATTGGTTCCTTGCAGGTAAACGATCGACGCATTCTAGATGGGATGTTTGCTATCTGTGGTGTTTCTGACAGCAAGTTCCGTACCATCTGCTCCTCAGTAGACAAGCTGGACAAGGTAACAACCCAAGTACTTGACTTCTTTTCCCAGATCCCACCCTGCCTTGGGAAATGGAAAACAAGATTGAGAGAGAGAGAGGTGCATGCCTCTATACCCACCAGAGGAAGGTTAGCCCCAGGATGTAGGCTCATGGGCAGCTACTGCTCTAAAACGGTTCCCCGAGGACAGTACACACTTGCTCTGTGGTGCGGAAGCTGCCCAGGGGTCCCTGACTGGTGTCTGTCTGCCTAGGTGTCCTGGGAAGAGGTGAAGAATGAGATGGTGGGAGAGAAGGGCCTTGCACCTGAGGTGGCTGACCGCATTGGGGACTATGTCCAGCAACATGGTGAGGAACAGAACCAAGCCTCCCCAGCAGCCGTCCCACTGCCCTCAGTCCTAAAGTTGAAACTGTTCTGTGTTATGTATGTAGGGGAGTGAGTGTGTCTATGCATATGTACACACACATGCATGGGCGACTAGAGTCCAGGCAAGAAGGTCAACCCTCCTTACCTTTTTTGTTTCCTTGTCAGCCTCACTCACAAGTCTGTCTCCCCAGGTGGGGTATCCCTGGTGGAACAGCTGCTCCAGGATCCTAAACTATCCCAAAACAAGCAGGCCTTGGAGGGCCTGGGAGACCTGAAGTTGCTCTTTGAGTACCTGACCCTATTTGGCATTGATGACAAAGTGAGTCAAGTTGGGGACGGGATCCCTTCTGAGCTCTGGGGCTTCAGGTCCCTGATCTTAATCTGGCACTGACCATTTTCTTATCTCCACAGATCTCCTTTGACCTGAGCCTTGCTCGAGGGCTGGATTACTACACTGGGGTGATCTATGAGGCAGTGCTGCTACAGACCCCAGCCCAGGCAGGGGAAGAGCCCCTGGGTGTGGGCAGTGTGGCTGCTGGAGGACGCTATGATGGGCTAGTGGGCATGTTCGACCCCAAAGGGCGCAAGGTGCCATGTGTGGGGCTCAGCATTGGGGTGGAGCGGATTTTCTCCATCGTGGAACAGAGACTAGAGGTAGGTCCTAGGAGGTAGGTAGAAGATAGTCTGAGCAGGTGGTGGCACCTAAGCTATCTGATCTCCAAGGGAGCAAGTGGTGCTGCTTTGGGCAGGGAGCATCTCACAGAAATGGAGAAAAGATTATTGCTCTTTTTCACAGATTTCTACCCCATTATATGTAAGTTTTATGGATCTTTAATCCATAATCTTTCTGCACTCAATCCTCTGCTCTGGGTCTCTACTTCCTTCAGGGCTGTCACAAACCTGGGCTGGTGTATCCAAGACTTAGATCTTCCTCATGATACGGAATACTTAACATTTTACTGCCTTGTGCCAGGCACTGTGCTTGGTGCTTTTCATGCATTATCAAAATATAATTGTTACTACAGCCCTGTGAGAGTAGCTAATTTTATTAATTGCATTTTCCAGATGAGAACACTGAAGCATTATAGATCAAATAATTTGCTTAAGGCCATGAAACTTGTAAGTGGTAGGGTCAGAATTTGAATCCAGGCAGTCTGACTCCAAAGTCTTGCCACTAACCACACTGCAATACTGTCTCTAAATGGGAAGCATGTGTCTGAGGCCCTGGGATCCCTCAGATGGCTACCGTGACTCTCTAGCACCTAGAGTAACACCAAGGAAGCCTCTTGTAGCCTCAAGCCCTCCTTTGTTGCTGCTGGTCTTAAGTGGCTGGTTGCATTTCATCTTCTGGGAAATGCTCTGGCAACCTCCCCACAGTCCTATGCCTTTTCTCTAGGGTGGAAACCACCCATTTCCCAGTTGAGATCATTTTTCCAGTAGGCATCTTACATTCTAAGAACTATGAAAATAGTTTTCCTGAAAAAGACAAGGGAAGCAGCAGCAGCATTCTCCTTTCCCCACACCCATATACACGCCTGTGCCCTGTAACTGAAGTGTGAGAGGCACAGTGTCATAAATGGGTAGATAGTAAGTGGGGACTAAAACTGTCAAGGGTGATCTAATTGGGGTGGGCTCATAGTAGTACTTCTGTGTGAATGCTTTGGTGGACCCTTAAGGTACTACATGGACCAGCCTGGGCAACATGATGAGACCCTGTCTCTACAGATTAAAAAAAAAAATTTTTTTTTTTTTTTAAATTAGCTGAGTATGGTGGTGTGTGCCTGTAGTCAGGAGGCTGAGGTGGGAGGATCACTTGAGCTTGGGAGGTCGAAGCTGCAGTGATCACACCACGGCACTTCAGCCTGGATGACAGAGACCCTGTCTCAAAAAAAAAAAAAAGGTACTACATGGAGATAAGCTTGAAGTTACTGTAAAAAAGCTACCTTTACTCTTGCCCTAAGTTATTTATTCTGATACGTCCTATGTACAAGTCAGTCAGTTCAGTCCTCATATCTACTAAAAGCTACCTTTATGCCCAAGGTGCTAGATGAGAAGACAGGGCCCCTGCCCTGGTAGAGCTGAGTTGGGCCTGGTCTCAAAATCCCGACTAGAGCCTGCTTTGTTTGCTCCTTGAAGGTGTTAGCCCAGCTCTCTTTTATCTGCCCCTTCCCCAGGCTTTGGAGGAGAAGATACGGACCACGGAGACACAGGTGCTTGTGGCATCTGCACAGAAGAAGCTGCTAGAGGAAAGACTAAAGCTTGTCTCAGAACTGTGGGATGCTGGGATCAAGGTATGGGAGGCAAGCCCCAGGGTGGCAGCAAACTTAGGTGTGCTGGACACAAACTGAATAAAAGCTCACCCATAATGGATCCTGCCATTACTTCTCAAAAGTAGAGCTAAGAACAGGGTGCCAGCTTGGACACCCTCTGTCCCTGAGGACAGCAGAAGCCAGCCTTCATCTTCTGCTCTTGTCCCCTGCAGGCTGAGCTGCTGTACAAGAAGAACCCAAAGCTACTGAACCAGTTACAGTACTGTGAGGAGGCAGGCATCCCACTGGTGGCTATCATCGGCGAGCAGGAACTCAAGGATGGGGTCATCAAGCTCCGTTCAGTGACGAGCAGGGAAGAGGTGAGGGAGGTGGGCAGGAAGGCTAAGGGACAGAGAATGTATGCCATTTTGGCAGGCCCATGCCCATTCAAGACCTGAGAAAAAGCCTGGCATTGATATTAGTACAACTCATAAAAGCCTTGAGGGCTTAACCTGTTACTGTGGTCTTAGTAGGGTGAGATCTCCATCCCTGCATATACCTTATGGTTTGTTGGCTCCCCCAAGAGGCACACTCTAGCCTGAGGTGTTTAATTAGGTTCCTGCTCCCAGCTGAGACAAGCCTGATGCCTAGAGGGCTAGAGGAAACTAGGCACTCGGGGAGCAGTGGAATGGAAGATGCTTATACCACCTTCTTCTCCCATCCTGGCCAGGTGGATGTCCGAAGAGAAGACCTTGTGGAGGAAATCAAAAGGAGAACAGGCCAGCCCCTCTGCATCTGCTGAACTGAACAAACTATCAGAGGAAAGGAAGTGGGACTGGCACTATTTGAGGTTAAGACAAACTGCATATGTACTTCAATTGCTTTGCACTTTTCCGTTTCAGCGGAAGACCTGAAGAGTGGTCAGAACAGAGCCTTTGATTTTTATTATGGTTATTTTATTGATTATTACTGGCAAAAACGGCCAGGTACAACACCTTTTTCATACAAGGCCCAGGAGGCTTAGTCCAGTCTGTGCTCCTGGGCTACAAGGACCCAGCCTGAGATGGTCCCATCTGCAGGGCCCCGCACCAGTTGGAGCAGATGCCTCCCCACCACCAATTGCCAAAGGTCCAATAAAATGCCTCAACCACGGAGTCTGCGTGTGTCAGTGATGCCTAGCCCCGCCTTCCCCAGCAGACCAATGTAGGGATGGAAAAGGGAGAAAAACAGTAAACTTGTGACCCTGAGGTTCTTGTCTCCAGCGTCCACCCTGCGGCTTGGGAGCTCCTCCTCGGGAGGCAGCCCCCGTACATACGCACCCGCGACTTTGCAGCTTTCACCTGAAGGTCTGAGCGAAGCCCGGGCGGCGCACGTGCAGTGGATACCTCCACCCCCCTGGGAGGCGGGGTCGCGCTCAGAGCCAATGAGAGCTTGCGGGGTGGAGGGGTAGGGAAGCTTCCAGAGGCCGGTGGGGAGGAAGTTATAAAGAGGGTACGAGGGGGCCAGCTGGAGAGCCATGCAGTCCAAGCGGGATTGTGAGGTAAGCGGCTGGCGACTTGGGGGCCGGCGAGCCCCGCCGGAGCGGGGGTCGGCTTTAGGGACCCCAGTACCACAGGAGAGGTGGGGGCGCGCTTGGCGATCCGCCATTCCAACCTTCCTTTCCCTCTCAGCTGTGGTGTGAGAGGGTGAATCCAGAGAACAAGGCGGCGCTGGAGGCGTGGGTCAGGGAGACAGGCATCCGCCTGGTGCAGGTGAACGGGCAGAGGAAGTATGGCGGGCCACCCCCAGGTACGGTAGTCCCAGCCCCTCCGCCTGTCCGGCTACACCAGCCCCCTTTGGGGGAGGGGCTGCTCCGAGCCTTCACTGTCAGAAACTGCGAACTACCCGGATTTATACCCCCCAGCAAAGGAGGAACTGTGGCTCCACGTCCACCCGCCCCGTCGAGGGAGGGGGCCAATCTCAAGGTGTACCTACTCTGTGCCAGCCCCCTTGTTAGCGCAGTCACCTAATTATGCCAACCACCCAGGGTACGGGTGTAAACCCATTTCACAGACCTTTGTTCACATCGCCTCCCACCCCCGCGCGCTGGGTCCGTGGGCTCAGAATTCGAAAGCGTCGCCTGACGGTGGCCTTGCATACCCTCTTCCCACAGGCTGGGTGGGCAGCCCGCCGCCAGCTGGGTCAGAGGTGTTCATCGGGCGGCTGCCTCAGGACGTGTACGAGCACCAGCTTATCCCGCTGTTCCAGCGCGTGGGCCGCCTCTACGAGTTCCGCCTGATGATGACCTTCAGCGGCCTGAACCGCGGCTTCGCCTATGCCCGCTACAGCTCGAGGCGCGGCGCGCAGGCCGCCATCGCCACGCTGCACAACCATCCGCTGCGGCCGTCCTGCCCGCTGCTCGTGTGCCGCAGCACCGAGAAGTGTGAGCTGAGCGTTGACGGCCTGCCGCCGAATCTGACCCGCAGCGCGCTGCTGCTCGCGCTGCAGCCGCTGGGTCCCGGCTTGCAGGAGGCGCGGCTGCTGCCCAGCCCCGGACCGGCGCCCGGGCAGATCGCTCTGCTCAAATTCAGCTCGCACCGGGCCGCTGCCATGGCCAAAAAGGCCCTGGTGGAAGGTAGGCTGGGGCGGGGGTGCTGGTTGGGGCCAAACGCGTTCTGCCCGGCACTTTATACTGAGCATAGCTGTTAAAGTTACAAGATCTTAGAGTCAAACATGCCAGAATTTGCAACCTTTTACTATTTGATCTCAGATTTTTAAAACTTCCAATGGTGCTACCACCACCGCTTACCTAAATTTGTGACACTTCCCGAGCATTACCTCCTGACTTAATTCTCAACCTTCCCCCACCCCCACACCGCAAAATAGGCACAGGACCCTCAAGCTATGAGGAAACTGTTAGAGAAATTGATTTGCTCAAGGGAATCCAACTGAGCTTTTTACTACTATAGAATCTGTTTCCTCAGACTGTTATGAGAATTAAGTAACATAATGGGTGTACGGTACTTAGCACACTGACTGACTTACAGCAAGTTTTCCCAGTAAAGATTAGCCATTATGATGGTTATGAGGCAGACAAAGCCTGCAATTAACCAGTACTTCTCCAAGGAAACTTGTAAGGTAGCAGTGTGTTATACTCCCTTTGCAAATAATGGAGGCTGAAGGCTTCATTGTCTTTTCTTACCCATGGTCACACTACCAGGAAATGGGAAGGCTACAAATAACAGGACTGTGTAGCTCCAAAGGGCTCACCACCTGGAGGCTTGGGCCCAGGGTTTAGACCTGCCCTTGTCTTTGCATTTTTCCTACAGGGCAGTCACACCTCTGTGGAGAGCAGGTGGCTGTGGAGTGGCTCAAGCCAGACCTGAAGCAGCGACTTCGCCAGCAGCTTGTGGGTCCCTTCTTGCGGTCCCCACAGCCAGAGGGCAGCCAGTTGGCTTTGGCAAGGGACAAGTTAGGGTTCCAAGGGGCTCGGGCTACCCTGCAGTTGCTGTGCCAACGAATGAAGCTGGGCAGCCCTGTGTTCCTCACCAAGTGTTTGGGCATAGGACCTGCTGGCTGGCACCGCTTCTGGTACCAGGTGGTGATTCCTGGGCATCCGGTGCCCTTCAGCGGCCTCATCTGGGTTGTGCTGACCCTAGATGGCCGGGATGGGCATGAGGTGGCCAAGGATGCTGTGTCTGTACGGCTGCTGCAGGCACTCAGTGAGTCTGGGGCCAACCTCCTGTGGTCTGCTGGGGCTGAGGCAGGTACCATGGTTAAACAGTGACTCCATTCTTTCTCCACAGGCACCCTGAATGGGCATGCAGAGCCTGTGTCAGGCCCCATCCCAGCAGGCCTGGGTGGCCACTTTCTGACCCCCAAAGGTGGGGAGGGGCATGGGCCCAGGCCCATCAGCCTCCCTGCTGGGACAGGGACCTATGGCACCTGGGGGCAGCTTAGGTTTGGGTTAAGTTGTGGTGAGGGGCCTTGCCCTCCCGCTCCCAGCCCAGGGTCCAACCTGACCCAGTGATCTTCCATGGCCGTTCCTTGTCCCACCCCCACCCGATCATACCTTCCCCCCTCTGCCACAGCTTAGCATGAATCTTCTTTATTGTCCTGATTTGTCCTCTTTGTTGGTTTTTATTTGTGGGGAAGGGCAGCTGAGCCAAAGGGGTCAGAAATTCTGCCCTTTGCCTCCACCACATGGCATTCTGGTTTTGGTTTCTGTATAGTTTTGGGTCTTTCTATGCTGGTTGTATTTATATTAAACCCCTGGTTAGTATATACTTGTGTCTGTGCTGTCTTGCCCTAGCTTAGAGTTTGTTTACACTGGTAGAGTGAATAGCTGCTACGGGGCAAGTACTTCCTCACATCAGTGCTTTGAGTGCATCTTCTTGTGTTGCACTGTAGGGTATTATAAATTCATATCCAGGCCGGGTGTGTTGGCTTTTGCCTGTAATCCCAGCACTTTGGGAGGCTGAGGCGGGTGGATCACCTGAGGTCAGGAGTTCGAGACCAGCCTGGCCAGCATGGAGAAACCCCGTCTCTACTGAAAATACAAAAATTAGCCTGGCATGGTGGCAGACACCTGTAATCCCAGCTACTTGGGAGGCTGAGGCAGGAGAATTGCTTGAACCCGGGAGGCGGAGGTTGCAGTGAGCCAAGATCACGCCATTGCACTCCAGCCCTGGCAACAAGAGCGAAACCCTGTCTCAAAAAAAAAAAAAAAAAAAATTTCATATCCAGCCAGGCACAGTGGCTCATGCCTGTAATCCCAGCATTTTGGGAGGCCAAGGCAGGAGGATCACTTGAGCCCAGGAGTTCCAAGACCAGCTTGGTCAACATAGTGAAACCCCTGGTCTCTACCAAAAAAAAATCACAAAAATTAGTCAAGCATGGTGGCAGATGCCTGTTAAGTCTCAGCTACCAGGCAGGCTGAGGTGGATCACTTGAGCCCAGGAAGTCAAGGATGCAGTGAGCCATGATCAACCCACTGTACTCCAGCCTGGGTGACAGAGTGAGACCTTGTCTCAAAAAATATAAATTTTTTTGGCCAGGTGTGGTGGCTCGTGCCTGTAATCCCAGCACTTTGGGAAGCAGAGGCAGGTGGATCATTTGAGTCCAGGAGTTGAAGACCAGCCTGGGCAAAACAGACCCGTTTCTACCAAAAAAAAAAAACAAAAATTGGCCTGGTGTGGTAGTGCACACCTGTAGTCCCAGCTGCTCCAGAGGCTAAGGTGGAAGGACAATCTGAGCCTGGGGACATTGAGGCTGCAGTGAGCCAAGATCAAGCCAGCGCACTCCAGCCTGGACGATGGCAAAACCCTGTCTTTTCAAAAAATAATTCATATCCTCTCTGGGGATGCAGCCCAATAAGCAAGACTCTTGCCTGGTGAGGACCCGTCTCAAGATTCAATTCATTCCTTCAGTCACTGTCATCCCCAGTCTCCTCCTTTTCTTCCTGAGCCATGGAGTCTTCTCCCTCTTCCCTCAGTCCTGCGAAGAAGTCATCGGTGCTCCAAGTCTTGCTGCTCAGAGCCCGCAGTGGTCCTCCCTTTTTTTTGCGCCGACGGTAGTCATCCACCACCACAGCTCGCAGCTGGGCCATGTCCCAAAACTTGAGGCGCTGGTCATGGCCACTACTGGCCAGGAAGCGGCCACAGTGGGAGAGGGCCAGCTCCTCCACAGGCTCCCCAGTGTGCTGGCCCACACTGCCCACCACTCGGTTCGGTAGGATGTTCACAGCCCTGGGCAGGGAAAGAACAGTGTTGAGTACTGGCTAGCTGGGTCTGCCCTTCCTGTGACCTAAGGGCTGTCCAGGCTTCCCTCACCTGATGACTCCATCAGTGGAGCCAGTACACAGCAGACTCTCGGTGACTGGAACCATGCAGTCGATAGATTCAGCTCTCAGGGCAAAGCGGTCACTTGTGGCCCCAAAGCCATTCCAATTGAAGAGGTAGATGGTACCTTCACTGGAGCCACAGGCTACCTTCTTCCCCCACTGCAGGGAAATAGAGAAAACAATGTGGAAGCTGCCTCAGACTAAGCCCCCAGCACACACCCCTCCATCCCACCATAACCAGCTGTACTTTCATGAGAGTGACAGAGGTCAGGTCCCCAGACTGAGGTTCTGAGAGCAGCTCAAACCGACGCCTCTTAATGTTGAAGATGCCAAGGCAGCCATCCCCGCTGTAGAGAGTAGAGCAGTAGGCTTAGACGCAAGGTCTATTTGAGGAAGACATTTCACACAGGGAGGGGAGGGGAGGCAAGGCAGCTTTGAAGTTGTACCTGGCTGTCAGCAGCAGCTTTTTGGCTGGATCCAGAGCCATGTCTGCGATGTACTCTTCATGTTGCCTCATATCCATTAAGGGGCCCTCCTTCCGCTGGTCCCAGAGACAGATACCACCTGTGTCATCCCCAGTGGCCAGAACATTCTCATCCACCAGCAGAAGACTATTGATGGGGGCACTAGAGACACAGATGTAGAACTTCTTGGAGCATCTCTGTCCCAGTGGGGACCTCCTGGTCCTTACCCTTCACCTCCATGCACATACACAGAATTGGCTGCTCTCCTTACCCATGAGCCTTGGAAACACGTCTTTCCAGTTGGCCCTGCTCCACATCTAGAACATGGATGGCTTTGTCCTTGGAGACAGTAATGAGCTCTGGGGAAAAGGTGCCCAGGTCATGGTGCTGCTCACTGCTCCCTTCCACCACATTGCTGGTTGTCTTCCCCAGTACTCACTCTGCCCATCTTCAGAGAAGGCCACAGCTCGGCAGGCCTTGAGATGGTGACCTGATGACCAGAGCTCCTTGGTTTCTCCCTCTTGGCAAGAGTAGGAAAAGCTGGGGAGAGGGCAAGGAGGGTAAATGACTCCAGACCCAGCCTGGGTTGCATTGAGTGCAGAGACCAACTAGACAGAGCAGCCTTCCCACCTACCTAAGAGTTCCTGCTTCTACACCTCTAAGCCCAAAAAGTTTACCATCTCATTTCTCCATTTTCAGTGAGTTTGAAATGTTAGGTCCTGCTTTTTTCAATATATGTTAGTTCAAGGTATATTTGCGCAAGATTTCTTTGTGATCCCACCCAACCCCTCTTTATCATCTTTGAAAGCCCCAGCCTGGACAAAGATTGGGTCTGGACCACTGTGGAGGAGATATTTGTTACATCAATGACAAAAGACCAGCCCCAGAAGTTAGAAATCTAAAAATCAGTAAGGTAGAGCAGGCTCTTGCACTTCAGGTCTGCAGGAGCTAGAGAAAGCCACAATTAATTACAGTACATTGAGAGTACGTGCTGAAAAAGAGGCAAGATCAAAATGGAGGTGGGGGAGAGGCACCAGCCTGTAAACAACTTTGAGGTGAGTACTGTTTATGGAATACCCCCAAGTGCCTGCCTCAGAGCAGATCCTCAAAAAGGGCAGAATGAATACATGCTTAATTGCCAGTGAGTTCCAGGTAGGCAGAACTGAGCCTGCTCATTTTCTCTATCCCAGTGCTGAACGTGAAAAAGTAGCTTAATAAACATTCACAAATTGAATGAATACTTGGGAAGGGAGAAGAGAGCCCTGGAAAGCTAAGGTGGTGACATGTGGGTTGGATCATACAAGAGTAGAATTTGCCTGGCAGAGAGCAAGGGCCAGATACTGGAGGCAGCAGAGATAAGGAATGAGGAGGGTTCCTTGTAGCAGGAGAGTAGCATGACTGAATCTAGAAAGATGGGCTGGGGTGGGCATGAGACCACATGAGCCAAGCAGAAGTTTGAATTTAATCCTCGGAAAAGGAACCTTTTCACAATAGTCATGGCTGAGGGTGGGGAAGGGGAGAACCAAGAATTTTCCTCCAGAACCTTTTTTAAGACAAGGGAAGCAACAAAGTTGTGTGGAATGTGAAGAAAGGTGGATGTCTAGGGCAACTCCCAAGTGCCTGGCACCATAAATATGGATAGTAGTAGAAGGGAACCTACATTTGTTGAAGAGCTGCTTAGGTGCTGTACTGCAAACTTGTCCCCTCTGCAAGGGTAGGTATAATTCCCCCTTTCAAAGATGAAAATACAGAAGTTAACACGCTCAAGGCCATTACAGCTAATGAGGGGTTGAGGTTTAAATTCATTAAGTAAATCTGATAAGCATAACATCTTCAACTTTTCCACTGCCTCTAACCTGTATCTTTTGTTCAAAATCAAACATGTGTTGAGCATCTACCCTAGACTAGAGGTTGGAGATAAAATAGAGAACAAAACCGATGACAGATTACACTCCAGAACAGTGTTTTTTCACATTCTAGTCATATAACGGACTAGTAAGCTACGATCAGCATTTTGTGTACATGTACACAATAATAGAATAAAATCAGCAATTGTATCACAGAGCATCATATATAATGTAAAAGGTATTTCTCTGTGAGGCAAGGTCAAAGACGTTTGAAAAACATTAGTGAAGGAGACAGCATTCAAATAATTACACAAATGGACATATGGTTACCAACCATTCATTATTAAGGGAAAGGTACCATGGCACCTGGTGCCATGGCAGCATCTAACAGGTAACCAATTTTAGTCTGGGGAGAGAGGAAGAGGGAAGAGATCCTGGAAACTCAGAGATAGTAGGTAAAAGTGAGGGGAAAGGAGTTTTCCGGACAGAATAGCACATGCAAATGGGCTGAGGTTTCGAGATTTTTTTTTGAGATGGAGTTTTGCTCTTGTTGCCCAGGCTGGAGTGCAATGGCACGATCTCGGCTCACTGCCACCTCCACCTCCCAGGTTCAAGCGATTCTCCTGCCTCAGCCTCCCGAGAAGCTGGGATTACAGGTGCCCGCCACCACACCCAGCTAATTTTTCTATTTTTAGTAGAGACAGGATTTCACCATGTTGGCCAGGCTGGTCTCCAACTCCTGACCTCAGGTGATACCCCACCTTGGTCTCCCAAAGTGCTGGGATTACAGGCATGAGCCACCACGCCCGGCCCAAGACGTATTTTTAAAAGGTATGGATGAATGAGCACAGATGGTCAGGGCGTTGAAGGCAGGATTGAGAAATTTGTACTAAATCCTAAAAGCAGACCATTGAAGGGTTTTAATCAAGGGAGTGTCTCACTCTATTGTCCAAGCTGGAGTGCAGTGGCACGATCTTGGCTCACTGCAACCTCCACCGCCCGAATCCAAGTGATTCTTCTGCCTCAGCCTCCCGTGTAGCTGGGATTACAGGCCCGCGCCACCACACCGGGCTAATTTTTGTATTTTTAGTAGAGACGGGGTTTCACCATGTTGAACAGGCTGGTCTCGAGCTCCAACCTCAGGTGACCCGCCCACCTCGGCCTCCCAAAGTGCGGGTATTACAGGCGTGAGCCAAGATTTGTGGTTTGAAAAATCACTTAAAGGGGCCTGCTGAGCCTGTCTCGGGCACAATATAATAATCCGGTAGGAGTCCGGGCACGGTGGTTTACGCCTGTAATCCCAGCACTCTGGGAGGAAGGCAGGTGGATCACGAGGTCAGGAGTTCAAGACCAGCCTGGCCAAGATGGTGAAACCCCGTCTCTACTACAAATACAAAAAAAATTAGCCGGGCGTGGTGGCGGGCGCTTATAATCCCAGCTACTCGGGAGGCTGAGGAAGAGAACTGCTTGAACCCGGAAGGGGGAGGTTGCAGTGAGCCCAGATCGCGCCACTGCACTCCAGCCTCGGCGACAGAGCGAGACTCCGTCTCAAAAATAAATAGGTAAGTAAATAAATAATAATCGGTGGGAAATAACAAGGCCTTAAAGGGCTTTTTGGCCTACTACGGTATCTGGGCTCTGTCACGACATTCCAGTTCTTTCAACAGATTGGTGTGATAGAAGAGCCGAATGTTACTGAATAAATTGGACCCAAAGAATCTTGCAAAATTTGTCTCCCTGCAACTTTCTCTCATCTCTCCTGTTCCCAGGTCCACCCCCGGGAAGCTTCCAGACCCGGCGCCCCGGCCCTGCCCCGCTCTCACACGAACACGTCCCCGTCCACGTCCCCTGCAGCCAGTAGGTCACGGGCCGGATGGAACGCCAGCCCACTAGCCGGAGCTTCCAGCACGATGTCTTCCGGAGTGTCCCGGATCCGGGTTGGGGCTTCCATGGAGTCTGGGTCCTCCTCGTCGCTCCCATCCTCAGCGGGCCTCTCCTCACAAGTGCGGTCCATGCTGAGAAGGACTGCGAGCCGCGCCGCCGCAGGGTAGTCAGCCTCGGAACCACCCACACTGCGGGAGGAGTAGCCTGGCACTCCGCTTCCGCCTCGGGGGGCGGGGCCGGAAGTGTCTCCGGGACGTTCTTCCTCTTACAGGAGAGGTGGGTGGGCCGCTGCTGGTGCGGGTGGAGCGGAGCGAAGAGACCGCATCTGGGAGATCGGCTACTTCCTTGTCCTGCTGTGACCCCGTTTGGGCTAGGTAGACGGTGCGACCGTCAATTCCCTCCCTAGTCACGTCACGTAAAGTTGAGAACTGCGTGTAAATCTTTCCTCTCCTACTTCATCCAGACAGGCTTAATGCCCTTGGGATAGGAGAGAGGGACGCTAGTCCTTCGTGGCTTGGTGAAACCCAAGATCAAGTCAAGCGACAGCCTGGGCTGTCAGGAAGCCGCAAAATCCCACGCTGCGCGATGACATACGGGAGTCTGGGACAGCAGGCAGCTCAAGCAGCTGGTGTCCACGCCCCTAACGTCTTTGTGGCCAGTTTGCTGTGCCAGTTCCTACAATTTGTCTACAGAAACTCAATGGGCTGGACAAGCAGTGCTCAGTTACCAAGAATTTTTTTTTCTTTTTTGTTTTGCTTTGTTTTGAGACAGGGTCTTGCGCTGTCGCGCAGGCTGGAGTGCAGTGGCACGATCACCGCTCGGCTCAAGCGATCCTCCGAGTAGCTGGAACTACAGGCACGCGGCACCACGCCTGGCTAATTTTTATTTATTTATTGAGACGGAGTCTCGCCCTGGCTGGAGTGCAATGGTGCGATCTCGGCTCACTGCAACCTCCGTCTCCCGGGTTCAAGAGATTTTCCTGCCTCAGCCTACCGAGTAGATGGGACTAGAGGCGCATGCCACCACGCCCAGCTAATTTTTTGTATCTTTAGTAGAAACAGGGTTTCACCATGTTGGCCAGGCTGGTCTCAAACTCCTGACCTCGTGATCCGCCCGCCTTGGCCTCCCAAAGTGCTGGGACTACAGGCGTGAGCCACCGCACCTGGCCAATTTTTGTATATTTTGTAGAAACGAGGACTCAGTATGTTGCCCAGGCTGGCCTTGAACTCTTGACGTGTCTTCCCACCTCAGCCTCCCAAAGTGCTAGGATTATAGGCGTGAGCCACGGCGCCCAGCCCCTGAATTTCTTTTTTTAAATCAAGGTCTTGCTCTGTCACCCAGGCTCAGAATGCAGTGGTGTGATCATAGCTCACTACAGCCTTGAACTCTTCGGTTCGATCCTCCTGCATAGCTATAGACTCATGAACTCCTGGCCTCAAGAGACTCTCCTGCTTTGGCCTCCCAAAGCACTGAGACTGTGGGCATGAGCCATCGAGCCTGGCCTCAGAAACTGAATTTCAAACCCACAATCTCCAGGTCTTGCTTTTAGTGACTCTCCAGATGTCTTCACCTGTGCCATGTCTCTGTGACCATTTTTAATAATTGGGACTGCCTACCTACATCCATAGAACCATGGTGTCATTTGTCTGAAATTAGCCATTCTAGGTGCTATTGCAGCAAGGCCCAATTTCAGCCTCTTACATGCCATGCACAATACTGGCTTCCTCACAAAAACCTGTCCTACCAAGGTGAATATAATCAAAGACAAGGTAATGGCTAAGGTGACTTTCTAGCTTTCTTGGATCTGGTGAGGCCACAAATCTTGGGCTCAGGGTAGACAGTGGCAGCGTGGCATCCAGCCAGGAAGCAGTAGTGACACCTAATGATGAGCACCAGGCCAAAGTGCTGGTAATGAGCAGAAGGGAAGAAAAGGGAAGGGAATGGTGTGATTCAAAGGTCAACAGACCTATTCTGGGCCTTGGCAAATGTTTCAGGGTGATGAAGGGCACCAAACCCTTCTGGTCTAGGATAGGAATTCCTGTACCTGCAGGGCCACACTATATCAGCTCTAAACCCAAAGCACTTCCCTAAGGTTACACCTTTAGCCAAGGAGACAGTGATTTGTACTCAACATTAATAAAGCTCATAGTACATAAACTCATAAAAGGTTTTGGTTCCCACCCATAAGTGATTTTCATTAGATGCCTTCATCCAGAGCCCAGTCCTTCATAGCCTGGAGATCAGATTAGCAGCCCATCAGGCTGACAGCAATCCCCAGGAAATCTTTCCCCAGGGACTAGGCCTGAAGATGGGCCGGAATGAGTCTGACATTTGAGACCAATCATACTTACATTCCTCTATCCACCTCTTGCCCATCAGTGAGGATCATTATTCTCTTCTCTACTGGGCACACTGGCTAGAGAGCATCCTTACTGTCTAGGAATCTAGAACCACAGCTCAGGAAAGGACTGATGACTTTCTGCATGTGATTTTACACAACCAGTGGAATTAGTGTTCTTGGTGCTTCAAGGGCACTGGAGGGGACATGCTCAACAAAGAAAATAGCAAGTTAACCAATTTTAATGGAACCAAGTAATTACACAATAAAATTTTATATTCATCCACAAAAAAACATCTTGCAACCTTTGGAAATTGTAGAAAGAAAACAGTGGGGAGCATATCCTTGTGGAGCATCTCTGGTTGTAACTAGTGATTAGTATTTTGGTCTTTTGACTTCAACCCTGCAATGGAAGGAGAAATGGGTCAGTATAAGATCAATACACTAAGCAATTCCCACCAGTCCCACAGAGGAAGAATAATGCCGCTCACCCATCAGCTTCCATCTTCTTCCTCTTCTCAATGATCTGCAAAAACAACAGGATAGTCTATCACCAAGCTGCCCATCTAAGCTCACCTGAGGCCCAAGGCTGACCTCTCATTTCCATGGCTCTCCAGCCCCTTGCCTGTTCCTGAATCTGCAGGCTAATGTCTTCTCCCAGCTGAAACCCTCCCACCCAAGGGGCCATCCTACTTACTGCACTAATCTTCTTCCACTGGCGATCAAGCTCTGCTTTGTCATTGGTTTCCTTGAAGCGCCTGGTTTTCCGCCCTTCAGACATTTTGATACCATACTGGAATGCAGCCCTGAAAAAAGCAGTTGGGAAAGAATGCATCAGAGATTGCATAGCAGTGGCGAGGTTTTCCCAGAGTCCTGTGGGCAAAGAACTTAGTGGGGAACATCTCAGCCAGACCACACCCTCTAACCTTATATGCACTATTCCACCAAATCCCCACACCCCTCCTCACACCCTGCCCATATTCAGTACCGACTCACTTGGGCAAAGCTTCTTTGTTGTTCATATACTCGCTGTATTCTTCCTGGGTATCAAAGTCCCAACGGCCTAAGGGCCCCTTCTTGTTACCCTGTTGCAGGACAGAATCGGGGGATGGGGAAGGAAGAGATGTCAGTGGAAATGGAATTTCAGCCCTTGATTGAAGCCAGACTCTCCCATAATCCCAGGTTCCACAATTCATAAATCATACCCTGATAAGTAATAATAAATGCTTATTACATACTTACTATGTGACAGGCATTATTCTGTACACTAAATGCATATCTCACTTAATTCTCATAAAATCTATGAAGAGGGAACTATATTTCTCTCCATTTTCCTGATGAGGAAACTGAGGCATAAACAGTGAAAGAACTTGGCAAGTTCACAAAACTAATAAACAGTAGAGGCAGGATTAAACAAGGCTCCAAGATTAAACCATGCTATTTCAATACAGTGAACTCAGGGGAAGAACACAGACTTCTTCACTATTAGTGGCATTAGTGGTTTTTTTCTTTTTAATTTTGCTTAAGACTTAGAGGAAAACTTCAATCCTGGCTAGAATAAAATTTAGTTATTTTCCAAAGACTGCAATTTTTTCTGCCCTTTCTACTTATGCATTGATGCTTGCTTACTGCCTACCATGGGAATCAAAGCCTGGCACTTTGCTATAGGAAGTAAAAAATAGATTTTTGACCCTATGTCATTTGATCTTGTGCAAAGACTCTGAAATAGTTAAGCTGCTCATGACCCTCAATGCTGCTGTTTCTACTGCTGCAGCTAAAGGAGGGTGGGGCCCAGTAAATGAGATAGATTTTTTAGGAGTGGGGAAGGAGATACATGTAAAACAAATAATAACTGCCCAAAGGCGCCCACCATCCTTCTAACTACATACCTGGTCCATTTTGCTATAATCCACCTCCTCATCACTATCCACAGCCATGTCATCCATCCTAAGGAGAAGCAAGAGTTAAACAGATGTTGCATACCCTGACCCTATGCTTCATCTGGAAACCTACCCGACTAAGAGGTTATCTGCATAGGAATGACCACCCCCTAGACCTCCCACTTAGAGCCTAATAAAATAGTTCATCCAAGTAAGAAGTAGCCTTGGGCCAGGCGCAGTGGCTCACTCCTGTAATCCCCGCACTTTTGGAGGCTGAGGAGGGCAGATTACCTGAGGTCAGGAGTTCAAGACCAGCCTCACCAACATGGTGAAACCTCATCTCTACTAAAAATACAAAAACTAGCCAGGTGTGGTGATGCATGCCTATAATCCCAGCTACTTGGGAGGGTGAGGCAGGAGAATCGCTTGAACCCGGGAGATGGAGATTGCAGCGAGCAGAGATTATACCATTGCATTCCAGCCTGGGTGACAGAGTGAGACTCTGTCTCCAAAAAAAAAAAAAAAAAAAAAAGAAGTAGCCCTGGGACTTAGCGAATCAAATTTCCATTTCACCCCCAACTTGTTTCCCAATCATCCCAGCCTCCCTTCCTTAACCAGGTTTCACATACGTGGCTGGGTAGCACTCTGCATAACTGTTGGACATGCCAAAGAAATCTCCCAGCTGCTTTTTGTCTTCTGGCTTCTTCAGCATATGCTATGTTAAAGAAAACACTACACAGGATTCTACCTATTGCTGTAAAGCTTCAGCCAGGAGGGGGCCAAGGGCTAGAAGCCCCAACATGAAAATTCTGAGTGGGCTGTGAGCTGTTATGGGTGCTCTGGGAAGGAACAAGGGATGGTTTCATTCTGTCAAAATTCAGCGTAAAAGGGAAGGAGAGGGGCAGGGTAGGAGGGAGCAGGGAGGCAGGGGGGGTTGGAGTAAAGAGACCAGTTCTCTGGAACCCAGGAACGTATTAAAATAAAGGATATGATTCTGTGCCTTCCCAGCCAGCAGACCCAGCAAACTTTTCATTGATGGACTTGATCAACTCCTTGGTAGACCCAGGTCCTAGGAGAAAAGAGAACTCAGCCCAGACCTTGAACTGAGGCTCTCACAACCTCCTCCCCACAACACACTTAAAAAACATTTTTAAGGCATAGAACCCTTTTGTCTAACAAAGTTTTAAACAAACTCCAATTAATGAGTCACTCTGGTTGAGATGAGGGTAGGGTATCCAGAACATTCCATACTTGACCTCTACCTCACCTCCTCAGAACCCCAGGGCCACAGGAATTATATCTAAGAGCAAATATGCCCTGCCATGGCCCAGGAAGGTGGAGGGAACTCCACCTATTCAATAAAGCAAGACACAGTTCTTACAAGAACCCAGAACCAGGAGGTCCCCCAATCCCACCGTTGCCAGCTCTGAGCCCTACCAGGGGAAAGCAGGACTGCTAGAGCAACTGTGAGATGCTGTGTGTACAACTCACCTTTGTCAACGTCCATGGGCTGGAAAGAACACAAAATGTGAAGTTAGTGTTACCATGAGAGATTCCTACTCATCCCTCCCCCAAGTTTGAAACAATTCCTTACCCAACCTTGCTCACATTTCCAGAGAGGGGCAACTCCATCACCTGGTACTAAGGGCCCACATCTCACCTCATCATCTACTTTTGGCTTCTCAAAGTAGCTGTGTCTCTTCTTTTCCTCTTCTCTCTCTCGGTCCCGCTCTCGCTCTCGTTCCCGATCTCGTTCTCGCTCTCGCTCTCGGTCACGGTCTCTGTCTCTTTCCCGATCACGCTCCCGTTCCCGATATCTCTCCCGCTCCTTGTCCCGAGGTGTCTTGGTTGTGGAGGGTACGTAATCCCCAATGTCTTCAAAAATACTGGGAAAATGGAGATCACTAGCTGGCCAAATTCACACATACACCTTCACTCCCCCTGACCATTTCTCCAGATTCTCATGTCAGCACCTCCCCAAAATGCCAGACACAAGAAATGTACAGACCCCCTCCCTCTGATCAGATGCCAGGGGCTAGGATACATACTTCATGTCAGCCTCAGGAGGTTTCTTCTCTTCCAGCTTCCCTGAAATTTAAAGAGAGGAGTCAGGAACATACTCCTCAGTTAATTTCCACTGAACTTCACCATCCTCTCCAGCTCTTAATGCCCTTTTAAACATCTTCTGTTTAAAACGTGGGTCAAGGCTGGGTGCGGTGGCTCACGCCTGTAATCCCAGCACTTCGGGAGGCCAAGGCGGGCGGATCACTTGAGGTCAGGAGTTTGAGACCAGCCTGGCTAACATGGTGAAACCCCATCTCTACTAAAAGTACAAAAAAATTAGCCGGGTGTGATGGCAGGTGCCTGTAATCCCAGCTACTCAGGAGGCTGAGGCAAGAGAATTGCTTAAACCCAGGAGGCAGAGGTTGCAGTGAGCCGAGATGGCATCACTGCACTCCAGCCTGGGCGACAAAACGAGACTCGTCTCAAAATAAATAAATAAATAAAAATAATAAAATAAGGCCAGGAAGAGTGGCTCATGCCTGTAATCCCAGCACTTTGGGAGGCCGAGGTGGGCACATCATAAGGTCAGGAGTTCGAGGCCAGCCAGGCCAATACAGTGAAACCCCATCTCTACTGAAAATACAAAAATTAGCCAGGCGTGGTGATGCGTGCCTATAGTGCCTATAGTGCCTACTTGGGAGGCTGAGGCAGAAGAATCGCTTGACCCCGGGAGGCAGAGGTTGCAGTGAGCAGACATCGCACCACTGTACTCCAGCCTGGGTGACAGAGCGAGACTCCGTCTCAAAAAATAAATAAATAAAATAAAATAAAATGTCGGTCAAGTATTAGAGCCTTTTTAGAATCTGTCTAGGTTTTCTGGTTTTCACCAAAAAATCTCTTTTAAAAAAAATAAATAAATAGGACATAAGCTACCCACTCTCCATCCCTCATGCTTCAGACCTGACCACTGCTTCTTAGGTAGGTTAAGGAGACAGAATCTGGCTGTAACTGTCTCCTTGCCAATGCTCCAGTACTCCCATTTTTCTCTGCTTCCCAGGAGCCTCTCAATATTCTGGAGACAGAAAGCTCCAGGAGACCTTGGTTTTATCCCCAAACGTCCTCTGTGGGTAAGGCTTCTCTCTCTAACCCTCCAGGTACCTTTATCCTTCTTCTTAAGCTTCTTGTTACGGGTTCCCTGCCTCAGGTATGAAAGGATCTGGGTCAGCTTGCTAATGACAATGTCATTTGTGGTCAGTGTGGTCTGGGCCTGAAAATACCAAGAAACAAGAATGTTAAACCACTCAGCAGAAATCTCTTCATTTATTCATTCATTCACTTAACAAACTAAAGACTGAATTACAATACAGTAGGTGAAGGGAGGGAAACGAAGTGCTGTGAAAGGATATTCCAGAGATAAAACAGCCTGCACAAAAGCCCTGCATCAAAATGAATCAAGACCATTCAAGAAAGTCAGGAGTCTAGAACATTCTAGAAAGGCCAGATGTTGCAGAGGCTCAAAGTCATGGTAAAGATTTTGCTCTTTATCCTAAGAATGAGATACTACTAAAAGCTTCTAAACTGTAGTGAGACAAAAATTTACATTTTATTTATTTATTTGGAGACAGAGTCTCATTCTGTCGCCCAGGCTAGAATGCAGTGGCACGATCTTGGCTCACTGCAACCTCCACCTTCTGGGTTCAAGCAATTCTCATGCCTCAGCCTTCCGAGTAACTGGGATTACGGGCACATGCCGCCACGCCTGGCTAATTTTTAGTAGAGATCAGGTTTTACAATGTTGGCCCACCTGGTATTGAACTCCTAACCTCAAGTGATCCTCACACCTCAGCCTCCCAAAGTGCTGGGATTACAGGTGTGAGCCACTGCACCCAGCCAAACTGTATATTTTAGAAGGGTAGGGGAGGTAGGGGTGGTTAATAGGTACCAAAAAAATAGAAAGAATGAATAAGGCCTACTACATGATAGCACAACAGGGTGACTATAGGCAGTAATAATTTATACATTCTAAAACAACTAAAAGAGTATAAATGGATTGTTTGTAACACAAAAGATAAATGTTTAACGGGATGGATACCCCATTTTCCATGATGTGATTATTATGCATTATATGCCTGTATCAAAACATCTCATGTACCTCATAAATATATATACCTACTATATATCCACAAAAATTTTTAAAAAAATTCTCTTTAAAGGATGAATTATATGGCATGTGAATAACACCTCAATAACAAGATATAATAACAAATCAGAGTGGAAGTGCGGAAACCAGAGTGGAAGTGCGGAAACCAATTAGAAGCCTTTTTAATAGCTCCAGAGGACTGGCGCAGTGGCTCATGCCTGTAATCCCAGTACTTTGGGAGGCCAAGGCGGATGGATCACTTGAGGTCAGGAATAGCCTAGCCAACGTGGTAAAACCCAATCTCTACTAAAAATAAAAAAATTAACCAGGTGTGGTGATGAATGCCTGTAGTCCCAGCTACTTGGAAGGCTGCGGCAGGAGAATCGTTTGAACCTGGGAGGCGGAGTTTGCAGTGAGCCAAGATAGCACCACTGCACTCCATCCTGGGTGACAGAGTGAGACTTGGTCTCTAAAAAAATAGTAAGTTAATAGTTCCAGCAAATGATTATAGCTTAGACTGGAATGTTATTGGTGAAAAAGTGGAAAAGTGAATGGATTCAGTTGAGATTTAGGAGGTAAAAGTGAACAGCACTTGGTGACATGGTGGACAAGGGACACGGGGCAGAGGCCAGGCTGATTCCCAGGCTTGAGGCTCACATGATAGGCTCTCAGGATTCCATTCACTCACCTCCATGGTGGGGCAATCAGCCTTGCTGCGGATAAGAGTGGTGGGGATATCTGTGTCAGCATACTCATCATCCAGGTCTACCACATAGGCCATGCGGCCCGGCAGGAACAACTCATTCCGCTCATATGCTTTGCTCTTAAAAAGCATTCGGTAAACATTGCGGCCTACAATAAGGAGAAGAGCAGCAAGTAGCCAGGATCTACAAGAACAGCTGTCACTTATGTGCTTACTCTGTGCTAGCCACCATGCCAAGTGCTATGCAAGCTTTGCGTCATTTAATCTTTGCAACAGCCCTATGAAGTGGATATTATTATCCTTTTTACTGATAAGAATACTATGGCTGAGATTTAAGTAATTTACCTAAAGTCATGTATCTACTAAGTAATGGAGCAAAGAATGGAACCAGGCCATGTAACTCCAAAGCCTGGGCTCCTGTCCACTCTTCTACATTGCCTCTTCAAGGGCACTATGCACCTGTATTGTATTAAGTCCTGTGAGGAAGAAGGATGAAGTTTAAGGTAATATTGATGATGATGGAAAAAACAGCTCTACTACCTGCTCAATATGATAGGCATGTTATAGATTTCATTTTTCTTCATCCCTACAATAAAGTCATGTGGTAAATAGTAACCCAATTTTTACAGATGAACAAACAGCAAAGTCAGTTGCCTAAAATCATACACTTAGTGCTGTTTCATCATCAAGGTTTAAACTCAGGTCTCTCTGACTCCAAGTTTTGAACTTTTAATCACTAACCATGTTACTTCTTTTAACTCATAAGCCCCAAACTGAAAAATCTTTCAATCTACCTGAGGAGACATAAATGACATATGAAATAATTAAATCTATGTCTGAGTCTTATTAGAGTATTTTATGGGAGTTAGTTGTTTTGGGGGCAAGAAAGAATCCCAGCTCTTTGGGAGGTCAAGGCAGGAGGATCACTTGAGCCCAGGAGTTTGAGACCGGCCTGGGCAATACACAGAGAACCCCATCTCTGCAAAAAATAAAAAAAAAAATTAGCTAGGTATGGTGGCACATGCCTGTGGTGCCAGCTACACAAGAGGCTGAGTCCAGGAGGTCAAGGCTGCACTGAGCCATGATCACACCACTGCACTCCAGCCTGGGCGATTAAGTGAGACACTGTCTCAAAAAGAAAGAAAGAAGAAAGGAGGTTGGGGGAAAGGAGAAGCATATCCTTCCCAGAGCATTAAATTCCGTACAATTCATCCAGAATGCATAGTCACTAGTATAGAAACTGTACTCACCCAGACGTGTTTTAAATTCAATTTTATTTTCAGGATCCTCATCTTTCCTGAAAAGACAAAAAAGTTTTATTTTTGCTAAATGTGCTCTAACTTTAGGTCCCACCTTTCTAAATTCTCAACCTTTCCATAATATTTACTTACTTGGTTTCTTTCTGGGGCTTTTCCATCAGTTCCTCTTCCTCTTTCTCTTTGCTGGCAATCTCAGCTCGTACCTAACAGGAAAGCAAGCAGGGTTAGGACACTCATTTTATATATTTATTGAACATCCACTACACCACACTGTACCAGGAACTAAGAATATAATATTAAACATGACAGATATTGTTCTTACTCTAATGGAGCTTATAGCAGATGAGACAGACAAATTAAACAATTTCAACAAAGTACAATAACTGCTGTGGTAAATGAAACAGAAGGGCTATGCAAAGGTACAGGAAGCAGGAGGTGAAGGGAAGTGCTTAACCACACCTGGGTGATCAGGGAAGGTTTCTCCAAGGAAATAAAATTTGGCCTGATACTTGAAGGATGAGTAGCAATCAGCTTTTCAGAGGGGCCATCTTTAGCCCTTCTTCTACTCAGTCTGAACTCTCAGGAATCTCCCTCCTCATCTTGCCAGACCCATACAAGAGCATTCAGCACGACAGTATTACTCCCCACCTGACCACCAGGACTCACCTTTTGAAGCAGAGCAAAATCCAAGCCTTTCACCAAATGGGTGTGTTCCATGTCACCACCCAAGAATTTGGACTCCTGGATCAACTGTCTTCTCTTCTCTGCAGCTGATTTGTCCCTGTATAATGAAAGAGGCCACATAAGAACAGTACTGTCCAGGCGTGGTGGATCACGCCTGTAATCCCAGTACTCTGGGAGGTCAAGGCGGACAGATCACAAGGTCAGGAGTTTGAGACCAGCCTGGTGGATATGGTGAAACCCCATCTCTACTAAAAATACAAAAATTAGCTGGGCATGGTGGTGGGCGCCTGTAGTCCCAGCTACTCGGGAGGCTGAGGCAAGAGAATCGCCTGAACATGGGAGGCGGAGGCTGCAGTGAGCTGAGATCGCGCTACTGCACTCCAGCCTGGGCAACAAGAGCAAGACTCTGTCTCCAAAAAAAAAAAAAGGGGGTGGGGGAAAGGGGGTTGGGGGGCCAGGTGCGGTGGCTCACGCCTGTAATCCCAGCACTTCAGCAGGCCGAGGCGGGTGGATCATGAGGTCAGATCGAGACCAGCCTGGCTAACACGGTGAAACCCTGTCTCTACTAAAAATACAAAAAATTAGCCGGGCGTGGTGGCGGGCGCCTGTAGTCCCAGCTACTCGGGAGGCTGAGGCAGGAGAATGGCATGAACCTGGGAGGCGGAGCTTGCCATGAGCCAAGATCGTGCCACTGCAGTCCAGCCTGGGTGACAGAGCGAGACTCCATCTCAAAAAAAAAAAAAAAAAAGAACAGCCCTTTGTGGGTGGCAAATGCCTCTGAAATCGCTTATTGTAGGCTCCAGGGCAGGAAAGTAAGAGGAAGAGTTCACATTGTATTTGCATGACTCTCGGATGCTGAGGGAACCATGCCCTGTTCCCTCAGTACTCACGCCTCAGCAGTGGGGCCAACAGCCCTATAGTTAGCTGTGGTGCTGATAAGCTCGGTTTCTTCATAATCTTTGTTCACTCCATCTCTCCGTTCCTTGGCACGATCCCGGTACTTCTCTGCTAGCTCTCTCTCTCTCTCAATTTCTTGTTGGCGTAGCTTGGCATAATAACTGTGACCAGAGAAAGGCAAATGTATAAGGCTCATCAGCTGCTACCTCAAGGTCAACAGAACTGTTCCTGCTTGCTTCCCTACATCTCCAACCTACTCTCTATGGGGAAAAGCTCATGTCTGTCCTGATAGAACTGCTGGCCACCTCTTCGTAGTTACTCAAAATCAGAACTACAACTTCTTCCAGCTTATAGATATACTTTTCCAGTGCCAACTTGGGACACTCCATCTGTCACTTCAGAACTTTTTAATACCACCCAACTCTACCAATTCTCTATAGATATAAGACTTTTCCACACAAAAATCAGAAAATCTTCTGAATTTTTACCACCTTCTAAATTTCAGCTGAAAAGAACGTATTATTTGCTGGTCCACTCTCAGAATAAAGGAAAAGCCAAGTACCAGGTCCTGAAACTTTCGTATCATATAAATAACGATGATGATATAATAATGATGATGGCCGTCAAGATTTATTGGGTGGTTACCATATGCCAGGCATTGGTGCTAAATGCCTACATGTACTTTCACAGCTGATCCTCATGACATCCTGATAAAAGTTATTATTGCTACTGTATCTCCATTCTATCTGTGGATTAGAGAGGCTAAGCAAATGTCTAGGTTATCCACCAAGAAACTAGCGAAGATGAGATTAAAATATAGATAGGCCTATTCCAAAGCCCTCTACTGCCACTCTAAGTATCACTCTGTTTCATTAAGAAAGTAGAGAGCCTCAAGACAAAATCTTAGTTTCTAGCTTCATAATTAGCCCCTACTTCTTTCCCCTAAACACTATCCACCTTAAAATCTAAAACCCTTCACCCTTCCTTCACCTTTTCTTTTTCCTCCTTCGTGCAGCTGGGTCTTCATCCTCATTGTACTCCCTTGGCATCCTAGAAGAGACGAGAAATTCACTGATAGCAAAATATTGCCACAGCCCCAGAAACCCCAAGAAGTCTCCTTGAGGATTTTTAGAAAGACCTAGAATACTGATCAAAGTAACACTTTCAATCAAGCAGAAATCCACACCAATATTTGTAGGTGGGCAGTTCTCAAACTTTAGAGAGTATCATAAATACCTGAGGGACTATTAAAAGTCATTCTACTTAGTAGAAAGAAATAGGAAGGAGCAAGAAACAAGTTGGGAGACAGGTTGGATCACCCAAAGACTTACTCATGGTGACGTGACTTAGAAGGTGGTGCAGAGGTAGGTGCAGCCCTGGGGGTCATGAGAAGTTTCCTGAAGTCTTCATTGGTGAGTTTTGATCTAGAAGAAAAGGCAAAGATTTTAAATATTAGGACTCAATAAGAAATGAAAAAGGAACAAGTAAAAATCATGATTAAATTAACAGAAATCAGGGAAATACAAATTAAAACAAAGATATGACACTGTTTTTTTTTTTTTGAGACGGAGTCTCACTGTCACCCATATTGGCCAGGCTGGTCTTGAACTCCTGACCTTGTGATCCACCCACCTCGGCCTCCCAAAGTGCTGGGATTATAGGGATGAGCCACCGCACCCAGCTTTTTTTTTTTTTTTTTAAGACAGAGTCTCCCTCTGTTGCCCCGGCTGGAGTGCAGTGGCATGATCTCAGCCCACTGCAACCTCTGCCTCCTGGGTTCAAGTAATTCTCCTGCCTCAGCCTCACAAGTAGCTGGGAATACAGGTGCCCGCCAACACACCCAGCTAATTTTTGTATTTTTATTAGAGGTGTTGGCCAGGCTGGTCCCAAACTTCTGACCTCAGGTGATCTGCCCACCTCAGCCTCCCAAAGTGCTGGGATTATAGGTGTAAGCCACCACGCCCGACCAGATATGCCATGCCACTTTTAATGCATCAGAGTGTTAACTACCAGAAAGTTTGATAAATCAAGTGTGAGTGAGAATTTGGGAAGGGGACTCTCTCATATAATGCTGATGAGAATGTAAACCAGTATAACCAATTTGAAGGGCAATTTTGCAGTATTTGTTAAAATTTAAGTATATATATCCTATGAGCCAGCAACTCCATTTATTTATATTTAGCCTGGTCCATTACTGACATATGTATATAAGAAGGCCTGTAAATTTAATTCAGTTATAGCCTTGAAAATAATCAGTCTGGCCGGGTGCAGTGGCTCACACCTATAATCGCCGCACTTTGGGAGGCTGACGCAGGCGGATCACCCGAGGTCAGGAGTTCAAGACCAGCATGGCCAACATGGTGATATCCCATCTCTACTAAAAATACAAAAAAATTAGCTGGGCGTTGTGGTGGGCGCCTGTAATCCTAGCTACTCAGGAGGCTGAGGCAGGAAAATCGCTTGAACCTGGGAGGCGGAGTTTGCAGTGAGCCGAGATCTAGGTATTACACTCCAGCCTGGGCAAAAAGAGCAAGACTCTGTCTCAAAAAAATAAAAAAAAGAAAAGAATCAGTCTGAAACAGACTAAGCGTTTATTAGCTGGAGACTGACTAAACTATGATGGTGTTTCCCAAAGAGGGAAAGACAGCACTAATGGTACAAGAGATTATTTTAATTGGTACACTAACAAAGACTCCTCTCTTGATCAAATTAAAGTCAGACTCCTTTAAAGCTCTCTTCTGACTAGGGCTCTTCCTTGGCCTGCTGACCTCAGTTTTAAAAAGGAATCCTAAGTCAGTTCACAGAAAGTTTTCCCACTCTTGATATCCAATCCAACTTGATATCTAATCAAGTTCCTCTTCTCCCCAAGGAAGACTTTATTGAAGACTACTGTAACAAGAGTCAAGACCATTGTAATAGAGTAGAGAGACTGAACTTAATTCCGAATACAACAGGGACAAGTGAGAATTTATAGAAAATTACTAAAAGCAACTTGGTTAGGTATGGGGGTGGAGCGGTGGTTGATTTCTTTGTTAAAACTGTGCTCAGCAGGCCACGGATGAGTCCTGCTGAAAAATGGGACTCTTTGGGGAACCTGACTAAAGTTTAGCCAAGGAGGGAATGCTTGTCACTGCTCTGAAAGATAATCTCAGAAACACTGAGCAGGGTTTAAAAAGAAGCAAGTTGCAAAAATGATATATACAGCATAATATCATTTAACTCAAATATTTTAAATCACAAAGCAATGTTGTGTTTTCCTCAGATATGCATGTATGTGTATAAATGCATTTAAAAAAGAGTAGGAGGGCCAGGCGCAGTGGCTCACGCCTGTAATCCCAGCACTTTGGGCCGCCGAGACGGGCAGATCATTTGAGGTCAGGAGTTCAAGACCAGCCTGGCCAACATAGCGAAACCCTGTCTCTACTAATACAAAAATTAGCCAAGCATGGTGGGGCATGCCTGTAATCCCAGCTACTGGGGAAACTGAGGCAGAAGAATTGCTTGAGCCCAGGAGGCAAAGGTTGCTGTGAGCAGAAATAATGCCATTGAACTCCAGCCTGGGCAACGGGAGGAAAAGATATGCCAAAAAAGGTAACTGTGGTTACTTCTAAGAAAAGGACTGAGGCTGGGCACGGTGGCTCACGCCTGTAATGCCAGCACTTTAGGAGGCTGAGGCGGGTGGATCACTTCAGGCCAGGAGTTCAAGACCAGCCTGACGAACACAGTGAAACCCTGTCTCTACTAAAAATACAAAAAAAAAAATCAGTCGTGCATGGTGGCACATGCCTGTAGTCCCAGCTACTTGGGAGGCTGAGGCAGGAGAACCGCTTGAACTCAGGAGGCAGAGGTTGCAGTGAGCCAAGATTGCATCACTGCACTCCAGCCTGGGTAACAGTGAGACTCCGTCTCAAAAAAAAAAAAAAAGAAAGAAAAGAAAAGAAAAGAAAAAAAAAAAGAAATGGACTGGAATTGGGGATGTTATCAAAGATGATTTTATCGGGGGCCAGGCACGGTGGCTCACGCCTGTACTCCCACCACTTTGGGAGGCAGAGGCGGGTGGATCACCTGAAGTCGGGATTTCAAGACCAGCCTGATCAACATGGAGAAACCCCATCTCTACTAAAAATACAAAATTAGCCGGGCGTAGTGGAACATGCCTGTAATCCCAGCTACTCGGAAGGCTGAGGCAGGAGAATTGCTTGAACCCGGGAGGCGGAGGTTGTGGTGAGCCGAGATCGCACCACTGCATTCCAGCCTGAGCAACAAGAGCGAAACTCAGTCTCAAAAAAAATAAAAAGATGATTTTACCCTTATTTCCTATGTTTTAATTTGCTATTGGAAGAAGTAATTCCTATATAATGTGTAATTACACAACACGTATAAAAAAAAAAAAAAACTTAACACCTTTCCTGCAGGAATTTCCCTTCTAATACCCTTATGCACTTGGCCTGATCCAGTTAAGGCTCACAGAGATAAAGGGCCAGCGGGTATAATTTTTTACCATCCTTGATGACAAGACATTCAGAATTCTTTCACCATCACCACCACTTTTCTATTCATTGCCCAACTCATTTCCATGGTCCTAGCACAAAATACTCACTGGTGGAAGGAGTGAGGATCATCCACATCGTGGCCATCGGGGGCCAAAGGGTTGGAGAACGGCTCACCTGACAAAAAAAATTGACGTTAATTTAATCAGTCTCTTACGTGTCAGATCCTATGCAAAAATTTGAGATATAGTAGTGAACAATACAGAACAAAAGTTAGAACAGCGACAGTGTCAACACAATGTAATAAGTGCTGAAATAGGAAACTACAAGAAGCTGTGGGAGCACAAAGCAGAGGACCCTAATCCTGCGCTGGAGGATCAGAGAAGACTTCCGGAAGATCACGTCTAAAATACTACGTAAAAGATAAATACGCGCAACCCAGGATTAAGTATGGGGACAGGACTGGGGGAAAGCGATCCACGCACAAAAGCCGCCCATCATCACTTGGAGTAGGAGTGAGGACTGGGGACGGAGTTTGGAGCTGTCGGCCTCACTTAGGACCCTGTGGCTTCTCCGGGCTCAAGCGTCACACATACATACATACACACACACACACACACACACACACACACACACACACCCGGCTTAAGCTCAGAAGCTACAATAATGCGCCAAGTGCCCCAAGTGCCATGGGGAAGAAATAACGGATGGCCTGAGCCTTACTATCTCGCTCCGGCATTTTGTTATCGTTCTTTCGCTGTCACCAACAATCGAGTCTCCAACAGCAACACCGCAGCGACAAGCTCTTTCCCACAGTGCACCTCAGAATCAACCCACACTGCTTTGCGTTCGCAGCCTTTCCGCTTCCTGTTTTTCCCTCCGACCAACCCCGAGCGCAAAGAAATTGACCTCGCAGCGGTCCTACAATACTTTTATATCATTGGCCAAGCTTTACCCCGCCCCTGCCTCATGCAGCCTATGGGCTAGGCTTTAGGGTCCGCGGTTGGTCAGACCGGAGCACTTGGCCTGAAGACCTGGAATTGGCGACTTCGATATTAACAAGGATGGCGGCGGCCGCAGCAAGTCGAGGAGTCGGGGCAAAGCTGGGCCTGCGTGAGATTCGCATCCACTTATGTCAGCGCTCGCCCGGCAGCCAGGGCGTCAGGTGAGGCGCGGCGTGGTGAGGCGGGCGGGCTTCGGGACGCCAGGGTCACGACCTCGACCTCCCTGAAGTTGAGGGAAGCCCCCGCCCACAGCACGCGCGGCGCTCTCTCCGGCCCCGCAGGGACTTCATTGAGAAACGCTACGTGGAGCTGAAGAAGGCGAATCCCGACCTACCCATCCTAATCCGCGAATGCTCCGATGTGCAGCCCAAGCTCTGGGCCCGCTACGGTGAGTGCGGGACGCCAGGGGTCTGGGGCTCCGGTAGGGGAACAAGGGTTTGAGAAGAGAAGGGACCGCCCAAGGTCGTGCAGAAACCCGTGGAGAAACTAGAACTCGGACTTTAGCCTTGCTGTTGATCTTGTTTCCATGAAGAAATTTATATTCGCAGGGTTATATGATGCGTTGTATTCCGGGCAACATAAGTATGCAGGCTGACCGAATCCTGCGTAGGGACCAGGAGCTGACGTTTTTGTAGTTAAGAATGGGCTTCAGACAGGAGAGAAGTTAGTCAATATAGTTTCTCCAAATAACGTGTAGCCAGTGTCAGTCCAGGTAGTGTGTGAGAATCTCAGTAATTTTGCACATAGAGCTGGGCCCTGTGCTGAGTGCTTCCCTGCCTAACTCATTTAATCTTCATTAGTTAGGAGGAAGCGTGTTCTTCTTTTCTCACTGTAGAGATTAGAAAACGGAATCAAAACTTTGTTTTGCACTATTGTTAAACTCTAGCTGCAACTTTAGATGCAGCTAGAGTTTAACAGGATTGAGCCTTTACATTTATTCCCCTTCCTAGAATGCACTTACCCCTCTAAGACTGGCATGGCAATGTATTGCAAAATGAAATTTTCCTATCATGTTGCCTAACACATTGTAGGTATGCAATAAATGTTTATACATACTGAATAACAGGATTTTAATCACAGCTTTTAACTATATGGTGCCCTGGGAATGACGGGAGGAGGTGGAGGAGAGTGACCACCTTAAGCAGATTGGTTCTCAGAGTAGATATCTGTGAGACACAGTAGACATTAGACATGCACTAATAATTGGAGAAGGAAAAAAGCTTCTCCTTCCAAAAGCCAGTAGACTACAGGAGGAGATAGACACGAGTAACTTTAGTGTATTGTGCTGGGTATTATGTTAGATAGCCTATGGGAGCCTAGAGAATGGGTACCCAGCTGGGTGCGGTGGTTCACGCCTGTAATCCCAGCACTTTGGGAGGCTGAAGCAGGTGGATCACCTGAGGTCAGGAGTTCAAGACCAGCCTGGCCAACATGGTAAAACCCCGTCTCTACTAAACATACAAAAATTAGCCGGGTGTGGTGGCGGGCACCTGTAATCCCAGCTACTCAGGAGGCTGAGGCAGGAGAATTGCTTGAACCCAGGAGGTGGAGGTTGCAGTGAGTGGAGATCGTGCCACCACACTCCAGCCTGGGTGACAGAGCGAGACTCCGTCTCAAAAAAAAAAAAAAAAAAAGAGAGAGAATGGGCTCCCAGCTGAGGCTGGACCCATGCAATACATTGCTCACCGTAGTTAATAATAAATGCCTACAGTGCCCCCGAAAGCTTCCCTGAAACAACCCATTGCGGCCATCCAGAATCAGCCAAAATTCTATTTGGACTTGGGCTTCCTAGATGTGTTTGAGACCTATTGTATTAATTCTAGGCATACCAAATGTATTTTGATCATATCTCTTTAATACTCTTCCTGTCTTAACAAGACTAAGATAAAGACAAAGATCTTTTATTTTACTTTGGTAGCCTCCAGGGTGCAGAATAGTTAAAGACACCTCCCTCTCTCTCTTCAGCATTTGGCCAAGAGACGAATGTCCCTTTGAACAACTTCAGTGCTGATCAGGTAACCAGAGCCCTGGAGAACGTTCTAAGTGGTAAAGCCTGAAGCCTCCACTGAGGATTAAGAGCAACAGCCCCAGAGCCTGGGCTCTGCTGGACTTAGTATAATGTGAAAAAAATGTGTTCTCCTATTCCTCATAAAGCTTGTGCTGTAAAATACTTTCTCAGGGTGTTCTTGTCCTCATCTACCCTCTACCCCTTACTGTGCAACCACTGAGGCAAAGTAGCTTAATATAAAAATAAAACTTTATTCTGTCTCATCAAAAGCTACCAGCTGCTGAAGCAAACATGAAGGGTGGCGGGGGGGCAGGGATTCTAGGGCCCCAGAGTAAGTAGACCACACTGAGTCCCTTTTGGTCCTCCTGCCTGGATAGTGCTGAGTGGAAGGGGAGGAGCTGGGACCCAAAGGTCTTGGCTTAGGTGTGGGAGCAGAGAACATGAGACCTCATTATGGTCCTAAATCTCCAAAGGCTCTACTGGACAAACAAGCTTGATGTTAAGAGAGAGGGGAATGAGTGACATTGAGAAACAAGATCACCCTTGAAGAGCTGTCTGCTGGAGAGCATACACACGATCCTGGAGCTGGGCCTCTTCCTGATGCCTTTCCAGGGCTTGCAGCCCTGACTGCTGCAGGAAGACCTGAACAGCCTAGGGGCAGGGAAGAAAATTCAACACACCTGGTCTCTGTGTCCTAAGACTCAATTCCCACAGCCTCATGGGTCAGCCTACTCCAGAGGGTGCATTCCCCAACAAGAGGATGAAGTTTCTGACATGGAACCTATATAGGTTAGCCAGGCCCAGAGAAACAACTATAGTTAGGACTGGATGGGAAGGGAGCCACTGTGTGGCTTCAGAACAGGGGTGACTGAGGATGTGGGCCAGAAACCTATACCTCTGGCTGATACAGGAACAGCAGATGCAGCAGCTCCAAACTCTGGCCTACTACTTCAGTGTCAGAAAAGGCTAGTGTGTGCAGCAAGGCGGGAAGCAGGGGCCCTGGCCACAGCCGCTGGCAGTAAGCAGGACCCTTTTCTGCAACATTGCACAGAACTGTGAGCACCTGCAGATAGACACATATATAGTCTACAAAGAATGAAACACAAAGATCATAACAATAGCTAAAATATATGACATGGTGACCACATGCCCAGGCACCATGCCAAGCTCTTCTACATACATGTTCTCATACTCCTACAACTACCCTATGATGCAAGATTATCCTCAGTTATAAGTGAGGAGACTGAAGCTTAAGGTGGTTAGTTGATTTGTCCAAGGATAAATAATCCAGTTTAAGGGACACACACCTAGATTGGTTGGGCCCTGAGGCCACACACCACCACCTGCTGGCTCTCAACTAAGGGTACATCTGAGGGCTCAGGACTGCTGTCCCATACAATCCGACTACCAGATCTTGGATTCAAGTAACCCCAATACATACCATTACGCTCACCACGTTAGATACTGGCAACAGCTGTAAGAGAGGCTCAATCAGATCCAGGGAGAGCAAGGAGGTACAGAAACTAGGACTGTTTGCTGGAAGAGAAGTACCAGGGTGAAAAACTGCTTTCCCCCACCACCCCTGTCAATACTACCCACCTCAGCCTAGGCCATGAGGAAATATCCCCATTATCCAAATGTCCAGGCCTGGGCAGATTATGGTGCGTACCAGTGAGGTTGTTGAGGAGCCAAAGGCCCTCAGGGAGCAGACTGGGCTGTTTCTGGAAAAAGAACTGCAGAAGGATAAATAAGGCTGCCACAACACGCTCATCTCTGAGCTGCATTTGCCCTCCCACAGTCTCCACTGCTGCCTCAGTTAGCAGGTTGCTTAGACATCGAAGCACGGGGCATGCCAGCTGCAAAGACAAATTGGGGGGTCAGGTGTAAGAAGGAAGAGGTTACCTGCATTCCAGAGTATCAAGAAACATCTCCCAGAATTTCACCTGACATCTTCACCTACCAGCTCCAGTCCTGCATCCTCGGTTTTCTGGACAGCCCCAGCCAAGTCCAACAGCAGCAACCCCAGAGTAGACAGAGCCCCATGGCCAATGAGCAGAGGATTGCTGACCTGGCTGGGCAACAGGAAGCAAGCAGTCCCTAGGTATATAGTCAATTCCACCTTTAAGAAGAGAAGCAGTTGCCTAGGCGTGGTGGCTTATGCCTGTAATCCCAGCACTTTGGGAGGCTGAGGTGGGTGGATCACCTGAGGTCAGGAGTTTGAGACCAGCCTGGCCAACATGGCGAAACTCCGTCTCTATTAGAAATACAAAAATTAGCCGGGCATAGTGGCACGCATCTGTAGTCTCAGCTACTCAGGAGGCTGAGGCAGGAGAATCGCTTGAACCCGGGAGGCAGAGGTTGCAGTGAGCTGAGATCGCACCACTGTACTCCATCCAGCCTGGGTGACAGAGTGAGACTGTCTCAAAAAAAAAGAGAAACAGCTAAGGTCTGTGGGTCTCCTGGGCTCCAAAAAGAGAAGACAGTGGAGGGAGGAAAACTCACTATAGCAATTCCAGACACAAGTTCAAAGAGTTGAATGTCATGGAAGGGAGCCCCAGGGAAGATCTGTGGTACTTTCCCAATTGCCCTGTTACCTGCAGATGATGTAATGAAGGCACCAGGCAAACTCCACAGCGACCCCAGGGTTGAGCTTTGGGCCAGGTTGCAACATTTGTAGCATGTGCTGAGGGAGAGTGGAGGCCAAGATGGAGCTGCTGGCAGAAGCAGGGCTGTAAGTAGGAACCACGAAGATGCCAGTGGTTCTTACCAAACCCTGATAGCAGGTGGGAGAGTGTCCAAACCCAAAGCCCTGCCCAGATGGGAAAGTGTCCAAACCCAAAGCCCTTCCTAGCCAGACACATGAATTTAAAATGTGCAACAGCTTTGGAAATCATTCAGGCATCCGGGAGCTATACTACTGAGTGGGTCACCTCTGGCTGCACATCTAAAGACAATTTTACTCACGGAATGATCTTCTCTGGAGCTTCCTCAGCCTGTAGAAGCTGGGACAAGGCATATCCGAGAGCTTCCAGCACAGCCACATGGGGGGACTGGAAGTAGACAGGGTAAGGATCTGACTGGAAGCTGGGTCATCAGGTCTTCAGAGACTTTCAGCCCCTTGGCACAGGGCAGAGGCTGGAGCTACCTAACCAAAGTAGATGGAGCATGTGGGGAGGAGCAAAGGAAGGGTTGCCCAGGGAGGAAGAAAGGAGTCACCTGGATGCAGGCAGCCAAGGCTGGAACAATGCCCTGTGGCAGGAGCTGCCTTCTCACAGCCTCACTCTCCACGATCAGGTTACCCAGTGTATACAGACACAGCTCCTGAGAACAGGCAACAAAAGCACTGGGCTTGGCCTGTTTCATGCCAGGCTGCGTGTGGGGAGATGGGGAGGGGAGGTGATGGGGACGCTGGAGCAGCTATCCTTGCGGCTCACAAGAGGGTGGGGAGATGATGGGTGTAGCCATGGCTGTAGGCATAAGGGCAAACATGTTTTCTTCCTCCTACCTGCCAGCTCAAACTGGTCCCAAAAGCACAATTTTAAAATCTAAACCAAGAACAAGATAGGAAGGGACAGGGCTTACTATGAAGTCTGAGCTGTGACTGGAGAGGTAGGTGAGGAGGTAAGAAGTGGCTGGCAGGCAGGCCTCAGCAACAGTGGACTGCTCGGAGTGAGAGAGCTCATGCAGGCACCGAGCCGCCTCAAGCTGCAGCAGGGCCTGGTTGCTGGTCAGGAGCCCGACCAGGGTCCGCATGCTGCCCTCCAGCCTATGTGAGTGAGTACCAGAGCCCTGCTTAGCTTGTGGTCCATCCCTCAGAGCCCCAACTCCTCCCTCCACCACACCATCCACACTGACCGGATGAAGGTTTGCTGTGTTTCAGGGTGCTGCAAGCCTCGACGAAGGCTGACCAGAGCCCCCTCTCTCTCCTTTTCCTCTGTCCCCCGCTGGGCTTGCCGCAGGAACTGCTGCACCTGGAGTTCAGGGCAGGGAAAGGAGAACACACGGTTCACAGAAAGCAAGTCCTAAGTCTCTCTCTGCCCACTTCACCTGTGAGCCTTCCAATATCACACCTTCAGAACTTGTCATTCACACTAATGCAACTAATAAGCATCTACCTTGCAGTGGAGTGGACAGAGAATCAGAACTGAGTTCTAATACCATACCTGCCACTTACTCCATATGGGACCTGAACCTAAGTTTCCTCACCTGAAAATGAGAATAACAATATCTATCCTGCCTTCATACAGGGTTCTTTCAAGGATATTTAAACCTCTCAGCCTGGCAAAACCTACTCCTCTAGCCATTCTCCCCATGCAACCTACACTCTAACAACAACCAGCCTAACATGAGCTTTTTCTTTTTCTTTTTTTTACATTTCCGAGCTTTTGCACATGCTATTTCTTCTGCCTGGATACCCTCTCCAGCTTCCCACTCTCTTCAGGTTTCTGCTCCTCATTTCCTCTGGGAAGTTAGCTCTTTTTGAGAGACTTAGGAGTTTCTCTTGTTCCTCATGTTTCCTTCCCTTGTGACATCTGTCTTCTTCACCGGGCTGTGAGCACCTCAAAGAAAAGGACTCTATCCTTTCATCTTTGTGTACCTCAGTGACCAGCACAGTGTCCTGGCATAAAGTAAGCATACAATGGAATAGTATGACCTAGGAATAAGTTGATAATATATATGTCAACATGGTATGTACGGTAAACTATGTACGTAAACATAATACAAATACAGGGGATACTCAATGCTTACTGAATAAATCCTTTCATTCACTCATTCAATAAACACTGAGTACTTAACTATATGCCAGATAATGTGCAGGCAACCGGGTTTTCAATGACAACACAGGATCTAGGTTTTCCTGCAATTAAAGTCTAGTTGGAGAAATAACAATAGACAAACCATTAGATAATGATTAATATTCTACAAGAAACAAGTAGGTGGCCGGGCACAGTGGCTCACGCCTGTAATCCCAGCACTTTGGGAGGCCAAGGCGGGTGGATCATGAGGCCAGGTGTTCCAGACCAGCCTGACAAACATGATGAAACCCCGCCTCTACTTAAAATACAAAAATTAGTGGTGGCGCGCGCCTGTAATCCCTGCTACTCGGGAGGCTGAGGCAGGAGAATCGCTTGAACCCGGGAGGCGGATGTTGCAGTGAGCCGAGATCATGCCACTGCACTCCAGCCTGGCGACAGAGCGAGAGTCTCAAAAAAAAAAAAAGAAAAGAAAAGAAAAAAAATAGGCTCTCAAGACAGAATACCAAAAGAAACGAACGTTAGACGTAGCGAATGCCAAGGGCTTGAGACACAAATCCGATATATCGTTGCAGGAACTAAAAAGAGGACGGTGGGTAGGATGAGAAAACTGATAAAATTTGAGTTAGGAAGAGGCTAGACCATGCTATGCTTTGCAAGGCACAGGAAAGATTTTGGTCTCCACGTGTTTTTAAAGGACGTAGTGACGGTGACAAGCATAGATGCAGGGTGACCTTTTAGGAGACTGCAGTAGTATCCAGAGAGGAGGTGGTGGTGGCAGCTTCGATGGTGAGGCATGTAAAGACTCCAAAGCTCTTCAGGAGGTAAACAACTAGGACTTGATGATGGATCGATATGGGGTTGTGGGTCAAAGAGTTGTGCAGGATGATTCCCCTGTTTCTGGCTTGACCCACTGGATGCGTGGAAGTGTAGAGTGGATTGCGTTCAGGTTTGGGGCAGACCTCGAGTACTCCCGGGAGTCTGGCGCCAGCGGGCGTGGACTCCAGCGCACCCTACCTTGCCCCCTCACCTCGGTTTCCCCGAGGATCGCAGCCACACATCCCTCTCCAGCTTCCTCTGGGGCGTCGTTTCTCAGCAGCCTCTTGCTGACCAGCTGCTGCTCCCTCCGCGCCTTCCGCAGTGCTGGGGGCAGAGGAGCCGGCTGAGCGTGGGAAGGACGACCACAACCCAGAACCCGCGGCTCCGAGCCTGGGGTCTCAACTTATCCCCGACCGCCATATACCCCCGCGCTCCCTCGGCCGCCCACACCTGCCTCCCGCTCCCGCCGGCGGCGCCGTAGCTCCTCCACCCCGCAGACCGTGGGCCTGAGGCGGCCCTGCCGTCGGCTCCACATGGTGGAGCAGGAGGAGGAAAGCCGAAGGAAACAGCAGCCACAACGCTCCCAGGGGCGTAGAAGATGGCACCGACTGCGCAGCCTCAGCACAGGGCGGGAACAGGCGGGGAGGGCGCGAGGAGCGGGGTGGGTGCTGGGTGAGGGCGGGGCTCGGCGAGTGGACGCCTCGCGGGGACGGTGGGCGGGGCGAGGGCTAGAGACGCTGCACCACTAGACCAGAGCCAGAGGCGTCGCTCTGCCTCTGATTGATTTCCTGTCTTACCAATTCTAGGAAAAAAAGTCTCTCATCCCTGACCTCGAGTGACCCAAGCCAGCAGTGTCACAATCTACTCAGCAAACACAACTTCCCCACCCACAATACGCTCTAGATGAAAGTTCAAAACAATCCCGAACTGCGGGAAGCGCCATGATGCCGTTTCACTATTAATGCGGATCCCACTGATGAGAGCTGCCAAAAACGCTTGAAGCGTCATTGAATTGTCAACGAAAAGAGTCCAACTCTGTAAAATATTTGAAGAGACTTATTCTGAGCCAAATATGAGTGACCATGGCCCTTGACACAGCCCTCAGGAGGTCCTGAGAACATGTGCCCAAGGTGGTCCGGTACAGCTTGGTTTTACATATTTTAGGGAGATATGAGACTTCAGTTCATTCAAGAAATACACTGGTTGGGCCGGGCCTGGTGGCTCATGCCTGTAATCCCAGCACTTTGGGAGGCCTGGGCGGGTGGATCAGCTGAGGTCAGGAATTTGAGACCAGCCTGGCCAACATGGTGAAACCCCATCTTTACTAAAAATACAAAAATTAGCCGGGAGTAGTGGTGGGTGCCTGTAATCCCAGCTACTCGGGAGCCTGAGGCAGGAGAATCGTTTGAACCCGGGAGGCGGAGATTGCAGTGGGCCGAGATCGCGCCCCATTGCCTGGGGTACAAGAGCGAAACTCCGTCTCAAAAAAAAAAAAAAGAAAGAAAGAAAGAAAGAAATCTGGGATATGATGAGGTTTCTCTTCAAATAATTAGATCAATCTTTTATTCTTTAATTCATAGTACTCCCCCCCACACACACTTTTGTTTTCCTTTTTCTCCTTTTTGCCTTCGTTAGATGCCGAGGCACGCCACAGTACAAGACGTTATCAGTACCAGACGTTATCAGTACCAGCTCACATTCCTTTCATTATTTGGAAAGAGGACTAACTTTCTAGTTCATTACAGGCACCCCTTCCCCTTTCCTCTCCACTTTCTTTTACGTGCCCACATTACCTAAAAAAATCAAATGTTTAGCCAACCGGGATTAGTTCAGATTGTATGACCCGACCCCGGCCAATGGGGAAAGGGTACAGGGGCAGGACTTGCGTCAGGAATAAAGGCTCTCGTGCCCCTTTGTTCAGGTGTGCTCTCATGGCGACTGGCCAAGCAGACACCCCTCTGAGCAGAAGTAAAATTGCTTTGCTAATAATCCTTTGTTCGAGTGTTCAATTTCCCTTAGGATTTTGAGCGTTATTCCTAAGAGAAAGAAAAGAAAGAAAGGAAGGAAGAAAGAAAGAAAGAAAGAAAGGGAGAAAAGAAAGAAAGAAAAGAAAAGAGGAAAGGAGGAAGGGAAGAGAGGGGAGGGGGAAAGAGAGAAAGACATTGGTTTGTGGGACAACAGAAAGGCGGGACAACTCGAAGTGGGGCGGTGGGGGGCTTCCAGCTTATAGGTAGATTTTAAATTTTTCTGGTTGACAATTGGTTGAGTTTCTCTAAAGACCTGAAATCAATAGAAAGGAATGTCTGGGTTAAGATAAAGGATTGTGGAGACCCAAGTTCTTATTTGCAGAGGAAACCTTCAAATCCTAGGCTTCAGAGAGAATGGGTTGTAAAATGTTTCTTATCAAACTTAAAGTCTGTGTTGATGTTAACGGTAGAGAGGTATAATGAGGCACGTTCAACCCCTACTTCCCATCATGGCCTGAAACGGTCACTCGGGTTTAATTTTGAAAGAGCCCTGGCTGAGGAGGAAGTCCATTCAGATGGTTGTGGGGGGCGGCCTTAGAATTTTATTTTTGCTTTACAGAATGTTCACCACAATGACCATTATTCTCATTTTATATGTGATGAAAATGAGAAAGATATCATTATTTCACTTCTCTGCATAAAACTGAATTCCCATAATTTTTAGGATAAAATCTTTCACCAAATGTGGAGTGCCACTAGTCTACTAGGCACTGAGGAAACACTAGTGAATAAAAAACCGTGTTCCTCACATTCAAAATTGGAATTGTGGCCGACTTAGCCCTACATGGTCTAACCCCTGCATACCTCTCCAATCTGGACTCACCTCTTCTGGGACCTTCTCTTTGTCAACAAGCCCTGTTCTTTTTCTCCTCCACCCTACTCCCACTCTTGGGGGAGGCTCTCGCACAAGCTGTTTTCTCTGCCTGCATCCTTCCCTTTTCTTTCTACCAGCATCCTTCCCTCAACACCATTCTCAACATGTCAAGTCCAGTGTCACCTACTCAGAACCATTGTACCAATGACCCAGCTTCTTCACAACCCTTTTCACAGCTATCATTAAGTTATAGTGTAATTATTTGATGTTGTCTCCTCCCAGACCCCCTTGGCAGCTCCAGAAGATTAGGGTCCCGGTGGCACCTAAGAATTTTTACAGGAAACCTCTAATTTTTAAAAAGCCATATAACTTAGGCAAAGGTTCAATTAAGTACAAATCTAGGAAAAAGGTTATTCTTAAAACCAATTTCTTTCCCTTGAACTTAATTCTACCCCTTGGAGTTAATCAATGAAGTCTGCAATCTCTTCCACAAAACAGCATGTTAAAATATCTACAGGCCATCATTCCATCCTCCATATCTTCTCTCCCAGTATCCATCCAGCCCCTGGAGAGCCATTTACTGAGTACCTGCTGTGCACCATGCTCTGGCCAGGGATAGGGCCTGGATCTTGAGCCCTTCCTCATGCAACTGTCTGGCTTCTTTTTTTAATTTTTTAATTAAAAAAAATTTATTTTCTTATTTCCCCAAGAAAAACTTTTTTATTTTTATTTTATTTATTTATTTTTTTTTTTGAGCCAGGGTCTTGCTCGGTTGCCCACGCTGCAGTGCAGTAGTGCAATCATGGCTTATCACAGCCTGGAACTCAGCCTTAAATGATCCTTTCAGCTTGGCCTCCCAAAGTGCTAGAATTACTGGCATGAGCCACTGCACCTAACCCAGGCTAGCTTCTAAGACCCACACTTGGCCCAGCAAGGTGGCTCATGCCTATAATCCCAGCACTTTGGGAGATGGAGGCAGGTGGATCACCTGAGGTCAGGAGTTCGAGACCAGCATGACCAACATGGTGAAACCCCGTCTCTACTAAAAATGCAAAATTAACCAGGTGTGGTGGCACGTGCTTGTAATCCCAGCTACTCAGGAGACTGAGGCAGGAGACTCGCTTGAACCCAGGAGGTGGAGGTTGCGATGAGCCAAGATTGCATCATTGCACTCCAGCCTGGGCAACAAGAGTGAAACTCCATCTAAAACAACAACAATAACAACAACAACAAAACCCACATGTGCTCCAGGTGGGGAAGATGAAAAAAGTTCCCAGCCAAAAGCTATATTCTGCCCAGTGTCTGCTCAGACAGCTACAGCTGCCCAAATTGCCTTTCTGTATCTACCTGTCTAGCAACACTGTTAACCCTGTAAGAACCAGCCCCATGTCCTGTCTTGTACAGGGCTGGCTGTTCCTTTCTCCAGACCATGTTCCTCCCCTCCACCCCTCTCCCCCAACAACACAAGCCTTTGGTTTCTCTTCTTTTAAGAGCCCTCTGCACTATGGACGGAAGTTCTGGGTTCATGTTTGCTCTACCCACCTCCTGGAGCACTTCAGGGACTTGTCTTTGTCATGTCTGTGTCCCAGGGCTTTCTACCAACCCTAGTACTCGGTAGACAAATGATAGACATTTGTTGAATCAAGCTGTGAGTTGGAGATCTTTGCAGAACCATCACTGCCCCTCTTAACTTGGAACTCCCCACCCAGAGTGCCTCCCCTAAGATGATGAGGTGTCAGACTTCAGTGGCCTGAGTTCTCTGAAAGCAGAGACTCTGAGAAAGAAGACTAGTCATCAAGACCACACTAAAAAGATGTGTTTCTGTGCCAAAGACTTTACTCACAAACAGGTAATACTATCATCTCCATTTTACAGAAGGGAGGCCCAAGTCTCATAACCTCAGTCGTAAAGCTGGGATTCCAAGACTGGCTATCTGACTTTGAGTCAGATATAATCATATCTTGGTCCTCAGGGATATCACAGAGGCCTGGCATGGCACCAGGGCATGGCCCAGTGCATTGGGGTATGCCCAACAGGACCCGCAGGGGGCAGTGATGAGCCTTCTTGTTTGGATTGGGGACAAATCTGCAGCTACTTCTTTCTCAATTAAAGAGGAAGTGGGAATTTAAAAAAGACTTTCTGCCGGGCACGGTGGCTCATGCCTGTAATCCCAGCACTTTGGGAGGCCGAGGCAGGTGAATCACCTGAGGTCGGGAGTTCGAGACCAGCCTGACCAACATGGAGAAACCCCATCTCTACTAAAAATACAAAATTAGCCGGGTGTAGTGGCACATGCCTGTAATCCCAGCCGCTCGGGAAGCTGAGGCAGGAGAATTGCTGGAACCTGGGAGGCGGAGATTGCAGTGAGCTGAGATCGCGCCCAGCCTGGGCAACAAGAACAAAACTCCGTCTCAAATAAATAAATAAAAGTAAAAAAGACTTTCAGGCCGGGTGTGGTGGCTCTCGCCTGTAATCCCAGCACTTTGAGAGGCCAAGGCGGGCGGATCACCTGAGGTCAGGAGTGCCTGGTCAACATAGTGAAACTCTGTCTCTACTAAAACTACAAAAATTAGCCGGGCATGGTGGTGGGCTCCTGTAATCCCAGCTACTCAGGAATCTGAGGCAAGAGAATTGCTTGAACTTGGGAGGCGGAGGTTGCAGTGAGCCAAGATCACGCCACTGCACTCCAGCCTGGGCAACAGAGCCAAACTCAGTCTCAAAAAAAAAAAAAAAAAAAAAGACTTTCATATAGTTCTTTCCCCAGAGGTCTAGGGATGTGGACCTGTGAGGGCTGTTGTAAATGCGTAGCTCCTTATTCTCTGGGACATTTGTTGTTTTTTTGTTTTGTTTTGTTTGCTGTTTTTTTCATTTTGTTTTGTTTTCTGTTTTTGTCTGTTTTTTGCGAAACTGGTGAGTTACTAATTAATCCTCATTCAACATAGTCCCATCCCTTCCTTCCTAGGGCACAGAGATTGTACTGAGGGGAGGGCAGGAGAGAGCAACGTGCAAGTGGGAAAACTGATTCAAAATACCTTGCTTCACAATTTCAGGACAGAAAATGGATAGTGTAAGTGACCCAGAGACTTGGCCAATGTGTCTCTGTTAAATACATCCACTTTTAAGAAAGTTAGTACTGCCAGGCACAGTGGCTCACGCCTGTAATCCCAGCACTTTGGGAGGCCGAGGCGGGTGGATCACAAGGTCAGGAGTTCAAGACCAGCCTGGCCAAGATGATGAAAACCTGTCTCTACTAAAAAATACAAAAATTAGCTGGGTGTGGTGGTGGGCACTTGTAATCCCAGCTACTCGGGAGGCTGAGGCAGAGAATTGCTTGAACCCAGGAGGCGGAGGTTGCAGTGAGCCGAGATCATGGCACTCTACTCCAGCCTGAGCAACAGAGCAAGACTCTATCTCAAAAAAAAAAAAAAAAAAGAAAGAAAGTTATTACTTAATCAAAGGAGCAAGGAAAAAAAAAGGAAGGGGGAATTTTTCTTTAGACCAACTTCCTTTTCTTGAACCTAATTCTACCCCCCTTGGTGCCAACAGATGAGGTTCACAATCTCTTCCACAAAACATGCAGTTAAATATCTGAGGATATTCAGGGACTTGGATTTGGTGGCAGGAGATCAACATAAACCAAGACAAGGAAGAAGTCAAAGAAATGAATCAAGTAGATTCTCTGGGATATAAGGTAGGGGGATTGGGGGGTTGGATAGTGCAGAGTATGGTACTGGCCTAAGGCACTGAGGATCATCCTTTTCCCACACCCACCAGAGAAGGCTTAGGCTCCCGAGTCAACAGGGCATTCACCGCCTGGGGCGCCTGAGTCATCAGGACACTGCCAGGAGACACAGAACCCTAGATGCCCTGCAGAATCCTTCCTGTTACGGTCCCCCTCCCTGAAACATCCTTCATTGCAATATTTCCAGGAAAGGAAGGGGGCTGGCTCGGAGGAAGAGAGGTGGGGAGGTGATCAGGGTTCACAGAGGAGGGAACTGAATGACATCCCAGGATTACATAAACTGTCAGAGGCAGCCGAAGAGTTCACAAGTGTGAAGCCTGGAAGCCGGCGGGTGCCGCTGTGTAGGAAAGAAGCTAAAGCACTTCCAGAGCCTGTCCGGAGCTCAGAGGTTCGGAAGACTTATCGACCATGGTGAGTGTAGGGTCTTGGGGTCGAACGCGTGCCACTCGGGAGCCACAGGGGTTGGATGGGGCCTCCTAGACCTCTGCTCTCTCCCCAGGAGCGCGCGTCCTGCTTGTTGCTGCTGCTGCTGCCGCTGGTGCACGTCTCTGCGACCACGCCAGAACCTTGTGAGCTGGACGATGAAGATTTCCGCTGCGTCTGCAACTTCTCCGAACCTCAGCCCGACTGGTCCGAAGCCTTCCAGTGTGTGTCTGCAGTAGAGGTGGAGATCCATGCCGGCGGTCTCAACCTAGAGCCGTTTCTAAAGCGCGTCGATGCGGACGCCGACCCGCGGCAGTATGCTGACACGGTCAAGGCTCTCCGCGTGCGGCGGCTCACAGTGGGAGCCGCACAGGTTCCTGCTCAGCTACTGGTAGGCGCCCTGCGTGTGCTAGCGTACTCCCGCCTCAAGGAACTGACGCTCGAGGACCTAAAGATAACCGGCACCATGCCTCCGCTGCCTCTGGAAGCCACAGGACTTGCACTTTCCAGCTTGCGCCTACGCAACGTGTCGTGGGCGACAGGGCGTTCTTGGCTCGCCGAGCTGCAGCAGTGGCTCAAGCCAGGCCTCAAGGTACTGAGCATTGCCCAAGCACACTCGCCTGCCTTTTCCTGCGAACAGGTTCGCGCCTTCCCGGCCCTTACCAGCCTAGACCTGTCTGACAATCCTGGACTGGGCGAACGCGGACTGATGGCGGCTCTCTGTCCCCACAAGTTCCCGGCCATCCAGAATCTAGCGCTGCGCAACACAGGAATGGAGACGCCCACAGGCGTGTGCGCCGCACTGGCGGCGGCAGGTGTGCAGCCCCACAGCCTAGACCTCAGCCACAACTCGCTGCGCGCCACCGTAAACCCTAGCGCTCCGAGATGCATGTGGTCCAGCGCCCTGAACTCCCTCAATCTGTCGTTCGCTGGGCTGGAACAGGTGCCTAAAGGACTGCCAGCCAAGCTCAGAGTGCTCGATCTCAGCTGCAACAGACTGAACAGGGCGCCGCAGCCTGACGAGCTGCCCGAGGTGGATAACCTGACACTGGACGGGAATCCCTTCCTGGTCCCTGGAACTGCCCTCCCCCACGAGGGCTCAATGAACTCCGGCGTGGTCCCAGCCTGTGCACGTTCGACCCTGTCGGTGGGGGTGTCGGGAACCCTGGTGCTGCTCCAAGGGGCCCGGGGCTTTGCCTAAGATCCAAGACAGAATAATGAATGGACTCAAACTGCCTTGGCTTCAGGGGAGTCCCGTCAGGACGTTGAGGACTTTTCGACCAATTCAACCCTTTGCCCCACCTTTATTAAAATCTTAAACAACGGGTCCGTGTCATTCATTTAACAGACCTTTATTGGATGTCTGCTATGTGCTGGGCACAGTGCTGGATGGGGAATTCATCATACTTAGGCTTTCTTCATCCTAACTCCCTAAGAAACCCTATCTGTCCTCCTCAAGAAAAGAACTGCGGGGATAGAAGGAGCCAGGAAAGGACTCCTGGCTAGGGCTGCATGGGAGAAACAATGAGTGTGCAGTCAGGGCTTTCTGAGCAGATTATTGGCATCTGGATTAAAAGGTATTTGCATGATATTTGGAAGATACAAAATATTTCCTCTCCTATGCACTTCCCAAGAGCCAGCTGCTCCCTTTCAAAGGTAATAAAACCCACAGCCATTTGCTTATTTCCTTATTCTTTCTCTCTCTCACACACACACACACTCACACACCCTCCCTCTCCCTCTCTGTCTGTCTCCCTTACCACTCAAGGAAGAGGGACAGCCTCCTATCCTGCACAAGCTCTGAGTTTCATAATATTAGGGTTCCTCTCTTGTAAAACCTCTCTTCACCCGGAGGCTTTCACTGTGTCACTCCCCGACATAATGGGAAATTTGGGCCTAGGGAACTGACGCAAGATACAGTCGGTCTCTGAATTAGAGATCCTGTGTTCTGTTAGAACACATATGCAGATAACCTTTTCAGGCTGACTGATTGGCAAATAGGAAAGCATCTCAGACTCTTCAAAACTTCAGAATAAACAGGATTTGTCCTCTAGTCCACATTAGCTCAGAGACCTACAGCATCAGCCATCAAGAGGTGCTGTTTCTTCTGAGCCCCTTCTTCATTTCAATGAGGAGGCAGCCACATCCATCAGAGAGCTAGATGCCTGCCTCACAGGGAGCATGGGAGAAAGGTGGGAGGAGGCATATAGGCCCAGCACCTGCCTCTGGCCAATGTCCAGAGCCACACAGATAGGAATAGGGAATGGAAATTAACATTGATAAGAGAGTTACAGACATTACCAGAACCAGACTCAAAATATGTCAGAAAACAGTTAAATTAGCTGGACACTCACTGGAATGTCCCCAAGGGGCCTTCAACCAGCCAGTTGAGAGATTTCTAGTATCAGAGAATTAATCATCTCAAGGCAGTTTTTTTCTTCCCTTGAATAGCTCTGATCACACTTCATCAAATGGTTACAGAACCACATTTCACCTCAGGCCTTGTGCTAAAGCCTGAAATACAAAGATGAATCAGAAACATCCATGCCCTTAGGGAATTCCAATCCAGTGGGGGTCGGGGGAACACATAAAAGATAGTTTTTTATGTGTGAGAAATAGCTGTGAGAATATATATAAATTTCTGTTGGTTAAGCCACCAGTCTATGGTATTTTATTACGGTAGCCTGAGCTGACTAAGGCAGTAGTGGTGATGTAACATATCTGATTGCAAAAAAAAAAATTTTTTTTAAAGAGTAATATATCTGGGCCAGGTGTGGTGGCTCATGCCTATAATCCCAGCACTTTGGGAGGCTGAGGTGGGCGGATCACGAGGTCAAGAGATCGAGTCCACCCTGGCTAACATGATGAAACCCTGTCTCTACTAAAAATACAAAAATTAGCCGGGTGTGGTGGCATGTGTCTGTAATCCCAGCTACTCAGGAGGCTGAGGCAGGAGAATTGCTCACTAGAACCTGGGAGGCAGAGGTTGCAGTGAGCCAAGATCACGCCACTGCACTCCAGCCTGAGCGAAAGAGTGAGACTCCGTCTCAAAAAAAAAAGGGAGCAGATATTGTTGAGGATTGATATGTTATACAGGTTGACTATCCTTTTTTTTTTTTTTTTGAGGCAGAGTTTCACTCTTGTTGCCCAGGCTGGAGTGCAATGGCGCAATCTCAGCTCACTGCAACCTCCACCTCCCAGGTTCAAGCAAATCTCCTGCCTCAGCCTCCCAAGTAGCTGGGATTATAGGCATGCACCACCACACCTGGCTAATTTTGTATTTTTCGTAGAGACAGGGTTTCTCCGTGTTGGTCAGGCTGGTCTTGAACACCCAACCTCAGGTGATCTGCCTGCCTCGGGCTCCCAAAGTGCTGGGATTGCAGGCATGAGCCACCACACCCAGCCAGGTTGACTATCCTTTATCCAAAATGCTCCAGACCAGAAGTTTTGGATTTTTTCAGATTTTGGAATATTTGCGTATATATAATGAGATAGATTTGGATGGGACCCAAGTCTGAATACAAAATTCATTTATGTTTCATATACACTTTAGATAATAGCCTGAAGATAACTTTATACAATATTTTTGTCATGATTCCCTAAACAATATAGTATAACAACTATTTACATAGCATTTACATTGTATTAGGAATTATAAGTAATCTAGAGATGATTTAAAGCATGTGGGAGATGTATGTAGGTTATGTGCAAATACTGCAACATTTTATTTATTTATTATTATTATTTTTTTTAGTTTTTTGGGTTTTGTTTGTTTTGTTTTGTTTTTTGAGACAGAGTCTCTCTCTGTCACCTAGGCTGGAGTGCAGTGGTTTGATCTCAGCTCACTGCAACTTCTGCATCTGGGGTTCAAGTGATGCTCCTGCCTCAGCCTTCTGAGTAGCTGGGATTACAGGCATGCACTACCACACCCTGCTAATTTTTGTATTTTTAGTAGAGACAGGGTTTCACCATGTTGGCCAGGCTAGTTGTGAATTCCTGACCTCAGGTAATCCACCTGCCTCTGCCTCCCAAAGTGCTGGGATTACAGGCATAAGCCACTGCACCCAACCTAAAGTTTTAACTGTTTGGATTGTAACCCATCACATATCCAGGATATGAATCATCCCTTTGTACAGTGTATCTACACTGTAGGCACTACTAGCTCGTTAGTAACTTAGGAGCTGTCTGGGTTGTCAGATCAACAGTTACCATATAGCAGTGCCTGTGTTCAGTAACCCTTATTTTACTTAATAATGGACCCCCAGCACAAGAATAGTGATGCCCACAATTCAGATATGCCAAGAAAAGCCATAAAATGGCTGGGCATGGTGGCTCATGCCTGTAATCTCAGCACTTTGGAAGGCCGAGGTGGGTGGCTCACTGGAGGTCTCCAGACTTCAAGACCAGCCTGGCCAACATGGTGAAACCTGTCTCTACTGCAAATACAAAAATTAGCCAGATGTGGTGGTGTGCTCCTGTAATCCCAGCTATTTGGGAGGCTGAGGCAGGAGAATCACTTGAACCTGGGAGGTAGAGGTTGCAGTGAGCTGAGATCTCACCACTACACTCTAGCCTGGGTGACAGAGTGAGACTCTGTCTCAAAAAAAAAAGAAAAGAAAAGAAAAGCCGTAAAGTGCATCTGTCAGAGGCATTCAAATCAGAGCAACTCCATCTTGAACAGGGGCTGGATAAAATGAGACTGAGACCTGCTGGGCCGCAATTTCAGGAGGTTAGGTATCTTAGTCACAAGTTTACATTTCAGGGAACAGAAACAGACCTAAGAAAGAGGGAAATATAGGACAAGTCAGAATATCCAAGCATGTCATAGATGGTCTGTGTAAGTTGTGATAGGTTTCATAAAATGGGAAAAAATATATATATATAGCTGGGTGTGGTGGCGCATGCCTCTAATCCCAGCTACTCCAGAGGCTGAGGCAGGAGAATCACTTGAATCTGGGAGGCGGAGGTTGTGGTGAGCCGAGGTTGCGCCACTGCACTCCAGCGTGGGCAACAAGAGTGAAACTCTGTCTCAAAAAAAAAAAAAAGATAGTCAACCTGTATACATATCAATCCTCAACAACAATATCTGCTCCCTTTCTCTGTTTTACTTGTCTTCACAGCATATTGCAATCAGATATGTTACTTGTTTTTTTTATTTTTTGAGATGGAGCCTCACTCTGTCACCCAGGCTGGAGTGCAGTGGCAGAATCTTGACTCACTGCAACCTCTGCCTCCCAGGTTCAAGTGATTCTCCTGCCTCAGCCTCCTGAGTAGCTGGGACTACATGCGCCCGCCACCACACCTGGCTAATCTCAAAAAAAAAAAAGAAAAGAAAAATGTAAAAACTGGCAAATGAAAAAGCTTACAATAACTGGATCTTCTTCTGTCTGTCTATTTACATATGTTGTGTGTGTGTAATGTTTATATAAAAGAGCTCTAATTAATTGGCTTAAAGAAAAAGCACTTAAATATTTTGTCAGAAAAATTAAAACTTTAATGCCTTTTAGTTCATATGACTTTAGTAATCCTTGGGAAATAAAGACAGTTTTAAAGATTATTGGTAAAATAAAAATGTCTTCAAAATTTATACATTTGGTCTAAATTAGGCAGGTCAGACACTGAGTTTACTAAACTACATAAACTGCTTCCTTGATATGATCATTGTTCAACTTACCTGCTTTGGAACCATTAGATTCTAGGTAATGCCTAGAGACATGTGGAGTTAGCCATGCCCTCTAGCTATGCTGGAAAGATCAGACCTTATCTGCACTTCTGTCTGGTGTCCTAGGCTCCACACCTGGTACATAATTAAAATTGCTTACTTACCAGGTTTTTCACCAAAAAAAAAAAAAAGTTGCTGAGACGTAACATTGTAACATATGCAATTGAGACTAGTAGAGAAACAGTTTTACATGGAAAGTGCGTAAGGAAAGTGAATGTGTTTTTGGCAAAAGATTATAAGAAGGCACAGGAATGTGGATTTTTTTTTTGCCTAGTTTAGGGGGTTAAAGTATTATTTTAAGTTGGATAGGGAAAAGTAGAAGCTTTGAGCAAGTTGTGGCAGGTTTATGAAATATAAATTCTGTCTGTGGACATACTGGCTAAAGTTAAAGGGGTATTCAATTTTTCCATAAATTGAACATTGGAATAAAAGCACAATAGAGTTTTCTTAGAGCACTGATCTGCTCTTTAACAGTAAAATATAGGCTGGGCACTTTGGCTCATGCCTGTAATCCTAGCACTTTGGGAGGCCAAGGCAGGAGGATTGCCTGAGGTCAGGAGTTCAAGACCAGCCTGGGCAACATGGCAAAACCCCATCTCTACTAAACATACAAAAAATTAGCATGACATGGTGGCATGGTGGCAGAGGTGCAGCAAGCCAAGATCACAGAGTGAGACTCTGTTTCAAAAATAAAAATAAAAAAAGAAATGATAATAGATAGAGACACAAAGATTTGTGGCTGCTTAGAAGTGGGGTGGTCAAGGGGAATGACCTCTAATGGGATACAATGCCTGTAATCCCAGACACTTGGGAGGCTGAGCCAGGAGAATCACTTGAACCCAGGAGGCAGAAGTTACAGTAAGCTGAAAGCATGCCACTGCACTCCAGCCAGGGTGACAAAGTGAGATTCTGTCTTAAAAAATAAAGAAAAAATATATAAAGGGTAATAAAAGGTTTATGAGACTCTTACCTTATGGTCAAACTGATTAAAATTGGATATCTTTTTCTATAAGGTTTTATTAAGAATTGGGTTTGACATTAATAGTACACCATTGCATTCCAGCCTGGGTGATAGAGCAAGACTCCATCTCAAAAAAAAAAGAAGACTGGGCATAGGTTGCTTAGAGCCACTCACAGGTGGACAGTCCAGTAGGCAGTTAGCCATAGGGGCTAGAGCTTAGGGGACAGGTTTGGCCTGGCTATAAGAATTTGGGAGCCATCAGTGTAGAAATGCCTGTGGAAACCGTAGCCATGAATAGCCATGAGTAAGTTCACCCAGGCCAGGAGGGGAGAAAGAAGAGACCGTGCTAAAGAAGGAAACTGGGAATCATCAGTCAACATTTCAGGATGGAGAAAGCAGGGTCTTCAAAGGAGACAGAGAAATAGGAAGAGAACTTAGAACTTGAGACAGAGAACATAGGGAGACATGGTCAGCAACTCCCTATGCCTCCTCTACTGTCATCTCCACCTTGTAAACCAACATCACCCCCAACATATTCTAGCCATTCTTTCCTTTGCCTCTTGTTCTTCCCTCTGCCTGGAATGTTCTGGTCATTAATTTATTCATCCATTTAACAATTATTTATTGAGCTCCCACTACCTGACAAGCACTTTGGAAGTGCTGAGGACAAAGCACTTATAGTGAGCAAAGCGACAAAAGTTCCTGCTCTTAAAGTGTTCATATTGCAGTGGGGAGAAGAAAGTATAAAGTGCTAGATGATGGTAAGTGCTGTGGGGAAAATAGAGCTGAGCCAAAACAGTCAGGATTGCTGGGCATAAGGGTGAAGGATTGCAAGTTTATAGTTGTTAGAATAGACCTCACATGAGGTGACTTCTGAGCAAAGATTTAAGGGAGGTGAGAGAGTGAGCCTTGTAGTTATCTGCTGGAAGAGCAGTCCAGGAAGAGGAAACATCCAGTACAAAGGCCCTGGAAGACATTGGCAATGATATCAGAGAGATAGCAAGTGGCCTCAATTGTTGTTTAAGGCTCACAGGCCACTGTGAAGCTTGGTTTTCACTCAGGTGAAATAGAGAGCCACCTGAGGATACTGACAAAGGGTAACATAAACTGGTTTCCATTTTTAAAGGATCACATTAGCTGCTGTGTTGAAAGTAAACTATAGAGAGTAAGTTAGAAGACTCGTTGGGAATTTATACCAATAACCCAGTCAAGAAATGATGGAGGCCGGGTGCAGTGACTCACGCCTGTAATCCTGGCACTTTGGGAGGCCAAGGCGGATGTATTATGAGGTCAGGAGTTTGAGATCAGCCTGGCCAAGACGGTGAAACCCCGTTTCTACTAAAAATACGAAAATTAGCCAGGCGCGGTGCCAAGCGCCTGTAATCCCAGCTACTCAGGAGGCTGAGGCAGAAGAATCACTTGTACCTGGGAGGCAGAGGTTGCAGTGAGCCAAGATCATGCCACTGTACTCTAGCCTGGGCACAGAGCAGGACTCCATCTCAAAAAAAAAAAAAAAAGAAAGAAAGAAAGAAAGAAATGATGGTGAGGTTGGGTGCAGTGACTCATGCCTGTAATACCAGCATTTTGAGAGGCCAAAGTGGGTGGATCACTTGAGGTCAGGAGTTCGAGACCAGCCTGGCCAATATGGCAAAACCCTGTCTCTACTGAAAATACAAAAAAAAATTAGCCCCAGCTACTCGGGAGGCTGAGGTGCAAGAATCACTTGAACCTGGGAGGCAGAGGTGCAGCGAGCCAAGATCACAGAGTGAGACTCCGTTTCAAAAATAAAAATAAAAAAAGAAATGATGATAGATAGAGACACAAAGATTTGTGGTTGCTTAGAAGTGGGGTGGTCAAGGGGAATGACCTCTAATGGGATACAGAATTTCTTTTTGGGGTGATAAAAATGTTCTAAAATTAAAGCGCGGTTATAGTTACACAACTCTGGTAATATAATAAACACCACTAAATTGAATACTTTATTTATTTATTTATTTATTCATTTATTTTGAGATGGAGTCTCACTCTGTTACCCAGGCTGGAGTGCAAAGGTGTGATCTCGGCTCCTGCAACCTCCGCCTCCCAGGTTCAAGTGATTCTCCTGCTTCAGCCTCCTGAGTAGCTGGGATTACAGGCAGGCACCACCAGGCCTGGCTAATTTTTGTATTTTTAGTAGAGACGGGGTTTCACCATTTTGGTCAGGCTGGTCTCAAACTCCTGACCTCGTGATCTGCCCACCTCAGCCTCCCACAGTGCTGGGATTACAGGCATGAGTCACCACGCCAAGCCTAAATTAAATACTTTAAAAGGGTGAATTTTATTTGTTGTGAATCACAACTCAATATAAAGCTGTTTAAGAAAACCCACACAAAAACATGGTGACAGTTGGATCAGGATAGTAGAAGTGGGGGGAAATGGTCAAATTATGCGCATTTTTTGAAGACAGAGCTCACAGGATTTTTACATATAAAGGGTGGAACATGAGAAAGGGATGGCTGGGCAAGGTGGCTCATGCCTATAATCCCAGCACTTTGGGAGGCCAAGGCAGGAGGATCACTTGAGGTCAGGAGTTTGAGACTAGCCTGGGCAACATACTGAGACCCTCCATCTCTATTTTTTTAAAATGTTTTAAGTATAAAAATTCAACTAAATTTTTAAAAAAGAGAAAAAAGGTGGGCTCAGGGATGACTCTATGGTTTGAGGCCTAAGTTATAAGACTTGATGAAATCACTAAAGATGTGAGCATAGATACATTTCGCCCTGTGGCTTAAACTTAATTATTTGTCTTAAAACATGTTATTTTGTAACTTGAACTGTTGCGGGATTTTTAAGGAATCAGAGAGACCGATGGGGTTCAGGATGATATTTATTAATTATTTAGGTGCACTGGCCCAGTCAGATTAACATCCAAAGGACTGAGCCCTGAACAAAGAGTTAAGTTACCTTTTAAGCATTTTGTGGGGTGGGGGAGATCTGTACAGGGGGAAGCATGCTACAGAAGTGAGAAACAAAGACAGTTATTTAATTAATTGAGACATGCATTACATCATTTCTTACTTTTCAAGGAAAAACATGTTTTGCAACTTGAGTTTATCTGTCTAGTGACTTTGCAGCTGCACAGCTAGGGAAACAGGGTCTTCACAATGCCTGGGAAAGGAGGAGAGATAAGGCTCACTAGCCATAGAAAAATAGGCAGTTAGTTTTTAAAGGACTCCAGCTCTTTCTCTTTCTCAAGGGGAACTGGGTTTTCTTACATACAACTTAGTTTCTGCTTACACACTCCTTAATTTCTTTTAATTCCTGTTCCAGAACATCTGTGTTATACCTTGAGAATTCAAAGCAGAAAGCAAAATCAAAGCCAGACATGGTGGCTCATGCTTGTTATCCCAGCACTTTGAGAGACCAAGCTGGGAGAATCACTTGAACCCAGGGGTTCGAGACCAGCCTGGGCAACACAGCAAGACCCAGTCTCTATTAAAAAATAAAATATAAATACATAAAAAGAAAGTAAAATCATACAGAAAGCCAGAAATTTCTTCAGTCCCTCTAGTCAGATGCTTGCTTGTAGTTTTTGGTGTCCAAAAACGTTTCCCCATGCATTGCTCAGAAGCCTTTTTCTCTTTTTTCTTTCTTTTTTTTTTTTTTTTTTGTAGCTAAAGCCCTGGCAGTAAGGAGAACCCAGCTGGTGTACAAGCTTCTAGCACATTTCTTATTTTCGTTGTTCCCTTCCACCGCTTTCTGTAACATTCTTCACACAGTCTTTCCATGTATCTGGAATAACAGTTCTGAATTTCTTTTCACTGTTCTTGTATAACATCCTTTTGCAGATGGCTCTCTTAGCAGCAGAAGCAACAGCAGCTTGAAAACATCAACACTACAGCCAGTGACAGTCTACTTCCAGCCCCTAACACCTCCACTCCTGTGTATCCTGACCCTGGAAAGCAGCTGGAGGAATAAACTTGAGCAGATAGCAGGGGCTACTTCATTTTCTAGATTTTTTTGTTAATGTCTGAGGACTGAGCCCAGGACACTGCAACATTAAGAAGTCACAAAAATGGGGAGGTATCGGGGAATCTGCCCCGATATTCACGTTGATTCTTTTCTATTTTCCTTAAGCGTCGGCCAGCTTGAGAAACAAAGGGACAGTACAAAACAGAGAAATTTTAAAGCTGGGTGTCCAGGGGAGACATCACATGTCGGTAGGTTCCGTGATGCCCCACAAGCTGCAAAAACCAGCAAGTTTTTATTAGGGATTTTCAAAAGGAGAGGGAGTGTGCGAATAGGTGTGGGTCACAGACATCAAGTACTTTACAAGGTAATAGAAAATCACAAGGCAAGTGGAGGCAGGGTGAGATCACAGGACCACAAGGACCGAGACGAAATTAAAATAGTTAATGAAGTTTCGGGCACCATTGTCATTGATAACATCTTATCAGGAGACAGGGTTTTGAGATCAACCAGTCTGACCAAAATTTATTAGGCGTAAATTTCCTCTTCCTAATAAGCCTGGGAGCGCTATGGGAGACTGGGGTCTATTTCACTCCTACAGCCTCAACCATAAGAGATGGCCACGCCCAGGGGGTCCAGTTCAGAGACCCACCCCCAGGTGTGCATTCTCTTTCTCAGGGATGTTCCTTGCTGAGAAAAGGAATTCAGCAATATTTCTCCCATTTGCTTTTAAAAGAAGAGAAATATGGCTCTGTTCCACCCGGCTCACCGGCGGTCAGAGTTTAAGGTTATCTCTCTTATTCCCTGAACAATTGCTGTTATCCTGTTCTTTTTTCAAGGTGCCCGGATTTCATATTGCTCAAACACACATGCTGTACAATTTGTGCAGTTAATGCAATTATCACATAGTCCTGAGGCAACATACATCCTCCTCAGCTGACAGGATTGAGATTAAAGTAAAGACAGGCATAGGAAATCACAAGGGTATTGACTGGGGAAGTGATAAGCGTCCATGAACTCTTTACAATTTATGTTTAGAGATTGCAGTAAAGACAGGCATAAGAAATTATAAAAGTATTAATTTGGGGAACTAATAAATGTCCACGAAATCTTCACAATCCACGTTCTTCTGTCACGGCTTCAGCCCGTCCCTCCATTTGGGGTCCCTGACTTCCTGCAACAGGGAGGAATCAGCAAAGGATACTAAGAAGGAATGGTCTTTGAAGGAAGTAGAACAGAAGAGAGAAATGTCCTGGAAGCCAAGTGAAGAAATTGATTCCAAGAGAGGCAGTGGGTCCAATAGTGGGTTAAATGCTGATGATAGGTCTTTTGGGCATATATTCAGAGTGAAATTGCTGGATCATATGGTGATTCTATTTTTAGGTTTCTTTTCATTAAAGACTTTTTTTTTTTGAGATGGGTTCTCACTCTGTCCCCCAGGTTGGAGTGTAGTGGCACAATCTCAGCTGACTGTAGACTCGACCTCCTGGGCTCAAGCAGTACTCTCACTTCAGCCTTCCAAGTAGCTGGGACTACAGGTGCATGTCACCACGCCTGGCTAATTAAAGAAATTTTTTTGTAGAGGCAAGGTCTCACTATGTTGCCCAGGCTGGGCTCGAACTCCTGGGCTCAAGTGATCCTCCTGCCTTGGCCTCCCAAAGTGCTGGGATTACAGGCGTGAGCCACCCACCCCAACCTCCCTAGCACACATACACCCATTAAGACTTTTTAAAAAGAGCAGTTTTAGATTCACAGCAAAATTGAGAGAAAAGCACAGAGATTTTCCATATACCCCTGGGTCTGACACATGCATAGCCTCCCTCATTATCGACAACCCCCACCAGAGTAGTACATTTGTTACAATTGACAAACCTACACTGACACATCATTATCATTCAAAGTTCATAGTTTTATGTTAGGATTCACTCTTTGTATGGTATATCCTTTAGGTTTGGACAAATGTATAATGACATGTACCCACCATTATATCATCATACAGACTATTTTCACTGCCCTAAAAGGCTTCGGTGCTCTGTCTATTCATCCCTCCCTCCCCGCAACCCTTAGCAAGCACCAATTTTTAAACTGTCAATATAGTTTTGTCTTCTCCATAATGTCATATAGTTGGAATTACACAGTATGTATTATTTTAAGATTGGCTTCTTTCACTTAGTAATATGGATCTAAGTTTTTTCCATGTCTTTTGATGGCTTGATAGTTCATTTGTTTTTAGCACTGAATAATATTCCATTGTCTGGATATACCACAGTTTATACATTCACCTACTAAAGGACATCTTAGTTGCCCCCAAGTTTTGGCAATTATGAATAAAGCTGCTGTAAACACCCATGAGCAAGTTTTCAACTCCTTTGATAAATACCAAGGAATGTGGTTGCTGGATCTTAAGGTAAGAATACAGTATGATCAGTTTTGTAAGAAACGGCCAAACTGTCTTCCAAAGTGGCTATACCATTTTGCATTTCCACCAGCAATGAATGAGAGTTCCTGTTGCTCCACATTCTCACCAGCATTTGTTGTTGTCAGTACTCTGGATTTGGGCATTCTAAAAGGTGTGTAGTGATATCTCATTGTTCTTTTCATTTGCATTTTCCTGATAACTGTAATAATTAAAGAAAGAGGAAAGAAACATGAAAGACAGCTTGACAGTTAAGACAGGTTTATTTTGGAGAAAACAAACCAAGAGGAGCTTTTGGCCCAGTTAGGTTAGAGGCACACTTTTTTACAGACTAAGAGTTTTTAAGGATTTAGGGTGGGAGAGTTTATTAGAGGCATGGACTGCTTTTTTTTTTCTTTGTTGTGCTTATTTGGGAGGGAGAGTTGTGTGTTTGTTTTTATACATTTTTTTGCAGCTGCAGGCATACCCCCCAAGTCTGCTTTTAGCCTCCCTATCTTATTGCACCTGAAAGGAAAAGAATATGCTTATTAAGGCCCACTGTTTTACTGGGGACCATTGTATGAGGGTAAAGTTTGGCAGTTACCCAAGAGACTTTCCCCCCACCTTCCTCCGTGCCCAAGCTGTTTTATTTGTGTTTTATTGTTTGTTTTTTTCTGGCTGCTTGTAGTTAGAAGAGAAGTGATTACCTTGAAATGCATGAGGCTAGAAAGGGAGCTGGAACTTAAAGTAGCTGTGTTTGTCCAAGATGATGGTGCTCCTGCTCTGTCAATAACATCATGTAGAGCACTTTTTCATATGCTTATTTGCCATCTGTATATTTTCCTCAGTGAGGTGTCTATTAAAGTCTTTGCCCATTTTTTAATCAAATCAAGTTGCTTGTTTTTTATTGTTGAGTTTTAAAAGTTCTTTGTATATTTTGCACATCAGTTCTTCATCAGGTAAGTCTTTTGCAGACATATTCTCTTGGTCTGTGGCTTCTCTTTTCATTCTCTTGGCAATGTCTTTCATAGAGGAGACTTTTTAAATTTTAAATTTAGATTATCGATTCTTTCTTTTATGAACTCTGCCTTTGGTGTGGTATCTAAAAATTCATTGCCAAACCCTAGGTCATCTAGATTTTCTCCTGCGTTATTGTCTAAGAACTTTATAGCTTTGAGTTTTACCTTTAGGTCTCTTATCCATTTTGAGTTAATTTTTTTCAAAGGGTATAAAATCTGTGTCTAGATTCATGTTTTTGCATGTGGATTTCTAGTTGTTCCAGCACCATTTGTTGAAAAAAATTCTCTGGGAGCTAAATGATAAGAACTTATGAACACAAAGAAGGAAAAGATGGACACTGGGGTCTACTTGAGTGGGGAGGGTGGAAGAGGGAGAGTAGCAGAAAAGATAACTATTGGGTACTGGGCTTAATACCTGGGTGATGTAATAATATGTACAACAAACCCCCATGACACTTGTTTACCTATATAACAAACCTACACATATACCCCCAAACCTAAAATAAAAGTTAAAAAAAAAAGAAAAAGTAAAAAGCTCTCTCTTCTTTATTGTATTGTCTTTGCTCCTTTTTCTTTTTCTTTTTTGAGTTTCACTCTTGTTGCCCAGGCTGGAGTGGTGCAATGGTGTGATCTCAGCTCACCACAACCTCCACCTCCCAGGTTCAGACAATTCTCTTGTCTCAGCCTCCCAAATAGCTGGGATTACAGGCATGCACCACCACGCCTGGCTCATTTTGTATTTTTAATAGAGATGGGGTTTCGCCATGTTGGTCAGGCTGGTTTCGAACTCCTGACCTCAAGTGATCCATCCACCTCAGCCTCCAAAGTGCTGGGATTACAGGTGTGAGCCACCGCGTGCGGCCCGACCTTTGCTCCTTTTTCAAGGATCAGTTGACAATATATATGTGAGTCTGTTTCTGGGCTCTCTATTCTGTTCCATTGTTCTATTTTCTTCACCAATACCATACTGTCTTGATTACTGTAGCTTTATAGTATCTTGAAGTCAGGTAGTGTCAGTCCTCCAACTTTGTTTTTCCCGTTCAATATTATGTTGGCTATTCTGAGCCTTTTGCTCGTACCGTTTTGCATAACAGCTGCACCATTTTACATTCCCACTGTCAGTGCACAATGGTTCAAATATCGCCAATATTGAACACATGCTATTTTCTGGGGTTTTAAAAAATAGTAGCCATAATAATGAGTGTGAGGAGGTATCTCATTGTGGTTTCCATTTGCATTTCCTTAACGATTTGAGACCTTGAGTTTTTTTTTTTTTTTTTGACAGAGACTCACTCTGTTGCCCAGGCTAGAGTGCAGTAGCATCATCTCCACTCACTGCAACCTCCGCATCCTGGGTTCAAGCGATTCTCCTGCTTCAGCCTCCCGAGTAGCTAAAACTACAGGCATGCACCACCACACCGGCTAATTTTTGTATTTGTATTTGTATTTATTTTGTTTTTTTGAGACAAAGCCTCACTCTGTTGCCCAGGCTGGAGTACAGGGTGCGATCTCGGCTAAATGCAACCTCAGCCCTCTACGTTCAAGCAATTCTGCCTCAGCTTCCCTAATAGCTGGGATTACAGGTGTGCACTACCACACTTGGCTAATTTTTAGTACAGACGGGGTTCTGCCATGTTGGCCAGGCTGGTCTCGAATTCCTGACCTCAAGTGATCCTCCCACCTCAGCCTCCCAAACTGCTGGGATTACAGGTGTAAGCCACCACACCCAGCCTAATTTTTGTATTTTTAGTAGAGACGGGGTTTCACCATGTTGGCCAGGCTGGTCTTGAACTCCTGACCTAAAGTGATCTGCCCACCTTGGCCTCCCAAAGTGCTGGGACTACAGGTGTTAGCCACTGCACCCAGCCAAGACCTTGAGTATCTTTCATGTGCTTATTGGTCATTTATATATCTTCTTTGGAGAAATGTTTATTCAAGTACTTTGACTTTTTTTTTTTTCTTTTTTTGCCTGAGACGGTTTGGCTTCGTAGCCTAGACTGGAGTGCAGTGGCATGATCTCGGCTCACAGCAACATCCACCTCCCAGGCTCAAGTGATCCTCCTGTCTCAGCCTCCTGAGTAGTTGGGACTACAGGTACGTGTCACCACACCTGCCTAACATTTATTTTTTGTAGAGATAGAGTTCATCATGTTACCCAGGCTGGTCTCAAACTCCTGAGCTCAAATGACCTACTTGCCTTGGCCTCCCAAAGTGCTGTGATTACAGGCATCAGTCACCATGACTGGACCTTTGCCCATTTTTTAATCATGTTGTTTTGCTGTTATTGAGTTGCAGGAGTTCTTCATATATTCTAGTTATTAACCTTTTATCAGATATATGAGTTGCAAATATTTTCTCCTATTCCATACATTGCGTTTTTACTCTGCTGATTGCATCCTTTGATGCACAGAGTCTTATTTATTTTTTAAATTTTCAATGTTTTTATTATTTAGAGACAAGGTCTCTCTGTCACTCAGGTTGGAGTGCAGTGGCGTGATCATAGCTCACTGCAACCTCAGACTCCTGGGCTCAAGCACTACTCCCACCTCAGCCTCCTAGGTAGCTAGGGCTATAGGCCGGTGTCACCATGCCCAGCTAATTTTTAAAATTTTTTTTGTAGAGATATGGTTTACTATGTTGCCCAGGCTGGTCTTGAACTCTTGAACTCAAGCAATCCTCCCGCATTGGCCTTGGCCTCTCAAAGTACTGGAATTAAAGGCATGAGCCACCATGCCTGGGCCACAAAAGTTTTAGATTTTAATGTAGTCCCTTTATCTGTTTCTACTTTTGTTGGTTGTGGTGCCATATCCAAGAAATTATTGCTAAATCTAATGAAGCTTTTTTTCACTATGCTTTCTTTCTTCTTCTTTTTTTTTTCTTGAGATGGAGTCTCGCTCTGTTGCCCAGGCTGGAGTGCAGTGGCATGGCCTCGGCTCACTGCAACCTCCACCTCCTGGGTTCAAGTGATTCTCCTGCCTCAGCCTCCTGAGTAGCTGGGATTATAGGTGCCTGCCATAACGCCTGGTTAATTTTTTGTATTTTCACTAGAGACAGGGTTTCGCCATGTTGGCCAGGCTGGTCTCGAAATCCTGACCTCGTGATCCATCTGCCTTGGCCTCCCAAAGAGCTGGGATTGCACACATGAGCCACTGCACCTAGCCTTATGTTTTCTTCTAAGAGTTTTATACTTTTTGCTCTTATAGCAATTTGATCAATTTTTAGTTAATTTTTACATATGGTATAAAGTAAAGATCCAACTTCATTCTTTTGCAGGTGAATATCTATTTTCCCCAGTGCCGTAGTATGAAAAGACTTTCTTTTATCTATTGAATAGTCTTGGCACCTTTGTCAAAATCATTTGACCACATATGTGAGGGCTTATTTCTGAGATTTCTATTCTATTCCTTGGTCTATGTGTCTGTCTTTATGCTAGTACCACACTGTTTTGATTACTGCAACTTTGTGATAAGTTTTGAAATCAGGATGTATGAGATCTCCAACTTGGTTCTTTTTTTTCCCAAGATTGTTTTGGTCATTCAGGATCCCTTGAGGTTCCATATGAATTTTGAAATGAATTTTTCCATTTCTGAAAAAAAAAGCCATTGAATTGTGCTAAGAAATGCATTGTATCTGTAGATCACTTTAGAGAGTGTTGATATCATAAAAATATTAAGACTACCAATGAACATGGATTAACTTTCTGTTTATTTGTATCTTTAATTTCTCTGAGAAACATTTTGTAGTTTTCATTGTACAAGTCTTGTCTCCTTGGTGAAGTTTATTCCTAAGTATTTTATTATTCTTTTTCATGCTATTGTAAATGAAATTGTTTTCTTAATATCCTTTTCAGATTGTTCATGGTTAATATATAGAAACAGTGATTTTTCAGTGTTGATTTTGTATCCTGCAACTTTACTAAATTTGTTTATTAGTTATAACAGGCTTTTTGGAATTTTTAGGGTTTTCTACATATAAGATCATGTCATTTACGAATGGAGATTAATTTTACTTCTTCCTTTCCAATTTGGATGCCTTCTATTTCTTTTTCCTGCCTACTTGTTCTGGCTAGGACTTACAGTGCTATGTTAAAAGAAGTATTGAAAGTACTTCCCGCTGGGCGAGGTGGCTCATGCCTGTAATCCCAGCACTTTGGGAGGCCGAGGCTGGCAGGAAATCGAGACCATCCTGGCTAACACGGTGAAACCCTGTCTCTACTAAAAATACAAAAAATTAGCCAGGCGTGGTGGCGGGCGCCTGTAGTCCCAGCTACTCGGGAGGCTGAGGCAGGAGAATGGCGTGAACCTGGGAGGCTGAGCTTGCAGTGAGCCAAGATCGTGCCACTGCACTCTCCAGCCTGGGTGACAGAGCGAGACTCTGTCTCGAAAAAAAAAAAGGAATGAAAGAAAGAAAGTACTTCCCTTGTTCATGACCTTAGAGGGAAAGCTTTCAATTTCTTACCAGTGAGTATGCTGTTACATTTGTTGTTGTTGTTGTTGTTTAAAACAGAGTTTCGCTGTTGTTGCCCACCCAGGCTGGAGTACAATGGTTTGATCTCAGCTCACTGCAACCTCTGCTTCCCGGGTTCAAGCAATTCTCCTGCTTCAGCCTCCCAAGTAGCTGGGATTACAGGCATGTGCCACCACGCCCAGCTAATTCTGTATTTTTAGTAGAGACGGGGTTTCTCCATGTTGGTCAGGCTGGTCTTGAACTCCTGACCTCAGGTTATATGCCCTCCTCAACCTCCCAAAGTGCTGGGATTACAGGCATGAGCTACTGTGCCTGGCCGCATTTGTTGTTTTTTAAGATGAGAGATGGCCGGGCTCAGTGGCTCACGCCTGTAATCCCAGCACTTCAGGAGGCCAAGGCAGGCGGATCACAAGGTCAGGAGATCCAGAACATCCTGGCTAAAACGGTGAAACCCTGTCTCTACTAAAAATACAAAAAAATTAGCTGGGCATGGTGACGGGCGCCTGTAGTCCCAGCTACTCAGGAGGCTGAGGCAGGAGAATGGCATGAACCGGGGAGGCGGATGTTGCAGTGAGCCGAGACCGCACCACTGCACTCCAGCCTGGGCGACAGAGTGAGACTCCTTCTCAAAACAACAACAACAACAACAACAAAAAAAAACGATGAGAGATGAGCCTGGTGCAGTGGCTCATGCCTGTAATCCCTGTGCTTTGGGAGGCTGAGACAGGAGGATTGCTTAAGGCCAGGAGTTTGACGTTACAATGAGCAATGAACTATGATTGCACCACTATGCTCCAGCTGGGCACAACTGTATTTAAAAATAAAAATAATAATAATAATAGAAATAGCATGATTGTATGAAGATAGAAACAGTAGACGGAAAACTTGGTGAGACAGGAGAAAAGGGAGTCCTGCTGGAGCAATGTTCTTGAGTAGATAAAAGGGACTGGTACCTAGTTCACAAGTGGAGGGATTAGTTTTAGTGTAAAAACCGAAACAGTCAATTTGTAGTCTCACTCTGCTGGAAGGCAAAGTTTCTGGGCAAAGATGCTGATGGGTAGGTGTGGCTCACTGTTTAGAATTCAACTCAGATGTCACCCCATCTGAAAGGAGCTACTCCTGCCACCATTTTTTTTTTTTTTTTTTTTTTTTTTTTTTAGTCAGAGTCTCACTCTGTTGCCAGGCTGGAGTACAGTGGCACGATCTCGGCTCACTGCAACCTCTGCCTCTCAGGTTCAAACGATTTTCCTGCTTCAGCCTCCCAAGTAGCTGGGACTACAGGTGCATGCCACCACACTCAGCTAATTTTTGTATTTTTAGTAGAGACAGGGTTTCACCATGTTGGCCAGGATGCTCTCGAGCTCTTGACCTTGTGATTGGCCTGCCTCAGCCTCCCAAAGTGCTGGGATTACAGGCATGAGCCACCGTGCCCGGCCCCTCCTGGCATCATTTCTATCCTAACATCATGCATGATTTTCTTCACAGCATTTATCTCTATCAGAAATTGTCTTCTTTATTTGTATCTTTTTTGGGTTGAAAATTCCATGAGACCAGAGATTGTGTTGCTCTTGTTCAGTTTTGTATCTCCAGCCTCTGAAGCAGTGCCTGGTACATGGCAAATGTTCCATAAATCTTCACTGATTTGATTGATTGAAGAGTGGGCTGAGGACTAGACCAAAAGGAAAGTGAGGAAACAGTGAATAGTATTTTACTTCACTAAAGTCAAGTAAAAATATTTGCTGAACTGAGTTTGAAGACCATAAACTATGTGTCATGGTTCCAGTCTCAAGGATTGTGATCTTTTGTTTTCAACTTTGTCCAGCAGTGTGGGGACAGGATTCATTCAACCAAGGTCGGAGGTCGGGGTGCAGGGCATCCTCAGAGAGGCCCTAAGATTGGGCAAGTTGGCCTGGAGCGGTGGCTCACGCCTGTAATCCCAGCACTTTGGGAGGCCGAGGCGGGTGGATCACGAGGTCGCGAGATCGAGACCATCCTGGCTAACACGGTGAAACCCCGTCTCTACTAACAATACAAAAAATGAGCCGGGCGCCGTGGCGGGCGCCTATAGTCCCAGCTACTCGGGAGGCTGAGGCAGGAGAATGGCGTGAACCCGGGAGGCGGAGCTTGCAGTGAGCCGAGATAGCACCACTGCACTCCGGCCTGGGTGAAAGAGCGAGACTCCGTCTCAAAAAAAAAAAAAAAAAAAAAAAGATTGGGCAAGTTGTGTTAATAAAGCAAGGCTGAATAATGTGCCCTAAACAGGGAAGGAAGTGAGGCAAGGAGCGGGAAATGGACTGAGAGATGCAAGGGCTCCACTTCTACATGGCACTTTGTGGTCGGATGGTTGGTGTGATGTGACAGACTTTATGCTGAAACAGTGGAATGTTGTGGTTGTAGGACTTCCTTTTCTGATCTCAAATCAGTTTCCCTGTAAACTTCCTCTTTTGCTCCTGCTCTGTCATCTGGAATCAAAATGACATTAGTGTGTTTTTGTTGTTGTTCTACACTAAGTCAAGAGTTTTGCTCTCAAAAAAAACTTGCTCTCTCCCATCCAGTCTTCTTTTCTCCAACACAAACCCCACTTCTTCTAATGCTCAGAGCCCCTCATTTACCAGATCATGGGAGGCTCTTTATAAAACATTTAAAATCACATGTAATGGAAGACATTGAACACTGACTTGAATCTTTTAGGCTATCTAAAAATTGCTTATTCTTTTTTACATATGATATTGTGTATGATAGGTCTGATCTTGTGGTTAAGTTTAAGAAAGAATGGCTGCAAAGACATCACAAGGAAAGAAAACTACAGACCAATATGTCTTATGAGTATGGACACAAGAATCCTCAACAAAACACTAGCAAACCAAATCAAGCAACATATAAAAATAATTATGCACCATGACCAATTGGGATTTATGCCAGGAGTGCAATGATGGTTTTGACAGAGCAGGAGCACTGTCATCTTGGACAAACACTGCCACTTTAAGTTCCAGCTCCTTTTCTAACCTCATGCATTTCAAGGAAATCATTTCTATTCTAACAACAAGCAGCCACAAAGCGCAGACAGTAAAACACAGACAAGACAGCTCAGGCACAGAGGGAGAGGGGAAAATCTCCTGGGTAACCACCAAACTTCACACTCATACAATAGGCCCCAGTAAAACAGTGGGCCCTGATAAGCACATTCCTTTTCCTTTAGGTGCACTGAGATAGGGAAGCTAAAAGCAGACTGGGGGTGGCGGGAGTGATGGGAAGTATGCCTGTAGCTGCAGGAAGATGTATGGGAACAGACACAAAACTGTGCCTCCCAGATAAGCAAGACAAAGAGACACAGAAACATTCTGAGCCTATGATAAGCTCTCCTGCCCTGAACCCTTAAAAACTCTTAGTCTGGAAGAGAGAGTGGCTCTGACCTAACTTGGTTAGAAGCCCCTCTCAGGTTTATGCTCCAAAATAAACCTGTCTTTGTTGAGCTGCCTTTCATGTTTCTTTCCTCTTTAATTCTTACAGGTTTAACATCTGAAAATTAATGTAATACATCAGAAAAATAGAATTAGAAATAAAAAACCACGTGATTATTTAAATAAATGCAGAAGAAGCATTTGACAAAATTCAACACCTCTCACGAAAAAACACTCAACAAAAGGAAGGAAGGGAACTTTCTTGCATGGTAAAGGACATCTGCCAAAAAAAATCAGTTTATATCATACTTAATAGTAAAAGACTGCTTTTGCCTTAAGATCAGCAACAAAACAAGGATGTATTTTCTCACCACCTCTATTCAACATTGTACTAGAGGTTCTTGCCATGAAAATTAGTAAAAGAAATAAATGGCATCCAGGTTGAAAAGCAGGAAGTAAAATGATGTCAATTCACAGATTATATAATCACATATATTAAAAACTCCTAGTGATTCACTAAAATACATGAAAACTAATCAGCAAGTTCAGCAAGATTGCAAAATACAAAATCAATATACAAAAATCTATTGTATGTCAATACACTTAGAATGCACATTCTGAAAATTAAATTAAGTAAACAACTCTGAGCAGGTGTGGTAGCTCATGCCTGTAATCCCAGCACTTTGGTTGGCTGAGGCGGGAGAAGTGCTTCAGCCCTGAAGTTCATGACCAGCCTAGGCAACACAAGGAGACCATTGTTCCTACTAAAACTTTCTGTTTGTTTGTTTGAGACAGAGTCTTGTGCCGTCGCCAGGCTGGAGTGGAGTGGCATGATCTCAGCTCACTGCAACCTCCATCTCCTGGGTTCAAGCAATTCTCCTGCCTCAGCCTCCTGAGTAGCTGGGACTACAGGCACATGCTGCCACGCCTGGCTTTTTTTTTTTTTTTTTTTTTTTTAGTAGAAATGGGGTTTCACCATGTTGCCCAGGCTGGTCTCAAACTCCTGAGCTCAGGCAATCCGCCCACCTCAGCCTCCCAAAGTGCTAGGATTCTGGGCGTGAGCCACTGTGCCCAGACTGTTCCTACCAAAACTTAAAAAAAAAATTAGCCAGGCATGGTGGCTTGCACCTGTAGTCCCAGTTACTTGGGAGGCTGAGGTGGGAGGCTCACTTGAGCCCTGGGGCTTGAGGTTGCAGTGAGCTATGATAGTACCACTGCATTCCATCCTGGGTGACAGTGAGACTCTGTCTCAAAAAAAGAAAAAAGAAAAAAATTCCACTTGCAACAGCAGCAAAAAGAATAAAATGTTTAGGAACAAATATAACAAAAGAAGAGAAGAGCAGACTTACACTCTTAAAACTACAAAATGTTGTTGAAAGGAATTAAAGAAGATCTAAGTAAATGGAATAATATCCCATGCTCATAGATCTTATGATTGTCAAGATGACAATTCTCCCCTAATTCACCTACAGATTCAATGAAATTCTTTTTTTTTTGGTGTGTATGAGATATTGCATTATGATTAGAAATCATTTCCAGCACTTGCTTCTATGCCTGTTGCCCCATGCCCGAGGTAGGGGGCTTGGATCCAGGACAGGGTGTGGTCCTGCCCGGGGGTGGGTCCCAAACAGATGAACAGACTGGACCTCCCCTCCTTTCCAATGCCAGGGAGGCTGCTGAGGAGGACCACAAGTTCCATAATAAAATAAAGATTTTATTATGCTCACAGGGGAGGGTGGCTCATTCCTTGTGGGCAGCTGCTTTCCTCTTGGCGGCCAGGATGTTGCTCAGCTCCTCCTGCTTCCTGTTGGCACAGATGTGTGTCCCCACCCTTTTCTTGATGAACTTGAGGGCCCAGTTGTCCTTAGAAACCTCAAGCAACTCCATGGCATGCCGCTCGTTTGGGGCAAAGCCATACCCCTTTCAGGCCAGGTCTGCACAAACTCAGTGTTCTTGGTGAGGTGCCCATGGTGGTGGCGACTGAGCCTGGGCTTTCTCCTTACCCCATCATTACCTGGGCCCTTGCTGAGACCCCAGTCATGGGGTGGCACAGAGCCATGGCTACTCCTTTTCAATCTCAATGAAAGTCTTATAAGAATCCTAGCTGGTTTCTTTATAGAAATTGACAAGCTAATTGTAAAGTTTATATAGAAGTTCAATGGGTGCAGAATAGATAAAACAACCTTGTAAAAGAAGAGCAAAGTTGGAGGACTCACACTTCCTGATTTCAAAACATTATTGCAAAGCAACAGTAACTAAGACAGTGTGGTAGTAGCATAAGGATAAGCAGACAGATCAATGGAATAGAAGTGAGAGTTCAGAAATATACCCACATGTCTATGGGAAACTTATTTTGACAAGGTTGTCAAGAACATCCAGTAAGGAAACACTAGTTTCAACTAATGGCAAAGGGACACCTGGATATCCATATGCAGATGTATGAAGTTGGACCCTTACCTCAAATCATATACAAAAATTAATTCCACATTAATTGATTACCTAAATGTAAGAGCCAAAACCATAAAGCTCTTAGAAGAAAACACAGAAACTAATCTTTGTGGCCTTTGATTTAGCAGTGGATTATTAGATATGACTCCAAAAGCCTGAGCAACAAAATAAATAATAATAAACTGGAATTCAAAATTAAAAGCTTTTGTGCATCAAAAGGCATTACCAAATAAAGTGAAAAGACAACCTACAAAATGGGAGAAAATGTTGCAAATTATATACCTGGTAATGGTTTACTACCCAGAGTTTATATAGGATTCCTACAACTCGGCAACAAAAAGGCAAACAAATCAAGTAAAAATATGGGAAAAGGGCTTGAATAGCCATTTCTCCAAAGGCACACAAATGCCTGAAAGTCCATGAAAAGATGCTCAACATTATTATTCATTAGTAAAATACCAAAAACAAACAGGCAAATTAAAACCTGGGCAAAGAACTTGACTGAACATTGCCACAAAGAAATTATAATAAATGACTAACAAACATAAGAAAAGATGCTCAAAATCATTGGCCATTAAGGTAATGCAAACCAAAAACACAATGAGAGGCTGGGCGCAGTGGCTCACGCATGTAATCCCAGCACTTGGAGAGGCCGAGGCGGGCAGATCATTTCAGGTCAGGATTTCGAGACCAGCCTGGCCAACATAGAGAAACCCTGTCTTTACCAAAAATACAAAAATTAGCCAGGCCTGGTGGTGAGTGCCTGTAATCCCAGCTACTTGGGAGGCTGAGGCAGGAGAATCACTTCAACCTGGGAAGCGGAGGTTGCAGTGAACCGAGATTGCGCCATTGCACTCCAGCCTGGGCAACAGAGAGAGACCCTGTCTCAGAAAAAAAAAAAAAAGAAAATAGAAAAGCCACAATGAGATACCACTTCACACTCACTAGTATAGCACTAATCAACAACAATAAAAAAAATTGGAAACAAGTGTTGGCAAGAAGGTGGAGAAGAAGGAACCCTCATAAATTTTCGGTGGGAATGTGATATGGTACAGCCACTGTGGAAAATAATTTAGCAGTTTGTCAAAAAGTTAAATATATAATTAATTTTACCATATAATCCAATAATTGTACTCCTCATTATATACCCAAAAGAATTGGAAAGGCATATCCAAACAAAATTTTGTACCAAAATGTTCATATCAACACTATACACTATAGCTAAAACATGGAAATGATTCAAGTGTCCACTAGTGGATAAATGAATACATAAAATGTGGTATACACAGACAACGGAATATTATTTAGCCACAGAAAGTAATGACGTCTGATACATGTTACAACATAGATAAACCTTGACAACATTATGCTAAGTGAAATAAGCCAGACACAAAAAGGCAAATATTGTATGATTCCACTTATGCTGAGTATCTATAATAGGTAAGCTTAGTCAGATGGTAAGTAGATTAAAGGTTAATGGGTTCTAGAGGGAGAGGAGACAGGGAGTTATTGCATAATGGGTACAGAGTTTCTGTTTAGGATGATGAAAAGCATTGTAAATAGTAGCAATGGTTGCACAATATTGTGAATGCAATTAATACCACTGTATTTATTATACACTTAAAAATGGCCAAAATAGCAAATTTTATTTTAAACAGTAGTCTATAAGGTTTTTTCCATTATTATTATTATTATTTTTTTTTTTTACTTTTTAAACTATTTTGTTAAAAACTAAGACACAAACCACACACATTAGCCCGGGCCTACACAGAGTCAAGCTCATCAACATCGTTGTATTCCACCCCCACATCTTGTCCCACTGGAAGGTCTTCAGGGGCAATTAATAAGCATGGAGCTGTCATCTTCAGCCTCCCGAGTAGCTGGGACTACAGGCGCATGCCACCATGCCCAGTTAATTTCTTTTGTATTTTAGTAGAGACAGGGTTTCACCGTGTTGCCCAGGTTGGTCTCGAACTCCTGAGCTTGGGCAATCTGCCTGCCTCGGCCTCCCAAAGTGCTAGGATTACAGGCGTGAGCCACCACACCCAGCTGGGCAATAGAGATTTTTCTGCTCCATTATAATCTAATGGGACCACCCTTGTTTATACTGTTCAAGTTTGACCAAAACATTATTATGTGGTGCATGACTATGTATATATTGCCAGAATTAAAATTAAAAATTAGAGCATAGATAAACAAAATAAGGAATGGAAAAAATAGAAAATCGGTAAAACCAAGAGTTGGTTCTTTTAAAAGATCAACAAAATTGACAAACCTTTAGTCTGAGAAAAAAAAGAAAGTACAAATAACTAAAATCAGAAATGAAAGTACCAGCCTGGGCAACATAGACAGACCCCATCTCTACAATTTTTTTGTTTATTTAGCCAGGCCTGGTGGCACACATCTGTGGTCCTAACTACTTGGGAGGCTAAGGCAGGAGGAGTGCTTGAGCCCAGGAGTTCAAGGCCGCACACCACTGCACTCCAGCCTGGGTGACAGAATGAGACCCTGGAAAAAAAAAAAAGAGGAAAGAAAGAGAGAGGGAGGAAGGAAGGAAGGAAGGGGAAAAGGAAAAGGAAAGGAAAGGGAAGGAAAAGAAGGGGGGGAAGGGGGAGGGAGGGAGGGAAGGAAGAAGGAAGGTTAATTAAAGTGGAACATTACTACTGACCTTACAGAAATTAAAACGATTGAAAGAAAATATTTTGAACACGATATGCCAACAAATTAGGTAATCTAGATGAAATGGACAAATTCCTAGGACACACTTATTGCCAAAACTGCCTCAACAACATATTTATAACAAGAGATTGAATCAGTAACCAAAAATCTCACAACAAAAAAAAGTTCAAGACCAGATAGCTTCACTGGTGAATTCTACCAAATATTAAAAAGACTTAATGCCAATCTTACTTAAACTCTTTCAAAAAACAGAAAAGGAGGAAACATCTTCTTTCTTTGTGTGTGTGTGTGTGTGTGTGTGTGTGTGTGTGTGTGTGTGTGTGTTTTGTTTTTTTTTGAGACAGAGTCTCGCTCTGTAACCCAGGCTGGAGTGCAACGACGAGATCTCAGCTCACTGCAACCTCTGCCTCCTGGATGCAAGCGATTCTCCTGCCTCAGCCTCCCAAGTAGCTGGGATTACAGGCACCCACCACCATGCCCAGCTAATTTTTGTATTTTTAGTAGAAATGGGGTTTCACTGTGTTGGTCAGGCTGGTCTCGAACTCCTGACCTCAGGTGATGCACCCGCCTCAGCCTCCCAAAGCACTAGGATTACAGGCGTGAACCACCACACCTGGCCTAAAGATGCCACTTTTACCACTTATATTTACTACCGTACCAGAAGTTTTAGCCAGAGAAACTAGGCAAGAAAAATAAATAAATAAAGGCATCCAATTTGGAAAGGAAGAAGTAAAATTGTATTTGCATATGATATGATTCTATAAATAGAAAGTCTCATAGAATTCACAAAAAAACTATTGGGGATAATAAATTAAGCAGTTTCAGACTACAAGATCAACACACAAAAATTAGTTGTTTCTATGCAATAGCAATTTAAAATCCAGAAAGGAAATTAAGAGAATAATTTCATTTACATGTTTTCAAAAAGAATAAAATTCCTTGGAATACAATTACCAAAGAGGTTAAAACCTTATAAAATGAAAACTAGAAAACATTGCTGAAATAAATTAAAGAAGACCTAAATAAATGGAAAGACATCCCTTCAATGTTTATGCATTGGAAGACTTAATATTGACACAGAACAACTGTATAGGATTAGAGCCTGGAAATAACCCAAACATCTATAACCAACTGATTTTTGATAATGAAGCCAAGATTATTCAATGGAAAAAAGAAATCTCTTCAAAAATAATGCTGAGAAAACTGGGTAGCTAATATGCAAAAAAAAAAAAAAAAGAGAAATGACACTAGACCATTACCTCTCTCCATATACAAAAATTAACTCAAAATAGATTAACAACTTAAATAACAGAACTAAAGCTATGAAACTGTTAGAAGAAAACCTAGGGATTAATCTTCATGACCTCTGATTTGGCAATGAATTCTTAGATGTGACACCAAAAGCATGAGCAACAAAAAAAAGTGATAAATTGGACTTCATAGAGATTAAAAACTTTGGTGCATCAAAGGACACTATCAAGAAAGTGAAAAGACAGCCTTTGAATAGGAGAAAATTATGAAAATTATATATCTGATAAGGGTCTAGTATGCAGTATATATAAAGAACTTTTACAACTCAACAACAACAAAGACAATCCAATTTTATTTTTTATTTATTTTTTTGAGACAGAATCTCACTGTGTTGCCCAGTCTGGAGTGCAGTGGGATGATCACAGCTCACTGCAGCCTCTACCTCCTGGGCTCAAGCAATTCTCCTGCCTCAGCCTCCTGAGTGCTGTTACTACAGGAGCACACTACCACACCCAGCTAATTGTTTTGATTTTTAGTAGAGACAAGGTGTAGCTATGTTGCCCAGGCTGGTCTCAATCCAGTTTTTAATAAGGCAAGCAACTTGAATGGCTATTTCTCCACATAGGCTATACAAATGGCTAACAAGCATATGAAAAGATGTTCAACATCATTGATCATAAAGGGAACGCAAATTAAAGGCACAATGAGATATCACTACACACTCACCATACTGCTATAATGATAAATTTTTTAAATAAAATAACAAGTGTTGGTGAGGATGTGGAAAAACAGGAACTCTCATACCTTGCTATTGGGAAAGTAAAATGGTGCAGCTACTCTGGAAACAGCTAGCAGTTCCTCAAAAAGTTAAACATATAATTACCATATGACCCATCAATTCTACTCCTTAGTATATACTCAAGAGAAATGAAAACATATATCTACACAGAAACTTGCACACAAATGTTTATAGCAGCAGTATTCATAATAACCGAATGGTGAAAATAACCCAAATGCTCATCAACAGATGATGGATAAATAAATTGTGATATGAACATTTAATGGAATATTATACAGCAAAAAAAAACCCCAAATATTGATACATGCCACAACTTGGATGAACTTTAAACTAATGCTAAGTAAAAGAAGTCAGACACTGGCCAGGCACAGTGGCTCACACTTGTGATCCCAGCACTTTCGGAGGCCGAGGCGGGCAGATCACCTGAGGTCAGGAGTTTGAGACCAACCTGGCCAACATGGTGTAATCCTGTTTCTACTAAAAATACAAAAATTAGCTGAGTGTGGTGACGAGCACCTGTAATCTCAGCTACTTGGAAGGCTGAGGCAGGAAAAGCGCTTGAACCTGGGAGGTGCAGGTTGCAGTGAGCCAAGATCACGTCACTGCACTCCAGCCTGGGCAATGGAGTGAAACTCTGCTTCAAAAATAAAATAAAATAAAATAAAATAATAAAATAAAATAAGCCAAACACTGAAAGTCACATGTTGTTATTGTTTGCCTTCTTTTATATAATATATCCAGAATAGGCAAATTCATAAAGACAGAAAACTGCTTAGTGGTCACCTGGGGAGGGGAGAGAGAGGAATGGGAAGTGATTACTTAATGGGTATGGCATGTGTTTTGGGCATGATGGAAAAGTTTTGAAACTAGAAAGAAGTGATGGTTGCACAACAGTGCGAATACACTAAATACCACTGAATCATACACTTTTTTTTTTTTGAGACAGAATTTCACTCTTGTTTCCCAGGCTGGAGTGCAGCGGCACTATCTCGGCTCACCCTGGCTAATTTTTGTATTATTAGTAGAGACGGGGTTTCACCATGTGGCCAGGCTAGTCTCAAACTCCTGACCTCAGGTGATCCGCCCACCTTGGCCTCCCAAAGTGCTGGGATTACAGGCGTGAGCCACCACGCATGGCCATTTTTCTTTTCTTTTTTCCTTTCCTTTTTTTTTGTGTGTGTGTGTTTGTGTGTGTGTGTGAGAGAGACAGAGTTTTGCTCTATGGCCAAGGCTGGAGTGCAGTGGCATGATGTTGGCTCACCGTAACCTCCACCTCCCAGGTTCAAGCGATTCTCCTGCCTCAGCCTCCCAAGTAGCTGGGATTATAGGTGTGTGCCACCACGCCTGGCTAATTTTTTGTATTTTTGTAGAGATGGGGTTTGGCTATGTTGGTTAGGCTGGTCTCAAACTCCTGACCTCAAGTGATCCACGTGCCTCAGCCTCTGAAAAGTGCTGGGATTACAGGTGTGAGCCACCACTCCCAGCCACACTTTAAAATGACTAATTATATGTAACATGAATTTCACCTCAATTAAGAAATTCAAAAAGACGAAATGAAACTGTAAACAGTTACAAACTGCTCTAAGTACTATAAGTGGGATGTGTAGGGCGGTGTTGAGGCCTAGCAAATGCCTGGCTCTGACTGGACAGCAGTGAGGTCATCACAGAGGTGACACTGGAGCTGGGTTTTGAGGGAGATGTAGGAATTCGGGAGATTGCAAGTGTAGGAAGTGAGAGAAAAGAGGTTCTTTTTTAAAAAGGAAGAGAAGGAACCATGCAGAGGGAACAGAATAGGCAAAGCCTTGGAGGTGTGAGTAAGCAATTCTCATACTGAGTACTAGAAAAGTTGGAGACCTAGTGTATATGGAGAATAGAAATAGTAGGAAAGGAAGGCAGAAGCCACATGATGAGGGGTTTGGCAGTCCATGTTGATGCCTTTGGACAAGGAATTAAGCAGGATTTATTTCTTGGGGGAACAGCATGGGCAACATCTTGTTGCCTAAATTAAACTTTCTATATGTTGACCATATTTTATTGTATTCGCTTAAAAATATTCATGAATATACTGCTTAGTATGTGCCAGGCACTGTCCTAAAGCTTATTATTAACTCACTTAATCTCATCAACAGTTGTTCTCAAAGTCTAGACTCCACTGGAATCTCCTAGAAGTCTTAAAACACAGAAACCAGAGTTTCTGATTCAACAGGTATGGTGACGCCTGAAATCTGCCTTTTAATTCAATTATCAGGAGATGCTGAGACTGCTGGCACAGGGAATACACTTTGAGAAACACTGCTTTACGTCATCCTTATAAGGAAGGGAGCATTATATTACCATAGTTCTGAGATTGTGTCACTGCACCCCAGCCTGGGTGACAGAACGAGACTCTGTCTCAAAAAAATAAATGGAATAAGGCTGACGTGAATGGGGTCAAAACAACGGTCTTAGAGCAGTACTCTGAGAGGTTGAGGTGGACCAAAGGGAGCCCCTGCTGTTGTCCCAACATGAAGGGCCCTGGACAAATATGATTTATCCAACCTTGTTTGGAGGAATTCAAGAAACCTTACCTTGAATCACCTGGGGCAATAGTCCCATAACCAAATCAGTATAAGGATTGATGACAAATGGGTCAGCTTCCTTTGGTTCACTACCACCACCACCCCATACCCCCACAGCCATTGCAGACCCAAGGCCTTATGCACATCAGTGAGAAAAACTGTCAGGGTGGAAAAGGGACATTTCTAGGACTCCTTAACATAGGAGCCACATACACTGTAGTCCCCTGCTAGTGAGCCCTCACTAAGACCACAATTAGAACAAAAGTGTATAGAAATCAAGGGTGGATGGGATTAAGGGATAAAAATAGAGTGTTTAGATGGGATTTATGTGAAGGGGTTGTAGCTCCTATACACGGATGTTTTAAGAGAATGAATATTATGTCTTAATGGGGCACACTTTCCCTACCTAGTATTTATAAAATGAAAATCTGTTGGTGAAGTCCTAGTGGAAGCTTCAGTCAGGGATGCAAGGGTTGATGAAACTAAAGTGACAAAAGTTTGGATTAAAATTCGTATGTTTGAACAGTTTGTATGTGTGAATAGCATCTCTTTTCGTTGAATGTAGTATGGGGATATTGTATCTGACCGTGGAACATTTCCCCTCCCTAGTATTATAAACAGAAGGCACATAAATTCACCCTTTGGGGCCAGGCCCACTGGTTCACACCTGTAATCCCAGCACTTTTGAGAGGCTGAGGCAGGTGGATCATGAGGTCAGGAGCTTGAGACCAGGCTGGCCAAAATGACGAAACCCTGTCTCTACTAAAAATACAAAAATTATCCGGGCACAGTGGCGGGTGCCTGTAACCCTGCTACTCAGGAGGCTGAGGCAGGAGAATCACTTGAACTCGGGAGGCGAAGGTTGCAGTGAGCCGAGATCGCGCCACTGTACTCCAGCCTGAGTGACAGAGCAAGACTCTGTCTCAAAAAAAAAAAAAACAAAACAAATTCACCCTATGGGTAATATTAATTGGATGTGCTAAAATGGGAACAAATAAGATGGCCCAAGTCACACTGATTGTTAATTTCAAACAGTATAAAATAGAAGCTGAAGTGCCAGTAGGGAAAATTCTCTGTACAATAGCCCTGTGTGAAGTATAGGCTGGAGCTTATGGCAAAAGTCTGTGAGTGCCACCCAGCAATAACTGCTGGGACTTTGGACCAGAGAATTCCCATTTGCAGGGAAATTACTTATTTCTTATCAGACATTAAGTAAAACTTCCACTATAACTGAAAGATATAAAATAATCTTAAACATAAAATACCCATAACATTTTGGATGATGTTGGAGAAACCATTCAATGGGGAGAGAAGTGCCTGGAAGAGCTCCATAACAAAATGGAAGTTGTTTCTGATGGAACATACCACTGGGGGAATGCCAGGAGATACCATATTTCCAAGCAGATAGACTTTTTCCCCTAGAATTGACTTTTGAACCACCTGAGGAGCTGCCAGATTTTATTTTATTTTATTTTATTTTATTTTATTTTATATTTTATTTGAGATGGAGCCTTGCTCTGTCACCCAGGCTGGAGTGCAGTGTTGCGATCTTGGCTCACTGCTCACTGTAACCTCCGCCTCCCAGGTTCCAGCGATTCTCCTGCCTCAGCCTCCCGACTAGCTGGGATTACAGGTGTGCACCACCATGCCCAGCTAATTTTTATATTTTTAGTAGAGATGGGGTTTCCCCATGTTGACCAGGTTGGTCTCAAACTCCTGACCTCAGGTGATCCGCCCTCTTCGGCCTCCCAAAGTGCTGGGATTATAGGCGTGAGCCACAGCACCTGGCTGGAGCTGTCAGATTCTACTGCTACCTGGAGAGTGTCCTATAAACAGCAAAGAGCTTCTTGGTTTATAATCGCAGTTCCAAGGTGAATGTGCAGCATCTTGTTTGGAAGGCTAAGAAGGTAAAAACAACTTACCTTATAGGCTATTGCATTCTGTTTGCCACTACATTTGGGTTTTTACTGATTCATGGGTGGTGCATACTGACGTGATCATATGGTCAGGCTGAAGAGCAATAGAAAACTGCCCTCTTAAAGGGATCCCCTAAGAAAATCACTATGGAAATTTGAGGGATAGATTAAAGTAGGACATATCAATGCCCAATAGAAGAATCACTTTCCTGGATTGGAAGGTGATTGGCACCAGTGAGTGAATTTCCCAGTGTGCTCACTTGAGGTGGCCACCTGGGTCCATGGAATGAGTGGACCTAAGAATACTGTGGCAATGTAGAGATCTAGACATATTCCTCTTGCACCCTTTGAAGCACAAAATGCCAACAAGAACTGTTTTGTCTGCCAGCAAGAGAGACAGAGAATGCAGGTGGCCCTGGGGCACATTCCCCCGTTGGAAGGCCTCACACATAGCTGGTAGATAGATTACATTGAACAAATGCTGGCAGCCCTGGGGGCTACAAATGGGGTCTGACAGGAATAGACACTTACTTTGGTTTTTTGGTTTTTTTGTTTTTGAGATGGAGTCTTGGTCTGTCACCCAGGCTGGAGTGCAGTGGTGTGATCTCCGCTCACTGCTACCTCCTCCTCCTGGGTTCAAGTGATTCTCCTGTCTCAGCCTCCCGAGTAGCTGGGATTACAGTCGCCTGCCACCACACCTGACTAATTCTTTTGTAGTTTTAATAGAGACTGGGTTTCACCATGTTGACCAGGCTGGTCTCAAAATTTGACCTCAGGTGATCCATCTGCCTTGGCCTCCCAAAGTGCTGGGATTACGGGCGTAAGCCACTGCACCCGGCCAGGAATAGACACTTACTTTGGACTGGGCTTTGCACACCTAGTGGTAGATACGAATGCTGAAAATACTATTAAATTATTGGAACAAAAGATACTGTACTAATTTGGACCACCAAGTTACATTTCTTCAAACCAAGAGTCACACTTTACAGCCCATGATGTCCAACAGTGGACAAAGAGATATCACATCAAACAGACATACCACGTTGCATTGTCATCCTCAGAGTAGCAGTTTAATAGGGAATTGGAATGAGCACTTGAAACATTCATTGTCTAAAATGAGGTGAGTGAGGGTGCAGTGGCTCATGCCTATAATCCCAGCACTTTGGGAGGACGAGGCGGGAGGATCACTTTAGCGCAAGAGTTCAAAGCTGCAGTGAGATATCATGCCACTGCACTCCAGCCTGGGCAACAAAACAAGAACCTGTCTCTAAAAAAAAAAAACCAAATAAAATAAGAAAATAAAATTTAAAAATCAAGTAAAATGGGGGAGGGGATAAAGTTATGAAGCACTTGTTTAAATGTTTTCATGAGGGTATGCTCACATGCACCATGAGGGGGCCAAGGGAGAATCCCCATTGGAGAGATTCCTCCATTTTTCTAGGAAAATCTAGGGGAGAGGGGTTGAGGGAGGGTGTTGGTATGACTATATGATTCTTGCCCACATCACCTCAACTTTCTTTTTTGCCATCTGATGCAGAGGTTCCAGGACTAGAGATACATCTGCAGGTGCCAGAAGCATAGATAATTCCTAGGCAAGACATTGTAACTATACCTTTAAATCTTTATTTCAGCATTTCTAAGGACCCTATAGGTTAAGTTGTGCCCTCAACCCATCTGGCAAAATTTGAGTTGACAGTAAATGCTGCTGTATCATCCAGTGGCTAAGATAGTCCATTAGTCCTGTAGCTATATAGCCCTAATCTATATAAATTGGAGTGGACTGAAGGGGAGGCACTTGTTAAACTACTATTGTTGCCAGCAATCTGGACTAGCACAGTGGCCTCTCCTAATGTCCCTTCCAAAGGTAGAAAAGTTTGGGTATAAATGAGAGAATGAAGAATAATAGCTGAGGGTATGGAATGAATAACCCAATTAGGGAAATCCAATATTATGCTAACACTTTGAAAGAGACCCAGAGCAAGGGATGATATGGTTATACCAGAGGTCTGAAAGGATGAAGCCATATTTTGCTGAGACCACACCTGCTTTTGGAATTTAACAAGATTGAATGGAAGCCTGCACACCTGGGTGGCCTTTCTGTGGGAGACATTTTGGTCATAGTATATGATAATGAACTGATTACTCTTATATTTCATATTACATCTACCTCAATTTGATATAATACAGCCATTATTGGCAAGATTATAATACTGTACTGAAACTGATAGCCAAATGTATTGCAAAATTGGATTTAAGACCTCCTATCCCTACCCCACACTGACTTCTCCAAATATTAGGCATATTCATGTTGGTACTATTGCTGTATCTGTTATATAAATGCTACACCAAATGTGGATGATCAGACAGGTATGATCCTTTTGCTGAAAAGGCTAGGGGGTGGCCTGTGATATAATAAAGAATATGTCTGGTCTTCAACCCCAGTTCCTGGCACAGAGCTTCAAAAATCTTTAGAATTATAGGAGCCTGTTATGCTAATGAGTTGTGCAAGGCAGGTTTACTCTGCACTGGTTACCAACTTATCTGAGGCTGGTGAGACACAACACCCTCACACAAATTACATGAAGTAGTTTTATTACTTACAGAAAGACAGCAAAGGACAGCAGAAGCCTAGGATTCATGTTGAGCTGGTCTTCCAAGGCTCAGGAAAGTTACCAAGGTAGATGAAGCTTTGTTTGTACATACTCCACTTGCGCCGCAGCTGAGGGACCCTGGATAGCAGCCCACCCTGGGCTTTATACCCCAGGGGTAACATGACATGCTGGGCTAAAGTGTTGAAGGACATCCTGTTTCTAGGGGGGACTGGAACAGAGCCCAGGCTGTTCCAGCCAGTCGCTCCTTATCACTGGATGTTGCATTCACAGAATATTCTAGTTATTTTTGAGAACTACAAGCAAAAAAGAGAGAACTGGGTCAGTTCAAGGCCACCAGCATAACTGTTCTGCAAGGTGATTCTTGGCAGGGCCTCTAGATGACTATGAGATGGAGAAGGGCCATCCATGTGACTAGAGGGTTGGCATTCTTAGTCCCTCCCCCTGACTTCAGGGAGGGGAATGGGGCTGGAATTGAGTTCAATCATGCAGCCAGTGATTTACTCAATTATGCCTGCATAATGAAACCTTCATGGAAACTCTGGACAATGAACCTCAGGGAGCTTTCCAATTAGTGAAGACGCTGATATACCAGGAGGGTGATGGACCCTGACTCCACAGGGACAGAAGCTCCTGCACCGAAGACCTTTCCAAACCTTTCCCTTTATTCCTCTTCATATGACTATTCATTTGTATCCTTTATAATAAAAAGGTAATAGTAAGCACTTCTCTGAGTTCTGCGAGTCATTCAAGTGAATTACTGAATCTGGGGTGGGGTCATGGGAAACCCCTGAATCTGTAGCCAAGTCAGACAAATGTGTGAGTAGCCTGGTGATCCCACTTGCAGCTGGCATTTGAATTAAGGTCAGTCTTGTTGGGGACCTTGTATTTTAACTCACAGGACCTGACACTAACTCCAGGTAGTCAGTATCAGAGTTGAATTGAATCATAGGACCCTCAGCTGGTGTGAGAGAATTAGTGTCAGACACAGTAACTGTAGCATTTACTTGAGTTCTGCGAGCTGTTCTAGTGAATTGTCAAGCCTGAAGGAGTAGTGGAACACCAAAACCTGTAGACATCTGGAGTGAGGAAGGCCTGGGGACCTCTTAACTTGAGACTGTTCTCAGAAGTGCAGTCTCACGGAGGACAATGCCCTTTATGGTGAAACTTGGCCAAACTCCAGGAGGTTGGTGACAGAACTCTATTATGAAACATTATCCACAGTAGAAAGGGAAGAAGTACTCAGACATGCTACAACGTAGATGAACACTGAAAATATAATGCTAAATGGAAAAAAACAGACACAAAAGGCCACACAGTGTATAATTCTATTTATATGAAATGTCCAGAATTGGCTAATCTGTAAAGGCAGAAAATAGAAGAGTGGTTGCTTAGGGTTGGAGGGTGCAGTGGGCTTGGGTTAGGGAGGCAATAGCTAAAGGGAACCAAATTTCCTTATGAAGTGATGGAAACGTTCTAAAATTAACTGTGGTATACTGAACTAGTTATGGATAAAATACTGGGATGTCTGAGATTTGCTTCAAAATAATCCGCTGGGGATGGGAGGAGAACAAAAGAAGTAAGACTGGCCAGAATTTGGTAATTTCTGAAGCTGGGTACCTGGAGGTTCATTATACTATTCTCTCCAGTGTTATACATGTTTGAAAGTTTTCATAAAAGGAAAAAAATAAAAGAAACTTATGCAGTGTTCTCTCACAAGAGAAGGGAATGTCACTTCCCTTAGTAGGTTACGAGGTCCAGATCCACCCCTCCCTAGCCCTCAGATGAGATTCATGAATTATTGAGGGGAAGCTGAGAGGCATAGAGGGCATGGACTGTGGAGAGGTGGTGAGCGCAGGGGCTGGTTTGGCCCAGGCAACTCAGCCTCCTTGAGGGGCCCTCATGGTCTCTCCCAACCCACATGCCATGCTGACCGTGGTGGTAGAAGTGGAGTCGGGGAGGGGTTCAGGTAAGATGCCCTCCCCATTTATACTCAGAAGGAATGCAGTCCAGGACAGCCTCTTGGAAGAGGGGGAGGGTTAGGCCACCTTAGGTTGGAAAACTGAGGCAAAGTTTGAGGGCAGAACTCAGGAATCCCAGAGCCAGTTTTCCTCATGAGAGCTGATATGCAGTCTACCTTTCTCAGGCCCTGAGGACAGCTGTAGCCCCACACACCTGGTGGGGCCCACAAACCTCTGTTTGCTTCATTTTGGGACTCTAGAGACTCAGGTGGATGGGCGTTGTGTGTGTGTTGGGGTGGGGGGTGGGGGGGAGGGGAGTGGGGCGGGGAGTGCAGGGGAAGATGGGAATATCATGGTTGACCCCAGCCCTGCCCACAGGAACAAAACTTCACCTTTGACAGTCCTGGGCCCTGATGCTGCTCAGGTAGGGAGGTCTGGGAGGGTGATGAGAGGAGGGTGGGAGCCCTCAGGCCCCTGGATCCTGGAGTGCCAGCTGCCTCCAGAGCTCCTTTGCTCAGGGCACCTGAGTCAGTGGACTGTGCCTGTGTGTCCCTGCAGGAGGCAGAGCAGGAGCTGCTGGCACGTGTCCAATCCACACTGGGCTCTCTGGGCCGAGGGTACAGTGTGGCCCTGTTGCTCCGGGGGAGGGAAACAGAGGCACCCCGACTTGTGCCTCAGGTGAGTCCCAGAGGAGCCACCAGGGCGCAGGCCTCATGCAGCTCAGGGGTTACCTTCCCCGGAGACTTCTGAGAATCTTCCCTCCCCACATCAGCCCTCACTGGGGCTCCTACAGCAAGCATCCTGTTGGTCCCCGCAAGATGTTTTGCCAAGGTCAATTTATGCAGCTACTGGGAGGTCATGGAAGGTGGGAAGGGGCCGGGCGTGGTGGTTCACACCTGTAATCCCAGCACTTTGGGAGGCCGAGGTGGGTGGATCACCTGAGGTCAGGAGTTCAAGACCAGCCTGGCCAACATGGCAAAACCCCATCTCTACTAAAAATACAAAAATTAGCTGGGCGTGGTGGCGGACACCTTTAATCCCAGCTTCTTGGGAGGCTGAGGCAGGAGAATCACTTGAATCTGGGAGGCAGAGGTTGCAGTGAGCCGAGATCATGCCATTGCACTACAGCCTGGGCGACAAGAGCAAAATTCCGTCTCAAAAAAAAAAGGCGTTTTTCGGGAGTCAAGATGGCCGAATACGAACAGCTCAGGTCTACAGCTCCCAGCGTGAGCGACGCAGAAGACGGGTGATTTCTGCATTTCCATCTGAGGTACCGGGTTCATCTCACTAGGGAGTGTCAGACAGTGGGCGCAGGACAGTGGGTGCAGCACACCGTGCGTGAGCCAAAGCAGGGCGAGGCATTGCCTCACTCGGGAAGCGCAAGGGGTCAGGGAGTTCCCTTTCCTAGTCAAAGAAAGGGGTGACACACGGCACCTGGAAAATCGGGTCACTCCCGCTCCAATACTGCGCTTTTCTGACGGGCTTAAAAAACGGGGCACCAGAAGATTACATCCCGCACCTGGCTCGGAGGGTCCTATGCCCACGGAGTCTCGCTGATTGCTAGCACAGCAGTCTGAGATCAAACTGCAAGGCGGCAGCGAGGCTGGGGGAGGGGCGCCCGCCATTGCCCAGGCTTGCTTAGGTAAACAAAGTAGCAGGGAAGCTGGAACTGGGTGGAGCTCACCACAGCTCAAGGTGCTGGAGAGGATATGGAGAAATAGGAACACTTTTACACTGTTGGTGGGACTGTAAACTAGTTCGACCATTGTGGAAGTCAGTGGGGCGATTCCTCAGGGATCTAGAACTAGAAATACCATTTGACCCATCCATCCCATTACTGGGTATATACCCAAAGGACTATAAATCATGCTGCTATAAAGACACATGCACACGTATGTTTATTGCGGCTCTATTCACAATAGCAAAGACTTGGAACCAACCCAAATGTCCAACAATGATAGACTGGATTAAGAAAATGTGGCACATATACACCATGGAATACTATGCAGCCATAAAAAATGATGAGTTCATGTCCTTTGTAGGGACATGGATGAAATTGGAAATCATCATTCTCAGTAAACTATCGCAAGGACAAAAAACCAAACACCGCATATTCTCACTCATAGGTGGGAATTGAACAATGAGATCACATGGACACAGGAAGGGGAACATCACACTCTGGGGACTGTTGTGGGGTGGGGGGAGGGGGGAGGGATAGCACTGGGAGATATACCTAATGCTAAATGACGAGTTAATGGGTGCAGCACACCAGCATGGCACATGTATACATATGTAACTAACCTGCACATTGTGCACATGTACCCTAAAACTTAAAGTGTAATAATAATAAAATTTTTTTTAAAAGCTGGAAATAAAGCCAAAAGTATACCAAAAAAAAAAGGCAAAACAAAAAAATTTTTTTTTAATTAAAAAATAAAATAAAGGAAGATGGGCTGATAGGGTGAGGGTTAGAGAGGGGTGGCATGAAAAGATCAAATATCCAGGGAGATCTGATTTTCACAGTTCATGGTGAATACTAATTATAAGCTTGGAAGCTTTATTGTGGGGGCTTCGTCAAAATGCCCCCAAACCAAAATAGCTGCCTCAGAACTTGTCGTGGATCCCTGTGCAGCAAACAGCAGATCCCACTGAGGATGTCTGCTCACTTTCTGGCTTGCTGTGAAGAAGAAGACTGGTGCTATTTCTCTCCTGGATACCATGTCCCCAGTAGTATGGGGCATGACTCAGACTTCATGCTCAGGAAATGCTGAAGGACAGATTCATGCTTTCTTAATCCTCATTGAACGCTTCTCCACTTTAGCTGCTGCAGATGCTGTTTGAAGAAGCTCTGCCCCTCAGCTGCTCTGATCCTGTGCTTAGCACTCTTAGCCTGGTGCAGGTGAGACCCTTGAGGGAGGGGAGAGAGTGGGACCTGGGAACCAGGGCCAGGGCAATGTTGCAGAAGGAGCCCGAGGTTTGTGGGGAGCCAGAGAGTGTGTGTCCAGTCTCACTCTACTGCTCACTGGCATGGGCGTGCCTCTCTGAGGTCTCCTCTCCTCTGACTGCAAAAAGGCTGAATTCATGGTGCCATGTTTGGACCCCAGGAGGATCATGTGAGCTGAAAGTAGGGAAAGGTTCAGTTTGTAACAAGTGTGCTTGTGTGACCCCAGTTCAGCCCCAGTGGAAGGACCCAGGACCTGCTCTCTCCAGGGGTGGAGAACCTGTCGGTGCTGGACGTGTCCCCTCTGGGCTTGTGAGTGTTCAGGGCCCAGTGGAGTCTGAGGGTGCTTGTCTTAAGGCATGGCTGCCTCCCTGAAGCCGAGCTTTTGGGGGTCTCCACCCACTGCCATCCCAGGGGAAGAAAGCTCTGAGCTTGGGGTCATGCTTACAGGGTCAGGGGCTGCTCTCAGGATCCCCTCCCACCCTCTTCCTTAATCTTATGTGCCCATCCCTCTCACTCCCCTCACCCCACTTACAACTCTTCAACTTACACCACCTCAACTCTATTCCCCAGCCCCATGTCCTGACTCAGTCATTGTCACACTGGGTGATTTTGAGCATCTCACTGAGCAGGACTTCAGTTTCTCCATCTGAAAATGGGAGTGATCTCAACTACCCTGTTCACAGGAGGGAAAATAAAATCATGAGGATGAGAAATGTTTAGGGAGGTTATAGGCTATGGGGACCTCCAAGGGCTCCCCACATGGAGGTTCTGGGGGTCTGGACAGAACCCTGGTGCTTCGGAGCTGAGCTCAGCCTCTGCTTCCTCCAGGGTGGTAGAAGATGCCACTGAAGTGGAGGTGTCTGACTCAAAAGCTGCCTCAGAGCTGTACTTGCAGGCCACCGCAGGTGAAGGCAGGTGAGGGCAGGAGAGTATCTGTCACCCCATCCCCGCTAGGCATTTGGCCTGAGTCCACCCTTTCCTCCACAGGGCCTGCTGTCTGCTCACTCTCACCATGTCCTGCCCAGGGCCTGACCCTCCTGAGGGGCCCGGGACCCAGCGTGTGTGGCAAGGGGCTCTACGGATCCTACAGCTCCCAGGAGCCCCGTAAGTCTGAGGGGGCCTTCTGACTGCATTGAAGGGTGAGGTGGGGAGTTGAATTACAGATGGAAAGGCCCAAGGTAGCATCAAAGTCTCTCCTCTCCTCAACCCCATAATAAGAGCATCCCAGAACACAAGTTAAGCCCCGTTGTTGGCAGATGATGTGGTCAAAAGCAACTGGATAGAGAGTTAGTGAAACCAATAAATAAAAATAAATATTTCCCAGCCTGGGCAACCTGCCAAAACCCCATCTCTACAAAAAATACCAAAAAAAAATAGTCAGGCATGGTGGCACACATCTGTAGTCCCAGCTACTCAGGAGGCTGAGGTGGGAGGATGGCTTGAGCCCAGGAGATTGAGGCTGCAATGAGCCATGATCATACCACTGCACTACAGCGTGGGTGACAGAGTGAGTCTCAAAAAATATAAATAAATAAATAAATATTTCCAGCCACTGTTTTTTTTTTCATATGTTGATAAGTGCACCAGGGACATTTTTTTTAATGCAAAAGTTAAATGTATTTTATCTTCATTCTATTATTAGCAGATAATAAAAATAGCTGCTATTTACAGCAAAATATCATGTAATTTTAGATTCATCACTTTTTATTCCTATGGAAAAGCAACACTGGCATGTATTGTTGCTGAAGGTGAAGCAGCTTTTTGATTCTCTTCTGTTCCACTCTGTGTTCTGAGATGTGTATCAGACACCGGCCATACACCCCAGATGTGCTCGGGGCACAGCCTGGCCCTACGGAGCACTCTAGTCTGCAGGTGGGCACCTAAGGCCCTACCATTCCCGCTTCTTATTGTCATATTTACTTAGTTCTCAGCACCTCTGTCCATCTTTAAATGACTTAAGCAAGAGTACATTACAGTAGCTTAGATGTTCCTAAGCTTCCACAGAGCACATCCCATCTGTGACAACGATTCAGAAAAAGAACAAAATTTCTTTTATTCTTAAGGGTACACAGCATAAGAGAACAGCTTAGGCAGTTTACTGTAACTGATTGTCCTGATGTCCTTATCCATAAACTAAAAAATCCCCACAGAAGCTTCTGTAAGTATAATGTGAAATAAGTCTATAAACACAACAGCAACAACAACAAGAATGTAAACCAAATGCCCAGTTATGGGAAACTGGTGAAGAAATTTACTGGTAAACCCACTGTAATGGTGTGTGTGTGTGTGTGTGTGTGTGTGTGTGTGTGTGTGTGTACATGTCAACTTGGCTCAGTGACAGTCTCTAGTTATTTAAGCTAGGTGCTGCTGTGAAGGTATTTTGCAGATGTGATGGATATTAAGAGTATCCTGAAAGATCTGGGTGAGCCCAATTCAATCAGTTGAAAAGCTTTAAAAGCAGAAGTCTAAAAAGGCCTTAAAAGCTGAAGCTTCCCTGAAAAAGAAAAGAAATTCCATCCATGGGCAGTGGCATCTGCTGTACTTGTGCCTGCGGAGTTCCATTCTGCTCATTCTCTTCCCTCCTGGCTGCCCACAGACAATAGTTGTGGTCTGTGCCCATGACCTTCCTGATTCTGGACTTGCTTAGCCAGCACCCACAATCTTGTAAGCCATTTCCTTTAACAAATTTGTATATATATGAAAAACACTGGTTCTTCCTCTCTAATTAAAGCCTGGCCAACACACTCACAAATTAGAAGGGGATGCTGCTGTTAGAAGGAATAATGTATACATTTTAGGCCCTTCAAGACTCCAATAAATGATAGTAAAATAACAGCAAAGAAAAATCTTACTTTGGGTAAGAAATCACAGATTAATACACCAGGGACAGTTTTGCAAATAGCGTCTTCAAGCATTTTTGTCTGATTTTTCAGACTTTTTTATTTACCACTTTTTTATTTTTACATTACTAATTCCTTTTCAGCTACTTATATCTCTTCTGATCTATCAGATTGAAAACTTGGAAAGAAACTAAATGTTCAAAGCCAAGACTGGGAAATTCCCCAAAAATCATATCTTCAAGCCCCACTTTACATCCTTTACTCAGTGCTCTAAAGTTATGAAAATATGAAGTAATGATAGGAAATAGTTATTTCGAACCAGCTTGCGTGTTTGTAATATCATGGAAATGTTGCCAAATTCAGAAGTGCCTGAAAACAAATTGTAGTAAAACAAAACAGAAGGGGAAAATGTACCCTAAATTCCCAACTATTATAAAGTCTTTTCTTTCTTTTATCATGTATGCTTCTTTTTTTAAAAAAAAAAATAACAGCTTTATTAACATATAATTTACACACCCTAAAGTTCACTCTTTTGAAATGTACAATTCAGTGGTTTTTTAGTATATTCACAACATTGTGCACTGATGAGCACTATCTAATTTTAGAACATTTCATCACCCCAGAAAGGAAACCCGTTTCCATTTCCAAGCATTCCTCATCCTGCCATCCACTCCGGCCCAAGGCAATCGCTAATCTATTTTCTGTCTCTGTAGATTTGCTACTCTGGGCTTTTCATGTAAATGGAACCATACAATATGTGGTCTTCCTGTCTGGCTTCTTTCATTTAGGATATTTTCAAGGTTTATCCACTTGTGTGAATCAGAATTTTATTCTTTTTTATTGACAAATAATGTTCCATTATATGGATATACCGCATTTTGTTTATCCATTCATCCGTTGATGGGCATTTGGATTGTTTCCACTTTTGGCTACTATATATTTTTTTTCTTTTCTTTCTTTCTTTCTTTTTTTTTTTTTTTTTGAGATGGAGTCTTACTCTGTCACCGAAGCTGGAGTGCAATGGCATGATCTCGGCTCACTGCAACCTCTGCCTCCCAGGTTCAAGTGATTTTCCTGCCTCAGCCTGCCAAGCAGCTGGGATTACAGGCACCCACCATCACACCCAGCTAATTTTTGTATTTTTAGTAGAGATGGGGTTTCATTGTTGGCCAGGCTGGTCTCGAACTCCTGACCTCAAATGATCTGCCTGCCTCGGCCTCCCAAAGTGCTGGGATTACAGGCATGAGCCACCATGCCTGGCCATCTTTTCTTTTCTTTCTTTCTCCCTTTATTAGAGATGTAGTCTCACTTTGTTGCCCAGGCTAGTCTCAAACTCCTGGCCTCAAGCGATCCTCCCATCTCAGATTCCCAAGTCACTGGGATTACAGGCATGAGCCACTATGCCTAGCTACACTTTTGGCTATTTTAAATAATGTTGCTATGAACATTCACATATAAGTTTTTATTTAGACATGTGTTTTCAATTATCTCAGACACATAACAAGAAGTGGTGTTGCTGGGTCATATGGTAACTGTTTTAAAAGTTGTTTGTATGTTTGTCTTTATTGAGGTAAAGTCCACATAATATAAAATTAACCATTAGCCATTTTATAATGTACAATTTAGTGACTCCTAGTACATTCACAATGTTGTGGAACTATCTAGTTCCATCATTTGGCTATTGTGAATAGTGCTGCTACGAACATTCATGTACAAGTATTGGTTTGAATACCTCTTTTCAATTATTTTGGGTATTTACCTAGGAGTGGAATAGCTGGGTCATATGGATATGGTAAGTCTATGTTTAACTTTTAAGGAACTACCACACTGCTTTCTACAGCACTGCACCATTTTGTATTTCCTCCAGCAATGTACGATGGTTCCAACTTCTCCATAATTACCAACATTTGTTATTTTCCATGTTTTTGATTATGGCCAACCTAGTGGTTTTGAAGTGGCATCTCATTTTTATTTGATTTGCATTTCCCTAATGACTAGTTATATTAAGCATCTATTCATGTGGTTGTTGCCCATCTCTAGATCTTCTTTGGAGAAACGTCTATTCAAATCCTTTGCCCATTTTTAAATTGGGTTATTTGTGTCTTTCTTGTGTGTTATGAGTTCTTTATATATTCTGTATACTAGACCCTTATCAGCTACGTGATTTGCAAACATTTTCTTCTGTTTTGTAGGTTATCTTTTCACTTTCTTTCTTTCCTTCTTTTTTTAAGATGGAGTTTTGCTCTTGTTGCGCAGGCTGCAGTGCAACGGCATCATTGGCAACCTCTGCCTCTTGGGTCCAAGAAATTATCCTGCCTCAGCCTCCCAAATAGCTGGGATTACAGGTGCCTGCCACCCTGCCTGGCTATCTTTTTACTTTTTTGATAGTGTCCGTTGATACACTAAACTTTAAAATTTTTATGAAGCCCAATTTATCTGTTTTTCCTTTTGTTGCTCATGCTTTTGGTGTTATACCTAAGCAACCATTGCAAAATCCAAGGTCAGGAAGATTCACCCCTAGGTTTTCTTCTAATAGTTTTATAGCTTTGTCTCTTACATTTAGGTCATTGATCCATTTTGAGTTAATTTTTTGTATTAGTATGGAGTAATGGTCCAACTTCATTCTCTCCAGTTCTCCCAGCACCATTTGCTAAAGAGACTATTATTTCCAATTGACTGGTCCTGGCACCCTTGTCAAAAATCAGTTGGCCACATATATATGGATTTATGTCACGACGCTCAATGATATTACATTGATTTATATAGCCTTTACCATATTGTGAAACTTCTCTTTTATTTCTACGTTCTTGAATGTTTTTTAATCATGAAAAGGTGTCAGTTCTTGTCAAAGGCTATCTTCATGGCAATACCATACTGTTTTAATTTAACTTAATTTAATTTTGTTTTATAGACAGGGTCTCCCTCCATCACCCAGGCTGGAATGCAGTCATGCGGTCAAGGCTCACTGCAGCCTTGACCTCTCAGGCTCAAGTGACCCTCCTGCCTTAGCCTCCCAAGTATCTGGGACCACAGGCACACACCACCACACCTAGCTAATTAAAAAAAATTTTTTTTTGTAGAAATAAGGTCTCATTACTTTGCCCAGGCTGGTCTCAAATTCCTGGGCTCAAGCTATCCTCCCATCTTGGCCTTCCAAAGTGTTGGGATTACAGGGGTGAACCACTGGGCCCAGCCTGACACTATATTATTTACTGTAGCTTCGTAGTAAGCTTTGAAATGGAAAAGTGTAAGTCCTTCAACTTTGTTCTTTTCTTTCTTTTTTTTTGAGATAGAGTCTTGCTCTGTTTCCCAGGCTGGAGTGCAGTGGCGTGATCTTGGCTCACTGCAACCTCTGCCTCCTGGGTTTAAGTATTCTCCTTCCTCAGCCTTCTGAGTAGCTGGGATTACAAGCGCACGCCACCACTCCCGGCTAATTTTTGTAGTTTTAGTAGAGACAGGGTTTCACCATGTTGGTCAGGCTGGTCTCGAACTTCTGACCTCGTGATCCGCCCACCTTGGCCTCCCAAAGTGCTGGGATTACAGGCGTGAGCCACCACGCCCGGCCCTCAACTTTATTCTTTTTTTCAACATTGTTTGGGCTATTCAGGGCTCCTTGCAATTCCATAGGAATTTTAGGATTTGGCTTTTCCATTTCTAAAAAAAAAAAAAAAAAAAAAAAAAACGGCCATTGGGATTTTGATAGGCATTGTATTGAATCTCTAGATTTGTTGGGGAATACGGTCATCTTCATGATATGAAGTCTTCCAATTCATGAACAATGAGCACAGGCTGTTTTTTCATATATTTAGGTTCTCTTTATTTCAGCAGTGTTTTACAGTTTTCAGGGTATAAGATTTACACTTCCTTGGTTAAATTTATTTCTTAGCATTTTATTATTTTTGATGTTATTATAAGTGGAATTTAAAAAATTCCTGGCCAAGAGCAGTGGCTCATACCTGTAATCCTAGCACTTTGGGAGGCCGAGGTGGGTGGATCACCTGGGGTCAGGAGTTCGAGACCAGCCTGGCCAACATGGTGAAACCCCGTCTCTACTAAAAATAAAAAATTAGCCGGGTGTGGTGGCAGGTGCCTGTAGTCCCAGCTACTTGGGAGGCTGAGGCAGGAGAATCGCTTGAACCCAGGAGGTGGAGGTTGCAGTGATCTGAGATTCCACCACTGCACTCCAGCCTGGGCAACAGAGTGAGACTCCATCTCAAAAAAAAAAAAATTCCTTTTTGGACTGTTCATTTCTAGTGTATGGAAAGTAAGTATTTTCGGCTGGGCACTGTGGCTCATGCCTGCAATCCCAGCACTTTGGGAGGCCATGCTGGGAGGATTGCTTGAGCCCAGAAGTTTGAGACCAACCTGGGCAATATAGTGAGACTTCATCTCTACAAAAAAATAAAAAAATTAGCTGGGCATGATGGTGCATGCCTGTACTCCCATCTGCTCAATAGGCTGACATGGGAGGTCTAGGCTGCAGTGAGCCTTGATCACATCACTGCATACCAGCCTTGGTGACATAGCTAGACCCTATCTCAAAAAACAGAAAAAAGAAATACAACTGATTTTTTTTTTTTTGAGACGGAGTCTTGCTCTGTCGCCCAGGCTGGAGTGCAGTGGCATGATCTTGGCTCACTGCAACCTCCGCCTCCTGGGCTCAAGCAGTTCTCTGCCTCAGCCTCCTGAGTAGCTGGGATTACAGGCCCCTGCCACCATGCCTGGCTAATTTTTTTGTATTTTTAGTAGAGACGGGGTTTCACCATCTTGGCCAGGCTGGTATTGAACTCCTGACCTCGTGATCCACCTGCCTCGGCCTCCCAAAGTGCTGGGATTACAGGCGTGAGTCACCATGCCCGGCTATACAACTGATTTTTGCGTGTTGATTTTGTATTCTGCAACTTTACTGAATTTGATTATTAGTTCTAATAGTTCTTTTTGGATGTGGATTTTTTAGGATGTTCTGTATATAAAATTATATCATTTGCAAATTGAGATAGTTTTATTTCTTCCTTTCCTATTTCAATAGTTTTGTTTCTTTTTCTTGCCTGATTGTTCTGGCTTGAACTTTTAATACAAGGTTGAATGGCAGTGGTGATAGTAGTCATACTTATATTGTTCTTGATCTGAGGGGGAAGATTTTAGTCTTTCACCATTGCTTGTGATATCGGCTGTGGGTTTTTCTATATATGCCCTTAATCATGTTATGAAATTTCCCTTCTATTCCTATTTTGTTGAGCATTTTCTTATGAAAGGATGTTGGATATTGTCAAAGGCTTTTCTGCATCAGTTGAAATGATCATCATATTTTTTCTTCATTCTATTAATGTGGTATATTATATATTGATTTATTTTCATGTTGAACTACCCTTGCATTCCTGGGATAAATCTCAGTTGGTCATGATGTATACTTCTAATACTCAGTGGATTCCATTGGCTAGTATTTTGTTGAGAGCTTTTGAGTCTACATTCAAAAGAATATTGGTGTGTAATTTTATTTTCTTGTGTTGTCTTTGGTTTTGGTATTGGGGCAATGTTGGTCTCATAGGATGAGTTAGGAAGTCTTCCTTCTTATTCCATTTTTTGGAGCAGTGTGAGAGGAATTGGTGTTACTTATTCTTCAACTGTTTGCTAGAATTCACCATTGAAGCCATTTGGTCCTGGATTTTTCTTTGTTGGGAGGTTTTTGATTACTGATTCAATCTCGCTTTTTTTTTCTTTTTTTTTTTGAGATGGAGTCTCTCTCTGTCACCCAGGCTGGAATGCAGTGGCATGATCTCAGCTCACTGCAACCTCCACCTCCCTTGTTCAAGCAATTCTTCTGCCTCAGCCTCCTGAGTAGCTGGGATTACAGGCACGCACCACCATGACTGTCTAATTTTTGTATTTTTTTTAGTAGAGTTGGGGTTTCACCATGTTAGTCAGGCTGGGCTCAAACTCCTGACCTCATGATCCACCCGCCTCGGTCTCCCAAAGTGTGATTACACACGTGAGCCACTGCACCCAGCCCGATTCAATCTCTTTACCTGGTATAGGTCTATTCGGAATTTCTATTTCTTCTGGAGTCAGTTTTGATCATTTGTGTGTTTCTAGGAATTTGTCCATTTCATCTAAGTTCTCTAATTTGTTGGTATATAATTGTTTGTGGCATTCTCTTGTAATCCTTTTTACTTCTGTAAGGTTGGTAGCAATGCCCTCACTTTCATTTCTAATGTTAGTAATATGAATCTTCTGTCTTTCTTAGTCAATCTAGCTAAAGGTTTGTCCATTTTAAAATTTTTTAAAAGAGAAAAGCCTTTTTGGCTGGACACAGTGGCTCATATCTGTAATCCCAGCACTTTGGGAGGCCAAGGTGCGTGGATAACAAGGTGAGGAGATCGAGACCAGCCTGGTCAACATGGTGAAACCCCTTCTCTACTAAAAATACAAAAATTAGCTGGGTGTGGTGGCATGGTTGTAATTCTAGCTACTCAAGAGGCTGAGGCAGGGGAATTGCTTGAACCAGGGAGTTGGATGTTGCAGTGAGCCAAGATCGCACCACTGCAGTCCAGCCTGGTGACAGAGCGAGACTCCAACTAAAAAAAAAAAAAGAGAGAAAGAAAAGCCTTTTTAATATGAAAACTATGTATTTGGGGACAAAAATGCAATACACAGTAAGAAACCATATTCTATTAATTATGACATTCTGTAATCTACAAACAGAAAATTTTGTTATTAAGAAATGCCAAGAGGAAAAAGAACTCTATAAAGCACTATTCAATTTACTTTGTTAGGGAAAAGGATGTTTATTTGGCTCTTGTCACAGTTCCATCATGTCTACTCTCCTTGTAAGTTCAGCTTCAATGCTATCTAATTCTCACTTTGCTTCTTCAATTTTCACTTGAGCAAGAGGGGAATTTGGCATTAAGTCTAAATAGGACTCAAATTTTTTCTTCAAAGGTATAGTCTGTTTTAATTTTGCCAGTTTCTCTGACAGTGCTACTAGGGACTGATGAGACAGAGAAGCATCCATGCCTCTGGCTGAAAGTTGCTCCTCTGCAGCCTTGATTCCAAATCTGAATTCCTGTGACTTTGCTTTTAGAAAGTCCATGTTCTGATGACGATTATCAAGTTTGGCCCTTTCTGTAGACAGATCCAACTCTGCTTTCTTGAGATCCTCTTGTAGACATTTTTCTAATATTAAGTTGCAGTTAGATTTTTTTCAAGTTTTTCCAGTTCAATCTTGATTTCTTCACCTTTGGATTTGGTATGAAAGAGATCAGAGGTCAAATCATTCACCGCAAGGATAAAACTAGCTAGTGAGGTATCCTTTGTTTCAAGGGCCACCGCACTGTCAACCAATGCATTCAGATACCTGGAACCAGTGCTAGAGAAATTGGCAGGGGAAAAATTCACACTATCCATGAGAAGGTCTTGAAGATACTATAGGCTTCTGACTCATATTCACTTGCTTTCTGCTTCAAGTCCTCTATTACCAGGTAGACATCCCTGTCCCGGACCCTGTTGGGTTCTGAAAGGTGATGTAAAATCTCTGTGGTCCGTGGGTTCACCTCATACTGTGGAATGGGATGATCTCCAAATATTTATTTTAACCATGCAGCAACCTGCATTTCTTTCTCCTCCAGCGGCTCCATAGCTACCACTCCTGTTCATTTAAAATTTTTTTTTCAAGGAATCAACTTTGGTTTCATTGATTTTCTATTATTTTATATTCTCTTTTTCATTTATCTCTGTTTGGATCTTTATTCTTTTCTTTCTTCTATTAGCTTTGGGTTTATTTTTCTCTTTTTCTAGTTCCTTGAGGTGTCCAGTTAAATTATTGGTTTCAGAGCTTCCTTTTTCATGTAGATGTTTATACTTACAAATTTCCCTCTAAGCACTACTTTTGCTTCATCACATAAGTATTGATATGTTGTGTTTTTGTTTTCATTTCTCTGAAAGTATTTTCTAATTCTCCATGTGATTTCTCTTCTGACCCACTGGTTGTTTAATTTCTACATATTTGTGAATTTTCCAGTTTCTCTTCTGTTACTCATTTCTAGTTTATTCCACTATGGCTAGAGAAGATACTTTGTGTGATTTTAACTTTTAAATATGATTGACACTTGCTTTGTGGCCTAGCATATGGTTTACCTTGGAGAATGTTCCAAGCACTTGAGAAGAATGTGTATTCTGTTATTTTGGGATTGAGTGTTCTAAACATGTCTCTTAGGTCTAAATTGTTTAGTATTACTTAAGTCCTCTACTTCCTTATTGATCATTTGTCTACTTGTTCTACTTAGTACTGAAACTGGGGAAGCTGGGTGTAGTGGCATGCACCTGTAATTCCCAACTACTCAGGAGGCTAAGGCAGGAGGATTGCTTGAGCCTAGGAGTTCAAGACCAGCCTGGGCAATATAGTGAGATCTTATCTCAAAAAAAGAAAAAGAAAAGAAAAGAAAGTAGAGTATTGAAGTCTCCAACTATTACTGTAGAACTATCTATTTCTCCCTTCATTTCTGTCCATTTTTGCTTCACATATTTGGTCTATTGTCAGGTGCATACGTGTTTATATTTGTTTTATCTTTTTGATGAATTGAACCTTTTATGAATATATAATATACTTCTTTGTCTCTTGTAACAATTTTTGACTTACAGTCTATTTGGTGTGATACTTATATAGCCACCACAGACTCTTTTGTATCTTTTTCCATCTTCTTACTTTTAACCTATTTGTGTCTTTGGATCTAAAGTGGGTCTTGGCTGGACACGGCAGCTCATGCCGGTAATCCCAACACTTTCGGAGGCCAGGGTGGAAGAATCACTTGAGTTTAGAAGTTTGAAACCAGACTAGGCAACATAGTAAGATCCCATAGCTACAAAAAAATGAAAATAAGTAGGTATGGTGGCACACACCTGTAGTTCCAGCTACTTGGAGGCTGAGGCAGGAGGATCACTTGAGCCTGGGAGGTTGAGGCTGCAGTGAGCCATGATCACATCACTGTACCTCCAGCCTAGGCAACACAGTGAGACCCTGTCTCTTAAAAAAATAAAGAAAATAAAATGAGTCTCTTGTAGACAACACATAGATAAATTAAGGGTTTTTTTTTTAATCTATTCTTCCAACCAAAAAAAAAAAACTATTCTTCCAAACTCTATTATTTAATCGGGGAGTTTATTCCATTTACCTTTAAAGTAATCACTGATAACAAACACTAACTCCTGCCATCTTGCTATTTGGCTATATATTTTTGTTTCTTAATTCCTCTAATATTGCCTTTTGTATTTAATTGATTTTTTGCAATGTGCTGTGTTGATTTTTTTCGCATTACCTTTTTGATATTTTTTTCCTTTTTATTCTTTTTCAATTTCTTTCCTCTGACAGGATACAAGACAAACACTCAGTTTGCCTGAGTTTTAAAAGGATATTTCCTTTGCCCCAATTAATGAGCAATAAAGACACAAATCCATTTGGCAAAGTGAACAGGGGTTTTTCCATATTTTTAACGGTTATTTTTCTATTGGCCAGGCATGGTGGCACAGGCCTGTGGTCCTAGCTACTCAGGAGGCTGAAGTGGGAGGATCACTGGAGTCTGGAAAGTTGAGGCTGCAGTGAGCCATGATCGTGCCACTGCACTCTAGCCTGGGTGACAGAGTGATACCCTGTCTAAAAAAGCAAGACAAAACAAAAAAACCCCACTTATTTTCCTTGTGGCCATCTTGGAGATTACAATTAATATCTTAAATGTATTTTAATTAATTAATTTATTTATTTATTTATTTATTTATTTTGAGACAGAGTTTCGCTCTATCTCCAGGCTGCAGCGCAGTGGTGTGATCTCAGCTCACTGCAACCTCCGCCTCCTGGGTTCAAGCTATTCTCCTGCCTCAGCCTCCAGAGTAGCTGGGACTACAAGCGCAGCTAATTTTTGTATTTTTTAGTAGAGATGGGGTTTCACCATGTTGGCCAGGATAGTCTTGATCTCTTGACCTCGTGATCTGCCTGCCTCAGCCTCCCAAAGTGCTGGGATTACAGTCGTGAGCCACCTCGCCCGGCTAATATCTTAAATTTAAAACAGTCTCACCAGGCACAAGGGTATGCACCTGTAATCCCAGCTAATCAGGAGGCTGAGGCAGAAGGATCTTTTGAACCCAGGAGTTTGAAACCAGCCTGGGCAACATAGTGAGACCTCATCTAAAAACAAACAAACAAACAAACAAACAAAAAAAGACAAAACAAAAACCACATAGCAATCCAGCTTGAATTAATTCCAATTTAGCTTCAATATCTATAAAGATTTTACCCCATACATCTGCATATTTTCCCATTATGTTGCTAATGTCACAAATTATATCTGTATATATTGTGTGCCCATTATCATAGGTTTACAATTATTGTTTTATGCATTTGTTTTTTAAATCATATAGGCAAAAAAGAGGAGTTACAAACCAAAAATGCAATATTATGGGCTTTTATATTTACACATGTAGGAACCTTATTATTGTTCCTTATTTCTTTATATGGCTTCAAGTTACTGTCTAGTGTCCTTTCATTTCAGGCTGATGGACTCCCTTTAGCATTTTTGGTAAGGCAAGTCTACTAACAATGAATTACTTCAGCTTTGATTGATCTGGGAGTGTCATAATTTTGCCTTCATTTTTGAAGGATAGTTTTGCCAGATATATAATTCTTGATTGGCAGGATTTTTTAAAGCACTTTAAATACCATTGTCTCTTTGTATCTTTTTGGGGATTGGTTCCAGGACCCCCCTGCAGATATCGACATTCACAGATATTCAAGTGTCTTATATAAAATGATGTGGGCCAGGCACAGTGGCTCATGCCTATAATTCCAGCCTTTGGGAGGCCAAAGCAGAAGGATTGCTTGAGCCCAGGAGTTTGAGACCAGGCTGGGCAACATAGTGAGATCTTATCACTACAAAAAAATAAAAATTAAAAAAGACTGCAAAAAATAATAATAATAGCTACTTGAGGGGCTGAAGCGATAGCTTCAGTCCAGGAGGTCAAGGCTTCAGTGAGCCATGATCACACCACTGCACTCCAGCCTGGGTAACAGAGCAAGACCTTGTCTAAAAAAAATACTAATACAAATAGCTGGGCGTGGTGGCTAACACCTGTAATCCCAGCACTTTGGGAGGCCAATGAGGGTGGATCACTTGGAGTCAGGAATTTGAGACCAGCCTGGCCAACATGGTGAAACCCCGTCTCTACTAAAAGTACGAAAATTAGCCTGGCACAGTGGCTCACGCCTGTAATCCCAGCACTTTGGGAGGCCAAAGCGGGTGGATCACCTGAGGTCAGGAGTTCGAGACCAGCTTGGCCAACATGGTGAAACCCCGTTATCTACTAAAAATATAAAAATAAGCTGGGTGTGGTGGCGGGCACCTGTAATCCCAGCTACTGGGGAGGCCAAGGCAGGAAAATTGCTTGAACCCTGGAGGTGGAGGTTGCAGTGAGCTGAGATCATGCCACTGCACTCCAGCCTGGGTGATGGAGCGAGACTCTATCTATAAAGGAAAACAACAACAACAACACACACACACAAAACTAATAAAAATAAAAAATAAAATGTTATAGTATTTGCACATATAACCTATGTACATCCTCCCACATACTTTAAATCATCTCTAGATTACTTATAATTCCTAATACAATGTAAATGTTATGTAAATTGTTATACTGTATTGTTTAGGGAATCATGACAATAAAAAGTCTGTACATGCTCAGTACAGACAAAACCATTTTTCTCCCAAATATTTCTGATTCATGCTTGCTTGAATCCACAGATGCAGAGCCTATGGATATAAAGGGCCAACTTTAAGTTATCCCATGGTTTCTGGGGATAAGTCTGTTTTTAGTCTTATTGAAGATCCATTGCACATAATAAGCTGCTTCTCTCTTGCTGTTTTCAAGATTCTCTCTTTATCTTTGTGGGTTTTTTTTTTTTTTGAAGACTGTATTCTTTGTATTCACTGAAGGCTTCATTTTGTTATTTTAGTAGTCAGCCAGTGACCTAACATAGAATTCCTTAAATGCCTGCGACTAAAAAAAAAGTTTTGTTTTGTTTTTTAAAAAGGAAGAAGAAAGAAACAAATAAAAAAAGAAACAAAAAGAATAAAGAAGAATACGAAAAAGAAAACAAAGGAAGGAAGGAAGGAAAAAAGAAAAAGAAAGAATTTTCTAGGTCTTTGCAGATTGGCTCTGTGTGGAGTCACTCCTAAGCTTAGCCAGGCAATTTACAGCTCTGTTTTAGCCTTCACTTCCTGCTTGTGCTGAGCCCAAAGACCAGACAGAGATGAAAGCTTATTGTCTTATTGGGCCTTTTCTGCACATGAGTCCTACCCTGGGTGTGCTTTCTGCTCTCTCTAGTACACATGGGAACTTTTTGAAGCCCTTATTCTCCCAAAAATATCACTTCCAAACTTTTCCCAGTCTTTCAGGGTATCAGTTGTTTGCCTCAACTGTTATTTTTGCTTCAGGCAGCAGTTCCTTGTTCTTTTGTTCTTTAGCAGTTTTCAGGGAACATCCTCTGTGTAGCTGCTCTGCCTTGAGAGAGTTCTGAGATTCGTGAAGCAAAGAGAATTCCCTTTCATCAGTTCTTCAAGGGAAATTCCAGACAGTCAAAAAAGATAAACACAATTCATTGGGATCAAGATCTTCTCTGCTCCCTCCCTAACCAGGAACCCCCACCAGAAATTTGGGCTGCTGTCTTCAAGATTAGCCCTGTGCTGGGGAGGGGTTGGAGCTAGGGTAAGTTAAAACACCACAGAGATCTCTTACCATATTTAAGTTGCCTTTCTCCTGGTTAAGCATTGGTTGCTGTAAACCTCTATCTTTCAGAGTTAAAATAAGGTTGTTTCTGGCTGTTTTTGCTAGGTGTTTCTGGGGATGAACGGACTCTTGGAGTTCCCTACTCTGCCATTTTCACTGATGTCATCTTCTTTTGCCCATTTTAAAATTGGGTTGTCTTTTTATTATTGAGTTGTAAGAGCTCTTTATATATTCTGGGTACAAGTCACTTGTCAGGTACACAATTTAAATTTTTTACCATGAGAATCTATTACTTCTTTTAAAAAAAAATTTTTTTTTTTTGAGACACACTCTCACTTTGTTGCCCAGGCTGGAAGGCAGTGGTGTGATCTTGGCTCACTGAAACCTCCACTCTCTGGGTTCAAGCAATTCTCCTGCCTCAGCCTCCCTAGTAGCTGGGATTACAGGCGTGTGCTACTACACCTGACTAATTTTTGTATTTTTAATAGAGATGGGGTTTCACCATATCAGCCAGGCTGGTCTCGAACTCCTGACCTCAAGTGATTCGCCAGCCTCGTCCTCCCAAAGTGCTGGGATTACAGGTGTGAGCCACCATGCCCATGGAGAATGTATTACTTTTGTAATTTAAAAAATAATAGTAATAAAATAAAGATCTGTACAATGTTTCAAATCTGTCTGGTGATACACAAAAGTTTCTGGAAATAGTTGCCCTTTCCATCAGAGTGTAACTCTGTCCAGTTTCTTTCCCCATCCACCAGTGGACGTCGCCTTTCTTCCTCTCCCTCTTGCAGAGACTGCCCCCTGCTGCGGGTGTTGGCTGGTGAAGTTGTTGGTGAGGAGGCGGAGGGCTCTTTGCCCTGGATTGTCTCATGGCTCTTGGAAGGAAACAACTACAGTGGCCTACTTCTTCGCCTGGACCCCCAAGGTGGCCAGGGGGAGAGTGTGGAGTTCTTTGGGAAGCTCTGAGATCTGTCCTTAGGCCTGCCTCACCCATCACGCAACCGGCCTCAGCCCCAACCTCAGCCCAGAGAGAGCGTCTGACCCTCCAAGAGGGCCCCAGAGTGCCTAGGCTGACAGAGACTGGAGAGGCAAAGTAAGGTCAATAGTGAAAGTAACCCCTCACCCTTCAGAGACCTTAAACCACTTACCAAGCATTTTTGCACAAATGCCTTTGATTCTTACCACAACCCCATGAGGCAGATATAATTTACAAATAAGGAAAGAGAGGCAGGCCTAATTTATAGATGAGAATAGAGAGGATAAGAGAAGAGAAGGGAGTCTCCTATTTTCATACACCCATTAAAAATCAAGCCTCAGCTGGGTGTGGTGGCTCATGCCTGCAATCCCAGCATTTTGGGAGGCTGAGGTGGGCAGATCACCTGAGGTCAGGAGTTCAGGACTAGCCTGGCCAACATGGTGAAACTCCATCTCTACTAAAAATACAAAAATTAGCTGGGCATGGTGGCAGGTGCCTGTAGTCCCAGCTACTTGGGAGGCTGAGGCATGAGAACTGCTTGAACCTGGGAGGCAGAGGTTGCAGTGAGCCAAGATCGTGCTACTGCCCTCTAGCCTGGGCGACAGAGTGAGACTCCATCTCAAAAAAATAAAAAATAAAAAAACAAAGCCTCTGTGTCCTTAATGTAGATGCTGGTGGAAAAAAAGAAAAAAAAATCAAGCCTCTGAAATGTTATGATGTCAGGGATTTGGGGGAGGTCGAGGTGGGGGTATTGATCAAACAGAAATGGCATGAGTTGATAACTGTCAAAGCTAGGTGACAGGTAGACAGGATTTCCTATACTTTGTATATGTTTGAAATTTTCCATAATAAAAGAGTAAAAAAATGTCTGGCCCTCATCTCCAAAATCAACAAACCCACATTCATTTGGCTAGCAAGTTCCCAGACCTCCGCTGTGGGAGGTCCCTTGGAATGAGGAAGATAGGTTACAGCAGTTCACACCCACAAGGATAAAGCAGTGAGGGCCAGACGTGTTTATCTTCAGGCCAGTTTGGTATCATGTTGAAGGGCATGGGCTTGAGTTTAGGCTCTGCCACTTGCCAAGAAGTTGCTTGACCTCTTTGAGCTTCTATTGCCTCATCTGGAAAATGTCGGGGGAGGCAGGATAGATTAGAGCTTCTGCCTGATTGGAGTGTTGTGTGGATAAAAAGAGGCAATCCATGAACAGCCTTAGTGAAGTGCCATCAAGCATATGTAAAAGTCTAGTGGGAGTTAGATATTTTTATGAATAGTACTACTAATAAAAAGTAAAAGTATCACAAGCAGCGTGCTTTGGAGTCCACAGGAAGGAGTAATTCACTTGGAGTGTCCCTTTACTAGGTAGCTCCCTCAGTTTGCTCCAGGCTGCTCTGTTGGGGGCCTCAGGAAGGAGGATGCAGGTGAAACAGGTGAGGCCCACCCTGTGGGATGCAGTAGAAGAGGCTCGGGCCCGCCGGGCTGGCCTGAGGCCCCTGCGTTTAGGCCTCCTTGAGGACACCCTGACGGACAGTGGGCTAAGCCAGCTGGGAAGGGCACTGCGGGAGCTAGAGGTGAGCAAGGTGAAGCCTGAGGGCACCTGGGCTAGCCATGGCCAGTACCCACCTTGAACCCTTTCTCCATAGGTGGTAAAAGCGTGGAGCCAGCACCCAAGAAGCCAGATGCTCCAAGGAGCAGTCTGCCTTCTTGTCCTCTTTCCAAAGCACTTTGAGGAAGACCTCCATTCATTCATTGACTTATTGATTCCCAAACACTTATTGACCACCCACTGTATGCTGGGCCCAGTGCCACATAGGCCCTGGGAATTCCCTGCCCTCATGGAGTTTATAATCTCCTGGGAGGAAACAATTGCACCACCATAATCGGTGCTCTGAAAGGCTTATAAACACAGAATTCTGTGGGGCATCTAAGTTAGCCTTGGCAAGAGAGGGATGGAAGACTTCATGGAGGAAGTGATTCCTGAAGGAGGTCAACAAAGATGAGTGAAGAACCTGAAGGCAGAGAGAATGACAGGCAAAGACTCAGAGGCAAGAAAGTGCTTGGTCCCCTTGAGGGAGTGCAAGTAGCTCAATTTATTGAAGAACAGAACTTGAGGAAGAGTCAGGAGAGAAGTATTGGAGAGGACAGCAGGGGCCAGGTCACACAGGGCTTTGCAAAACAGAGGTGTTTGGACTTTGTCTTAAAGGTCACAGGTGAGCCACAGAAGTATTTTAAGCAGGAAAGAGCACTGTGCCCTTTTCAGGTGAGCAAACTGAGGCTTAAAGAAAAGATGTGAGGCTGAGCGCGGTGGCTCATGCCTGTAATCCCAGCACTTTGGGAGGCCGAGGTGGGCGGATCACCTGAGGTCAGGAGTTTGAGACCAGCCTGGCCAACATGGAGAAACCCCATCTCTACTAAAAATACAAAAATTAGCCTGGTGTGGTGGCGCACGCTTGTAGTCCCAGCTACTCGGGTGGCTGAGGCAGAAGGATCACTTGAACCTGGGAGGCAGAGGTTGCAGTGAGCCGAGATCACGCCATTGGACTCCAGCCTGGGCAACAAGAGTGAAACTCCATCTCAAAAAAGAAAAGATGTGAGAGGGCTGGGCGCAGTGGCTCACGCCTGTAATCCCAACACTTGGGGAGGCTGAGATGGGCAGATCACCTGAGGCCAGGAGTTCGAGACCAGCCTGGCCAACATGGTGAAACCCCGTCCCTACTAAAAAATACAAAAATTAGCCAGGCATGGTGGCGCATGTCTGTAGTCCCAGCTACTCAGGAGGCTGAGGTGGGAGAGTCACTTGAACCCAGGAGGCGCAGGTTGAAGTGAGCTGAGATTGCACCACTGCACTCCAGCCTGGGTGACACAGCGAGACTCTGTCATAAAAAAGAAAAAGAAAAATAAAAGATGTGAGACCTGTGAGCCTGGGGTCACAGGCATAATCAGGAGCAGCAGAAGTATAATCACACTCAAGTCCTTAGACTCCTAATCTAGTGCTCTTTCATCTCCTTAGGCTGCATGGCCTTTCTGGTCTTCCATGATTTATCACAGGGTGGTTGAAACCCTGTCCCTGTCCAGCCTCTCCTGGCCTTTCTCTTCTTTTTTCATAGTTGCTTAGAACTTGTTTTTACAGCCTTGGGGCTTGGGAATCAGGCATGGTAGCTCCTATTTATTGAGCAAGTGCCTTACTGCCCAGTGCTTTCGGTGCAGTACTTCATTTCATTCTCTCCACAACTTTTATCAGCTCGATTTGATAGAGAAGCACATGGAGACTAGGCCAGTCACCTGCTCGAGGTCATTCAGCTAAGAAGAGGAGGGGCTGGGACCCTGATCTGTCTGATTTCCAAGCCCTGATCTTAACCTACACTGTACTGGGAGGAAAGGTGTGGAACGATCACTTCTAATATCTTCTCAGCAGGTGATAGAGTCACCAGTAAACCAGAGCCCATGCCTCGAGGGAGAGCCCCAAGGTGGGTCTGGGACTTGGGGATGAGCTGGGAGTGGGACGTCTTCCCTGCCTTTGGTGTGATTAATTACATTTTCCTCTAGTGGCAGGAAGAATGGCAACTCTAAGGCGTGGCTCCACCAAAAGAATCCTCTCAGGCACCCTAAGGAATAGGTAATACCTCATGTACCCCAGGAACGACTAGAAGCTGTAGGGGGAGTGAAGAGCTGCAGAGCCCAGCTAATGTGCCCCTGCTTACCCTGCCCCAATATCAGGGAGAAATATGAAGTTTTTGACAAATAAAGGACCTGAAGGTGACTAGACCCCTAAGGCAAGGCCATGGGGAGGGACTGTTTTCCTACTTATTGGATTAAGGGTATAGGATCCTTAGAGGCACTATGGCACCTCCTGGCAGAGCCACTACCTTCCTCTCCCCACCATGGCCTCCTGAGTCTCTGCCCAGGCTACAAGCTCTTCCAGGCTAGTTAGGTCCTGGATGTTGTTCTGGGAGCAGCCCTGGTGATGAGGTTCTATTGGAAAAGTTGGGCTCTGGTCCTAAATCCGTGCACACACATGAACTTCTGACCAAGCCCAGCAGATACCAGATGTGGCCCGGCCGCTCTTCTTGGCCCAGGCCCAGAGGCAGAGACTGAGGGAGCAGCACCAAATTTGGATTCGAGAGAAGCTGAAGCATTTGGAACAGAAGGAGGAGGTGGCAGATGACCAGGTCAAAGGCCTGGTGGCTGAAGAGGAGGTAAGGAGGGTCAAATAGGGGACTTGAGGCTCTAATTGGTCCAGGCACTGTGCTAGGGGCTAGGATCCATCATCAATCACAACCGACCAGTTCATACCCTCTCTCATGGCCCTCACAGCCTTGTCAGGGATAGATGAGGCAATTCTCAGTGCTAAGTGATGGGATGGGGGATCTAGGGTTGTGTGGGACCAAAAAGGCATATCTGACCCAGGCTGGAGTGGATCAGAGGAGATGGAATCTAAGTTGAGCCTCAAAGGACAGGCAGAGATCAGCCAGGGGAATTCACTGGACACTGAGCTTAACAAGGGCAGTTACTGCTCATCAGTAACTGATGGGGGGTGGGTGGAGTGGGGACATGTTCTTAGAGAAGACAAAACAGTATAAGCAAAAGTTCAGAGGGAAGCAATGGCAAAGTGGGTCTGGGAACTGCAAATTCTCCAGTCTGGCTGGAGCTGAACAGGTGCGTAGTCAGAAGCAAGGCTAAAGAGACAAGTGTGTGCCACAGCTCTGGCTTTGGACTTTACCCCAAGGAGAGCTGCAAACCATTGAAAGGCATGTGCCATGTCAGCTCTGACCTTTACTAGCCATGAGAATTTGGGCAAGTTAGGTCACTTCTTTGATCCACTGTTGCCAAATCTGTAAGATGGCAATGCCACATATGGTTGTTATTGGATAAAATAATACACCTGAAGTATTTAGCACAGAGCCTGGCACACAGGTGGCACTCCAAAGAGTATGTGTTATCACTGAAGGCCTGCGAGGAGAGGCAGAGATGGCAGCAGGAACAGATGGTGCTGAGATTCCAGCTGGAGGCCCTTCAGGAAGAGCGGAACACAGCAGAGCAGGACCTGGCAGCCCTCTATGACCTGCATGTGCAGGCCACCCGAGCTCAGACACACCATGTGCTGCCCATCAGTGGGGATGGAGGGTAGGCCTTGAGCTGGCTCCAAGGCTGGCTGAGTGACAGGCATCTCTGAATCTGGGCACAGGTATTCTGAGCCTGGCAGGGCCAGTGGGAGGAGGGGGCCATGACCACAGAGCATCATCACTGCAGCCTGCTGGCGGGCACCCTGGAAGAAACCATCAACCTGGCCACACAGAATCAGGAGCTCCAAGCTGAGAACCAGCAGCTTCAGCAGGGTGCAGACTAGGCTGGGGGTAGTCATGCTGGACCTGTCCTGGGGAGAAACCTTAACAGGAACCCTTTAGAGGAAGTTTCTTGTCTCCTCATTCTGGAGGGTCCTAGAAGGGAGAAAAAGGTGAGACAAAACCAAGCTGATCCTTATTATGGATAATTAATAACACAAACCATGTCTCATTGTTCCAGTCCTTACTAAGTGCCTAATATTATTTTATTTAGCCTCTCCAGCTACCACATATAGTAGGTACCATTTGATCCTTATTTCAGGGATAAGGCAACTAAAGCTAGGAGAGGTTAAATAACTGCCCAAGAACAGTCAGCTAAGTGGAAGATCCAGAATTCAAATTCAAGTCTGTCCATAGTTCTACACTGCACAGTAGTGGCTTACAAGCTTCTGTGTGCATCAGAACCACCTAGGGAGCTTAAGAGAAAGAAGAAAAAGATTCCCAAACACTACTCCCTAAGATTCTGCTTTAATAGGTCTAAGATAGGCCTAGGGCCCCCCCCCAACCCCCTTGGTTTTTTTTAGAAACTCACCACATATTCTATCATAGAATCAGGGCCTGACATTCCCCTGGCCATGATTTTAAGACAGATGACAGGCAGAAATTGTAAGGGAACCAGAGGAAATGAAAACCGAAACCACATCGGCTTTCTTAAGAGTTTTTTGGCCTAGAGTCTAGTTTGTCCTGCTCGGCCCAGCACCTGCTGTTCCCAAGACTCTCTCCGCATTCCCCTGGGCCCAAGTTTTGTGCTCCAGGGAAATTTCAAAAGCTCTATGACAGGGAAATGTCTCAGTTCCATGGAACTCTCACAGGAAATAATGCCACTGGCAACAGCTTGGAGAAAACAATTTTTTCTTAGTCTAAAAGTTATCCCAGAATTAAGATACTCAGGACCCCAGAGGAACAAAATTGTTTGAGGGGAGTTGCGCAGACAGAAGACACAAGACAATCATGGCTGTGGTTGTAGGAACCACCCTACAGCCTAGAAGACTTTATTAAGATCTTATTGCTTATGCAGTTAAAGAGACACTGATTGAGCTACAGGTTTCCTGTACCTGGTCTCAGGTCACTCTGTGCAGAGCTTCCCCAGGCTGTTGGGAGCTGGGAGACTGCTAGGCAGGGGCAGGCCCCAGAGTGGGAAGCATGGTACCTCCTAGGAGCCTCAGAGTGGGTAGCGGGCTTCAAGACAGCCCTCAGGGTGAACAGAGAGGTCAGGAGTGTCGGCTTAAGCCAGGGCCCAGGGGCTACATTCCCTGAGATGAGTCAAGCCCAGCCCTCTCTGGGGTTTCCAGAACAAAGGCTAGGTGTGGGGAGCAGCACTGTGGAGAGGGCAGGGAGCATGTCTCTAGGCATTGCTGGAACTGGAGGAGACTGTCAGAGTGGTTTGGGTAATGGTTGTATAATCTGTGGCAACTGGGCCTTCTTGCATGAAAGTGGAAGGGTGAGGATCCCTTATGGAAGAGTCATGCACCATGGCTGGGCTGGACTAGCCAGCTCCAGTGGCTCTGCTGGGTGACTAAAGTAGGCAAGGAAAGCCACTTGTTGCCCACACCCCACTTTCATCAACTCTGTTCATGCAGGACAAAGCAGGGAGCTGCCCAACAAGGATGGGGTTATTTCTCAGGCCTAGGTATTGATGTTACCTTAATTCTTTAGTCTGGAAGAACTTGGTTGGGGGTGGGGGATGGTAAGCATTTCCTTAACCAAACCCACACTTCACATCTCCTAGGGGTACCCCTTCATCCACCAACCTCCAGAGAATAACCTGGCTGCCCTCACTTCTCCAGCTTTTCTCACAAGGCACTTGTTACAGGGCTGCTGATGGGAGAGGGAGGAAGGCCTGGGAGGGGGATCTGGTGGTGGCGCCCAATCTACAGGGTCCGGAATCAGGGTGGAAGTTGTCAGGGACTAGCGGCTGCCATAGTACAGGCGCATGGCCAGGCCAATGAGCAATGTGGCCAGGAAGAAGGCGGCTGTGAGCTGCAGCCGTAGCAGGACTGCTGAGAGCACGGCGTTGACCACCAGCGAGCAGGACACCACAAAGAGGCGTGTGATGCTGCTGCCATGCTTCATGACAGCAGACATGAGCAGTCCATTTAGTGCCTGGCTCAGCACCACGAGTGCTGCCCATCCTGAGAAACCTTCCAGGAGGCCTGGGCCAGAGCCGCCGCCAGCATGCAGACCTAGATTCAGAAGCACACCAAAAGTGTAGAGGAAGAGGTTCTGAAGTGCCAGGGGCAGCCGCTGTCGCTTCATGAGCAGCTCTGTGTACACTGACGACAAGCCTGAGATGAGGCAGTACAGAATGAGGAGCAGCAGGCCTAGCGGAGTGATATGCAGGGGCATGGGGCTGGCAGCAGCTGCTGGAGGGGGACTGGGAAGGGTGTTCCCGGGAACTTGAAGGCCCCCTGCTGCATAGCAGGCTCCCGCAGCCATCAGCAGCAGCAGCGCTAACCCCTGACGCACAGAGAGGCGGTGCCGGAGGCAGAGGCAGTAGAGCACAGCTGTGCTTCCAATCTTGAGATTACTCAGCACCTGGTAGGTGCTGGGGTCCATGTAACGCTGAAGATAGATCACCAGGTTGTTGTTAGCGCCATAGAGCAGGGCTGATAGTGCGAAGGGAGCAGCCTGGCGCCAGGGTGGGGGCCCCTGGGGCCATGCTTGCCAGCCTACCAGAAGGGAGAAGGCGCATAACAGTAGCTTGGTCAGCTCAGTCAGCAGCACGGCTGAGGAGGGCCGGAAGGGCACTCGGCCGTCCACATGGCACAGTGCCAGCAATGGGGCATGGGCACCGTACATGGCAGTGGATAGGAGTAGCATCAGGGTCCAGCGGGCCTGCCTGGGACGGCCCAGGCCTGGCATACCCCCATCCTCTACACTCATACCCACACAAGACCCTGGGTGGCTAAGGGGCAGCAGGGATTGCAACACGTTTGGGGAAAATCAAGTTATGGAGCCAGCTCCCAGGAAGGAGAAGCCGTGGAACATTGCCAGAGAGAATACTGAGGATCAGAGGCATCTACCAACTCCACAGTCAGGGCTTGAAGAGTAAGGGGCTGGTGGTCCTTGAAGCCACAGTCTTGGGGCGAGTCCCATGGAGCTAGGAAGGGGAAGAAGGAATCCAGGGTGCAGGCTGAGGAACTACTGTCCACAATCTGCAGGAAGGGAGGCAAGGATGAAGGTGGCAGGAAAGTTGGAGATAGCAAATGGATGACAGCTGGGGAATCCAGATAAAGTGTCTCCACCTGAAGGCTGAGCTGCTCATCCTGCCTCTTCCATGGCACCTAGAGCTAGTCGGGCCCCTTGCGTAGCAACTGCAAATAGTCCCTTAATGTCTTCTCCACGTTGGGCACAGCATATGCCTGAGCCGCATAGATGCCAGTGCAGGTGCCCACAGCAAAGCCCAATACTGCTGATGCCCTCAGTTTGGCCACCACATAGCCAGCCAGGAATCCCTTGAGGAACGGGGAGGACAACAGCGAGCCATCCTGCAGAGAAAAATGCAGAAGGAAACTTAGCTAGGCTCCTTCCTGACTGTCCAGGGGCTACTCAAGCTGGGATTAGAGCATTCCACCACCAGCTCCTCCTCACCCTGGACAACCGTGGTATTTTCTCCAGATTTTTCCCAAGGTTCTGGGGCCAGAAAAAGAACCAAGCAGTTCTGATCACACAATCTCAGAACCCTGGGGTCAGAAAGCTCCAACCATAGAACTCCACCGCCACACAAGGTCAGAGATGCCCCTAGCCCTGCCGGTTTCTCCAGCCTCATTTCCTAGCATGCTCCCCAACTACTGTAGCCAAATGGACCTCCTTTCACCCCTCATGTTTATAATGCTACTTCCTACCACAAGGCCTTTACATATGCTGTTCTGCCTGGAATGTTCTTTCCTCCCCTCTTCACCTACTTAACCACTACTTAAGATATTAGTTCATGTGCCATTCAGAAAAATTGTCCTTAGGGTGACTGAGAATAGGCCCTCAATAATCACTTGCTGAAGAAATCTCTACCATCCATTTAACACTCTCAAGAGCATGTTGGGCAATAAAGCCTAAGGCAGGGGTGGGGTGGGACAGTCCTTACCTGGCCCACTCCACTGTTGACTTCGTCTTCTACACGCCGCTGCAGGCTTTCCAGCTGGTTCTTGAGAAATGCCAGGTCCTTAAGCTTAGGCAGAGAATCCTAGGACAAGCGAGAGGCTGGCTCCAGCAGTCTGACTAAGCCCCACCCCTTGCTCAATTCCATCAGAAGCTGGGAATTGGGAGGGGATGGGGTGAGCCAGAAAGACCTTTTCCTATAAAAGCTTCCTGAGATGGCAGTGGCAAAGAAAGACAAGCATTGAAAAGCACAGAATTCAAATGAGGGCCAGGAAGGGACTGACAGATGGGATCTGAACCAGTAACTTACATCAACCTTGACAAGAATTTTATATAGCAAGCAGTATGTAGGAAAGGCAGGAGGGACAGCTAGGGACCTTTAATTAGGTCCATCAGGAAACCACTACTGACTCCATTATGAGCTCCTTGAAAGTCGTGACCAGTCTGTCTTGGCTACTATGTTCTAGTGCCTGACATTTAGTAAATGTGTGGGTAATGCTGAGCTTCTAGACCAATGGTGAGTAATGGACCGAGGCAGTTTCCTGGACAATTTTATTGTCTTGGTTCCTGGATGGGCTTTACCTCTTTCTTCCCAAGGACATCCCAAACTGAATGTGAGTGACTGGATGTGACTGAGAATGACAAAAAAGACTGTCGGCAAGTGTGTAAGTAAATGGACTGAGTGATTTTGATCGCATATAAGTATGAAATTCAGAATGTATGCAAAGGAGTGTTTGAATGAGGGTGGTGTGAGTGTCCGTGTGATTGGAAACATCGTGTCACTGGGAAGAAAATTTCGGGAGCTAGGGAATGGGGTAAAGTGAGGAGTGTTTAAGGGTGAATGTTTTTGAGTCTGTGCTAGTAACGGGTTCGTGATGGTTCCCAGGAGGGGACATCTGGGGGATCCACGGCTCCTCCCGCCTCGCCGAATGCTCTCCCCACACCACTCCACACTGTTGAGGCAGTTGACAGGAGCCGCAGAAGAAACAAGGGACATCCTCACTCCTGAGCCGCTCCAGAGTCGCTTCTCCCCGGAACTAAAAAGGTCAAGGAGAGTGAAGACCACGCCCGGCTGCAGATCACCCCCACGGCCACTCACCTTGTCATCCGCCATCTTCCCCGCCGAACTTGTTGCGCAGGCGCATCCCCGCCTCCCTCGTGCCGACTGCCCCGGCCATCTTTACGGAGGGCGAAGGCACTTCCGGAGCATTTTTGGAAAGGGGGAGGTGCTTTCCTAGTGGCCAAGTACGCCTCTCTCAGATACTTCCACGTGACCCCCTCCCGTCGAGTCTCAGGCTGCGTGTGAGCGCACTCACGACCGGGGCGCGATGATCTCACTCGTGCGCGAGTGCGCGCGGCGCATGTTCGGCGTGTCGGTCTTCAGGCGCCTGATGAGTTCATAGTTGGGCGGTGGTGTCAGCGGTTTCGCTGGCGTTCGTGGGCCTCCCCCGGACCCACACACGGAAACACGCAACCATTCGGGGATCCAGACGCCCGTTTACACGCACCACCCCTGGGCGGGCTGTGCGGCTCAGGCCCTCCCCCGGGACCGGCCCGTGTCCCGCCCCGTGTCCCGCCCCGTATTTGTGCGGCGCCAGCTGGCCCCGCAGCCTGCGGCGCAGAGAGGCTGGGCTTGCAGGCGCAGTAGCTCCAGAGGTCGCGCTGGGCTGAGAGTGCGGGCCGGCAGAGGCTGGCGGGGAGCAGCCGGGGTTATGCTGGGCAAGGATTACATGCTGGCCATCATTCTGGTCAACTGCGATGGTGTGCACGGAGGGGCCCGGTGGGAAGACCAGGAGCTGAGGGAGGACGAGGGAATCCGAAAGGCTACTCTGGGGCTCAAAGACGGTGGGGGATACCTCTCTGTGTAGGGACCAGGGGGCGAATGAACCCGGTCTTTACATGTGATGTCTTCAAGATTGAGGAGCCTGGATCTTCAGCCTAAGAACTGACCCATTTTGGGGATGGAGAGGGGATTATGACAGCATGTTATTCTGAACTCACAAATCATATGCTCCCTCCTCTCTAATCCGGTGTTCCTGTAGATGACTTGTGGGGGGACCACAGTCTGGAGGTGGAGGCTGGCCTGCCTCCTGGCTGGAGGAAGATCCACGATGCTGCAGGTACTTACTACTGGCATGTACCCAGCGGTAGCACCCAGTGGCAGCGCCCAACCTGGGAACTAGGAGATGCAGAGGACCCAGGCACGGTAGGTAGAGTGTGAGGAGGAGGTCTGAGCCCATGTGTGGACCTAGGTCTGCTGTTAAACTGACTAACTCCCACTCTACAGGGAACGGAGGGGATCTGGGGACTGCGGCCCCCCAAAGGGAGATCCTTCTCCAGCCTGGAGAGTTCACTGGACCGGAGGTAACGGGTGGCCCAGGCAAAATGAAAGGCTTGGGGTTCCATGGTGTTCAAAAATGCAGCTGGACCCATGGTCTGCTTTCCAGCCCAGGTTCTGGATTCTGTCACATGTTTTGGGTTCTGTTACGTTCTTGGCTCTGTCCCAGGTTCTTAACTGTCAGTATTTTGAGTTTTATCCCTTGTTCTAAGCTCTTGTTTGTAGCTACATGTTTTTCATATTCTTGGTCCTAACCTATCATGTTCTAGACCTTGGCCATTAAGTCCTCTGTTCTAGGGTCTCTTGTCCCACTTTGGGGTTCTGGTCCACATATTGGACCCTGTTCTATTTTGTGACTTTTATTTTTTATTTTTTGAGATGGAGTCTCACTCTGTCATCCAGGCTGGAGTGCAGTGGCACGATCTTGGCTCACTGCAACCTCCGCCTCCCAGGTTCAAGTCATTCTCCTGCCTCAGCCTCCTGAGTAGCTGAAACTACAGGCACATGCCACCATGCCCAGCTAATGTTTGTATTTTTAGTAGATATGGGGTTTCACCATGTTGGCCAGGATGGTCTCGATATCCTGACCTCATGATCCACCCGTCTCAGCCTCCCAAAGTGTTGGGATTACAGGCGTGAGCCACCACTGCACCTAGCCTTGTGACTTTTATTCTATGTCCTGTGTCTGGGTCCTATGTCCTGAATTTTCCCTCAAATTCTGAGTCACACTTTATGTTACGTTAATATGTCCTGGGCTCTACCCTGCTCTGGTTTTATATTTCTGGTGCTATATTCTGGGTCTTGCCCCTCATCCTGTGCTTATCAAGTTGTCTAGGCCTCACCAGTGTCCCTACTGTAGGAAATGTGGTCCTCTTAACAGCTCTGCTCTGTTTCAGTAACTCTCTGTCCTGGTATGGTGGGGAATCCTACATCCAGAGCATGGAGCCAGGGGCTAAGGTAGTGACTTGGGCCTGAGGGCATTGGGAGGTCCCAAGGGAAAGACAAGGGTGGGATTGGACTGAACAGAGGTGATCAAGGGTGAAGACAGGGAGTATGTATTGTGGCACCTGCCACCCTACTCCATCCTTATTAATTCCTGTCCCTTCCCCCAACCTGTCAGTGCTTTGCAGTCCGCTCTCTGGGCTGGGTAGAGGTACCTGAAGAGGACCTGGCACCGGGGAAGAGCAGTATTGCAGTCAATAACTGTATCCAGCAGCTGGCCCAGACCCGCAGCCGGAGCCAGCCTCCAGATGGTGCCTGGGGTGAGGTGAGTTGGCTGGGCCCTTTAATGGTTTGGGCCCAGGGCCCAGCAGAGGTAGCTGTCCCTGAATTTCCTATTTCTCATGGCAATGACCTTTATCTGAGCTCTGGGCTGACCTCTGTCCTTGGCAGGGCCAGAACATGCTGATGATCCTGAAGAAGGATGCCATGAGCCTAGTGAATCCCCTGGACCACAGTCTGATCCACTGCCAGCCTCTGGTGCACATCCGTGTGTGGGGCGTGGGGAGCTCCAAGGGCCGGTGAGGATGCCTACATCCCCCAAGCAAGAGCTACTTCTCCCTCCCGGCTGCAGGCTGTGATCCCCACTGATGCTGATCCCCAGTACTTGAACCCCTGGACACAGATCCTCTGATGTGGACCCAGGACTGCTTCCCCTGCCTGGTCCAGCCCTGGTTGGGGAGGGTGGGCCCAGCTCAGCAGGGACAGTTTGGGGAGAGTCCGAGAGGCTGGGCTGATTCCCTTCTGTGCTCCCACATGCTTCCGGAACAGTGACAGGTGAGTGAAAACCAGGTATCCTGAGCCCCATCCCTGATGTCCCTACTCCATCCCTGCTATATCCCTAGCCTGACTTTCCAGCCTCCTGCAGGCTCCTGCCTCTAACCAGCTTCTACCCCAGCCCCATCTCTGCCCCTGCTAGGGACTTCGCTTTTGTGGCAAGTGACAAAGATAGCTGTATGCTCAAGTGCCATGTGTTTTGCTGTGATGTCCCTGCCAAGGCCATTGCCAGTGCCCTACATGGGCTTTGTGCCCAGGTAAGTGTCAGGGGTGGGGCAGGGAATGTGGGTAAGGGGTTGGGTCTGAAGCTTCCAAGGTAGTTGGGGTGGTATTGGCCCTTTTACCCTAATTCCCCTCTCTCCCTGTGGGTCATGCTGGCTTCATTGTGTTTTAGATCTTGTCAGAGCGAGTAGAGGTCAGTGGTGATGCCTCTTGCTGCTCCCCAGACCCCATCTCTCCTGAAGACCTGCCACGGCAAGGTATGGGGAGGGGAGACCTGCATTGCTGCATTGGGGTGCTTTGGTGCTGCTTTGTGGGGGGGCGATTTCTGGTTATTTAATACTTCTGTGGATAAATTTCTGAGATGTCTGGTCTCAGGGATCCCAAGCCACTAGTTGGAGGAGCATCTATGAGCCATTTCTTCTACCAGCACCAGCTCTGACCTGAGTCCTGGCCCATTGAGAAGGGTGGGGAAAAGGGTAATTGAAAGAGCTTCCAGGCCAACTTGGTGTGTATATTTCAGTGGAGCTGCTGGATGCGGTAAGCCAAGCTGCTCAGAAGTACGAGGCACTGTATATGGGGACACTGCCAGTCACCAAGGCCATGGGTGAGGACTGAGGGGGCTGCATGTGGTGGGCTGTGTGAGGCAAGGGGAAGGTGAGTGAGGTGAGGCCTGTTATCATTTCTCAAGAGTCCTCCCGTGGCCTTGTTATGGCCTGGGGTCTACCAGCCTTCCCAAATCAGAATTCTAAGGCTTGCCCCAGCTATCCTATTCCCTATCTCTGAATCCCAAATCAGTGAGAGGGGGCTAGACACTCCCTGCAGACTCTTTCTTTTACACTGGGAGACACGCTGGGTATGTTCCCCCAGGCATGGATGTGCTGAACGAGGCCATTGGTACCCTCACCGCCAGGGGGGACCGGAATGCCTGGGTCCCCACCATGCTCAGTGTGTCTGACTCTCTCATGACTGCACACCCCATTCAGGTACCAGAAGAGGGTGAAGTTGGGGGCTTTGGAGGGGTGAGCAGGGATGCTGAGGGGTCACTGCTTGCTGTCGGAAAAGTTAAGTGGGTCTGGCCCGTGCTTGGCCCTCTAGTGACTAGGCCTGGTGTGGGCAGGCAGAGGCCAGTACAGAGGAGGAGCCATTGTGGCAGTGCCCTGTGCGCCTTGTGACATTTATTGGTGTTGGCCGCGACCCACACACCTTTGGCCTCATCGCTGACCTGGGCCGTCAGAGCTTCCAGTGCGCAGCCTTCTGGTGCCAGCCCCATGCAGGGGGACTCTCTGAAGCTGTGCAGGCTGCCTGTATGGTGAGTCATGGGTGGGAATGGGTTGGTGGGATTGCCCTGCAGCTGCTCTCCACTGTTTACTTGGGCTCCGGGTCGGCAGCCTCTTCAGAGATCACAAACCTGGGCTGATTCTGGTTCATTAATGTTTTGGCCCTCATGTTGTTTTTAGTAAGTTTTAATTAGTTGCCAATATTTAAAGGCCAGGACATTTCACATAATAATCGCTATTCTTGTTTTTCTTAAAATATCAAGAGCTCTGGCACTCAGTTCACACGTGTAAGTGTCAGCATGCAGCCAGAGTTGTGCAGAAGCTGTGCCCTAAAGAGTTGGCATTGTTCCTGTTTGTCTCATTTAGGTTTATTTCCTGGCATCTGTGGGCATTTGAGTGTGGGTTGCTTATACTTCGTTAGTTCAGTTTGCCCATTCATTCAACAAATATGGGTGCCTACAGGGTCCCAGACACCATAGCTGACCCTGAGAATTTAGTGCTGTAGAGGGCACAGCCCTTGCCTTCACAAAACACTTAGGATAGAGCCAAGATAGACCAGAAATAAGTTGTACACCACTGGTTGATGGAAGAGGTGGCCCCTTTAGGGGTCAGGAAGGCTACCTGTAAGAGGTGATAGAAATCCGACAGTCCAAGAGGGAAGTTAGCCAGGTGAAGGGGAGTGGGGCAGGTGTACCAAGCACAGGGAACCTTAGCTGTGAAGGTGAGAGATATTAGTGGATGAGAGTATCTGAAAGAATCTAGTGTATCTGGCATGCAAGGGGGACGTAGTGAGAGGTGAGATCAGAGAGAATGACAGAAGCCAGGTTTGGGGGACCTCATAGGTCAGGGTGATGAGTTTATCTGGAGGCACTAGGAAGCACTGGAGCCCGAGAGTGAAGTCAGGGTTATGGATTAGGATGACCACTTAAGCTATAGTATGGGTAAAAGATTTGGAGGACGTAATAGGAGGTAGGAAGGCCAATTAGGACACCTTTGAGCTGTTCAGATGAGATGACTGGGAGCAGTTGCATTGGGGCTGGAGTTTGAGTTGTACACCTTTACCCTTGACTAGGGAATCTGCTTTGCCAGGGACTAGTCCCCACCAGTGAGAGATGGAAAAGAGGCAACATAGTGGTACATGTAATTAAGAGTTTAGGCTCTGCAATCAGAGAGAACTAGGTTTGAATGCCATTTCTGCCTTTCTCTGGCTGTGTGACCTTGGGCAAGTCATATACTCTCTGAATCTCAATTTCCTCTTTTGCAAAACAGGGATAATAACCCCTCATAAATAACTGAATTATACAAAGCACTTAGCAGTGTCCAGCCTGCCCTCCTTAAGTGTCTGATACATGTTTTATGATTTTGTTATTGAGCTACCTGGGAATGCTCTAGAAACTCCACATGTGGCTGACTACCAACCTTGTTATCAGACAGAAGCTTTGGCCAGTTCCCTGTCCTGCAGAAGCTTTCAGGGAGTCTAGAGGCAGAAAGTAGCTGGATCCTCACATTCCCCTTCTCCCTAGGTTCAGTACCAGAAGTGTCTTGTGGCCTCTGCAGCTCGAGGCAAGGCCTGGGGTGCCCAGGCCCGTGCCCGCCTGCGGCTCAAGCGGACCAGCTCCATGGATTCCCCAGGAGGTCCCCTGCCCCTCCCCCTGCTCAAAGGAGGGGTTGGCGGTGCAGGGGCAACCCCTCGAAAGCGGGGTGTCTTCTCTTTTCTTGATGCCTTCCGGCTGAAACCCTCTCTGCTCCATATGCCCTAAACTTATCTGGGAAGGCTGGGGAAGTAGGCTCTGGGTCCATGCCTAACTCTGTACCGTTTTATTCCTCAAGGCCTATAGCCTGTCACTCCTTGAAGCCTTCTCTGCCTGTCCCTCCGATCCTTGTCCACCGTCTATTTATTGCCCAATTTATTGTTTATACGGATGACTGGGAGGCACTGCACCACAACGTAGGACCCTGGCTCCCCTTTCCTTGGGTCCTTGTGTTCCTTGCCCCTGTCCAACCCTGGACAGTTGGCTCTACCTCAGTAACACTTTATAGCAAAATCAGTGCAAATAAAAATCCCTCAGTGACCTCACTGGATGTGAGTATATTGGGCCTGGGACAGGGCTGGGGGCTAACACCCTGTGTGAGATGAGTGTCTTTGTGTCTGTGCTTGATGTTGGTGGCTCTCTGTAGTCACATGACAGCATGGGTGTGATGGAGATCTGACTTCATTCAACAAACATATTTTCTAAGGAGTTCCCTGTGCCAGGCACTAAGCTGGGCACTGGGAATGTAATAAAATAGTCAAGGTCCCACCTTCTAAGACTGTCCGACAGGGAAACGAACAAGAGTCAAATAAGGCAGAAGATGTGATGTAATACACCTACGAAATCTCAGAGGGTTGTAGGGTCGTGGGAGCTCAAGTGAGACACTTAACCTGGCCTGAGACATTCCAGAAGGCCTCCTGAAGAACTGACATCTGAACTGAGAACTGAAGGAAGATGAGTACTAGTGAGGCTACCGGACGTGAATGTGGAGATTGTGCAGGGCAATGCAAGAGGAGGCTGTAGAAGTCAACCTGGCTAGATCACAGCGGGGTGTATGTGGGGCAGGAGCTTCTTTGTTTGAATTTGCTCCTGAGAGGATGAGGCCTCCTAGAGCACTGGCTCCTGGACAGCAACCTCCTTTGGTGCCTTGTGACCAGGGCCCTGATGGTTCATTAGATGGAGCCTTCGAGTCTTAGGGAGTTGCCGCAGGGTCCCCACAGCGGCTCCCGACGGTTGTGAACCAGCATCCATCCTCCACGGATTCCGGCAACCCGCCTGGCCCTGGACGTGTCTCAACTGGCCCGCGTGAGGGGCCGCCCCGGAAATGACGCGCTGCCCCGCTGGCCAAGCGGAAGTGGAGATGGCGGAGCTGTACGTGAAGCCGGGTGAGCGCAGCCGGCGGGCTAGGGCACTAGGTTGTCGCCCCGGCCTAGGCTGGGGGCGGTTGCGGCGCTTAGTATGGACCCTCTGTCTCCCCCAGCCCCAGTATAAGCTAACAGTGGAGTTCCGGGCTCGCTTCACACATCCCTCGCCTCCGCAGGCAACAAGGAACGCGGCTGGAACGACCCGCCGCAGTTCTCATACGGGCTGCAGACCCAGGCCGGCGGACCCAGGCGCTCGCTGCTTACCAAGAGGGTCGCCGCACCCCAGGATGGATCCCCCAGAGGTGCGTGGGGCCCCTGTGCTCGGAGACAGACGGAGAATGGGGGGGGGGGGGTGTAAGGCATAAGCCTGTTTGGAAGGCTTTTTTCTCTCCCCGAGGGCTCCTTAAGGAGAGAAGTTTTGGGGCTCCAGTAAGGGTCTCAGAGCAGGTGCTTTTCCGAGCCCCTTCTCTGCTGCTCAGGTTAATAAATGGTGTATTGATTTAAAAAGACTATTTTTTCATCCTAGATGATCTTATCCAGACCTGTGGCTTTTAATATAGTTTTAATCCTGAAGTTATTTTTCTTTGTTAACCTATACCTCTTGCCAGAACCGTATAGTGGCATATTCATTTGTCCATTCTGTCTTCACTTAGGTATATGATAATCGTCAGACTTCACAGTTTTTCATTCATTTAATCACTGTTATTTACTGAGCACTTCTATAAGTCAGGCACTGTTTGAGGGCGAACTAGACAGCAGTGAGAAAAAAAAAAAAAAGATCTCTGCTTTCAGGAAGTCCACGTTGCAGCACTGGAGATGGGCTGAAAGATGAAATAGTGGTGAGGGTGCTACAGAAAATAAGCGGTGATGTAATATGACTGGGTAACGAGGTGTCTGAGGGGCTGACATTTAAGCCACACAAAGATCATGTACAAAAGCATTCCAAGCAAAAGAAACAGCTGCAAAAGGAATAAGTTTGGCCAATTCAGAGACTGATGAAATACAGAGTGGCTGGCTACAGCATAGTGGGCTTTGTAAAGCAGGATGAGGAATTTGTATTTTAATCTACATAAAGTTAGAAGCCATTGAAAAGTTTAAAGTAGAGGAGAGCCACCTTTCCCCCCGAGAATTTTCCAAGCCATTAAATGGGCTGTGCCGTGGCCCCCATAAAGGGGCTCAGGTTTGGTTCTTTCAGTGGCCCTCCATTCTCCACACCCTTTTTGCTGTAGAAGAATGATACAAGGCTTGGTTTCTTAAACTCAGCAGTATTGATAGGTTGTGGCCAGATAATTCTTTGTGAGGGACTTTCCTGTGTCTTATGTTAATCAGCAACTCTGACTTCTACCCAAAAGATGTCAGTAGCATCCACCCAGTTGTGATAGCCAAAAGTGTTTCCAGACATTTGCCCTGTGGGCACTATCTTCCTAGCTTGAGAACCAGGGACTGATTTACATTTTGGAAAGATCACTGTGTCTGCTGTGTGAAAACAAGATTTTAGGGAAGTGGAAAGACAAATTACAGCTATTATGGTAATATAGGCAAGATTTAATGATTTGCATAAGGGTGGGAGTCAGGGTGGTAGGAGTTGGATGGATATGAGATGGAGAAGGTCAGTAGGAATGAGTAGATTAGGAAGAATCCATATAACTGAATTTTTTTGCTTGATATAGGAAGACTGGGGATGGTGGTTTTGGGGAGGGGGAGTTTTTTTGGGGGGCCATGTGAAGTTTAGGCTGTTACTTTTGGGGAATGTTCTAGGCCAGAATTAGAGAAATAAGTCACCATTACAAGGATGGTATTTGATGTCATGGGCTTGAATATGGCCAGGGACAGAGCCGTAGGGCACTCTAGCATTTCAAGGTTGAGAAGGAATCAGCAAAGGAGATTGGGAAATGGCCAAAGAAGAAAAAAGGAGAGGCCAGGCGCAGTGAGTCACGGCTGTAATCCCAGCACATGGGGAGGCCAAGGTGGGCAGATCACCTGAGATCAGAAGTTCAAGACCAGCCTGGCCAACATGGCGAAACGCTGTCTCTACTAAAAATACAAAAATTAGCTGGGCCTGTAATACCAGCTACTTGGGAGGGTGAGACAGGAGAATCGCTTGAACCTGGGAGGCGGAGGTTGCAGTGAGCCGACATCGCACCACTGCACTCCAGCCTGGGCGACAGAGTGATATTCTGTGACAAAACCAAAATAAAAAAAGAAAATAGGAGAGCGTAAAGACATGAATCAATAGTAATGAATGCTGCTGAGACATCAAGATAGAGACAAGGGGCCAGGCGCAGTGGCTCACGCCTGTAATTCCAGCACTTTGGAGGCCAAGGCGGGTGGATCACGAGGTCAGGAGTTCAAGACCAGCCTGGCCAACGTGGTAAAACCCTGTCTCTACTAAAAATACAAAAAATAGCCAGGTGTAGTGGCGGGCACCTGAAATCCCAGCTACTCGGGAGGCTGAGGCAGGAGAATCATTTGAACCTGGGAGGTGGAGCCTGCAGTGAGCCGAGATCGCACCATTGCACTCCAGCCTGGGACTCCATCTCAATAAAAAAAAAAAGAGCGACAAGGAACCAGTAGATTTGACAAACATAGCAGTCACTCGTGATCATAACAAGAGCAAGTCTCTGCAGTAGTGAGAACAGAAACAGCTGGAATGGGCTGAGGAGAGAATGTGAAAAGTAGAGAGAGTGACTATAAAGAGCTCACTCAAATGCTGCTGCAGAGATAAGAAATGGGACAGTATCTGAAAATGGAACATGAAGTAAGGGAGTGTTTTGATAGTAATATACTAGAGCATGTTTGTACACTAACGGGATGATTCAGTAGAGAGGGGGAGCTGATGATGCAAGAGAAGATAGTTACAGTAGGGAAGTCTAGAGAAGACAAGAGAGGCTAGGATGCAGAGTACAGCTGGTAAGATGGCTTTTGATAGGAGCAGGAACCTTTTCATCTATTACAAGAGGAAGAAAAGTGGCCACAGATGCAGGTGGGTTAGGAGGAATGGTGGTGGGAAGATGAGAGAGTTCTGTTTAATGACCTCTACTTTTCAATGAAACATTAGGCAGTGTCAGAAGAAGATAGCAAGGAAAGGAAGAGAAGTTCTGAAGAGTGGAAAAAATGAGCCAAAATGTCCAGGCAGTATTTGGTACCTTTTAAAATCTGTGGCCATGAATTTAAACTATCAGCATGGCTCTGTTTTCCCTCCCAAGTGCAAGCAAGTTGGGTTTAACCAGGAAAGTGGGACAATGGGAGGAGATAAAGGAGGTAAAAATATTTATAAGGGGGTGATGTTAATGTACATTGAAATCAAAGTAGCTGAGCTGGAAGGGGTAAGGGGGTGATCAGATTTTGGAGGTGATAGTGTGAACAAGGCAGGGGGATGACAGGCTGATGTAGGGTGGGAAAAAATGATCACTGGAGGTGAAGAGGTCAACTGAAACACCAAATTATTAGATGAATTAATCATCCTTGTGGATGTTGGTACCTAAAAGTAAACTTTTGACTTTTGTCTTCCAGTCTTCTTTCTGTTAGTGGTTCCCATTACTAAGTCAGAAACTACGAGTCACCTTGACTTCTCTCTTCCTCACTCTCAATCCACTCCTGTTGCTACTTCCTCCTAAGTAAATCTCAGACTACTCCATTCCCCTCGTCTACTCTTTTACCCTAGTCCATGCCAGCATTATCTCTTTCCTGAACTACTCAACCTCTCAACTGGTGTTCCTGCCACCACTGTTGACCTGTTTTCATCAGTTTTTCACAGAGCATACATGTTTAAAAATAAGTCTGGTCACATCACCCCTTGCTTTTACAAACCTGCAGTGGCTTCCCAGTACCATTGACTCAAGATCAAACTCTTCCAAAGCCCCACAGGGTCTGGACCCTCTGCTTACCTCTCTAATGATAGCTCATACTACTTTCTTCAGTGGTAATAATTTTTAGCCATACAGGCCTCATTACTGTCTCTTGAACAAATCAAAAGTTTTCCTGCTTCTTGGGCACTGCTCTAACCTCGACCTAGTACATGTTCCTTCAACTCTTCATAGCTGCATCTATCTCATCCGGTAGTTCTCAATTTAATAAAAACAGCTCATTTTGTACTTTTTGCTACATACTAGTCTAGCAGCTGTCTTTTTTTTTTTTTTTTAAGAGGGTCTTAGTATGCTGCTCAGGCTGCTCTCAAACTCCTGGGCTCAAGCGATCCTCCTGCCTCTGCCTCCCAGTGTGCTGGGATTAGAGGCATGTGTCACCACACTCAGCCTGTACCTGTATTCCTAATCTTCATTGCAACCTTGTGAAATAAGTGGCATTATATTCATCCCCATTTTACAGAAGAGGAACCTAAGCTCTAGTTGAAAGTAACTTGCTGAAAGTCACATAGCAAGTGAGCTCAGATAAACTTAAATGTACCTCAGAAGGCCTTCCTTGAACACTTAGTCTAGATAGGTTCTCCCATTTCTCTTTATTGCATAAACCATTTTATTTCTTGGTAGCATGTAACATAATTTAGTAATTTTGTGTTTTTTTCCCTGCCTCTAGAATTAAGCTCTCTGAGGTCAGGAACTTAATCTGTCTGGTTTACTTCCTCCTGAGTAGCCAGGACTATAGGTGTGTGCCACCACACTTGACTAACTTTTAAAATTTTTTTATAGAGATGAGGTCTCACTATATTGCGTAGGCTGGTTTTGAACTCCTGAGCTCAGGTGATCTTCCTACCTTGGCCTCTCAAAGTGTTAGTATTACAGGCATAAGCCACTGTGCCCAGGCCTGGTTTACTTTTCTTTTCTTTTTTTTTTTTTTTGAGACAGAGTTTCACTCTTGTTGCCCAGGCTGGAGTGCAATGGCACCATCTCAGCTCACCACAACCTCTGCCTCCCGGGTTCAAGCGATTCTCCTGCCTCAGCCTCCTGAGTAGCTGGGATTACAGGCATGTGCCACCATGCCCAGCTAATTTTTGTATTTTTAGTAGAGACAGGGTTTTGCCATGTTGGCCAGGCTGGTCTTGAACTCCTGACCTCAGGTGATCTGTCTGCCTCAGCCTCCCAAAGTGCTGGGATTACAGGTGTGAGCCATCACACCCGGCCACCTGGTTTACTTTTCTAATCTTTAGTGCCTAGCATATTGTCTGGCGTAGAGTGGGGACTTCATAAATGCATATTTTTGAATGAATAAGTTGTCTCAGAGAGTAGCCCTTCTTAGAAGGGGTGAATTTAGAGTTAAGCTTCTTACCCATTTAAGCCATGTTGCTTGATCCTGCTGTACCTTTTCAGTCCCCGCATCAGAGACTTCTCCTGGGCCTCCCCCAATGGGGCCTCCACCTCCTTCAAGTAAGGCTCCCAGGTCCCCACCTGTGGGGAGTGGTCCTGCCTCTGGCGTGGAGCCCACAAGTTTCCCAGTCGAGTCTGAGGCTGTGATGGAGGATGTGCTGAGACCTTTGGAACAGGCATTGGAAGACTGCCGTGGCCACACAAGGGTAAGCTCTGGCACATCAGAGGTTAGAGAGGGCTCCCATCCACAGCCAAATGCAGGAATGGTTCCCAGAGATAGACCCTCTGACCCAGTGGACAGGTTCTTAATCCTTTGAGAGTTACGGACTCCTTCAGAATCTGCTAAGGCCTTCCCAAAGAAATGAACACAGGATTTCAGGAGCATTAATAAGACTTTTGAAGACCAATCAGTAGAAGATGCTGTGGGAACAAGAGTTGAATTCAGCTCCTATTAGTGAACAACCTGATTTTCTGTATCTCCATGCCATTCAGAGCAGAAGCTGCTGATTTTATTCTCAGGAAATTTATATTGTGCCCAGTTAGGGAGAAAGAAACCTCTTCTAGCTATAGTGTTTTCTTAGTTCTTAGAAAAAGAGATCTGAAGAATGTCTTAAAAGAAAGGGAAAGTAGCATGGTCATTTCACCTCTTTGGCGCTTAGTTTTCTTTTTGTGAAGTAACGCTACAGGATGAGCTTCTGAGAGTCTGAGAAGCCCCTGAAATTTTAGAATTCTAGTCATAGTAGGAGGTGGGTTAGGAAGACTGGTGGTGGGAAGATGAGAGAATTCCTGTTTAATGACCTCTACTTTTCAATGAAACATCAGGCAGTGTCAGAAGAAGACAGCAGGGAAAGGAAGGTTTCATCAGTTTCTCAGTGGGGCCTCTAATCTTTGGGTAAAGAACCAGAATTCTAAAGTGTGGGCCAGAGAAAGCAGGTGCTTCCTATGTGGTGCTGTCTTCCCCTCTCCTCCCCTCATTGGGCTGGCAGCACTGAATTGGAGGGGGGCTTCTGTCTCTTAGAAGCAGGTATGTGATGACATCAGCCGACGCCTGGCACTGCTGCAGGAACAGTGGGCTGGAGGAAAGTTGTCAATACCTGTAAAGAAGAGAATGGCTCTACTGGTGCAAGGTATGGGTGGGTTCTTTGGTATAGCCTAAATCCCTTTCCTGCTGTGGTTGGCTATGCTGGAGCAGGTGCTGAGATTTTGATTGACTGGGAGGGGAGGCATGGAAGCTCTTGTACCACAGGCTGCTTGCTCAACCCCCGTCTCTCTTCAGAGCTTTCAAGCCACCGGTGGGACGCAGCAGATGACATCCACCGCTCCCTCATGGTTGACCATGTGACTGAGGTCAGTCAGTGGATGGTAGGAGTTAAAAGATTAATTGCAGAAAAGAGGAGTCTGTTTTCAGAGGAGGCAGCCAATGAAGAGAAATCTGCAGCCACAGCTGAGAAGAACCATACCATACCAGGCTTCCAGCAGGCTTCATAATCCTCGGTTCCCCAGACTCACCGGACACCATCTCCTATGCCTTGGAGACCTTCTGTCACTTGGCTCCCTTCTTACCACCACCAAGACTGTCCCACTGGGCCTGACCCACCTATGAGGGAAGAAGTCCCACCTGGGCCAGAGGGAGTTCATGTGTTACTCATAACATGCATTTCAATAAAAACATCTCTGCGGTGGGCCTTGGGTAGGAGAGATGAACCCTTCCGGTGCCAAGCTAGTCCCCTCTGGTGTCCTCGACTGCCCTGCTCCCTGTGTATCTGCAAACCTCTGTTCTCCCTTCTCCATTCATCAGGAAGGGATCTGCTGGGTAAAGTCAGACTACTGCCTACCACTTTTTCCCAAAGTAGACTGAAAGCACATCCTGTGCTGGGCGGAGCAGCTGTGTTTGGATGGTTTCATTTCAGCATGAGAACAGACTCAAATAGAACGGGGAGACTTTTCCCTCAACAAAAGGAAAGACAGTCCTATTTGCACTGTATCACCCTTGAGATACTACTGTTACAGAGATTAGAACCACATTGAGTGGGGTTTTCTGTGTAAATCGAAGGAGAAAAAGACCAGATTACTGAGATTGGGGATTGTAACTCTGACTTGCCAAACAAACTGCTGCCTCATTTTGGGTTTCAGTGTGAACTCTAAGGTCTCTTGTAACCCTTTGAGAGAGGTACTTGGTGGACTATCATGCTGTGAGAAGGGTACAAGGTTTTTGGTGTTGGAATAGAGGAACTGGTGCTTAGAGGTGGGAAGCAGAAAAGGCACAGGGAGAGACAGGATGGCTATAGGCTGGGACAGCACCTCTTTTCCAAGAGTCCTGCTTTGGAATGGATAGGGGAGGGGCTGCTGGGGGGCCCTGGTTCCAGGAAGGCTGCTTCCTGGGAAGACAGGAACAGCCCTTGGCAGTGGCCAAGCTATTGCTGTTTATGGTTTGGAGGCTCATGTAACCTGCCACTGTAGCGTGCCTCAGGTTCTAATTGCTGCTGGAAGTGGGCCTGGTGGGAGCTGGGAATGATCTGAGGCCTCTGAGCTTAACCAGGCCTGCCAGGGCCTTCAGCTGTGTGGCTGAGATGAGAAAATCAGCATTGAGGAGAACACTGGAGCCAAGGCATTTCTTTGAATGTTTACTAAGCAGTCAGAAGGTGACTTACTCCATTCCCCAGTTCCAGCCCCTGAGCATAGAGGGTTTAGGGTTAGGAGGAGTACCACAGACTGAAGAGGAAGTAGAGTTAAGGGCTTGGCAAGTTGCCCACTCCTATCCCTGGTCTAGCTGCCTCAGAACTAAAGGAGGCCTGGAACTAACAAGTCACTCCCTTCCAGATTAGATGAGGCCAGCTGGCCTTTGGATGCCCCAGGAAGAGGTGGTGGCAGCAGTGGCATGAGGGATCCCTCTGTAACTCCACATGCCAGGTCATCTGCACTGGATTAGATGTCCATTTCAAATTGTGCGTCATCTGGAGAGAGAAAAGGCAGGAAGACAGGTTGCTGGTCTGAGGATCTGCAGGCTCAGCATCAGTGCAGAAACCCCTCTTGGAACTGAACCCCCGCACTGTGTCACAGTGGCATTTGAACTCAAAGGCTGGGACAATTCTTAATTCCTGCTTTCCTTACCGGGTATCTCTTCCTCTGTCTCCTGCTCCTTCAGCTCCTCCAGCTTGGAGAGAGGGGCTGTTGGAGGAGTTGTGACCCCGGGAATCTGAGGGAGGCAGCAGGGGGGTGTCCGGGCAATGGGTGAGTTCTTGCACTCCAGCAGGAACTTTCGGTCGTAGATGATCCTGGTGCCTGTCAAGGGGTTGGGACTGAGGTAAGAGTCAGGAGCTTGGGTACCGAGGTGACTGGGGTCCCAGACTCAGGCCTTTTGGGGCCTGGAGGTGAGGGTGGTGTCAAATTTCCCTGTGTATCAAAGGACATCGGCTCTGAAGCCCAGCTAGGTTCTCAGCAGACAAGCCTTCATAGTGCTTAAAATCTTCCAGACCTAACCAAGATGTGGGTATAAAGCAAGGGGGGCATCCCAGCTGGTATAGGCAGGGGCTTTATGTTTGGGAGAGCTTCAGATCTTGGCTCTAAGAGGAACACCAAACTTTGAGTTCAGGTACTTCATGCTGCTCCTCTACCACTCTGAAACCTCTGCTTTGGTCTCACCAGTGAAGGTGAGACCTAGACTAACAGCCTCAGGTGGTTCAAGAAGTGAAATAGCAGTTGTGAAGGGTTCCACCCAGTGCTGTTACCTGGGCTATCTCCTGCAGGGAGGAGAAACGTACTGTTCTAATCCTGACCCCTCCCAGGTCCTATAAGGTTCACACTAGCTCAGAGGAACTTGGCCCGCATAATGTCCTCAAAGGGTCCTGCCCTGTTCCTCCCCTCCGCTTCCGCGTGGCAGGAATCCCTGGGTCGGGAGCCCAGCAGCTCGTGATCCCAGGCTGCTCGCCCAACCAAACAGACGCCAGCCAGCAGCACAAAAACGGAGCAACTGCCCCAACTGTTCTAACTACTCCACTTCTCAAGACCCGGTGCTTCCGGCTGAGGTCACGCTCAGTAGGGGGCCCTGGCCCCTATTCCTAGGAAGCAAAGTCGCGAGGGGTAAGGAGCGTGTGTAAGGCTCCAAGAACCCAGGCCACAGTGAAGGATTACAGCCCAAACACCCGGAAGCTAGGCTCATGGCCTTGTTGCATCACTTAGAAGTTTTTGGGAACTGAGCTTCCGCTCCAAACATTCTCCCCCAAAGCTACAACCTGTAGAGGGGCCTGCGGACAAGTCTTAGGTCTGTCCCTCCCCTACCCCCGCCCCGCAACAACACGCACGCGCTAATATGTCCGCAGCCTGCGGACCCCTGCCCGGCCCGCTGACCTCCGGGGGTAGTGGCGTATAGCGTGCCCCCCGGCGTGGTGCTGTAGCAGTCGGGCAGCTGGTCCCGGCCCCCGGGAATCGGGCAGCTAGTGGACGTTGACATAGCGAGCGGGAGGAGCAGCAAAGTAACCGCCTGGCGTTGAGGTCGAGGAGCGCAGCTCTGAGTCTGAGGCGGACTCAGCCGACCACGTGCAGCTGCTGGCAACAACACTAGAACAACGTCACGCCCAGGGCGGGCCACCGGCCGTCACTCAACCCGACGGTCCCGCCCTATCTGCTAGGAAGCCAGCCCGGTTCAGAGAAAGCTGGAAATGCGTCCAAAGTCCCAGGCCCCACACCAGCTTCCAGTTCCTGCTGGCCCAGCGCTGGCCAACCTGCCTGAGTGCTGCAGCAGCTCAGCTATTTACTGTTTATAGCCGGGAGCTGGGGGCAGGTGAAGTAGGGCAAGCGTTTTTATCCTGTATTAGTTCACCCATTCCTTGCCAACTTTTGGATAGTAAAGCACTATGATTAGCCAAAGTCACACATCTTGCAGGAAGGGAAGCTGGGATTCAAATCTGACTGCATCTGATTCCAGGACTGTGCCCTTAAGCCCAGCTGTGTACTGCCTCCCATAAACAGTAACAGTACAAGGCCGGGTGCGGTGGCTCACGGCCTGTAATCCCAGCACTTTGGGAGGCTAAGGCGGGTGGATAGCTTGAGCCCAGGAGTCTGAGACCAGCCTGGGCAACATGGTGAAACCTAGACTCTACTAAAAATACAAAAATTAGCCGGGTGCGGCAGCATGCGCCTGTAGACCCAGCTACTCGGGAAGCTGAGGTGGAAGGATAGGTTGAACCCAGGAGGCGGAGGTTGCAGTGAGCGGAGATTGCACCACTGCACTCCAGCCTGGGTGACACATGCCTTGATGGCCTGGAGCACAGCAGGAAGGGGAAGGTCAGTGAGGGCTGGTCATCTTTCTGAAGAAGTGGTACCTGGACTAATAAAAGGATGAGTCAAGTTTGGGGGCTACAGCTGAGGCATCACCAGTCAGAAGGCCTGCCCTTTGATCTCTTTGCCAGTTAACTAAGGAGGGGCAGGGGGCTAGTGAGGAGGGCTTGGTCTTTAGAAGGAAAGAAAGGTCAGAGAGTTTGGCCTTGGAGTTTTTTTTTTGTTTTTTTTTTTTATGTAGACACAGTGATATGACAGGCTGGAGCAAGGTGGTGGGATTGGTGAAGATGTATATATGCTGGAAATCTTGAATTCATCAGGCTGTCCTGTTTGGCTTCCTCAAAATCAATACTGCCTCCACTGTCCCTTCCCCTCACCAAAAATTAAGTATAGACCACCTGACTGCATCCATTTATCAATATTAACTCAGCTCTGGCTTCATCAGATTTCTCCTTAGGTCTGATTTCTTCACTCATTTAAAAAAAGATTGCTTCTCAAACTATTTATTTTCTGAGATAGGGTTTTGCTCTGCTGCCTAGGCTGGAATGCAGTGGTGTAATCTCAGCTCAATGCAAACTCTGCCTCCTGGGTTCAGGCCATCCTCCCACCTCAGCCTCCTGAGTAGCTGGGACCACAGGTGCCCACCACCACACCGGGCTAATTTTTGGATTTTTTATAGAGACAAGGTTTCACCATGTTGCCCAGGCTGGTCTCGAATTCCTGAGCTCAAGTAACCTATCTGCCTCGGCCTCCCAAAGTGCTGGTGTGAGCCACCACACCTGGCCAGCTTCTCAAACTTTAATGTGCATATAAATCATCTGGAGATATTGTTAAAATGATAATTCTGATACAGTATTGGTCTGGGTGAGATTTTGGATTTTTTTTTTTTTTTGACACAGGGTCTCACTGTCACCCAAGCTGGAGTGTAGTGGTACAATCATGGCTCACTGCAGCCTCAACCTCCTGGGCTCAGGTGACCCTCCCACTTCAGTGTCCTCAATAGCTGGGACCACAGGTGCATGCCACTGTACCTGGCTAATTTTTAAATTTTTTGTAAAGGCGGGGTCTCACTATGTTGCCCAGGCTGGTCTCAAACTTGTGGGCCCAAGCGATCCTCCCAAACAGGCATCCTCCGAAACAAGAATTACAGGCATGAGCCACCGTGCCCAGCCAGTTGTGGATTTTTTTTTTTTTTTTTTGAGATGGAGTTTCGCTCTTGCCGCCCAAATGGCATGATCTTGGCTCACCGCAACCTCCGATTCCCGGGTTTAAGCGATTCTCCTGCCTCAGCCTCCTGAGTAGTTGGGATTACAGGCATGTACCACCACACCCAGCTAATTTTGTAATTTTAGTAGAAACAGAGTTTCTCCATGTTGGTCAGGCTGGTCTTGAACTCCCGACCTCAGGTGATCAGCCTGCCTCGGCCTCCCAAAGTGCTACGATTACAGGCATAAGCCACCACACCTGGCTGGTTTTTTTTTTTTTTTAAGATGGAGTCTTGCTCTGTCACCCAGGCTAGAGTTCAGTGGCATGATCTCAGCTCACTGCAACCTCTGCCTCCTGGGTTCAAGCGATTCTCCTGCCTCAGCCTCCTGAGTAGCTGGAATTACAGGAACCCACCACCGCACCGGGCTAATTTTTTGTATTTTTAGCAGACATCAGGTTTCACTATCTTGGCCAAGCTGGTCTCGAACTCCTGATCTCCAGTGATCTGCCTGGCTTGGCCTCCCAAAGTGCTGGAGTTACAGGCATGAGCCACCGGGCCTGACTGCAACTGTGAGTTTTTAATACAGTAATGCAAACGCTTCAGGGCCTCAGAAACACACTTCAGGTATCAAGGGTATGTATATTTTATTGTCCCGAAAAGGATTTTGAGTATCTTACAAAATGGTGCATGCCAAAATGAAGTGTCTTAGCAGTGCTGGAGGGTAAAGCTTGGGAACAGATTGTAGTGAATCATTTATGATAACTAACCTTTTATGCAACGTGAGGAAGTGTCTGACAGGGGGAATGGGAGAATAGGGTGGAGGATGGTGAGATTTGAGGGTAGAGTCCAGTCTAGTGAAACCAGGTGGGCAAACGGGCGATGGCTGTGAGGATGGAGAGAAGTGGATGAGATTCAGATACACAGAGGAAGAATAAAGTGACTGATTAAGAGTGGGGTGAGGGAAAGTGTAAACTAGGATAATTTTCAGTCTTTTGGCTTGAGAGTCTTGGTGGCTAGTAGCACCAACTAATATGATAGGGAAAACAAGAAGAGCAGCATATCTTATATGAGGGAATGAATAATATGTGTTCAGATGGAGCACAGGAGGAAGCTAGATATAGTGAAGCCATGGGGAGAACTCTGAGTTAGTGGCTCAAATTTGGGTGGTGTGAAATTCAAGAGTGTGGGGATGGGCTAGGATCGGTAGCTCACATCTGTTAATTCTGGCATTTTGGGAGGCTGAGGTGGGAGGACCGCTTGAGCCCAGGAGCTCAAGACCTGGGCAATACAGCAAGACCCTATCTCTATTTATAAATAAATAAATGTGGGATGAGATCATCTGGGGAGAAGATACAGTGTAGAAGCCTGGGCACATCAACATTTATTTATTTAAAAGATAGTAGAGAAAAAGAATTCACCAAAAGAGACTGAGAAAGATGAGTCGGAAATAGGAAAATCAGGAGAAAAGTATCAAAAGTTTTCAAGAACGGTCATTGTCGAAGTGAGGTCTTCCTTCTACTAATCTCTACCACAAAATAATAGCCACAGTTACTACTACTATAATGACTACTGCTTGCAGCTAACTCTTCTGGAGTCACTGTGTGCTGTAAGGGCTGGGGAATAGGTAATTGGCTTTAGAGAGAAAGCCAGATTCATCATCCATGCAATCTGGATGAAGAAACAAGAATTTAAATCAGAGGGTCAATACTAATTACTGGCTGGGCAAGGCGGTTCACGCCTGTAATCCCAGCACTCTGGGAGGCTGAGGCGGGCAAATCACTTGAGGTCAGGAGTTCAAGACCAGCCTGGCAAACATGGAGAAACCCCATCTCTACTAAAAATACAAAAATTAGCCAAGTGTGGTGGTGTGCACCTGTAATCCCAGCTACTTGGGAGGCTGAGGCAGGAGAATTGCTTGAACTCAGGAGGCGGAGGTTGCAGTGAGCCAACATGGCGCCACTGCACTCCAGCCTAAGCAACAGAGTGAGACTCTGTCTCATTAAAAAACAAAAAACAAAAAACAACTAATTACCTATTAGAATATGGAAGTGTTTAAAAAAAATACCTATGCCCAGGCCCCACCCCCAGAGATCTGATTAAGCCTATAAGGAAATACCAGGTCTCTGTTATCAGGCAAATTACTTTGGATTCACATTAATATACCATCAAGATAAAACAGAATGTGAAAAGTAATCACAAAATAGGTTTGCAAACAAGATCGTCTGATTCATGATCTTTTCCAAATTAGGTGTTGAAGCCCAGGGTCATGCCTTTTATTGGAGGTGGTCTTAACACACTTAAGTTTTTGATGCTTAAAACCACCTTTCTCTCACCCATTGCCTAAAGGAGAGGATGGAGGCGCATGAACCTGCCTGTTTGCAAATGACAAATCACTGAGGATAAATAGAAAATGCAGCATTACCAGAGCCCCTCACTATAGGGGGCAGGGTCCACTGGGAAGACATCATAACCAGTTGTATGTCTTGGTAGAAATACTTCTTGCTAGTCAGAGAACAAGATGTTCATTCAGAAGCTGTTTTCCTACAAGCTTGCTTGCCTTTTCTTGGATTTACAATGTGGTCCAAAGGTCTTTTTTTTTTTTTTTTTTGAGACGAAGTCTCGTTCTTGTCACCCAGGCTGGAGTGCAATGGCATGATCTCAGCTCACTGCAACCTCCGCCTCCTGGGTTCAGGCGATTCTCCTGCCTCAGCCTTCTGAGTAGCTGGGATTACAGGTGCATGCCACCACGCCCGGCTAATTTTTGTATTTTTAGTAGAGACGGGGTTTCACCATGTTGCCCAGACTGGTCTCGAACTCCTGACCTCAGGTGATCCACCCGCTTCAGCCTCCCAAAGTGCTGGGATTACAGGCATGAGCCACCGCACCCGGCCCCAAAGGTCTTAAACAGTGGGAAGGAACCACATATACTAAGTACTCCTCTCTCTGGCTTGAAATTATAATGTAGCCAGCCTTTCCCTTTCTTTTCTTTTCTTTTCTTTTTTTTTTTTTTGAGAGAGAGTCTTGCTCTGTTGCCCAGGCTGGAGTGCAGTAGCGTGATCTTGGCTCACTGCAGCTTCCACCTCCTGGGTTCTAGCGATTCTCCTGCCTCAGCCTGCTGAGTAGCTGGGATTACAGGCACATGCCACCACACCTGGCTAACTTTTGTATTTTTAGTAGAGATGGGGTTTCACCATGTTGCCCAAGCTGGTCTCAAACTCCTGACCTCAGATAATCCACCCACCTCGGCCTCCCAAAGTGCTGGGATTACAAGCGTAAGCCACCATGCCCGGCCTCCACTTCTGTAAGTTAACTTAAACTAAGGATGGTCCTCTCTTGCACTAGTTTTCGGATTGTGGGGAGGACTTGGCCAGAATCTACATGAAGAGAGGGAAACCGTAGTTCCAAGTCCTGAAATTTCTTACCTCTGGTTAGGAGAGGCCACCATCGGCCGTCCAATTCTCTTCTTCGGTCTGGTTAGCTGAGGTGATGGGATTTCCCCTTTGAGAGCAGGGACTGAAGGAAGCAGACTGGCCTATAAAAGGGCAAGTCAGCACACTGTAGCCACAATAGGTTTAAAGGGTCTTAAAACATTAATAATTTTATTGGTAGCGGAATTTTATTACATTGAACACAAGTTGAAATAAGTGGGTCCAGAAACCTTGATGATGTAGTTTCATTCCTATAGTTTCATTTCACTGGGTTTGATCTATACCTTAGCAGGATGTTTCTTCACAACTTGAAGGCTCACTAAAGATGTGCAAGGTCTTCTTCTGCCTCCACTAAAATCTCAATACTGGCCCCCATAATAATGGCAGGATTTATTTCGATTCCTTATCAGAACCAATGCTAGGGGCTCTCAAATCTCAGCACTGTAAACAATCTAATGGCTTCAAATATTTCCATATCTTATATTCTCATTCACAAGAAGAAATCCTGTGTTAGAACTAGAAGACTCTTGAGTTCAATTTCAGATGAGAAAAGTGAAACCCAGAAAGGTGAGATGATTTGCCTAAGGCCATAAAGCTTCAAGCGGCAGAAATGAAAATAGAATTTAGGCTCTGACTACTGACTACTGCTCCACTGTATCCATGCTGTCTCCTCCCATATCCCTTGTATATTTTGAAAGTAATTAAGTTCTTACCTGAGCTAGGTTTTATCCAAATGTTCAGGTTGGTAAAATAGCAGTAAAGTAGTGCCAGGAAGAGGCAGGCAGAGGAAGAAGAGATTTAGCAGGTGAAATGAGGTTGGGAGCAGGCTACTGGGATCCAAATAGTCAGAAAGAAAGGAAGGAAGTGCTGGTAAGAAGGAAGGGAGGAGCGTATCCTAAAGAACTACTCCCAACTATACAACTGTTGTTTTCCTCCCAATTTTCCTAGGGATTCCTCATAATTATCTCCTTTCTCTTCATAAATTCTACTTACTGACCTGAAATAAAATTTCTCATTTGGTTGTCCTCAAGGTGCAGAATATGGACTTAAGGCTCCTCCAGACAATTCAAATGTATTGTAGACAGTTAAGATAGAATAAAACTCACCTTTTTGTCCCACTGAATAATTTATTTAATATTATTTCTCACTAGTATATATTTCATCAAGAGTAGTTTCATTCATTTCACCAATTTTAGGTGATTTTTCTTGTTGCTGTTAATGGTAAGTGGAAACAGCAAGATACACAGGTGATCCAAGGAGTCTTTTGTGCCCCACCCAACTGCCCCCACAAAGGTCAAGGGGCCCCTTAATGATACTTGATGTGGTTATCAATCACTACAAAGTAGTAGCTTCAATAAACAACACTTTCAAAATCCATTCAAAACAAAACATAAGACATAAGCTTAATTAAGGAAGCTTTCTCATATGTAAGATGATATAGAAGATTAAAGAAGCAGGTATATCTGACACAGAACAAACATGGTGTGTCTGATGTGGTCCTGGCTTTAGGACCTGGGCAGAGAAAATTAAGAATTCCTGTTGGCATAAGCGTAGAAAGGTGCTGCTAATATAGTTCTGTCCCTAGTTACTACTCTTTCTCTGTGCATCCTTCTTTGCCTTGATATGAGTTTTGGCTTCTCCATCAGCTCCAAACATTTTCTTGTTTTCTTTTCTGTATTGCCTATACTGACCAGGAAAAATTCAGCTATATTAAAACACAAATAAGTTGATGACTATACTTTTCAGTGGGATAACTTTTCCTTCTCTATGCTGATTCTCGGCATAGCCTATGGTTTGGCCAAAGCAGCCCATTCCAGGGTTCCTCTGTTTAGCTTGTTAAACATATTGACTCTCCATGCTTAGGGCCATGGAACTAAGCCTGGAATTACTCACATATTTATAAATATTACTCAGCTGATTCAATAATACAACAGAATGACAGGAGTCACCTCCTTATGTCCCAACTCATATAAAGCTTAAAATATCTATAACCAGACAAATCTTTCAGATAAAAAAGGTCAGGAAGCACAGAAGGAACCTGAAGTTGATAATTTGGGTGTCCCTACATTTGTTTAGTGTCATCTGATTTAAATCCAATTGTTCTTATTGACATTCTCATGATCCATAGAGAAAAAACCTATCAGTGGCCTATCTGCTAGCTAAAGTCAGATAAGACACATTGCCAGAGCTTGAAACTTTCTCATATGTTAAAGGATTATGGAAGACAACAAGGGAACAAGGAATGTTTAACACAGAATAAATAGGTAAATAGTCTTAAAAGTGCTTTTTTAAGGCAGTCTAAGAAGGGACTCAAGTGTTAAATGTGAGAAGCCTGTTACAAATATAGTATTAACCATCTGGTTCAATATAATGTGGATTGAGTGGTACCTGCATGACCACTGAAAGGATCACACCCCACTTCTAAAGACTGTTCATCTTTTTATTGAATATTCTGGTAAATATTTCACATTAATACAGGCTACATTACGTAGAGCCACTATATGACAAGAAATTTACTCAACTTTTTCCTTTTAAGTATGTAAACAATTATACATGTATTTATCACCCTAAAAGGTTGAAACATGTAATCAACTAATTCTCTTCTGCATACAAGTAGTATTCTGTATGTTTAGCCAAAAGCACTAAGGTCATATGATCTTAAGTTCAAAATGGCTAAACTAACCAGAGAACATAATCAGGTGGATAGGAAATCAATTTGTTCTTATACAATGGGCAATCAAATTTCCATTGCTAAAGCCTCAGAGAAAATTTCTTAGGCACATTAAAAAAAAATCCCCATGGTTCTTCCAAGGTCATAGGTTTCTTAAACAAGGCTAAAGAGTAAAGACCTTCTAACTTAGTTGACATATTTGAGATGCATGTTTCCAATATGAGGTGCCCACGTGCCAGGCCAAATCTGAAAAGGGGGAGGAAAAATTGGAATTTCTAATTAGGAATCTTTAGACAGTTACAAAATGAATATATAAATGCAATGGCAATTCACTGTTTCTGCCTAGGAAGAATACACATATATTAAATAAAGTGTTCAGTAGCATCATCTTGATATTGAAAAAGCAATCCAGATCGAAATGGTCAATTATGACTTTTGATATTCAGTACTTATACTTCTCACAAAACAAAAAGAATGATGTGACAAATCTAAAAAACAAAAGAGCATTAAGCCCATTTTACCTGCTGGGCATCAGTGCATTCAGTTGAATTTTGGATAACTTTTATCATAGGGTTCCAAGCAGGATCTGGATTGTGAAGTCCATTAAACAGAGGGCCTCCTGGAACATCAGCAAGCTGAGGATGAGAGGGTATTATGGTGCCTCCATACATGGAAATTGGCAGACCCTAAAACAGCAGGAAAAAAGATTTAATCTTAAAATTACTATAAATTATAAAATTACTATAAATCCCATAATACCAGCTTAGACTTCTCTAATATTCCTCATTTAAAGAACTCCAAAAGATCCTATAAGTACAGTATGGCAGTGTTGAGAAAACAAAATGTTTATCTGCATCTGCAAAGCTTTTCAACAAAAAACAAGAGAGAGAAAGAAACTAAATCCAATATGAAATCATCAGGAAATTTCTCATATTTGATAAAAATAACCTCAACTTTCCCATATTTTAGTTTCATGAATAAGCTTGAGCTAAGAAGAAAATGGGAACTCTACATAATTGATTGCCGACATAAAGCTGTCAGAGCAGACAAGAAAGCATCAGTGAACTCATGGCCAGCTTTTAAGAGGGGTAGAGGCCTCCCTCAAAGCTGTAGTAGCAGAGCACAAAGTGGCAAAACCCAAATCCCTCAGGTGTTTTCGGGGGATGGGGACATCTTCAGGACAAACTACTGTGGACAACTCTGTGCACTCCTGAAATTAAGCAAAAGATCTAGCAAAGCCACAGAAACAAAAGGGAGCATTATTTCAATACAAGGTATTCCTTAATGTGACTACATTGGCTGACAAAGTGTCAATCAAGTTACAGTGATGTTTGTCAACTCACTTTAGAAAAATCCACAAAACCACTTGCCATAGGCTGATGAAAAATGTTAGAGGGGGCTACCATTCCAGAATCATCTCTCTCCATTGGCTGATGTTGGGAGAATGTGCTTGGGTCTGATAATTGTTGATGCATTGGATGGTTCCCCATCACAGATTGCGACCAACCTGATAAGCCTTCTGGAAAGAATAATTGAAAACAAAGTTTTAAATTTATTTGGATAAAACAACAAAACATTACCATTGTTATTACCAAACATGACCAAATGTTACTGAAATCTTTCCTCTGAAGAGCTCAAAGCGTATTTATCACAGTCTTGCTAGCCAAAAAAAACCAGTTCCTGAAAAACTAGGTAAAGTCCTCTGAATACTCCACTTTACCCTGTCTTTTAAAAGATTAAGTACTCTCTGAAAGAACTCAAATGATTATTTAAGAGAGAAAGGACACACACTTTGAATCTTTTGTTTCTGATTAACTCTATGTATTACCTCAACCAATATTCCAGACTCTGAAATTGGACTGAACTCCTCAAAGATATAAACACCCTTCCCTAATTGAGTGTTAAACATAGGAACTAAGTTTTTTTTGTTTGTTTTTTCTAAGGAACTAAGTTTTAATGGCAAACCTACAGCTTACTTAAGATATCCCTCCAGAGAGAGAGCAAGGCAATTGTACCTGACACAGCATTGACACCAAATGACCAGATTCCACTGTGTCCAACGGGAGCGACAAAACTGGTCCCCGCCGGGGCTTGTGCAACAGACCCTCCTTGCCGAATTCGGGCCAGTCTCTCTGTTCCAATTGGGGGAGGTATCTTTCGATCTTGACTGGCACTGACTCCTTTTGGTTGGCCCAACGTTGGTGGGGCAGAAGTGGCTGAAAGAGGTGAAGATGATCCCGAAGAAACAGATGGAATAGGAGAGTCACCTGGTGGCAAAATATTTCTCTATTGTTTTATTACATATAAAAAACTATAAGAATATGAGAAACCTTGTTGGAAAGATCTATTCCACAACATAAGTTCTGTAAAGAAAATTTTCATTTTAAAAGAACATTCAAATAAAACATAATTTCTATAGACATTATCCTACACGATTTCTGCCTATAATAAGTATACAACAGTCTAAAAAATGTTTTCCCAATTGAACTAAACAATGCTAGAAAGGAAGCAGGCCACATTTGTTTTTATTCTAGCTCTAAATAATCTGCTCAAAACATTACTGTCACTTTTTTTTTTTTTTTTGAGACGGAATTCCGCTCTTGTTGCCCAGGCTGGAGTACAATGGCGTGATCTTGGCTCACTGCAACCTTTGCCTTCTGGGTTCAAGCGATTCTCCTGCCTCAGCCTCCCGGGTAGCTAGGATTACAGGCATGCACCACCTCACCTGGTAATTTTGTATTTTTAGTAGAGACGGGTTTCTCCATGTTGGTCAGGCTGGTCTCAAACTCCCAACCTCAGGTGATCTGCCCGTCTCAGCCTCCCAAAGTGCTGGGATTACAGACGTGAGCCACCACGCCCAGCCACATTTGAAAATTAACTAAAATGTGGCAATATTTGCACAGTACCTAGCATATTTTCTAGAAAACATCTGGTGACCCTCTATACTTGTTAGTCTTTTCTTTTTTCCCTTTCTACAGCCCTTTTTGTTTCTATAAGGAAATAAGGTCAAATGTTAGCAAAGCATTGTACGATTTTGATTCACAGCTTTGTTTCTTAATGGAACTCTTGGGTGATTTGGGTAATTTTCCTTGTCAAAAAAGCCAATACTCACTGACTACCTCATGATGCTCATTAAAATAAAATAAAAATCCAATTCCGTTCAATTCCACATACTTCATCTGTTCTAAACATTGAAATAAATAGAACAAAGGGGTCAGGCAGGTGGCTCACGCCTGTAATCCCAGCACTTTGGGAGGCTGAGGCAGGTGGACCACCCAAGGTTAGGAGTTTGAGACCAGCCTGGCCAACATGGTGAAACCCTGTCTCTACTAAACATATAAAAATTAGCCAGGCGTGGTGGCAGGCACCTGTAATCCCAGCTGCTCGGAAGGCTGAGGCAGGAGAATCGCTTGAGCCTGGGAGGCAGAAGGTGGAGTGAACCAAGATCGTGCCACTGCACTCCAGCCAGGGCAACAGAGCGAGACACTCTATCTCAATCAATCAATCAATCAATCAATAGAACAAAGGAATATTTTAACTTATAAAAGGCAATAGTTTCATAAAATGTAAAAATACATGAGAAATCACACCAAACTGACCATATACAAAAATTCAACTTCTTTCCAGATTTAAGAAATAATTTTACAACACTGCTTCCAAAGGGTCCTTTTGTAAAACTACTTGCGGTACTTTTTTTTTTTTTTTTTTTTTTAATAGAGACAGGGTCTTGCTGTTGCCCAGGCTGGTCTCCAACTGCTGGGCTCAAGCGATCCTCTTGCCTAGGCCTCCCAAAGTGCTGGGATTACAGGTGTCAGCCACTGCACCCAGCCTAGTACCTCTTTTCTTGATCCAAGTTCTACTGTAAAACATTTTTGGCTTGAAAGAATAATTCTCAAGTTTTCTATGCTAAAAATGACTGACAATTTTTTCACATGACCACAGAACAAACCTTGGGCATCTGTATACCACTTAGTTTACTAAAGTTACAACATGGTGTTGTAACTGAAATAAATGATTTAATAACTTATTCAAAACTCTTTGGGAAGAGTTCCTCCAGGATTCCTACATGAGTTTGAGGCGCTTGTCCAAGGATGGGGAGAAAAATGTTGTCTGTTGAAACTAGGAGTCCCAACAGGAGCTGGCCCTTGCAGGAAAACCCTTGTTCCTGGTATGCCGGAAAAACTTGCCAGAGGAGCAGAAGAGGAAGATGGGGAGCTGCCTGATGGGTCAATGGATGGTAACCCTGAAATAAAACAGGTCCAAGACATCCAATTAGCTAAAACTTTAAAATTGAAAGCCCAAGAAGACTTCCACCAAAGTGAGATAAGCTGTAAAAATAACCAAACAAATAAATAAAAGATAGCATGTGGCTCATTTTCATAGACCACAGCAAAAACAATCCATCTATGTGATACTGTATGGCCAAATCCATTTTTTCCTTACAGTCCAGAAGAATATCGCCAAACAGCACTAGATACAGGAAAATGGGCTCAATGTTTAAGAGTGTCAGTCACCTGGAGTAATGTTCTAGATGAATCTCAAAGCTTTTAACTGGAGGGGATATGAAATGGGAGTATGCTGTAACTAAGTAGCACCCAACAATAACTCCTGCATTCCCTTTTGTAGTCAAAGTACAGCTTTTCATCTGTATAACTATAGTCATTTTCTATAGAAGATAAGTAACAAAATCTACCAATGTTTCCTTCCTCACAAAGAGGAAAAGCCTACTACTGAGGATAATTTCAGTATTCTATCTGATAGAAAATATCAACAGTTGCAAACTATTATCAAAGTTTCTATCTAGTTTGTATAAATCTGAACTTAGCCATCTTCTCAAATTCCATTGCTTTCTCTGGAAAATGTATTAGGAAAAGAGGATGAAGGTCTGGAAAAGGATTATGGTTTATTATTTCAGGAAAAAGTAGTTAATATCAACATCGACTGTCAAAATTTCTTTTAAGCAGGTCTTATTTTCAGACTTTGATTTCCCCATCATTTAAAAAAAATGACTTCGAGATGTAATTCACATACCATATAATTCACCCATTTAAAGTATATAATTCATTGGATTTTAGTATACTCACAGGATTGTGCAACCATCACCACAATCAATGTTAGAACATTTTTGTCTCCCTTAAAAGAAACTCCATACTCATTACCTGTCATTCACTGGGTCCTCACCCTCATATTTCCATTTCTTTTTTTTTTTTTTTGAGACGGAGTCTTGCTCTGTCACCCAGGCTGGAGTGCAGTGGCACGATCTCAGCTCACTGCAAGCTCCGCCTCCCGGGTTCATGCCATTCTTCTGCCTCAGCCTCCCAAGTAGCTGGGACTACAGGCATCTGCCATCACGCCCGGCTAATTTTTTGTATTTTTAGTAGAAACGGGGTTTCCCCATGTTGGCCAGGATGGTCTCGATCTCCTGACCTCATGATCCACCCGCCTCGGCCTCCCAAAGTGCTGGGGTTACAGGTGTGAGCCACGGCACCCAGCCTCATATTTCCATTTCTAAGCAATCACTAATCTTTCTGTCTCTATAGATTTGCCTACTCTGGACATGTGGGTAACTTAATGCATTTCCTACTTATTTCAGACTTTCATTATTGTGGTAGGCAACAGTAGGCAATTTATTACTGTGCTTTCCTGACAAAAAAAATTAAATTTTCTAGTGCTAACCAAAGTAGATGTTAGCAAAACCTAGAGGTAGTGAGAATACTGAATGTGGCTTTAAAAAGTCTGTAAGTAGGAAATGAATCATTTCTTTCTTTTTTTATTGAAATGAATCATTTCTATAATAACTTCTTGTTTTTTTTTTTTTTTTTTTTTTTTGAGACAGGGTCTTGCTCTCTCACTCAGGCTAGAGTGCAGCAGTGGTGTGATCATGGCTCACTGCAGCCTCGACCTCTGGGCTCAAGCAATCCTCCTGCCTAGCCCCGCTGAGTAGCTGGGACTACAAGCGTGTACCACCACACTGAGCTAATTTATTTTTATTTATTTATTTTTCTTGAGAGGGTGTCTCGCTCTGTTGCCGAGGCTGGAGTCCAGTGGCGCGATCTCGGCTCACTGCAAGCTCCGCCTCCCGGGTTCACGCCATTCTCCTGCCTCAGCCTCCCAAGTAGCTGCGACCACAGGTGCCTGCGACCACGCCTGGCTAATTTTTTTATATTTTTAGTAGAGATGGGGTTTCACCGTGTTAACCAGGATGGTCTCGATCTCCTGACCTCGTGATCTGCCCGCCTCGGCCTCCCAAAGTGCTGGGATTACAGGCGTGAGCCACCGTGCCCGGTCCCACACTGAGCTAACTTTGAAATTTATTTTTTATCAAGACAGGGTCCCACTATGCTGCCTAGGGTGGTCTCGAACTCCTGGGTTCAAGTGATCCTCCTGACTTGGCCTTCCAAAGTACTCAAATTACAGGTGTGAGCCACCACACCTGGCCACTGTCAATATTTTTACAGTGAAATCTGTCAGTCTTTTGTAAAGATCATGATAGCTTTTTTTTTTTTTGGAGACAGAGTCTTGCTCTATTACCCAGGCTGAGTATAGTGGCACAATCTCAGCTCACTGAAACCTCTGCCTCCCAGGTTCAAGCGATTCACCTGCCTCAGCCTACTGAGTAGCTGGGATTACAGGCACCCACCACCATGCCTGGCTAAATTCGGTATGTTTGGTAGAGACGGGGGTTTCCCCATGTTGGCCAGGCTGGTCTTGAACTCCTGACTTCAAGTGATCCACCCAACTCAGCCTCCCAGCACAGGCGTGAGCCACCATGCCCAGCTAATCATGATAGCTTTTAAAGATCATGATGTGCATTTTGGGGACCTAAATGTAGATGCCACATAAATGTACTTTTTAATAGCTTTACTGAGATTTAATTCACAAACCATACAATTTACTCATTTAAAGTTATACTATTCAGTAGCTTTTTGTATATTCACAGAATTGTGCATTCATGACCACATCAATTTTAGAACATTTCTGTTATCCTAAAAAGAAACTCTGAAGCTGGGCATGGTGGCTCACACCCGCAATCCTATCTCTTTGGGATGCCAAGGTAGAATAATTGCTTGAAGCCCAGGAGGTTGAGGCTGCAGTGAGCCATGATCACGCCACTACACTCCAGCCTGGGCAACAGAGTGAGGCCCTGTCTCAAGAAAAAAAAGAAAAAGAAATTCTGCACCCCTAAGCTATCACCCACCCTCCAATCACCCCTTCATCCTAGGTAACCACTAATCTACTTTCTGTCTCTATGGATTTGCTAATCTGGATGTTTCACATAAATGGAATCATAAAATAAATATCTGGTCTTTTGTGACTGGCTTCTTTCATTTAGTAAAATGTTTTCAAAGTTCATCCATGTTATAGCATGAATCAGTACTTCTTTTTTTTTTTTTTTTTTAAGACAGAGTCTCGCTCTGTCACCAGGCTGGAGTGCAGTGGCGCGATCTCAGCTCACTGCAACCTCCACCTCCTGTGTTCAAGTGATTCCCCTGCCTCGGCCTCCTGAGTAGCTGGGACTACAGGAGTGCACCACCACACCCAGCTAATGTTTTGTATTTTAGTAGAGACAGGGTTTTACCATGTTGGCCAGGCTGGTCTCGAACTTCTGATCTCATGATCCAACCACCTCGGCCTCCCAAAGTGCTGGGATTATAGGCGTGAGCCACCGCGCCTGGCCCTTTATTTCTTTTTATACCAAATACAAAATATTACATTCTATAGATATACCACATTTTGTTTATCTGCTTGTCAGTTAATGAACGTTCGGTTGTTTCTACATTTTGGCTATTATGAATAATGTTGCTATGAACATTGGTGTGCCAGTTTTTCTATAGACATATATCTTCCCTAGGAGTAGAATAATGGGATCATATGATCACTCTTAACGTCTAACTTTCTGAGGAACTGTGAAACTGTTTTTCCAAAGCAGATGTACCATTTTACATTCCTACCTACCATGTATGATGGTTTCAGTTTCTCTCTATCTTTTCCCATCTTCTTAAGTATTACTACTTTTTTTTTTTCCTGACAGTCTCGCTCTTTTGTTCAGGCTTGGAGTGCTGTGGCATGATTTCGGCTTACTGCAACCTCCATCTTCTGGGTTCAAGTGATTCCTGTGCCTCAGCCTCCCAAGTAGCTGGGACTACAGACCTGCACCATCATGCCTGGCTATTTTTTATATTTTTAGTAGAGATGGAGTTTCACCATGTTGGCCAGGCTTGTCTCAAACTCCTGACCTCATGTAAACCACTCGCCTCAGCTTCCCAAAGTGCTGGGATTACAGGCATGAACCACCACGCTCAGTCGGTATTACTACTTCTTACCTGAAAACTAGGAAAGTAAACTATATCCGTGAAAAGAGCATCAACAAAAGAAACCATACAAGCAGTTAAGAAATGGGGCCAAGATTATTAATCCTAGGCCCTAGAAGGAAGGTCAAGGATTAATGCTTCCTATCACATCCTGGGTACTGGAAATGAGCTCTTCTTTCACCCTGGGGCTTCTCAAAGTCTATATTACTTTCCCCAAATGAAAAGTTGTAATAGATGCCTATTTACAGAGAGGAATGGAAAAAATTTAGAGAATATTTTGGACCATAGATAGTCATATGCAGGCTTCTATTTCTATTTGAAATACAATATAACAGCTATGTTTTCCTGAAAAGACAAGTAAATGGAAACATATCTGAAATGAAAGCTAGGGCTACGCCATATTCATAACTCACAAATAATTTTAAACAACATAGGTCAGTTTATAATTAGCAACAAAGTAGCATGGAATATGGGGCAGTTTTCCAACTGGAAGAGAAATGCTAAGAGGCAATAGTGCCATATTCTGGGTCGGCCACATTTTTAATTTGTTTTTCAGAACAGTGCAGATTAGACTAAAATTTGGCTCTTAAACCATAGAAAATAGATTCTGGTTCTCCAAATATCTCCAAGCCAAAACTGACCTCAGATCTGTCTATATATTTCTCATAATGCCTCGGCAGCTAATTTATAATTTCAAAGAAGCAACAGCTAAATCTACACTGGTCTTTCAAAAGTAAGAGCCTATAAATGACTGGGTCTCTTCAAATAGCTGTATCTAGGCTGGGCACGGTGGCTCACACCTGTAATCCTGGCATTTTAGAAGGCCAAGGCAGGCGGATATTGCCTGAGCACAGGAGTTCGAGACCAGCCTGGGTAACACGGCAAAACCCCGTCTCTACTAAAAATACAAAAAATTAGCCGGGCATGGTGGCGCATGCCTGTAGTCCCAGCTACTTGAGAAGATGAGGAACGAGAAATGCTTGAGCCTAGGAGGCGGAGGTTACAGTGAGCTGAGACTGGGCCACTGCACTCCAGCCTGGGTGATAGAGTGAGACCCTGTCTCAAAAAAATAAAATAAAATAATAAAAATAAAAAATAAAATACATAAAAAACAAATAGCTATACCTAAAATAAACAAGAGTACTATTAAACAATGTAAATTATGAACTTGTGCCTAAACACCTTTGCAACTTCAATTTTTTAAATCTAAGAAATGCAAACAATCACTATGATTTTTTTTTTAAGTCTGTAAATTTGGAATCCTTGAAACATCCCTGGAGTTTTTTTTATTAATATGAATAGACACCAATTCCAAGAAAATGGACTTACACTATGGTATAACTTCCTTACTATGAGGGACAGAAAAATCATAGAGAGAATCTAAAGCAGCTCATTATATGTGACTGATTTACCTCTTGCTACTTTTTTTGTCCACTTAAGGTGAGATTAGGCCATAGGAGCTCCAAACTCAACTGCAGCAATAGTTAATAACTTACCAACTGGACTAGTAGAAACTCGCTGGGAAGGTGGTCTGAAGCCAGGTGCCTTTGAGTTATCAGGGTGCATGTTTTCCAAGTGTCCAAGCACTGAGTTACCCAGGAACGCTGACTGAACAGTGAAAGAGGCATCTGTAGCAACTCGTGAGGACAGTGGACCATCTCCCCAGCCCTGGTTAGCTGGCACCTGACTACTATCAAAAAGACTGCTGAAGTGATTGAAAAGTGTGGCTGGGCCAAATGTAGGTGGCAAAGACTTATTTGCTGGGTTTATGTGCATCTGAGAACCATTCATAATGTTCACAGCTGAAGAAAGCTGCACTGCAGCTGGTGGGCCTTGAGGTGGTGTTAAAGTAACTGGATTCGTAACAAAAATAGACTGGGGATCCTGGTGAATAGTTGCATTTGGTACCATGGAGTAAAAAGAACCTCTGGGCTGCATTCGATGAGAAACTCGAGGTGCTGGTACAGCTAACTGAGGTAAATTACTGGTGTCCTGATTATCAGCAGCAACCATTCTGGGTGATGTCAAAGTCAATGGAGCAGGTTCTGAGTTAGATGCAAAAGGCATTGACATAGGACTTAAATCAGACACACTGGATGGCTGTGCCTCCTCTTGTGTGTTACTGGAAGTAGGAGTGGGACTACTGGATGGGTGAGTTTCTGGAGCTCCCGGGGTGTTGCTGGCAGAGCTACTGCAACTGTTTGCAGTTGAAGATGGGGTACATAGGTTTGCCATGGGCTGGTCCTGTGTGGACACTTTCTCTTTGGTGGGTGGCACAGCAGAGAAAGACTCCATCTTTTGTGAAGAAAGCTGTGCTTGAGAAGTACTTGCAGGTAGAAATGTGGTGGGAGCTTGCCCGCTAGTGATAGGTGCAGAGGAGACAGAAGGCAGGGAACTACAAGTGCTTGTCACAGAAGAAATCACTGTTGCTGGAGGACTTGTCTTAGGCACACAGGCAAACAACTGCTTTCTGACTGATGAAGGAGTCCGGGTATTAGTGACACACAGTTGCTGACTGGCAGCAACTACAGAAGAGACAGTGATAGGACAACTGGCAGTAGCTAGTCCAGCAGACTCTGAGGGTAAAACAGTCCCGTTCTGGTTAGGTAGACGGCTTGTGTTATTATGCTTTGGAGAGCTATTTGTGTTGCCAGGATTCACAGGTCTCACTGGGAATGGTCCCCATGTGTTAGGAGAAGGTGAGAAGGTTCCTCCAAACTGGGCCATGGGTAAGCGAGGATGCCGAATCTGTTGCATAGTTTGAGCAGCCAGCAGGGCAAAATGAGGGTGAGGATAAGCTAAGGGTAGAGAAACTGGGAAAGAAGAACGTACATTTGTTGGAACATTCTTATTAAGTTTATTAGCGGGCTGGAACGTAGATAACGTTGTTGCCTGTGAAGTTACAAGAGTTGGAGCACCCAAAGGAAATGCATTTTTACTGGAAGCTGCTGTGGTACCTACTCCAGATGAGAAGTTAGCATGAATTGATTTGGTGCTGGCAGGTGTTCTGATATGATTTTTAGGAATCAAGTCTTCCAGTTCCTTAGCAGGATCTTGAATGAGTGCATTGATTAGTTGAACTGCATATCTTGTTGATTCTGTGCCACCCCTAAGGGAAAAAAAAAAACAGAAACAAGACCAAAAACATTAAAAAAAAAAAAAAAGGTAATCTTAACCATCAAATAAAGTTCTTAATTATACCATACCTGACAAAGGTATGCTTCTTATAATTTCTACTCAGAACTAGCAGTATACATTTTGCACAATTACCTTATTGTGATCATTCTCTCGCCATTCTTATCTTTTTGTTTATCCACATCAATATGGGCACCAGTAACATCCTGTATTGCAGTGATGTTGCATCCTCCTCTTCCCATTATCCTCGACACCACTGAGGCTGGAACAGACAATTTCTTTGACCTATAAAATGAAGAATACACATGAGCTTATGAAATTAAATGTCTCTTTATTAAGAAAGATGTCTTAGTAAGTATGTTCATGGACATTTTGGAGAATAACATTTCTTAAATGCTAAAGAGGAAATTATTAAAAGTTTTTATTTTAGAAATTGATCTCTTGTAATATTGAATTGAATTTAGTAAAGTTAAAAATTACATTGCTCTGCAGTTTCAGAGAACCTAATTTTAAAAATTACACTGCCATTGAAAACAAAAATTATATTTAAATCACTCACAATATAAGCATTCAAATCTGCCCAAAATATTACACATCAACTAAACTGCAATGACCCTGTTAAAATAATGAATACCATATTATTAAAATCCACACAGAATAACTATGCTAGCATATTCATTTTAAACCAGTATCAACAGCTCATACTTAGCAATAAAAAATAAAGCCTCAGGTCAATGATGAGCTGACATGTATTCTGAATCTAAAGTTGATTATTAGTACTTTAGTTCTAGAATTACTGAGACATGAGAAAGAAAAAAAGCAAGAGAAAGCCTTTACATTTGAACTACATAAAAAGCAACTGAGGTTATCCAAAAAAGCCAAAATTTCTTGTGTCATATAAAATATGCATGCAAAATTTACATACTGCTTCTAATTTTGCTTTAGCATATTCTGGATTTAGTGTGGCAATGCAGTTTAAAATAATAACCACATTCAAATTATTCATTAATTAACTAGGTAGCCATCTCACATGAGAAAGGGAAAATATATGAAAGCTAAAAAGATGGAACTAATTCTATTTACCTTCGTACAACTTCTTTCCACCCTTCTTCTCTTTTCTGACCCCTTTTAGGGCTAGTGAGATTCAGCTTTATGTTTGGAGAGCTTAATGGCAATGACACTGTCTTGTAGCTGGTTGACAAGGAATTAGGAGTCACTTCACCTTCAAGTCTAAGAAGAGACAAATAGCAAGTACAATAAAAGATAAGTTTTAAGATAGAAACTCAAGAGACTATTCCTTTATAGCCAGAGTTACGCTGAAATATTCGTATTAAACTTTGGCACATCAAATAATCAATGAGTCAGAAAAACAGAAATAGAGCAAAGAACCCATCATTTATTTTAGTATTAAAATGGATTCAGATGCCAAAAATTAGACTATAATCAATAAAAATGACATAGATAAAATCAAAGCATGCAAATATTTTCAACTTCAGACTATGAATCCTATAAAAATTTCTAATAATCTCATTTCCTAACTAGCAAATGATAAAGAGGACATGGGTGAATTTCAGTTTTGAATATTGAAGATAGATAATGTGGTAGACTTCAATTGTTTAACACAACTTGTACTTGGATTAATATACTTCAAATTCTTGTACCAGGCATGAAGAAGGAAAGGTGCAGGTAGAGTTAACAAATCAGAAAAATTTACCGTGTCTGAGTTTTGGAAGTAGCAGTACTTGTCTTTTCTTCTTGGGAATGAAGGAGCAGTGAGGGGTATTTAGAGGAATTCACATCCATCACAAAATTTAACTCTTGGCTTTTACCACCACTGCTACTCTCACTGTTGCAGTCTGTGCTGTCCAAGTTATCTGAATCACTATTCCCACCTGCACCACCACCTCTAGGTTCTCCATTTATTTTATTTTTATCTGCCTTTTGTTGGGCTAAAGACATATGTTGTTCTGGTAAAATTAAATGTGCTGTAGGAGGGGTTTCTTTTGTTTTGTTCTTCTTATTTTTCCGATTGGTGCTGGGAGTTGTCACCACATTGGCCCTTTTTTTCCCAAACACATTTGTGAATGTTGCAGATGTTGCAGAGATTCCAATCGTAGTGGTGGTGGTTGCACTAGGAGGTTCTATGGGAACTTCTTGCTCCACTGAAATTGTTAAAAAGAATAAAAATCATACTGAGTCACAGATCTCAAAACAAATTCTGACAGAATATATTTGATAATTCATAATAATTCAGTGTTTTACATCATATTTTCCTTTCACCAGTATTCACTAAGAAATAAAGAAATCTTTTTTTTTTTTTTTTAGATGGAGTCTTGCTCTGTCGCCTAGGCTGGAATGCAGTGGTGCGATATTGGCTCACTGCAACCTCTGCCTCCTGGGTAGCTGGGACTACAGGCATGTGCCACCATGCCCGGCTAATTTTTGTACTTTTAGTAGAGACAGGGTTTCACCATGTTGGCCAGGCTGATCTCAAACTCCTGACCTCAAGATCCACCCGCCTCGGCCTCCCAAAGTGCGGGATTACAGGTGTGAGCCACTGCGCCCAGCTGAAATAAAGAAATCTTTTACTGTGGCCAGGTGCAGTGGCTCATGCCTGTAATTTCAGCACTGTGGGAGGCCAAGGCAGGTGGATTGATTACTTGAGCTCAAGAGTTCAAGATCTCCTGGGCAACATGGCGAAATCTTGTCTCTACAAAAAATACAAAAATTAGCTGGGGATGGTGGTGCATACCTGTGGTCCCTGCTACTGGGGAGGCTGGGGTGGGCGGATCACCTGAACCTGGGGGGCAGAGGTTGCAGTGAGCCGAGATTGCACCACTGCACTCCAGCCTGGGTGGCAGAGGGAGACCTCATCTCAAAAAAACACACAAAAAAAATCTTTGCTCTTGTTAGCCTAATAAATATTTACTATTATTTGTTGTTAGAACAAATATAAAATATATTTTCTTGTCTAAGGTGGTATAGGACACACATACTAGCAACATTCTTAATATTCTTTTTTTTCTTTTTATTTTTTTTTTGAGACAGAGTTTTGCTCCTGTCACCCAGGCTGGAGTGCAATGGCGTGAACTCGGCTCACCACCTCCGCCTCCCAGGTTCAAGCAATTCTCCTGCCTCAGCCTCCTGAGTAGGTGGGATTATAGGCATGTGCCACCACGCCTGTAATCCCAGGCTAATTTTGTAATTTTTTTTTTTTTTTAAGTAGAGACGGGGTTTCACCATATTGGTCAGGCTGGTCTCAAACTCCTGACCTCGTGATCCGCTCTCGGCCTCCCAAAGTGCTGGGATTACAGGTGTGAGCCATTGCACCCGGCCCAATATTCTTAATATTCTTAATTCTAGTCTCATGAACCCAAACCACAATATAATTTGAATTTAGGACATTTTTCAAATAGTATTTTAGAATTAGAATCCAAGTAGAACAAAATTATTTGCCTACTACAAGCACTGCCAGACAGTACAATAAATAACTCTTTGAGAGTACTAAACCCATCTCTACTGACATTTCAGGCCTCTATATCCTTGAGCCTGAATCTCAGCTAAAAGTAAACTGAGAAATTTTACTTCTAATCAGGAGAGGAAGAGTTAGAGAAGAATCTCAAAAAAAGGTGGCAAACTTCTCACTGTATTGCTTTTAGTATATATGCAGTGTTTTACAAGGTGACTTAAATTACAACTGAATTTATTCAAATTATGCGCTTGTTTTCCCTCTTGTTTCTCTGCATTAATTTACAATGCAAAACACTTACAAATATTTACTATAAAAGTCATTGTCCATTTCAGATTAATAAAGTAATCAAATGTTTAACTAGAGTTAACTAGAGCAAAGAGCACTCAAAATGAAGTTGATAAACAAAGGAGAATTTTATCGTTAATTCAGATGGTTTGTTTCTCACCATCTTCATCATTCTCCTCTTCATCTTCATCCTCTGGTAGTTCCGAATTCTCCTTAGGTTTGTTTTCTTCATCTTCTTCCTGTTTCCTTTTCTGTTCCTCTTTTTTCTTTTTTCTCTTTTCTTTTCTTTTTTCTCTTTTAGCAGCAAGAGCCTGCTTTCTGCTCTCTTCTCTTGACTGGAAATAAAGCAGGTATATAATTTTACCAATAAGGCAGTAATGTAAAATAAAGAATGAAATGATATTTTTATGATACACAGGGATTTCCATGGATGTTACTCTCAAAACACATTTATAAATGCCAACAAGAAAAAATAAACTGGACACCATCAAAATTAAAAACTTTTATACTTCAAAGGAATCATCAAGAAAGTAAAAAATCAGCTGGGCGTGGTGGCTCACACCTATAATCCCAGCACTTTGAGAGGCCGAGGTCGGTGGATTACCTGAGGTCAGGAGTTCGAGACTAATGTAGCCAACATGGCGAAACCTCATCTCTACTAAAAATACAAAAATTAACTGGGTGTGGTGGCACGGACTTGCAGTCTCAGCTACTCGAGAGGCTGAGGCAGGACAATCACTTGAACCTGGGAGACAGAGGTTGCAATGAGCCGAGATCATGGCACCGCACTCCAGCCTGGGTGACAGAGTGAGACTGTCTCAAAAAAAAAAAAAAAGTAAACAGTCAACCTATAAAATGGGAAAAATATTTTTGCAAATCATACAACTGGTAAGGGACTTGTATCTATAATATATAAAAAAAAAATCTTACAACTCACGAATGAAAAGACAGTCCATTTAAAAAACAGATTATGAAAACATCAAGTTATATGCAGGCTGGGCATGGTGGCTCACGCCTGTAATACAAGCACTTTGGGAGACTGAGGAGGAAAGATTGCTTGAGCCCAGGAGTTTGAGACTAGCCTGGGCAATATAGCAAGATCCCATCTCTGTAAAAAAATAAGAAAATTAGCCAGGCATGGTGACCTATGCCTGTAGTCCCAGTTACTTGGGAGGCAGGAGGATTGCATGTGCCCAGGAGTTTGAGGCTCTAGTGAGCTATAATCATGTCACTGCACTCAGCCTTGGCAACAGAGTAAAACCCTGTCTCTTAAAAAAAAAAAAAAAAAAAAAGGAAAAAGAAAAAAATTAATTAAAAAAAAAAACCAAGTTATACATTTTAAATATACACAAATTTTTATTTGTCAAATATACCTCAATAAAGCTATTTTTTAAAAACAGAAAAAGGATCTGAATAGACATTTCTCCAAAGAAAATATACAAATGACCAATAAGCACAGAGAAAGATAGATGTTCAATATCATTAGCCATCAGGGAAAATCAAATCCAAGTCACAAGATATCCACTTCACACCCACTAGGATGGCTACAATCAGAAAGACAGATAATAATATTGGTGAGGATGTGGAGAAATTGAAACCTTCATACACTGCAGGTAGGAATGTAAAATGGTACAGCCACTTTGGAAAACAATCTGGCACTCCTTCAATCCTTCAAATAGTTAAACACAGAACTAGCATATGATTTAGTAATTCCATCCATAGGTACATGCTCCAGAGAAATAAAAACATTTTCATACAAAAACTGTATACTTATTTATAATTCCATTATTAAAAGAAAAAACATCATGATCAAGTAGAGTTATTCTAGGAATGCAAGAGATAGCTTAACATGAAAATATTTTGTTGATAATTAAAGAGAAAAAGTATGATTATTGAGAGATGCTAAAATTTTGATAGCAAATTTTAGTTTAAAAAAACGTAGTAAGCTAAAGAGAGAAGAAAAGGTTGCTTACAATCATTGAGCATTGTTTATAATTGCCAAGAAGTGGAAGCAACCCAATGACCATTAACTGATAAACAGATAAACAAAATGTGGTCTGTCTACAGAATAGAATTGTTTTCGTATTTGGCAATAAAAAGAAATAAAGTACTGATTTTGGCTATAACATGGATGAATTTTGAAAACATTTCACTAAGTGAAAAAGCCAGTCACAAAAGACCAAATATTATATGATTCCATTTATGTGAAAAGTCCATAATTGACAAATCTATAGAGACAGAAAGTAGATTAGCAGTTACCTAGGACACAGGGATTGCAGTGGGGGAATGGGAATATGATAGCTATGGAGTGCAGGGTTTCTTTTTATGACAGTCATAATGTTCCAAAATTGTGCTGATAAATGTACAATTCTGTGAATATACTAAACACCACTGAATTACGTAACTTTATTTATTTTATTTTGAGACAGAGTCTTGCTCTGTCACCCAGGCTGGAGTGCAGTGGCACGATGTTGGCTTACTGCAGCCTCTGCCTGTCGGGTTCCTGCAATTCTCCTGCCTCAGCCTCCCAGGTAGCTGGGATTACAGGCGTGTGCCACCATGCCTGACTAATTTTTGTACTTTTAGTAGAGAAGGGTTTTACCATGTTAGCCAGCCTGGTCTCGAACTCCTGACCTCAGGTGATCTGCCCACTTCAGCCTCCCAAAGTGCTAGGATTACAGGCATGAGCCACTGTGCCCAACTGTGAATTATGTAACTTTACATGGGTAAATTGTATGGTTTGTGGAGTGAATTTCACTAATGCTATTTTAAAAAAACATTTATGTGGCATCTATTTATGTGCCTAAAATGCAGCTATCATGGATCTTTACAAAATACTGATAAATTTCACTGTAAAAATCCTGACAAGAAGCTATTACAAAAATGATTCTTTCCTATTTATAGAATTTATTTTAATTTATTTTTTTAAGTAGAGACAGGGTCCAACTATGTTGCCCAGGCTGGTCTTGAACTGCTGGTCTCAAGTGATCCTCCTGCCTCAGCCTCCCAAAGTGCTGGGATTACAGGCATGAGCCACCACACATGCCCAGCCTGTATTTCTTTTTCTGTGAATTGCCTATTCACATGATCATTTTTTATTATGGATAAGTTATCTTTTTTTCTCCTCAATGACTGTAAGCAAACTTTTCTTCTCTCTTTAGCTTACGAAGTTTTTTTAAACCAAAATTTGCTGTCAAAATTTTAGCATCTCTCAATAATCATACTTTTTCTCTTCCTTTAATTATCAACAAAATATTTTTATGTTAAGCTATCTCTTGCATTCCTAGAATAACTCTACTTGATCATGACATTTTTTCTTTTAATATAATTTCCAAACTCAGTATATCAACACTGTCATTTTCCAGGTAAGCAGACTGAGCCTCAGAAAGGCAATGTTTTAGTTTGTTTGTTTTAATTTTTCCATTACAGCACACATCCTAGGATACTGGATAGTCTTTTTTTTTTTTTTTTATTATACTTTAAGTTTTAGGGTACATGTGCACAATGTGCAGTTAGTTACATATGTATACATGTGCCATGCTGGTGCGCTGCACCCATTAACTCGTCATCTAGCATTAGGTATATCTCCCAATGCTATCCCTCCCCCCTCCCCCCCACCCCACAACAGTCCCCAGAGTGTGATGTTCCCCTTCCTGTGTCCATGTGTTCTCATTGTTCAATTCCCACCTATGAGTGAGAATATGCGGTGTTTGGTTTTTTGTTCTTGCAATAGTTTACTGAGAATGATGATTTCCAATTTCATCCATGTCCCCACAAAGGACATGAACTCATCATTTTTTATGGCTGCATAGTATTCCATGGTGTATATGTGCCACATTTTCTTAATCCAGTCTATCATTGCTGGACATTTGGGTTGGTTCCAAGTCTTTGCTATTGTGAATAATGCCGCAATAAACATACGTGTGCATGTGTCTTTATAGTAGCATGATTTATAGTCCTTTGGGTATATACCCAGTAATAGGATGGCTGGGTCAAATGGTATTTCTAGTTCTAGATCCCTGAGGAATCGCCACACTGACTTCCACAATGGTTGAACTAGTTTAGAGTCCCACCAACAGTGTAAAAGTGTTCCTATTTCTCCACATCCTCTCCAGCACCTGTTGTTTCCTGACTTTTTAATGATCGCCATTCTAACTGGTGTGAGATGGTATCTCATTGTGGTTTTGATTTGCGTTTCTCTGATGGCCAGTGATGAGGAGCATTTTTTCATGTGTTTTTTGGCTGCATAAATGTCTTCTTTTGAGAAGTGTCTGTTCATGTCCTTTGCCCACTTTTTGATGGGGTTGTTTGTTTTTTTCTTGTAAATTTGTTTGAGTTCATTGTAGATTCTGGATATTAGCCCTTTGTCAGATGAGTAGGTTGCGAAAATTTTCTCCCATTTTGTAGGTTGCCTGTTCACTCTGATAGTAGTTTCTTTTGCTGTGCAGAAGCTCTTTAGTTTAATTAGATCCCATTTGTCAATTTTGGCTTTTGTTGCCATTGCTTTTGGTGTTTTAGACATGAGGTCCTTGCCCATGCCTATGTCCTGAATGGTAATGCCTAGGTTTTCTTCTAGGGTTTTTATGGTTTTAGGTCTAACGTTTAAGTCTTTAATCCATCTTGAACTGATTTTTGTATAAGGTGTAAGGAAGGGATCCAGTTTCAGCTTTCTACATATGGCTAGCCAGTTTTCCCAGCACCATGTATTAAATAGGGAATCCTTTCCCCATTGCTTGTTTTTCTCAGGTTTGTCAAAGATCAGATAGTTGTAGACATGCGGCGTTATTTCTGAGGGCTCTGTTCTGTTCCATTGATCTATATCTCTGTTTTGGTACCAGTAACATTCTGTTTTGGTTACTGTAGCCTTGTAGTATAGTTGGAAGTCAGGTAGTGTGATGCCTCCAGCTTTGTTCTTTTGGCGTAGGACTGACTTGGCGATGTGGGCTCTTTTTTGGTGCCATATGAACTTTAAAGTAGTTATTCCAATTCTGTGAAGAAAGTCATTGGTAGCTTGATGGGGATGGCATTGAATCGGTAAATTACCTTGGGCAGTATGGCCATTTTCACGATACTGATTCTTCCTACTCATGAGCATGGAATGTTCTTCCATTTGTTTGTATCCTCTTTTATTTCACTGAGCAGTGGTTTGTAGTTCTCCTTGAAGAGGTCCTTTACATCCCTTGTAAGTTGGATTCCTAGGTATTTTATTCTCTTTGAAGCAATTGTGAATGGGAGTTCACTCATGATTTGGCTCTCTGTTGTTGGTGTATAAGAATGCTTGTGATTTTTGTACATTGATTTTGTATCCTGAAACTTTGCTGAAGTTGCTTATCAGCTTAAGGAGATTTTGGGCTGAGACAATGGGGTTTTCTAGATATACAATCATGTCGTCTGCAAACAGGGACAATTTGACTTCCTCTTTTCCTAATTGAATACCCTTTATTTCCTTCTCCTGCCTATTTGCCCTGGCCAGAACTTCCAACACTATGTTGAATAAGAGTGGTGAGAGAGGGCATCCCTGTCTTGTGCCCGTTTTCAAAGGGAACGCTTCCAGTTTTTGCCCATTCAGTATGATATTGGCTGTGGGGTTGTCATAGATAGCTCTTATTATTTTGAGATACGTCCCATCAATACCTAATTTATTGAGTTTTTAGCATGAAGGGTTGTTGAATTTTGTCAAAGGCCTTTTCTGCATCTATTGAGATAATCATGTGGTTTTGTCTTTGGTTCTGTTTATATGCTGGATTACTTTTATTGATTTGCGTATACTGAACCAGCCTTGCATCCCAGGGATGAAGCCCACTTGATCATGGTGGATAAGCTTTTTGATGTGCTGCTGGATTCGGTTTGCCAGTATTTTATTGAGGATTTTTGCATCAATGTTCATCAAGGATATTGGTCTAAAATTCTCTTATTTGGTTGTGTCTCTGCCCGGCTTTGGTATCAGGATGATGCTGGCCTCATAAAATGAGTTAGGGAGGATTCCCTCTTTTTCTATTGATTGGAATAGTTTCAGAAGGAATGGTACCAGCTCCTCCTTGTACCTCTGGTAGAATTCGGCTGTGAATCCATCTGGTCTTGGACTCTTTTTGGTTGGTAAGCTATTGATTATTGCCACAATTTCAGCTCCTGTTCTTGGTCTATTCAGAGATTCAACTTCTTCCTGGTTTAGTCTTGGGAGAGTGTATGTGTCGAGGAATTTATCCATTTCTTCTAGATTTTCTAGTTTATTTGCGTAGAGGTGTTTGTAGTATTCTCTGACGGTAGTTTGTATTTCTGTAGGATCAGTGGTGATATCCCCTTTATCATTTTTTATTGCATCTATTTGATTCTTCTTTTTTTCTTTATTAGTCTTGCTAGTGGTCTATCAATTTTGTTGATCCTTTCAAAAAACCAGCTCCTGGATTCGTTAATTTTTTGAAGGGTTTTTTTGTGTCTCTATTTCCTTCAGTTCTGCTCTGATTTTAGTTATTTCTTGCCTTCTGCTAGCTTTTGAATGTGTTTGCTCTTGCTTTTCTAGTTCTTTTAATTGTGATGTTAGGGTGTCAATTTTGGATCTTTCCTGCTTTCTCTTGTGGGCATTTAGTGCTATAAATTTCCCTCTACACACTGCTTTGAATGTGTCCCAGAGATTCTGGTATGTTGTGTCCTTGTTCTCGTTGGTTTCAAAGAACATCTTTATTTCTGCCTTCATTTCGTTATGTACCCAGTAGTCATTCAGGAGCAGGTTGTTCAGTTTCCATGTAGTTGAGCGGTTTTGAGTGAGATTCTTAATCCTGAGTTCTAGTTTGATTGCACTGTGGTCTGAGAGATAGTTTGTTATAATTTCTGTTCTTTTACATTTGCTGAGGAGAGCTTTACTTCCAAGTATGTGGTCAATTTTGGAATAGGTGTGGTGTGGTGCTGAAAAAAATGTATATTCTGTTGATTTGGGGTGGAGGGTTCTGTAGATGTCTATTAGGTCCGCTTGGTGCAGAGCTGAGTTCAATTCCTGGGTATCCTTGCTGACTTTCTGTCTCGTTGATCTGTCTAATGTTGACAGTGGGGTGTTAAAGTCTCCCATTATTAATGTGTGGGAGTCTAAGTCTCTTTGTAGGTCACTCAGGACTTGCTTTATGAATCTGGGTGCTCCTGTATTGGGTGCATATATATTTAGGATAGTTAGCTCTTCTTGTTGAATTGATCCCTTTACCATTATGTAATGGCCTTCTTTGTCTCTTTTGATCTTTGTTGGTTTAAAGTCTGTTTTATCAGAGGCTAGGATTGCAACCCCTGCCTTTTTTTGTTTTCCATTTGCTTGGTAGATCTTCCTCCATCCTTTTATTTTGAGCCTATGTGTGTCTCTGCACGTGAGATGGGTTTCCTGAATACAGCACACTGATGGGTCTTGACTCTTTATCCAATTTGCCAGTCTGTGTCTTTTAATTGGAGCATTTAATCCGTTTACATTTAAAGTTAATATTGTTATGTGTGAATTTGATCCTGTCATTATGATGTTAGCTGTTTATTTTGCTCGTTAGTTGATGCAGTTTCTTCCTAGTCTCGATGGTCTTTACATTTTGGCATGATTTTGCAGCGGCTGGTACCGGTTGTTCCTTTCCATGTTTAGTGCTTCCTTCAGGAGCTCTTTTAGGGCAGGCCTGGTGGTGACAAAATCTCTCAGCATTTGCTTCTCTGTAAAGTATTTTATTTCTCCTTCACTTACAAAGCTTAGTTTGGCTGGATATGAAATTCTGGGTTGAAAATTCTTTTCTTTAAGAATGTTGAATATTGGCCCCCACTCTCTTCTGGCTTGTAGAGTTTCTGCCGAGAGATCTGCTGTTAGTCTGATGGGCTTCCCTTTGAGGGTAACCCGACCTTTCTCGCTGGCTGCCCTTAACATTTTTTCCTTCGACTTTGGTGAATCTGACAATTATGTGTCTTGGAGTCGCTCTTCTCGAGGAGTATCTTTGTGGCGTTCTCTGTATTTCCTGAATCGGAATGTTGGCCTGCCTTGCTAGATTGGGGAAGTTCTCCTGGATAATATCCTGCAGTGTTTTCCAACTTGGTTCCATTCTCCCTGTCACTTTCAGGTACACCAATCAGACGTAGATTTGGTCTTTTCACATAGTCCCATATTTCTTGGAGGCTTTGCTCGTTTCTTTTTATTCTTTTTTGTCTAAACTTCCCTTCTCGCTTCATTTTATTCATTTCATTTTCCATCGCTGATACCCTTTCTTCCAGTTGATCGCATGGGCTCCTGAGGCTTCTGCATTCTTCACGTAGTTCTCGAGCCTTGGTTTTCAGCTCCATCAGCTCCTTTAAGCACTTCTCTGTATTGGTTATTCTAGTTATACAATCTTCTAAATTTTTTTCAAAGTTTTCAACTTCTTTGCCTTTGGTTTGAATTTCCTCCCGTAGCTCAGAGTAATTTGATCGTCTGAGGCCTTCTTCTCTCAGCTCGTCAAAGTCATTCTCCGTCCAGCTTTGTTCCGTTGCTGGTGAGGAACTTTGTTCCTTTGGAGGAGGAGAGGCGCTCTGCTTTTTAGAGTTTCCAGTTTTTCTGCTCTGTTTTTTCCCCATCTTTTTGGTTTTATCTACTTTTGGTCTTTGATGATGGTGATGTACAGATGGGTTTTTGGTGTGGATGTCCTTTCTGTTTGTTAGTTTTCCTTCTAACAGACAGGACCCTCAGCTGCAGGTCTGTTGAAGTACCCGGCCGTGTGAGGTGTCAGTCTGACCCTGCTGGGGGGTGCCCCCCAGTTAGGCTGCTCAGGGGTCAGGGATCAGGGGTCAGGGACCCACTTGAGGAGGCAGTCTGCCCGTTCTCAGATCTCCAGCTGCGTGCTGGGAGAACCACTGCTCTCTTCAAAGCTCAGATGGAAATGCAGAAATCACCCGTCTTCTGCGTCGCTCACGCTGGGAGCTGTAGACCGGAGCTGCTCCTATTCGGCCACCTTGGCTCCTCCCGTCTTTTTTCTGGATAGTCTTTAATTGGGAATCTAATAAACCATTTGTAACCCAGATCTTAACAATAAACAAATGATTTCCAATGCTTTACTAAATTTCTTCACAGACCAATGTTAAAACCACTTAGGCAGTAATGATGTCATTTGGTAAAATGGGATTTTTTTTTTTTTTGGGGGGACAGAATCTAGCTCTGTCACCCAGGCTAGAGTGTAGTGGCGTGATCTCAGCTCACTGCAACTTCTGCCTCCCGGGTTCAAACAATTCTCCTGCCTCAGCCTCCTAAGTAGCTGGGGCTACAGGCATGCACTACCACACCCAGCTAATATTTGTATTTTTAGCAGAGACGGGGTTTCTCCATGTCGGCCAGGCTGGTCTCAAACTCTTAACCTCAGGTGATCTGCCCGCCTCGGCCTCCCAAAGTGCTGGGATTACAGGCATGAGCTACTGCGCCCAGACAGGACCTTTTTTTTTTTGAGACAGGGTCTTGCTCTGTCACCCAGGCTGGAGTGCAGTGGCTCATTGCACAATCATAGCTCATTGCAGCCTCAACCTCCCAGGCCCAAGAGATCCTCTCGCCTCAGCCTCCTGAGTAGCTGGGACTACAGGTGTGCACCTCTATGCCCGGTGAATTTTTTAAACTTTTAGTAGAGGCAAGGTCTCACTATGTTGCCCAGCCTGGTCTCGAACTCCTGAGCTCAAGCCATCCTCTAGCCTAGGCCTCCCAAAATGCTGGGATTACAGGTGTGAGCTACCGCTCCCAGCCGTAAATTGGGATCTTGCTCAAAATCTAGTCCTTCCCTTATATTTGGGCTCAAAATATATTTTTTTGAATGACAGGTCAGAATAAAAAATTGATGGTGGTTTAAGAATCTATTACCTATTTCCTTTGAATCATATATTATTAAGAATATTGGTCATATAGGCGACACGTTTACTCTAGCAGATTTTCTTTTTGTCTGAGATGGGGTCTCACTCTGTCACCCAGGCTAGAGCGCAGTGGCACAATCACAGGTCACTGCAACCTCTGCCTCCTGGGCTCAGGCCATCCTCCCACCTCACCCTCCCAAGTTGCTGGGACTACAGGCACCTGCCACCATGCCTGGCTAATTTTTTGTTTTTTGTAGAGATGGGGTTTTGCCATGTTGCCCAGGCTGGTCTCAAACTCTGGGGCTCAAGCAGTCCACCCTCCTCAGCCTCCCAAAGTGCTGGGATTACAGGCATGAGCCATGACATCTGTCAATTCCTTTTTTTTTTTTTTTTTTTTAATAGAGAGAGAGTCTCGATCTGTTGCCTAGGCTGGACTGCAGTGTGTAATTATGGCTCACTGGAGCCTCGAACTCCTGGACTCAAGTGATCCTTCCACTTCAGCCTCCTGAATAGCTAGGATTGCAGGCATGTACCACCATGCCCAACTGTTTTTTAAACTTTTTTTTGTAGAGATGGGGTCTCACTCTGTCACCCAGGCTAGAGTGCAGTGGCACAATCACAGCTCACTGCAACCTCTGCCTCCTGGGCTCAGGCCATCCTCTCTATGTTGACCAAACTGATCTCAAACTCCTAGGCTCAGCCTCCCAAAGTGCTGGGATTACAGGTGTGAGCCACCACGCCCACCCTCAATAATTTCTTTCTTTTTTTTTTTTTTTTTGAGACAGTCTCGCTCTGTCAGCCAGGCTGGAGTGCAGTGGCACGATCTCGACTCACTGCAACCTCTGCCTCCCGGGCTCAAGCAATTCTCCTGCCTCAGCCTCCCGAGTAGCTGGGATTACAGGGGTGTGCCACCACACCTGGCTAATTTTTGTATTTTTAGTAGAGACAGGGTTTCACCTTGTTAGCAAGGCTGGTCTTGAACTCCTGACCTCAGGTAATCCACCCGCCTTGGCCTTCTGAAGTGCTGGGATCATAGGCGTGAGCCACCGTGCCCGGCCCCCACCCTCAATAATTTCTAAAAAGGAAAATTATTTTTCCCACTCACCTTTTCCAGATCAAGTTCCTTTAAAAGAATACTCGCATTCTTATTTGCTTCTGCAGCTTGCTGGTCTTTAGCCTTCACAATGGTTTCGACACATTGATGACATTTTTTCAACAGTTCCTACAGCAGGAAATAGAATTATGTAAATATATAATGAAAGAGGCCAAATAAAACTTAAGCTGATGAGCACATTAAAGTCCAGAGGTTAAAGTTCAAACTGAAAAGTCACTAAACCAAATTAAGTTATCCTTTGAGTCCAATCTTTCACAAAAATAAGACACCATTTCCCTAAAAACCTGCATGTCCTTAGGAAGCCTTCTCATTAGGCTAATGGTTTAGTACCTTAGTGTAGTCACTGTGACTATGGTCCACAGTAGAAATCTCAAAATAGTTTATCAAAAGTATTATACCCCTCTATTTTGCAAATGGAGAAACAAACGCATAAAGAGATCAGGTGACCAACCTTTCAGAATATAAAAAGAACAAGTTCCTAACTGCACACTTTGGCATATCATTCCACAAAGAACAAAAATGTGCTTCAGTAGCATATTAAACTTACCTTATCTGTAATTGTTGCTATGTATCTCATGCATTCTATATCAGAAGGGAACTGATTTACTTCCTTTACCAAATATTGAACAACTTTTACATGACCCTATAAGAAGTACAACAATCTTAGACAAGGTAGCATGAAAAGAAAAATTATTATTCTTAAGAATAAAAGAAAGTAAAACAACAGAATTACAAAGGAATCCCTTGATTTTGCATATATGCCTACCAATTTAAGAATAAAAAGGCAAATACTTCCAAATAGAATATTAAGCTTAAAATTAAAATTATAAAAATAAGATCAGCATTCAGCTTATAAAAAGAAAGGCATAAAAGACAAGAATGTGTGCTCAGGAATGGATGGTGGACTAGACAACATTTCTCCTGAATTTAATCCCACTGAAATTAGAAAAAGCTTTTGTAGAAAAACAGTATCTCCTAGAATAAATCTATTAAACAAACATTGGTGATGTAAAATGAACCTCAGTGTAAAAGGGAAATGAGTCCTAAAATAAGTAATTTTTTTTTAAATTTCAAAGTCTTACTTTGCCTCTACTTCACTAACTAAACAAGGTGGACTATCACAACTTTCTGAGCCTTAGGACTTGAATCTAAATAAAACACTTTCTAAATGCCATTATCAAGGGTTGAAAGATCTGTAATCAATTCTAAGCATATCTTTTTTTTTTTTTTTTTGAGATGGGAGTCTCGCTGTTGTTGCCCCGGCTGGAGTGCCACGGCACGCTCTTGTCTCACTGCAACCTCCGCCTCCCGGGTTCTAGCAACTCTCCTGCCTCAGCCTCCGGAGTAGCTGAGATTACAGGTGCCTACCATCACGCCTGGCTAATTTTTGTATTTTTAGTAGAGACGGGGATTTACCATGTTGGCCAGGCTGGTCTTGAACTCCTGACCTCAGGTGATCCACCTGACTCGGCCTCCCAAAGTGCTGGGATTATGGGCGTGAGCCACCGCACCCGGCCAGCATATCTATTTTAATGTAACCAAGCTTGCATAGTTTCCCTTCCTACCAAGGTTCTAAAACATCCTTAAGAATTAGTGTGATGGAGATACAAATCAGAGAAATGCTTGCCTCTGGGGCAGGGAAGTGACTAAAAGTGGGCAAGAGGGAACCTTCTAGGGTTACAGAAATAATTTATATGTTTATGGGGTATGGGTTACATGTATGTATACGTTTATCAAAACTAAACCATGTACCTTAAGATTCATGCATTTCACTATATGTAAATTGCACTGTGCTAAACAACTGGGTATATAAACAGTGCTGAAAAAGATGGTCATGACTCTTGTCCTCATGGACCTACCAGTCTAGTTGGCGAGACAGGCATTAAAATGGTAAGTACATGTTTGAAGATATAATTACAAATTGGGGTAAGGAAAATCAAAACTCAACTATAAAAGAGAAACAGAGGGACCTTTTTCAGATTTGGTGTTAGAGAAATACTCTTTGAGAACTGACATGTAAAATTGGAGCTAACAGATGAGTAGAGAGGTGAGCTAGGTGAACAGCAAAGGAAATCATTTCAGGAAAAGAAAATCAGTGAGCAAAGGCCCTGAGGCAGTTGAAAATTTAGTGCATTCTAGGCCAGTAACTAGAAAACAGTGAGCAAAAGGGGATAGTAGCATAAATGATTTGTATGGGGAGGTTGACATGAAGCTTATTATGCAGGTCTTTACATGCCCTACTAAGTAGTTTATAGTTTGGGAAGCTATACCAATGGGAAGGCTTTTAAAAATACAGCAGATAAGTGAACTTTAATATATATGAGAGGCCGGGCATGAACTTTAATATATATGAGAGGCATGGCTCACGCCCATATCTCAGCACTTTGGCAGGCAGAGGTGGGAGAATCGCTGAGCCCAGGAGTTTGAGACCAGCCTGGGCAACATAGCAAGACCTCGTCTCTACAAAAAGTAAAAATAAAAAAAATCTGAGCATGGTAGTGACACCTGTGGTCCCAGCTACTCAGGAGGCTGAGGCGGGAGGATCAATTGAGCCTGGGAGGTTGAGGCTATAGTGAGCTATGATCATGCCACTGCACTCCAGCCTGGTTGACAGACTGAGACCGTTTCATACTCACACACACACACACACACGCACACAGAAGATACAGTAAGTTTTTATGAAAGTCTACTCCTTTTTGTTCCTCTTTAGGCACAAAAAAATCCATCTGCATATAATAGTTTTTCTTAAATCTTCTGTTTCATGAACAATGTATCACAAATAGTCAAGACACCAAGTGATTTAACAACCAAGTTGCTTATAGTGAACTACCACATAGATCTTAGATTTGGCCACAAAAGAATGGAAAGATAAGGTCGGGAGCCTGTAATCCTAGCACTTTGGGAGGCTGAGGCAGGCAGATCACAAAGTCAGGAGTTTGAGACCAGCCTGACCAACGTGGTGACACCCCATCTCTACTAAAAATACAAAAATTAGCCGGGTGTGGTGACGCATGCCTGTAATCCCAGCTACTCAGGAGGCTGAGGCAGGAGAATCACTTGAACCTGGGAGGCAGAGGTTGCAGTGAGCCGCGATCATGCCACTGCATTCTAGCCTATGTGACAGAGTAAGACTCCGTCTCAAAAAAAAAAAAAAAAAAAAAGAATGGAAAGATAGCAGTGATTTTTCTATGGAAATATACTCAATTCTCCAAGATAAACTTATCTTTCTCACATGGTTTTAACTTAGAATTGGCTTAAAATTGACCTTTCTTCCCCCATATCAAATTACCTTGCGAAATGCTGACATAAGAGGTGTGATTTTCCGGTTATCTGCTGCATCCACATCAGCACCTGCTTGCACTAGCAACTGCACAACATCAAAATGACCTCCATTGGATGCCAGCCAAAGTGGCGTATTTCCCTTTTTGTTACGAACATCAATGTGGGCTCCCCTGTAAACAAGGCATATTAATAGTTTGTTTCCTGTAAGAAGAGGCTGGCTTTTTCTAGTTTTCTCTATCTTCTTCTTTTACAAAATAACTTGCAAATAATCTTTTCTTAACAATATCAATAAAGTAAAACAATGTTATTAACTTTAAAAGCTCTGAAAAGTGAAAATGACCATGAGAAGTTCTACATATAATAGAAAAGTACTCACCTATGAATCAGGAGTTCACAAAATTTGTAGTGACCTTTGTCTGCTGCTATTGTTAAAGCAGTATCTCTTGAGGAAGGCACAGGGGGAGCATTAACATCTGCTCCTTTATCAAGAAGAACTCTTCCAACCTCTGCATACCCTCCAGAAGCTGCTTCCATCAAGGGGGTAAGACCCGTCTGTTTAAACCAATAAATTATGCAACTAAGTTACATTTCTTTTTTTAACTATTCCGTAGACCAAAACTAAGCTACATAATTTCTTTAAAAACCTGAGGCAATTAACTTTTAAGACAATTCTAGTTCTGATTAGCTCTCATAAAAGAGCTAAGCAATATTTTGCCTTGAATTTTACTAAACAGCAGTAGAAATTGTTAGATTCAGACGTGCTAGAATGAACTTAAAACATGTTATCTCATGCTAAAAACAATTCTGTAACTTCTATACTTTTGTGAATTTACTCAGATAATTTCTTTGCATAATGAATAGAGATATTAAAAATAAGTAGATTAAAATCACTTTATAAATTTTTTGCATATGTGCCTTTGGTACGTTAGTCTCCAACATTTTTTCAAAGGACATTTCCTACTGGTACTATCCAAAATAACACAGATTTCTCTAGGACCTTTAATGGATGAGTGGCACACAATGAATACTTGTAATAGAAAAAGACAAATTGAATGACAGGAAAGACTCATTTCTCTTTGTGTGGTAAAAAGCCAAGGAAAAACTACACTTCCTCATTACTTAGATTAAAAGAATGTAAATGTTGCACTAAACTTTAAGAAGTAAAAGGAATTTCAGGGAAGAAGTACGAGATTTCCAGTCAAATCTTTCCAATTTCAAATGAGCACTAGATTCTCTGTTGACTAATTATTAAAAATTCTACCCAACCTACGTCTTTCCAGAGTTCTAAGAACCTTGCAGTTCTAAGCAAAGAAATTCAAGCCAATGACATACTAACTCCTATTTTCTTTCCTCTGTGTGTGTTTCCTGCATCTATGGAGATTATCTTATGACTTTTCTCCTTTATTCTTTCTTTTTTGTGGGGGCGGGGGGTGGGATGGAGTTTCTCTCTTGTTGCACGGGCTGGAGTGCAATGGCGTGATCTCTGCTCAGTGCAACCTCCACCTCCCAAGTTCCGGTGATTCTTCTGCCTCAGCCTCCTGAGTAGCTGGGATTAAAGGCGCCTGCCACCACGTCCAGCTAATTTTTTGTACTTTTAGTAGAGACGGGGGTTTCACCATATTGGTCAGGCTGGTCTCAAACTCCTGACCTCATGTGATTCACCTGCCTAGGCTTCCCAAAGTCCTGGGATTACAGGAGTGAGCCACCGCGCCCAGCCTCCACTAACTCCTATTTTCTTAATACCAAATAGTCATGAAACTGTCAAAATCTGCCATGGTCAAATTAGATGTTAGCTGCCCTAATTTTATAACTTGTGAATTAAATTTTTGCTTGGGATTTTTACAATGATAAGCACATACCTCATTAAAGGTGTTCTTTAAAAGTCTACAGTGTAAGAGTTAATACAAAATAATCTTACTACATTCAAAAGTTGTAAGCTGCAGTATTAATAGAAAGCTACTCAAGGCTGAGGTTGGGAAAAGTACTAATTCTGTTTTCTTCATTGTCCTTAATAAAAGTCATGATGGTGACAGTATGTCACTCACTATTATACAGCATAATCCCTCAACTCTGCATTGGTATCAGTTTTAATTTATGATAATTTAAAATATTATATTCAATTTGCGTTAAAATGCCATGTTCTTTCTACAGAAATGTATCTGAAATAGTTGACAAGTAAAAAATGCTTACCTTTGCCCTATGTTCAACATTGGCTTTTCGGTCCAGAAGCAAACTCACTACTTCTGCTCGGCCCTGGAAACAGGCCAGGGTGAGAGCCGTGTTCCGATTGGTCTCTATTTGGGCATTAATGTCTGAACCCATATCGAGCAGCAATTTTACTGCAGGAACATGTCCATTCATTGCAGCCAACATCAGGGGAGAAATACCTAGTTTACTCCCAGTCCTAAAGGGGGAAATGTGCTTAGAAAATTAAAATAATATGTTGCCTATTATTTTAGAAAAGCATTAAAGATGAAAAGGTTTCACTAAAAAGAGAGGTTTCTAACATCAATGAATAGATTTTACTTGTTTCGACCAATAATAAAGAATAAGAAAATGTCACAATTTAAAACATAATTTCCGGCCAGACATGGTGGCTCATGCCTGTAATCCCAGCACTTTGGGAGGCCAAGGAGGGCAGATCACCTGAGGTCGGGAGTTTGAGACCAGCCTGACCAACATGGAGAAACCCCATCTCTACTACAAATACAAAATTAGCTGGGTGTGGTGGCGCATGCCTGTAATCCCAGCTACCTGGGAGGCTGAGGCATAAGAATCGCTTGAACCCCGGAGGCAGAGTTCGCGGTAAGCCAAGATCGCGCCATTGCATTCCAGCCTGGGCAACAAGAGCGAAACTCCATCTCAAAAAATAAATAACTTAAAAAATAAAATGTAATTCCTATTTAGGGATTATAAATTTCCAACTATATAAAATAAAATACCGTTTCTGAGATCAGATGAGATTGGGCACGTTTAGGGTGGTAGGCCATAGAACAAAACACTTTTTGAAATGAGACCTCTTTATAAGCAGCCACATTACTGAAATAAGCTGAGATTACTTATAAACAAACACATTATAGGTATAATCGTTGGCTTTGCAACTTTAGTACTATCTTAATTTAAAATGTATCTGTCTAAACGTTAAGAGGTAGACATTTAAGTCCAAAGTAGTAACTTACTAAACATGAACAATAAAATGAACAGGCAATACCTTGAATTAATTTCTGCCCCAGCATTAAGCAGAATCTTAATGATATTAACATATCCTCCAGACGCAGCTAGACTCAGTGGTGTATAATCAGATACGTTCCTATGTTCTTTATTTGCACCTCGAGCCAGCAGCAAGTCTACCACCTACAAAGTAAAATATGGATAGAGAAGAGAGTTTACACCAAGGGCTCAACTTATAATGAAGGAAACACAAAGAAACAGGACTTATAACTTCCTTATCTAAATATCTGATATTTTAATTACATTTCATTAGACCCTAAATATTGAAATATCAACACTAGAGAAATGGATTCAATTTCAGGAATTCAGAGTTTTGAAATCCCAATTATACTGCAATAACAAGATGTTACCCTTTCTATTTGCCATTTATTGGGCAATAAATTTGCACTTCATATGTGTTAGAATTGTGATTCATTCAATCCGAATAAATGTAAGGATTAAGATAATTTTTATTTGGCTTTAAGGGCAAGAAACAGATTTTTTAAAAGGGGATTTATGGCCAGGCATGGTGGCTCATGCCTATAATCCCAGCACTTTGGGAGGCCAAGGCAGGAGGATCCCTTGAGGCCAGGAGTTCAAGGCCAGCTTGGGCAACATAATGAGACCTCATCTCCACCCTCCTGTTCCCTCCACAAACCCCCGCCAAAAAAAAAGGGCATTTACATTCCCATAAAAGTTAACAGAAGTACCCATTCCTCAGAAAGTATATGGAACATGTTAAAATACGTGCAGGGCCAGGCATGCTGGCCCATAACTATAATCCCTGTACTTTGGGAGGCCGAGGAGAGAGGATTGCTTGAGGCCAGGAGTTTGAAATCGGCCAGGGCAACATTACATGACCCCATCTCTACAAAACAGCCCTAGCTACTTGGGAGGCTGAGGATTGCTTGAGCCCCAGAGTTCAAGGTTATAGCGAGCTGTAATTGCACCACTGTACTCTAGCCTGGGAGACAGAGCAAGACCCTGCCTCAGAAAAACAAACACACAAAATACATGCAAATTTTATTCATGTAGCTAAAATACGAATCATATGCATATTTTAAAATACAAGCAAAATATTTACAAAATGAAAATTAACATTAACACACCTCCTGACGTCCACCAGAACATGCCAATGAAAGCGGAGTATCCTTAGTTCGTTCAGACTGTGCTTCTATATCTCCACCTTTATCCAAAAGGATTTCAACAACTCCAACATGCCCTGCTGTTGCTGCCAGGATTAGTGGTGTGAAACCTAAATCAGAAAATGAAAATCTTAAACAAATTTATGTTTTTTATTTTATTTTAAAGCCACTGTTTACAATTCTCTAGTATTTTAGCAAAATAAATCCTTCAGGGCAGACACTGATAATGAGTTAACATAAAACTGCTCTAAACCCTAATTTGTTAGTGACAAAAAACCCATAAACACCTAATTAAAAAACTAAGTCGGTAAAAATTATTAAAGTTTATACTCATAATGAACTTTGATGCCTCTGTATGAACTACCTTTGGATTAACAAAGGCAACCACAACTTGCTCTATTTCACTAATGATCTACGTCTAATTTTTGAATGTTTTGAGAATTATTTGGCTCCGCAGAATAATGAATCCAGATATTCCTAACTGAAATATACTTATCCATCTTATCACTGAGATAGTCTAGGAACTATTTATCAATAATAAAAAAGTTAATTATTTTCTGATGTAACTACACTTGGATTTTATTTCTGACTGATATTTACCTTTTTTGTCTCTGTGTTCAATTTTGGCATCCCGTGCAATGAGCACAGATACAAGTTCTTCATGACCACCTGCACAAGCTAGTGTTAATGCTGTGTCATGATTGCTCTCAGTCTAGGAGAAGAAAAAAATAAGTTAAAATTTTTTTTAACAGAAGTTATCAATTTAAGAGCAAATAATATTTCTTTTCACAATAAATGCAGAATAATTTTCCTTTCCAAAGAAGATCAGAATGTGCAAAATAAGTTTAAATAAAGCAATCTACTCACATGTGCATCAATGTCAACTGAAGGATACACAGGAGGCATCGATTGGGAAGCCACATTGCTTGTAGTCTGCGAACAGGATTCAGGTGTAAGACACTCTGTGGTCTGAGAAGAACTGTTGGAACCAGTGGGCACTCTGGTACTCACAGCTGAAAAACAATATTCATATTGCTAAATTCCACTTAAAAGAGTAAGGTTATTTGTACATAGAAAAACACAAAAACAGAAATTTCCATAGCAGTAATATGTAGTAATAGTAAAATCACAAGCTTTGGAATCAGACAGACCTACATTTAAATATTAGTTCCAACACTGACTTTCTGATCTTGGGCAAGTAATTTAACTTCTCTGAGCTTCAATTTTCCCTATATGTAGAATGGCGAAAATAATGGTACCTGCCTTGGAAGGTTATTGGAAAGACCACTGAGGCAATGCAGATAAAATACTTAACACAGCACCTGATATTTAGTGCACATACATTAAATAGTAGCTTTTTGCATTGCCAACAGGGAGGAAAAAAAATTTCCAAAAATAAAAGTAAATAAAAGGAATTCTAGATTTTAGTTTGTAAAAAAGTCAATTAGATAAAAATATCCTGTGTACAATTCAAAAAAAGGGGGCTGGGCGCAGTGGCCCACGCCTGTAATCCCAGCACTTTGGGAGGCCGAGGCGGGTGAATCACCTGAGGTCAGGAGTTTGAGACCAGCCTGGCCAACATGGTGAAACCCCATCTCTACTAAAAAAAACAGAAAGTTAGCCAGGTGTGGTGGTACATGCCTGTAATCCCAGCTACTTGGGAGGCTGAGGCAGAAGAATTGCTTGAACCCAGGTGGAGGCTGCAGTGAGCTGAGATCACGCCACTGCCCTCCAGCCTGGGTGACAGAGCTAGACTACATCTAAAAAAAAGGGTGGGGGAGGGGAGGGAGACAAGTTCAAGTATTTCTCACATAAATAGCAGGGAGTATGTGTTTCCTAAATTCAATATTTATTTTGAAACTTTGTTAAAAAATCAGTATCTGAAAGTCCAACTATTTTTAAAATGAACATTGAAGTTCTATTTGAGATCTCAAAATGTGGTTTGAAAACTGAGTTAAGTCCAGGAGCGATGGCTCACGCCTATAATCCTGGCACTTTGGGAGGCTGAGGTGGGCAGATCACCTCAGGTCAGGAGGGTTGGGAGTTCAGGACCAGCCTGGCTACCATGGCAAAACCCCGTCTCTACTAAAAACACAAAGTTAGCTGGGAGTGGTGGAACGCGCCTGTAAGCCCAGCTACTCGGGAGGCTGAGCCAGGAGAATCGCTTTAACCTGGGAGGCGGAGGTTGCAGTGAGCTAGGATCGCACCACTGCACTCCAGCATGGGCAACAGAGTGAGACTCCATCTCAAAAAAAAAAAAAAAAAAAAAAAAAAAAAAAAGAAAGAAAACTGAGTTAAAAGAAATTATGTATTTTATATCTCTGAAAATTTCTTATGTTTCTTAAGAGATGGAGTTTGACCACGGGGGGAAACAGGACCTATCTCAGGGATGTTGTGAGTAGTCTAAGAGATACTGTATATAAAGCATTTAACACAGTGTTTTTAGCAAATGGTGGGTGCTCAATAGATGTAACTATCAGATATTTTATAGGATTGTCAATACTATTATTCATTGTATTGAAAAATAAAAACATTATTCACTCAAGAAAGGAAAAACTCAGAAAAAAACATATAATCAGTAATAATATACAAAAAAATCAACAAAGCATCAGTGATGGCAATAACCTTACATTTGCACCCAGATTAAAAGTCAGTCAAAAACACGTAGGACTTAAAGAAAAATGTAAGCATTTTAAGTGTTGGAAAATATTTTCTCTCTAGAATTTTTGATATGACTAGATCCCATTCAAAGATACTATTCGTAAGTGTGAATGACTCAGTTTAGTAGATTACTAGTTTAAATAAGTGAGCAAAGTTTAAGATGCCCAGATATATTTCTACATGAGCTACCCAGCTCATCCCCACCAACATATATAACCATCTTGGCAATACAAATTTCTCCAGCTTCTGTCATCACATAAATAACATAATTTAACTATTTAGTTACAAATAGGAATAATTATTACATATGTTTGTTTCACCTATAAGAATATGCAAAATGGAAACAAAGCCTTAAAATTTTTTGTCATTTTTTTCCTGGAAGAAGTGGCCAAGAAAAAAATAATAGTAATAATGAAAAATTGTTGTCATTCAATGAGTTAAAAGCAGATACTATTTTGTTACACCTCCTCAAAATAGCTGATATGTTTGGAAAACTGCTTGAAAAAACAAGACACTGAAGATTAATATGTTACAGAACCTTTCTAACAGTAAGACTTCAGTAGTGGTCCCACAATTATTAACATATACTTTAGTAAAGAACTACTTTTCTATCAGTATTTTATTTATGTTATCTCATCTCTCTTTATTATGAAAAACAGGTATATAAAAATTTTTTTGAATAGTTGATTAGAGTGCTATGCCAGAATGTGATAAGAAACTTCTTCACAGAGTTGGCTTTTAAAAAGTACTTTTGTGCATTTAACAGCTTTGTTAACAAAAATGTGTTGTTACAATAATTACTAAACATTTTTGTACTACATTATCCTAGAAGCATTTTTTCACTCCATGTAATAATGACAGTCAGAAACATTCCATAGCAAGTGCCTTTAACAGGACTAATTACAAATGAAAAGTTCTAAAACTAGGAAGTAGCAAGAGATTTAAAAAGTGCATGTGGAATAAAGGTTGTATCAAGAGAAAATTACACCAAGACTATGACATTTTCATAAATTCTAAAATATTTCCTACCTCTGAATGAAATATCTCTGAAAGTGACCAAGACAGACTGCTACCACAAACATCTATATATAATTCAAATTAAACTTATACGGTATGCTTTTTTTTTTTTTTTTTAAAGAGATAGGGTCTCTATGTGTTGCTCAGGCTGGTCTTGAACTCTTGGCCTCATGCAATCCTCCCACCTTAGCCTCCCAAGTAGCTAGGATTACAGGTGCAGAGTCACTGTGTCTGACAATTTATCCACTATTTTAAAATGAGGTGAGAGAAGTAAGTACAGTATGTTACTTGACTTTTTATGAAGTTGAAGAAAGTTTTGTAGGCAATATGGAAGATAATAAATCTAATTATTAAAAAATCTCACTGATACTAGGTGTACATAAAATATGTTGTGAGTTTTTTTTTTTGAGATGAAGTCTCGCTCTGTTACCCAGGCTGGAGTGCAGTGGCATGATCTCAGCTCACTGCAACCTCTGCCTCCTGGGTTCAAGGATTCTCCTGCCTCAGCCTCCCGAGTAGCTGGGATTAAAGGCACATGCCAGCATGCCTGGCTAATTTTTTTGTATTTTTAGTAGAGATGAGGTTTCACTGTGTTAGCCAGGATGGTCTCGATCTCCTAACCTCATGATCTGCTCGCCTTGGCCTCCCAAAGTGCTGGTTAGATTAAAGGTGTGAGCCACAGTGCCCGGCTGTTGTGAGTTTTTAAGAAATTTAATTGCTGTAATCTGTTTTATGTATTGGTAACTTTATTAAATAGTTCTATGTAAATAAAAACCTATGGTTGGCGTGGTGGCTCATGCCTGTAATCCCAGCATTTTGGGAGGCCGAGGCGGGCAGATCACGAGGTCAGGAGTTTGAGATCAGCCTGGCCAACATAGTGAAACCCCATCTCTACTAAAAATACAAAAAAAATTAGTCAGGCATGGTGGTGGGCGCCTGTAATCCCAGCTACTTGGGAGGCTGAGGCAAGGGGAATCGCTTGAACCTGGGAGGCGGAGGTTGCAGTGAGCCAAGATGCGTGACAGTGTGAGACTCCGTCTCAAAAAAAAAAAAAAACAAAAACCTATAAATAAAATATTAAAGTCAATTAGAAAAAATTATTTAAAGATTTTATTGCAAATCTCCTTAAGAGGATTTCTTAATTACTTTTTAATTCTTAAACCTATATTCACTACTACAGAGTTAAAGATACTTTAAAATTACAATTTAAGAGCCTGTTAAGATGGCAATGATAGTAACAACATAGTAAAAAGTCAAAAACTGTATTAAAACTTACATGTACATCAAATCTTAATATAAAAATAAGGGAAATGATTAATAGAATTTCGAAGTCTAAGGAAATAACAATACTTAAAGATAAATCAGAACTTTAAGTTGACACATATGCATGCATATTACATCTAAGGTTCTTAAACTTGGCTGAACTGAGTTTGAATCTTGGTACTTACTAGCAACTTAATTTCCCTAAGCTTCAGTTTTTCTTTTCTTTTTTTTTTTTTTTTTTTTTGAGACAGAGTCTCGCTCTGTTGCCCCATGCTGGAGTGCAGTGGTGTGATCTTGGCTGACTGCAACCTCCGCCTCCTGGGTTCAAGTGATTCTCCTGCCTCAGCCCCCCAAGTAGCTGGGATTACAGGCATGCACCACCACGCCTGGCTAATTTTTGTATTTTAGTAGAGATGGGTTTCACCATGTTGGCCAGGCTGGTCTTGAACTCCTGATTTCAAGTGATCCGCCGCCTGCCTCTGCCTGCCAAAGTACTGGGATTACAGGCATGAGCCACTGCTCCCGGCCAGCTTCAGTTTTTCAACAGAAAAATAGAGGTGGGAAAAGGACTTATTTAAAGTATTATTATAATTAGCCCATGAAATAAAGTATATTTAGCATTTATCATAGAAGTTGGTGCATGGTAAATGCTCAATAAATGTAAATAAATTGATATTAGGTGATTTTTAACCAATCTTCTTTCTATATTAGAATTGAAAATTTTGGCCAGGCGCGGTGGCTCACGCCCGTAAAACCAACACTTTGAGAGGCCGATGCAGGTGGATCACTTGAGGTCAGGAATTTGAAAGCAGCCTGGCCAACATGGTAAAACCCCATCTCTACTAAAAATACAAAAATTAGCTGGGTGTGGTGGCAGGTGCCTGTAATCCCAGTTACTCGGAATGCTGAGGCAGGAGAATCACTTGAACCCAGGAGGCGGAAGTTGCAGTGAGCCGAGATCAAGCCACTGCACTCCAGCCCGGATGACTGAGTGAGACTCTATCTCAAAAAAAAAAAAAAAGAAAGAAAATTTTACTAAGTATTTCTAGAACTGCTCAAAGGTAAAAGCTATTTTGAATTTCTTTAAATTACTTTATATTCCTAGACATTTGAACTTTGAGAATCACTTGCTATTATGGTAACTGCTAAAAACCCAATGCTCACTTTCAGAAGGACTTGAGGAACCATGTTCCTAATCAATAATTTATATAGTCTGTTTGGAACTACATCATGTATGACACGTATCAAACAACACACTAAAGGGCTAAGTTAATCAGCTAATCAAGTTGCAACATTAATAAATTATATAAACAACTTATTATCACAACAAATATTTTGAAAGAATAGCAATAAGGAAATAATACTCCTATATTTAAAAAGTAAAATGTACTGTTATCATACATCTAAAATTCTTCTAAAGTAAAATTTACTTCTAAAGTAAAATTCTAAAGTAGAATTTTAAGATGTACAGTATTCTTTACTAATATGAGTGGTAAGAACTAGAGTTAAGTAAAATTAATTATATATTTGTCCTACTCTATAATCTTACCAATATGTTAATATGTTTTACAATTACAGCATTAGGTATTAACCTAATTCACCCTTGCCTTATTTATTTTACCTTCAACTAAGAAAATTAAGACAAACTTTGACTTAAGAAAATATAATATTTAAATTTAAGACAGGTACATCATCTTGAATAAAGAAAATATAATTACTGCCATATAGTTCAAAACACATAGCCTTCACAAAAATGGAAGTTTTTACATGAAGATAATTTTTGTACCTGTTGGCTGATTTAAAATTTAAAACTTATTAATAAAAGAATATTGTACAATGTGGTAGGTATTAATGTCTAACACAAATTAAATTTTGTTTATATTAATAAAAAGATAATTTCTAAGCCAATTTTCTAAGTTTCATGCAAACTTTGTAAAAGACTAATTTAACAAATACTTCAGTGAAATAAAACTTGATGTTCCTTAACACTTACAAGTTCCTTTTAGAGCTATTTCTACATTCTTTAAAAAAAAAAAAGTTCTAACATAACTGAACTAATCAGTAACACAGATTTCATAACTGCAAACTGTGCACTTAATTAGGAACATTATAATGCTAGTTACAGAACACTACATGTTAAAAATGTTATTCCCAGTTCATCAGTTTCATCATTATTATTCGTAATCATACTTCACATTCTAAAATCTGTTTTTACCCAGATTAAAATTAGAATTCCAAATGAACTACAAGAATTTATTCACAATTTATAACAACTTTCAATGCTAATAATACAAAGTTAATTTGTGTCTACCAACTGAAGATATAAAAACCCAAATTAAAGAACAAAGAGCCTAACTCCTTAAAACATTTCCCAGAATTTTAATTTTCTTTAAGAAAACTAAGACATTCCTCCTCTGCACAATGATACCTATTACATATCAGAGGAGCCTCAAAGGCAATATCACAATTCTATAACCATTGGAAGTCAAACACATGCCCAATAAAATTCCTGATTTCAGTAATCTTATTCCACATTTAAAAAGATTCAGTAAAGATCAGGAAGACTAAAGGCTCACAAAAGAAGAAAGGAAACTGAGATAGCATAATTGGGATGGGAGAAGGGGAGGAGAATATGACAAGAGGCAACAGACAACAGTAAGGAAAAAAATGTTGCAATCAAGAGACAGAGGACTGGCCTGCCTTTGAATATCACTCCAGCTACATCTTAGTTCTTGGTCTTCATCCACTGTCAACAGCCATTCTGGCTGCATTTCTGAATTGGGCTCTCATGGAGGTGATACATTCACCAGCCATCTTTAGGAAGGTAAATGATTAATTGCACTGTTTTCCCACTGCTGCAAGGACAATGAAAGGGAAAGTAAACTTGTGCACCTCATTTCATATCTAGTTGTAATTTTCCACACAACAATAAACAGAAACATATACTTCAAGGTTATCAGGCCTTTTTTTCTGTGTGTGTGTGTGTGTGTGTGTGTGTGTGTGTGTGTGTGTGTGGTGTGGTGTGGTTGTGTGCTTTCATTAAGAAAGTTAATGCAAAAATCCCAATCTTCAAATCATCAAGTGACAATCATTTTAATGCACCTTATCTTCTAACCACAAATATTATAATATGGAATACTTAGTTTTATCTGAACATCCCATTTAATTGGAAATACGTAAGTTGATCTAATAAAATTACAAATTAAAAAAGCTGTGTGATTTTAAATTTCCAGACATGAAAATCAACAGCAGGAAAATTTTAAGTATAATCTTATACGAATACTTCTAAAAGCCTACAAAGAAATTCTACTTTGAGATCTCCTACCCAAGTCACAGCACACAGTGGTTTTGATACCAACGGTTTAAAACAAAGGATTGTGGCAACTTTATTTCTTTGCCTTTGCAATATGACAAAAAAGAAGAGGGGAAAACACACTTTTGTGTGTTAGTGCTATTGAGCATAGTTAATTCACTTCCAAAATACTTCGAGAAATGGGTAATTTTACAAAGTTCTAAAATGGAAACGTACAAAGTCTACGTTTTTGGAGGGGTATATAAAGAAGTTCAGCACACAGATTAAAGAGAAATTATTACAGATATATTTCTTAACCCACCTGCTATCAGGTCATCAAGAGTGTCGGTAAGCGTCTGAGCTGGAGTTGCAACCATTAGTCCATCTGGTTCTTGAACTAACAGCCCCTGATCATGTCCAGTAATAGCAATCTGAGGCTGTCCTACAATCTGCTGATTACCTGATACTTTCTGAAGTTCAAGAGAATTTGTCCCATTAGAACCTAAGTCACTGGAAAAGTTACACTGTGGAGATGATAAAGGCTGGACTGGGACAAAATCAATCTGTTCTGCCGATGGTGGAGACTGTTGCTCATCATCAACATCATTATCTTTAAATAAGATTGTGTCAACCTGAGGTAACTCTGAAAAGTGATCCTCTGGGAGACTACCATCTCCTTCCCCTTCTGGGAAGACTCCTCTATGAGAGCACTGTTGGTGTAGAGACACTGTGTCTTTCTGACCTTTGGTTTCCAAGTATTCTTTGGTAAATTGCTGCTGTGTTTTCATCTGCAACTGCCTTTCCACTTTCTGCAGTTCTTTCAATATTTTCTTCTTCTTCTGGACTTGCTCTTCTCTGTTCTTTTTAAGTTCTTCTATCTTATCTTTGTTCAGAGGTTCACCTTGAATTAACTCCAGTGACTTAAGCTGTGCTTTTTCAATAGCACTAATTCTTTGTCCCAGTTCATTCAGCTTGCCTTCAGTCTCCTCTACTATGCACTCCAAAGGCTGGTATGGGTGAAAAGATGGCAGTAGGTCCTGATCTGCTACCTGGAGGGAACTGGACTTCTGCTTGGATGTACCTAAGCACATGAAAAATGTTTGAAAGAGTGCCATGCTAAAAAAAAAAAAAAAAAAAAAGAAAAGAAAAAAAAAAAAGAAAACCAGCCTCCCCTCCCACACACACGGACCTCCCTCCCAAAACCCTTATAACTAATGTTATAGAATGAATGTTCAGAGTCACACCAGTGTTAGGCAGGTTAAAGCCTATACTCATCTATTTCAAGCAGCACAAACTAGGATGTTGCTAATTCAAAAACTGTGAAGTTTTAAAAATCTACTTTAGGATAGGAGGATTTTGGAAATTAAGTCAGGGGCGGGGAAAAGGAAAACCAAGAGGCAAGAATCTCAAAATTCTGCTGATTAGATTGGACTTTTTAAAGAACACCAAATCTAAAGCAGTATCAAAATAGCGTTGAAAATACCAGAAATGTTAACTGCCCATTTAGAACAATCATTCTTTTAGCAATATCAACTCTGCAAGCAATGCAGAGTTAATGCAAAAGACCAAAACTTACAGATCAAAGTAGGGGATAGTGTTTTTCAGTCAAAATATTTTTCTTCTTATATTGAAATATAATGTGAAATCAGTTTTTTCAAGACATGTCTTTCTAAAATTCTCCATTAAATATACCTTTAACACATCTGTACTGGAACACTGTTAAACTTACTATGCAAAGGACAACTTGCATTTAAATGAACACTTCAAGTAAATTCTGTCTATGAGAGAAACAATAAATGATCCTAGGAGAAAATCAGACTTCCCATTTAGGGTTACTCATGCTGACAGTATATGTTAACAAACAATGGCAATGTATATTATTTTAAGGTTTTAAATTACACTTAAGTTCCTTCCTTCATAACAAATCAGCTGAAAAATAATTATCAATATTAATAATCCTAACATCTGGACATGAAATGAAGGACATAAATTTTTTGACGTACAATACCTACTCTGAGGCAAATCTAAGGCTTAATCTTGTTTAGAAGTAGGACTAGGCCAGGCACAGTGGCTCACGCCTGTAATCCTAGCACTTTGGGAGGCAGAGGCAGGCGGATCACAAGGTCAGGAGATCGAGACCATCCTGGCTAACACGGTGAAACCCCGTCTCTACTAAAAATACAAAAAATCAGCCAGGCATGGTGGCGGGTGCCTGTAGTCCCAGCTACTCAGGAGGCTGAGGCAGGAGAATGGCGTGAACCCGGGAGGCGGAGCTTGCAGTGAGCCGAGATTGCGCCACTGCACTCCAGCCTGAGAGAGCGAGACTCCATCTCAAAAAAAAAAAAAAAAAAGTAGGACTATTCAGCAACAAAAAGGAACAAACTACTGATTCATGCTACAACATGAGTAAACCTCAAAAACATTATACTAAGTGAAAGAAGCTAGACACAAAAGACCACACATTGTGTAATTCCACTCATATCAAATCTGCAGAGACAAGGCAAATCTATAGAGACAGGGACAGTAGTGGCTGCCTGAGGTTATAACAGTGAAAATGAGGATCAATTGCAAACAGGCATAAGAGATCTTTTTGGGCAGATGGAGATGGTCTAAAACTAGATAGTGATGATGGTTACACAACTCAGTAAATTTACTAAAACTCATTGCATTGTACATTTAAAACAAGGGAACTTTATGGTATGTAAATTAAACAATAAAGCTGTTTGAGAAAAGCTGGGTAAAAAAGTTATCTATTATTTTGAATTGCAGTCAACATATATGAATAACATAGGTAATTTGGGAATTTTTAAAATAAAATCATCCATTGTATTAAAAATGATTCTCAAGTCCAAAGGAAAAAAGATCATTTAGAGACATGAAATGTTCTGAATTTCAAAGGGGTGACAAAACTACTGAAGAAAAAAAAATTAGAGATTCATCTACTTTTTTGCTAGAATAGAGATCTCAAAACTGCAGGTAGCTCAAACATATGCAACATGTGTCATTACTAAAAAAGTCTAAGTTTTTCACCTACATACTGTCTTTAATAAGGTAAGATGACCACAATTTCAATATCACTGCAATCACTTTCAGAGGCTTAGTTATTCCTTAAATTGCAAAGTACACTGTCTATATTCAATTTATATATATATAATTTTAAGAGATGGGATCTTGCTATGTTGCTCAGCCTGGTCTTGAACTCCTGGCCTAAAGTAATTCTCCAGCCTCAGCCTTCCTCAATTTATATTTCTTTCTGAGTAAAAATGATGGAAAAAGACTTTATTCTTTCAGAGCAAAAGCAATTAGATTTGTGAGCTAATTTTATTATTACTTTCCTAAGACCATATAGGAGTCCCTGTTTTGATTTACAGTATTTGTTTAAAGTGCCTAATGACAATCAACAAGAAAAGGAAGGTAAATGGTCACAAATAGCAATGTACAAATCCACAGCAATAGCAAAGAAATATTCAGTCATGTAATAAATTCAATGACATCACTCGAGTACATTTAGAAGTTCTACAAAGACTGAATGGTCCATGGTCCTTTAAACATCCATTAGTTTCAAAACACCCTTGTATAGCTACTAAGCAATTTGTATTTAAGATTCAGGAAAACTAGGTAAGAGTTCAACACTAACCAGACTGGTTAGTAATTATGTTATGACCCCACTGGACATTCACAGATTTAAAATCTTTATACATAGTATAATCCAAAATAAGAGTAGAATTTTGAGGACAGTAACAGATAGGAATGGCCCTGTCTATCTTGTTAACAAATAATATGCAAGAAGCGTGGAACACAAGATTACTAAGAGTAATTTATGAATAGACAAACTATAAGCCCAGAACGTATGTAGCATTAAAAATGGAAGATGGCAAAAATGATGCATAAAAAGTGGTTCATCTCAAAATAGCCATGGAGTTAGTGGAATTGCCTAAAGACACATCAAAGGACTAACACAAGCTATAACATCAAGAATAAAACAGATTGGTGAAAAACAGATAATGTCGCCTAATTAGTCCTAGAAACTAAAGCAACATCTACAGTTTCTGGGTAGAGATTAAGACAAGTATTCTTTTAGCAACAAAATTTTCAACAGGTAGTAAGTAGTATTATAAGATACCAGAAAATAAAAGGGTTCTATCTCCTTCAAACAGCTTACAGTGTCAGATACAAAGACATCTATTCACTGGTATCAGTGAATGATATCATAAAGTACTATTTAAAAATAAAGGTGGCCGGGTGCGGTGGCTCACACCTGTAATCCCAGCACTTTGGGAGGCCAAGACGGGTGGATCACCTGAGGTTGGGAGTTCTAGACCAGCCTGACCAACATGGAGAAACCCCGTCTCTTCTAAAAATGTAAAATTAGCTAGCCCGGTGTGGTGGCGCATGCTTGTAATCCCAGCTACTCAGAAGGCTGAAGCAAGAGAATCGCTTGAACCCAGGAGGCAGAAGTTGCAGCGAGCTGAGATCGTGCCAATGCACTCCAGCCTGGGCAACAAGACTAAAACTCCGTCTCAAAGAAAGAACCACAGGTAAAGTCGCCATTTCATCTTTTTGGTTTGGTTTCTATCCTATTCCTTTGCCTCTCACTTTCCCTCCATTAACAAAACTAGAAAAAATCTGTATTAGAAGCCATGATGTAGTGACAGCTTAAACATGGCCTTTATTTTTTTATTGGCAGTGAAGGAATGAGGTGGACATGTATTTGCCAAATATTTAGTTTTTTATTGGATTGAGCTTAATCCTATCAATCATTTTTGTGTCTAAAAATAATCAGTGCATTGTACAATGGAAAAATAATGGCCAATGGGAAAAAAACATGATATACAGAAGGATCTAGACTAGATTTCATATTTCCTTACTTGGTTTTGTCTATAAAACTTAAACCTTGTTCTGTAATTCCCTTGCTTACATCATCACACAGCACCCTACTAGAATGATTTTTAAACAGCATTCCCAACTGGATCTCAAATAGAAAATCAGGTTGAAAAAGTATAACTAAAAATAACACAGTGCATCAAATGTAGTAGAGTGTTTATTATCCACTGGAATTTCTGTTTTGATAAACAGATGTATGATGTGTCCTGGGCTTCAATATAAAATGTTTCTTATTGTGGTCATAGTTAAAAATGAAAGCCACTAACCTAGAATTGACTTATTTTTCCTTTATGTCTAAATATTCCTCTCAAAATTTCCCAAACTAACAGGACACATTATACATTTTAACATAGCAATCACTTAACCAAGGGTGTCCAAAGAAACATCTGTGTTACATGTTAACAGATTAATTCAATCTTCTTCTTATTACTATAAGCAGTTATATGTTAAAAGATATTATCAAATTTGGGCATGTGTAAATCCATATAAGAATGATTATATAATGGAAAGTGACTAAAGAATATTATCAGTAAAGTTTCCAGAGGAATACTGAATACCATTCACTGTATATACAATTTTTCTATATAATTTTAATGATTTGATATAAAAATGTGAGAACTTTTCATGTCACTTACTCCAAAAAGCAACTCTAACATATAAAAGCAGCATGCCAATTTAATTCTTACTTTACATTTACGCTTCTGTTTTCAATCTCGTTTCCACCATTCTAGAATGCTACTTCTTGATTACTTTTTTAAAACATCTCTTTAATCACAATGTCTTTCTTAAAAATGCTTAAGAATTTTCTTCTGCCTTCAAAATAATCTATATTCTTAGCCTTGCACTCATTAATTTATTCAATAAGTACTTAAACATCTAATACAAGCAAGGCATAGTAGACCATATAAAGATAAGCAACATAAACCCTGCCCTTAAGGAGCTTACAGTCTAAGTGGGGAGATGATGTTCCAAAGAAATTCTTATATAGATCCATAAAGGGACTATACAAATATTTTCATCAAAGCATTGTTAGTGGGGGTGAGAAAATAGAGGCAATCAGGATATTCGTCACTGGGAGAAAGGACAGGTAAAACATGGAGGATATACAGGGTGTGAAGCACTATGCTATAGGTAGAAACAATCTAGAGATAGGTGGATAAATCTTAAAAACAGTACTGAGTAAACAAAGGGAAAAAACAAAATGAAATCTGTAGCACAATACTATTTATGTAAATTAAAAATACAAGGTAATCGCCGGGTGTGCTGACTCACACCTGTAATCCTAGCACTTTGGGAGGCCAAGTCGGGCAGATCTCTTGAGCTCAGGACTTCAAGACCAGCCTGGGCAACATGGCAAAACCCTGTCTCTACCAAAATACAAAAAATTAGCCAAGTGTAGTGGCAGGGCACCTGTAGTCCCAGCTACCTGCAGGGCTGAGGCAGGAGGATTGCTTGAACCTCGGAGGTTGGGGCTGCAGTGAGCTGAGACTGCGCCACTGTACTCCAGCCTGGGTGACAAAGTGAGACCCTGTCTCAAAAAAAAAAAAAAAAAAAAATATATATATATATATATATATGTGTATATATATATATATATGTGTGTGTGTGTATATATATATATATACACACACACACATATATACATACATATAAAAAATAAATATTTTATAAGAATTTATAAGAACAAAAGAATATACACATCAAATATTGAAATGATTATCTATGGGGGAAGCAGGGGAATGGAAAGAGAAATAAAAGGGAATAAATGAAACAAGAGAGAAGTTATGGTGATAAAGCACCAGAAATTGAGTATGATTAACTCAACCCTCTACACTTGAGGTCCCAAGGGGAGGGGAGCAAGCAAAAGTGACAAGAACTGGAAGGAAGATCCAATGAAGTACTCTAGAATTTCAGAGAAAAGGAAATTACTCCTCAGGAGGGCTTGAGGTATACACAAAAGATGTGTTTTGTTTATCCTGACATAATTTTAAATGCTTTGCAGCAGATTAATTCTAAGTTACACAACTTGCAAAAGATCAAAATGAATCTTTCTGTAGAACCAGTTATAACAAGGCAACGGATTTACATTACTTATGTATCCTTTCCCATCTGAATATTTGTAACTGCAGGTAATAAAGTTAAATAATGCTAGAAAACTGAGCATGTCACTCTGAGTTTCATATTTTATGGACGTGATTCTGAGGCCTCTGTTAGATGCCACCTAGAATCCTGAATCCTTGAAAACCAACAGACAAGTGAGATCAAGTTGCCTAAATCGGGAGGTTATGAATCAAGATGGACGGAGCCTGTACAAATGGTACACATGGGGCATGAAAGAAAAGAATATCTGAGTAGAACATATATCAAACACCTGGGTAAGATTTATGGGCATTAATACATTTTTAAAAGGATGAGGATATGAATAATAAAAAGATTTACTAAAAACAGACAGGAGTAAAATGTTATAAGAACCTGAAAAGATGATCGCTGGAAGAGGAAAAGAGAGTCCTAGGGAATAAGAACCCTTTGTCCATCCCTAATCACATACACGACACAGAATATATGGACTTAGAAGAAACAAAAACAAAAAGGTCAAACAGCAATTTCATCACTCAAGGGAGCTTTTCCAGAGACATAAAAGAGAAGCTTTAAGAAGAAAAAGGAGCTTTAAGTATAAAAAAAAAGTTAAGTCTTTATTTAAGATAGGTTTTCCTATCCTGGTAATTCAGTGTGTTCTTTTCCATAATTAAATGATTTTTCCTAATTCATAGCAACATAATATTCTATGATATGCATGATTTATACTAACATGACATTTTAACACAATGCACTATCGCAGTTTGATCCTACATAAGTAACTGTTAGATTGCCAATGCCATTTGGTTGATAGCAGTAGCAAGTGCCCAAGTGATCTAAATACAAATGTTAATTAGGGATAACCCTAATAATCTAGTAAAATGATTCCTTAGAAAGGTAGTCCATGTTTATACTATTTAGTAAGTAATAAAACATCAAAATGCAGAAAATAACTAAATAATCCAAGATATTTCAGTAAGCAAAAATATGGTTACTCACTAGAGTATAAACTTAAAAAATCACTACCTAAACATCTCAGAGTATTTACATATTAAACCTAAATTTAAAATGTTTTTATTTCCTCTTGGCATACACTCTATCTAGCTTATTTCTTGATTGTTTTGTGGATCTGTGTTATTTATTTATTTATTTATTTATATTTTGAGGCTGTCGCCCAGGCTGGAGTGCAGTGGTACAATCATAGCTCACTGCTGCCTGGAGCTCCTGGGTGCAAGTGATCTTTCTGCCTCAGCTTCCTGAGTAGCTGGGACTACAGGCACAGGCAACCATGACTGGCTAATTTTTAAATTTTTTTAAATAGAGACAAGTTCTCCTATGCTGGGCAGGCTGATCGATCATTCTGCCTCGGCCTCCCAAAGCACTGGGATTACAGGTATGAGCCACAGCACATAGCCTAATTTTTTTTCTTTTTCTGGTTTTTTTTTTTTTTGGAGACAAGGTCTCGCTCTGTGGCCCACACTGGGGTGCAATGGCACACTCATGACTCACTGCAGCCTTGGTCTCCCAGGCTGAAGTGATCCTCCCACTACAGTCTCCCTAGCAGCAGGGACTACAGGCTTGTGCCACCACTCCTGGCTAACTTTTGTATTTTTTTGTTAGACAGGGTTTCGCCATGTTGCCCAGGCTGGTCTCGAACTCCTGGGCTCAAGCAATTTGCCCACCTGGCCTGCCAAAGTGCGGGGATTATAGGTGTGAGCCCCTGTGCCTGGCACTAATTTTTTTCTGAGAGTCTCACTCCATCACCCTGGCTGGAGTGCAGTGGCAAGATCTCGGCTTATTGCAACCTCTGCCTCCCGGGTTCAAGTGATTCTCATGCCTCAGCTTCCCTAGTAGCTGGAATTACAGGTGTGCACTACCACACCCGGCTAATTTTTGTATTTTTAGTAGAGATGGGATTTCACCATGTCGGCCAGGCTCGTCTCAAACTCCTGTACTCAAGTGATTGACTTGCTTAAGCCTCCCAAAGTGTTGGGATTACAAGCGTGAGCCACCACACGTGGCCTATATTTTTTTTTATGATTTTTTTTTTTTTTGAGACAGAGTTTTGCTCTTGTCGCCCAGGCTGGAATGCAATGGCCTCAACTCAGCTCACTGCAACCTCCACCTCCTGGCTTCAAGCGATTCTCCTGCCTCAGCCTCCCAACTAGCTAGAATTACAGGCACCCACCAACACACCTGGCTAATTTTTTGTATTTTTCGTAGAGATGGGGTTTCATCATGTTGGCCAGGCTGGTCTTGAACTCCTGACCTCAGATGATTCACCAGCCTCAGCCTTTCAAAGTGCTGGGATTACAGGCGTGAGCCACCATGCCCGGCCAATGATTCTTATTTAGTATTGAGTTTCCAAAGCCAAAGTTACTACAGTCCTCTATAAGGTTTAGCCAAATAAACTCCCCCCCAAAGAAAACAATAAAAACAGAGGCATTTAGCTTTAAATATTTTACTAAAGGTTAAATATCAGCTGATTATGATACTTACAGATGCATGTTTAATTTGCTTTTTAATTGTTAAGATTAAAAACAGCAGGAAAATTTTGAATAGCTAGGTGTTCCATGAAAAACTGCTAGAATTAGCTTAAATCAGAGAGACTACAGATATTTCATCTCTGAAATTAATAGTTTAGCCCTGGTAAAGGCCCCCAATACTTTAAATTACTAAAATTGGCATAATTTGAAAGAAATTTCTGTTTGCTGCTATAACAGTCAACCCACACCAACTTTTCTTAAATCAGTGTTACAGATATTTATATACACTTACATACCTCATTGTGATTTCAATATCTAGGACTTGATTATCATACACTAAATGAACGATGTTCATAAGTTTGTTTTTACATAGTTTTAAACATCCTACATATTAACTATTTTCTTTATTTCAGAAAACTCAGATATTACAACTATACATAATTATGAAGTGAAGGTACATTTATACATGAAGGTACATTTCATTTACAAATATAAAGACAGCAGAAACATATCAGAGCTCATAAACTTGAGTTTTTTAAGTAGTATACTCTCCTTCTTAATAGTCATTTGGATATTACTTGTACACATTTTATTTTGATAGTTATTTGTCCAGGTTCACATAGTGACAGATGATAATCTACTATATTCAGCATTGCATAAATGCAACTGAATGTAATTCTTAAACTTCTCACTCATTAACTGAATCAATGTTACAAAGACTTAACTAGATAGCAAATATGCATTTTTACTCTTCATTTACTATTGGTTAGCTAAAGAATTATCAAATGAAAAATGAATGTCTGATAAACTGTGGTTACTTAAATATAATCAAGAACTTGGCTTGTTTCTTAAGTGTTTTCATCTGTGCCAGATGAAAGCTACAACTATCAGTATGTTAACAGGAAAATAATAAAAAGTCATTTTTCCTAACACGTCTTTTTGGTTTTAGATAGTAAGACTATTTGCATTTGTCAGAATTATCTACCTCAATTAGCCATGGGTACACAGTAACTCTGTATCATTAAAGTACATTTCTGGATTTATCAATTAGGTGAAAAAATACCCATTTTAAGAAAAATAATTCAATAACTAACCTTTTTGCACTCCTAAAAGGGCAGGAGAGTTCTCCTGTGAAGTTCTGTCAGGTTCCTGGGGAGGTACAACCATGGCAAGTGTATGCGTTGGCACACGTGGCACCTAAAAAGTCAACTCAGAAAAAAATCATCTCAGACCAAAGAATAAGACAAAGGCCCATAAATGAAACAGATATCCTGTTTTAGGTTATCTTCATATACCACCAAATGCACTTTTGTTTCCTGAAGCTTTTTTTAAAAAAAGCTTTCACCAAGCAATAATTTTTGAGACTAATGATTAGACAGTCGGGGAATCTACAAATAGTCAATGATTTTAAGCTAAATGGAAATAACATTACTCCCTTGCTGAATAGAACGCCTTGCTGGTTCCAATTGTAGCTAGGGGTACAAGTCACATATTCACTATCCACTAGCCAATTTACCCTTGTTCAAATTCTACATGGATCAAAAGAAAACAAAAATGTAATATATTTCTTCAATTGGGGTATGCTAGCAGTTTTCAGAATGACTTTGTAGAAAAGAATTTAGATTTCACCAACTTAATATACTAGTAAAAGCTCCATAATTTAAGGTGGGTTTAAAAGTTACTTTAATGAACTTCTAGCGCTTATGTTACCTATACTTTCATGGTTGACAAAAGTCACTATCTCTAGGATAATTAATACTACCTTGGGAGGTATTAAGAAAATGCTTTCTCGGCCGGGCATGTGGCTCACGCCTGTAATTCCAGCACTTTGGGAGGCCGAGGCAGGTAGATCGCCTGAGCTCAGGAGTTTGAGACCACCCTGGGCAACATGGTGAAACTCCATCTCCACTAAAATACAAAAAATTAGCTGGGCGTGGTGGCGCACACCTATAGTCCCAGCTACTTGGGAGACTAAGGCAAGAGAATCGCTTGAGCCTGGGAGGCGGAGGTTGCGGTGAGCTGAGATTGTGCCACTGCACTCCAGCCTGGGCAACAGAGCAAGACTCCATCTCAAAAAAAAAAACAAAAGAAAAAAGAAAAAGCTTTCTCTTGATTCTCTTGTTAAAAAACAAATAAAAAACCCTGAAAAACCTAGTTGTAATAAGATAACAACTTAGAATACTTACGTTTATATTTGATATTAAGTGGTTTTTAAAAACCACTATTCTCAATAAATAAGGCAATAACAAATTTCAGTGTACCTTTAAAGAAAATAAATCCTAAAGAATTTAGAGTCATGATTTTCTCAATATGTAACAGAGAATAAAAACAAGTCCATTTTGCTTAAAACTGATTTTAAACAAAAACTTCTAATCATGTTGAAGAATATTTATATTAACAAACAAGCTCCATTTTACTTTACCTGAGACTGATCTTGAGAAGGTGGAGGGAGCTGAGACACATCTGTGGTGGGAACTGACAGAACATTATTTGGATAATCCAACAGATAAGAAACTACATTAGTATGGCCACCCTTTGCAGCTTCAATGAGCATTGTTGAACCATCCTGAAAAAGAATTGCCATGATAATTAATTCTTTATAGTTTCTTAGCAGCTCATATAAAATCAAAACTCATTTAAACAGTATTAAATACTAAGCACTAAGATAGATCAAACATATTTTTATAACTATACACATATTATTTATATATATATACACATACATACGTGTGTGTGTGTGTGTGTGTGTGTGTGTGTTTTAATAGAGATGGGGTCTCCTTATGTTGCCTAGACTAGTCTCAAACTCCTGGGCTCAAGTGATCCACCCGCCTCAGCTTTCTAAAGTGCTGGGATCATAGACATGAGCCACCGCACACAGCCTGTTTACTTATTTTTAAGTAGACTACCTTGAGTCGATGAGTAGGGTCAGCCCCATGAGCCAAGAGAAGCTCAACAACTGCCAGGTGGCCTCCTGCACATGCCAGCGACACTACTGTATGATCATTATTGGCTGTAGCCCTGTTAACATTGGCACCTTTGAAGAAAAATAAATCGCAATCTTAGCAAAGGTTGACATCAAGCTAGTTCATAGTCAATATCATTTAAAAATTTTTTGTGAAGTATAATGTAGATACAAAAAAATATACAAATCATTAAGTGTATAGTTTGAATTTTTTTCACAAAATGAACACACACCTGTGTAACCAGCACCCAGAGGAAGAAACAGAACATTATCCACATACCAAAAGCCCCATCTTGTGCTCCCTTTCAGTCACTACCCAGCCTCCCAATGGTAACCACTACCCTGACTTCCAAACTGGTTTTAGTTTTTGAACTTTATATGAACGGAATCATACAATGTACTCTTTTGCGTCTGGCTTCTTTCACTCAATATTATATTTGTGAGATTCATCCACAATGTTGCATGAAGCTGTAGTTCGTTCATTCAATATCACTTTTAAAATGGAAAATCTAGAAGACTAAGATTAATAAATATATACAGGTTAATGTAAGCATCAAATAACACCACTGTATATAACTCAAAATGTTTCAAAGACATTTTTGATCTACTAGAAAGTGGCAATATAGCCAGGTCTCAAAGTAAAGAAAACAGATTTTTTTAAGCAATGTTTAAGAGATATATAATTCTTCATATTGTGTATTTTAAGAGTCAGGGGACCTAGATATGGAGAGAAGACAGAATATTATCCAGATATGTTATCTGAAAGGCAAGTTGTTCAATAGCTGTGTATAACATGACCTGAAAAATGTCTAAATGCAAAGTCTTTTCTTAGTTTCTTTTTTGATAAATTATTTTTGACCCCTGGAAAAAATAACTTTAGTTCAGCTACCTTTAACAATTCCAAAAGATCTCAACTAGAAAGTTAAGACTATAGAAATATTCATTCTTCCTTCTTAATTCTACCTATCTTATTTAAGAGAAAAATAAGTCAGTGGGTAAAACCACTACTATTAGTTTGTCTAATTTTCAGAAAATATCCAGCTGAATCTAATCCTAACTTGCATAAAAGTACCTTTTGGGAAAGGTAAAACGCAGCAATAAACATCCTGAGATTAGCAACATGAAATTATTTTAGATGACAGGATTATTTGACATAGAAAGGATATAATCAATGTGTTCCTATTCCTGATAAGCCTGATTATATTCTTAGCAGGTTGTTGTTGGGTATGATTAGGTATTCTCTTTAGTAAAGAAACATAAGAGAACTCCAGAGTTTATCCATCTATTTATTTCTGTGTGGTTGAGGTAAACAGCTTTTACAGACTATATTATGTAAAGATATGCCTTACTTGGCAGCAAAAATGCAATATGAAGAAAATAAACCTAGTTTTATCCAATTCAGAGGAAAACAAGTACATTTAAAAGGATAAAATCTGGCCAGGTGCAGTGGCTCATGCCTGTAATCCCAGCACTTTGGGAGGCCGAGGCGGGCAGATCACCTGAGGTCAGGAGTTTGAGACCAGCCTGGCAAACCATGGTAAAACCCTGTCTCTACTAAAAATACAAAATTAGCCGTGCATGGTGGTGCATGCCTGTAATCCCAGCTAGTCGGGAGGCTGAGGCAAGAGAATCACTTGAACCCGGGAGGCGGAGGTTGCAGTAAGCCAAGTTGGCGCCATTGCACTCCAGCCTAGGTAAAAAGAGTGAAACTCCTTCTCAAAAAAAAAAAAAAAAAAAAAAGATAAAATCTTACCCTGCATTTTTAATGTCACTAAATGTCAGAAATCTATTAAAATATAAATATAGTTTTTATCTTAATAACATAACACAACCTGAGAGAATCTTCCTTGTATTTTGACCATCCTATCCTAGGATGTTTCATTATATGCCACAGTATTTCTGACACTATACAAAGAGTTAGGCTGAACCAAATGAAACTGCTGACATTACCATTTTTGATTCATAACATGACAATTATATACGGTTAAACCTAACATTGGTTCTACAGCATTTTATTTTACTGCAGTAAACAGTCTTAAGCTAATTCTTCATTCACCAGTTGAAATTTCTTGCCTAAATATAATTCTAATAATAGAATTTCTAAAGACATATAAAAATTATAAATAAGACCCTTACAAACTCAGTTAATTCAACTGTACCACAAACAAGTACCACAGTAGCAGACTTACTCTCTGTCCTCCACCCACATCTCCAGCAGAATAGACTCATCATTAGCTGTTGCATATCCACCTAATCATAGTGGGACATTTTACATTTGGCTTTTCTAAGTTGGGAGCAACCACATGTTGCTTTGTTGATGAAAACTTAAAATTCAAAACTAATAAAGAAAATTCCCAGTAAACAACTCACAAACTCTATGCTTACTAAATAAAATATAATAACAAAAGGCAAGAATACAATACTTTACTGTAGGTAAAGTAGCCATAACATAAATTGCAACAGTTTAGGATTTTTTTTTCCATAAACTGTAGCCTCTTGGAAATGATCACTTGCCCTTTCTTTACCTTTGCTAATAAGAAACTGCACAGTGCACAAATGACCAGCTCTTGCAGCTTTCATCAAAGGTGTTCTTCCACCTTCAGATTCATGTTCCTGTTAAAGAAATGGAAAAAATAATCCATCAATGCCAACAGTCTAACCATCTATTTTAAAAACAGTACTGATGAAATGAGAAATAACGAGGATTTAATATACTTACTCATTGTAGACACTTTATACCACCTACCTCAATTCCCCCATTATACAGGATTTTCAGTCCAAAGTAGATAATGTAACTTTCTAAGGGCAAGTTCAGTTTTGCATACCAAGTAATAACCATTAAAGATAATATTAATGTTTTGTTTGGTTCCCAAAGAGAAATCACTGCATTTTTCTAATTCTAAGTTTTAAAAAATGTTTCCCAACTATTTATCTGGATTGTGAAAAAGGAACCTCAGTCCTGTGAAATGATTAGAAGAATCTTGATCTTATAGCAGAAGCCAATAAAAGCACTATCAAAGGATGCAAATGATTCCCTGAAGAAAAACACTATGGTATTTTAGGAGTAACGGAAAAATGAAGAAGAAAAATATACCAATGGGTAGTTTTTTTTTAAGTAGAAATTAAATACTTGAATAGTCAAAGGCAAAAGATACAACTCCTAATAGCAGAAAGATTGTTCTTTCTAGGAAGTTTGCCAGCAAGAGGAATGAATGATAAAACAGTTTTTAACCATGCATGCCTCACATCAAATGCCACTAAAAGGAGCTTGCTTATATGGTGAGTAATACTGTCTGTTGGAAGAATTATGAACTCATTAAATTCATCTAAGTATTAAAATGTAGCTTATATACTGCTTCTTTGAAAAGTTCTCTTACCTATCCCCTCTTTCATTATATATGCAAACACGAATTTCTGTTGTTCTGGTTCTCTTTTATTACTAAGAAAAAACTGATAAAGACTGGTGGTTACGTTAAGGCTTTATTTCAGCTATATTCTTCTAATTAACTCTGAAAATCCTATAATTACCACATGATCAATTTAAAATATGTGCTCTCCCAATAGAATACAATTTAGTCTATTTACATTTTAATTATTCTGATCTACAACTCAGGCAAAACAACAATAAGAAATGAGTAGACTGTCAACTCAATGGAAACCTCACAGAAAAGTGATAGGAATTCCTCCCTAAAATAGGTTTAAAAAAAAATCTTGACAGTGTAGTATCATTAAACCTACTTTAAAAACTACTTTATGCTTTGACTTTTTAATTGTTATACATGTTAATTAAATAAGAATCTTTTAACTCTAGATTATGGAAAAATGAATAACTATAGATAATGCCAAAATAATTTGGCTTTAGAATAGATCTTGAACTCACATTCAAATTTAGGTAAATCTAACATTCTGGCAATTTACTTCAAATAAAACTGAATATGTATCACAAAGACCTTACTTGGAAAGACCTAGAAAGTTGTTTGTCCAGTTTTTCTATCCAACTTATTTCTGAATTATCATTACAATCAACTACATCCTGGAAATAAATTGCCCATTTAGCAACTTGTTTTTTCCCTTCCTGCCTCACAACTTTTTTGCACATACTGGTCTCTCTTCTTTTTAATGCTTTTCCTCCACTAACTCATTTTCATCCTTTACATCTCAAGTCAAGTGTTATTTCCTCAAGGAAGACCTCCCTGAACTTCCTGACTAAATCACTCTTCCTATTATGGACATACATCTCTATGAAGCTCTCCTTCATAAACTGCAATCATATTTTAGTCTGTGTAAGTATTATATTTAACTAACCTGTCTCCTCCACTAAACGGTAAGCTCCATGAGAGGAATGATCTTGTCTTTTTTTGCTTGCCACTGTACACATAATGCTTAAACAATGGAGTGATTAAATATTGTTTAATCATGCAGGAAACCAAGCATAACTGAACTTGCAAATCTTCCCTCTCATAGCACTGAGGTTTGAAGTTTTTATTATTTTCTACTAGGTAAATAAGAGAAAGGAAAGTCAACTAAACAAGAAATTAAGAGTAGTAGTTAAGCCCGAGAGTAAGACATTGATTATCTGCAACTGATATGTTATTATTAGAACATAGTTGGGCAATATTAATGTCACTTATCCTTACTTTACCCTTTTCTCTTTCTTATTTCTTAAGCCTGGCAGTGATCAACATAATTAGGTCATATCAACATAATTAGGTCCCGTGAGTCATGGCAAAGACATTTCAAATGAAATCATGAAAAATGATTTCAAAGCTTTCAGCCCTGATTTAGAATAAACTTTAAAAAATAACTGTTAATTCTGTATATTTAAAATATTACCATAGTTGTTAAAAGACAAGAAATCAGAAAGTACAGTCCCAATATCCTCACACCAAGTCATTTCAAAATTCAACATATTAATTCCTGAAATAAAAGGGGTGAAAAGCTACCTATTTTATTTTCCTCTCTATAAATATACATTCATTCCCTTAGTTTTGAATAACATAATCACATTTGAAAAAAGTTGATAAAACAATGCCACAACTCTGTATTACAACATTTTGTGTCTTAAAATGAATAATGTATATCCCACAACACACAATATTTGCCCCAAAATATCTGACTACTAAATCTTTCTTTTAAAATGGGAATCAGGCTACTGTGGGCACACTCCCTATGGGTTAGCCCTGCTGTGCAAGAAGCAGAAAAAAGAAAAAAATAATAATATATCTATATATGTATATATGGAAAATCCCCATTATATACATATATATGTATGTATATATATAGGAGTACATTGATTCCCATTATATACATACATTATACATATATATTCCCATTATTGGTTCCCATTATATACATACATATATACATTACACACATATATTCCCATTGATTCCCATTATATACACACACACATATATACGCATATACATACATAGGTATATATATAAGTATATATATATACCTATGTATGTATATAATGGGAATCAATGTATATATACATATGTATGTATATAATGGGAATATACATGTATAACAGGAATACATACATATAATGGGAACACATATATGTATATAATGGGAATCAATAATGGGAATATATATGTATAATGTATGTATATACATATATGTGTGCATATCATGGGAATCAATGCATATATGTATATAATGGTAATCAAATTTGTATACATCGTACTACTTATGAGCATTGGATTTAGTCATATAGCCACTATTTGTTCAATACTAATAAAATTTTAGGATACAAATTGTTTCTGATTTTTTTCCCTTCATAAACGCAGAAAATTATTTTCCAAGGCTACAAACTTAAATATCATGCAGTTTAATGTTTCTTTTTCTGTTCTTGAGAACAGCTAGAATAATATAGAAAGCATCCATTTCGGCTGGGCATGGTGGCTAATGCCTGTAATCCCAGCACTTTGGGAGGCCGAGGCGGGGGGGATCATGAGGTCAGGAGATTGAGACCATCCAAGCTAACATGGTGAAACCCCGTAAAATACAAAAAAAAACAAAATTAGCCGGGCGTGGTGGCGGGTGCCTGTAGTCCCATTACTCAGGAGGCTGAGGCAGGAGAATGGCATGAACCCAGAAGGCGGAGCTTGCAGCGAGCCAAGATCGTGCCACTGCACTCCAGCCTGGGTGACAGAGCAAGACTCCATCTTAAAAATAAATAAATAAATAAAAATTAAAAAAAATAAATAAAATAAAAATAAAGAAAGAAAGTATCTATTTCTTGGCCAGGCTCAGTGGCTCATGCCTTTAATCCCAGCACTTTAGGAGGCCGAGGCAGGCGGATCACCTGAGGTCAGGAGTTCCAGACCAGCCTGACCAACATGGAGAAACCCTATCTCTACTAAAAATACAAAATTAGCTGGGCAAGGTGGTGCATGCCTGTAATCCCAGCTACTCGGGAGGCTGAGGCAGGAGAATCGCTTGAACCTTGGAGGTGAATGTTGCAGTGAGCCAAGACTGCACCATTGCACTCCAGCCTGGGCAACAAGAGCGAAATTCTGTCTCAAAAACAAACAAACAAAAAAACCCAAAAACCCTGAACATTTGGTAAAATTCACCCATAAATCCATTTGAACCTTTACCTTCTATATATGGGTAAACTACTGATTCAATTTGTAATACATGGTTTCCTATTCTAGAGTCAATTTTGATAATTTATATATTTCTAGCAAAAATTAGTATTCATTTCACCTGAGCATTCACATTTATTGATTGAATTTTAAGATCTCTACTTATAAAATAATTACAATTCACTTTTAAGTTTATTGTTATCTGTGCCTTTTCCCCTAAAAAAAAAAAAAAAGAAAAAGAAAGAAAAGCCTTGCTTGCTTGTTTTATCTGTTTTGGTAGTCTTTTTTTAAAAACCAGCTTTTAATTTCACTCTTCATCCCTATATTTTTTGTATCTCTTTTTAAAATTATTTTCTATTGTGTTAACTTTTGCTTTTATATTTTTTCCCTACATTTGGGCAACATCTCATTCTATACCATAGAATATCATGTACCACAGAATACCATATATGATAGAACAAGGTGTTCTCCTGCTTTTATTATTTTCTTCTTCCTTTGTGCTATTGTTTTAAATTTTATTTTCATCTTTAATATGTTGATATACAGAACTACAATTTTCCTTCTAAGGACAACTTTAGGTATATTCTCCCTACCCAAGTTTTGGTGTGCACTGGTAACTCAGTTTCTACCGTGTAATTTTTACTGTATTGCCTCTTAACCCCATGAATTTTATAAAAGTATTTTCCTGGCTTGGCGCGGCGGCTCATGCCTGTAATCCCAGCACTTTGGGAGGCCGAGGCGGGTGGATCACAAGGTCACGAGTTCAAGACCAGCCTGCCCAACATGGTGAAACCCCATCTCTACTAAAAATACAAAAATTACCCAGGCGCGGAGGCAGGTGCCTGTAATCCCAGCTACTTGGGAGGCTGAGGCAGGAGAATTTCTTGAACCCGGTGGGTGGAGGTTGCAGTGAGCTAAGATGGCACCACTGCACTCCAGCCTGGTGACAGAGTGAGACTCCGTCTCAAAACAAAAAGAAAAAGTATTTTCCTTCAATTTCTAAATGTATGGAATTAAAGAAGACTTTATTGTTGATGTGTAATTTTAAGGCAAGAGAGATCAGAGAATGTAGTCCATGTGATGAAGATTCAGGAGTTTCTTCGGACTTCTCTGTGGCCTAAAACATGGACAATTTTTATAAATATTCCATGTATTGGAAAAGAATATAAAGTATATTTACTGGAAACAGAATGCTAGCTTTATGAAAGATAAAAAATTGTTTGATTTTTAACAATCATTTTATGTTTGATTCATCAGTTTCATTGAGAAGTGTGTGAAAAAAATCCTACCACTACAAATGCAGATCTGACCATTTCTCTTGCAATTTTGCAGTTTTATATTTTATTTGGATGGTAGATTGTTAGTTACTGATTGGTAATTATTTTCTCAGTTGGAGGAGTATTCATTTCTAAAAGTGCTTTTGGCTTAAAATTCCATTTTGTCTGATATTAATATTGCTTTACATAATTTTTTCCCATCACTGTCAAGCTTTCCTCATCACTTTGCTTTAGGTTTGTCTCCTGCAAACAGCATTTGTTACATTTTGATTCTGACTCTAATTCAGAAGTCTCTGCCCTTTAACAATTGAGTGTAATAGCTTTATATTTGTTCTGATTACGATTCTATTTTTCTTTAAAAAAAAACTTTATTCAGTACCTTCTCCTCCTGAACAACAACAAAAGACTCTAGCGTGGCTTTTAAACTCTCTAACACATCCTTCTGATTTCCTGCTATTGTTTTCTAGAATTTTAGTACTACTTTGGTTTTAAACATTAAAATTTAGGTTTTTAAACTCAAACATTTGTATTTATAATATGTTTTATCAATTTCTTTGCTTACCGTAGTTTCTTGTATCCCACGCCTTCCTCCAGGACTCACTTTTCTTCTTACTGATGTATATATCTTTTAGTAGTTCTTTTGTCAAGGGTCTAATGATGGTAATTCGTTTATTCTTTGTAGATTTGAAAATATGTTTATTTTTTCCTTCTCTAGAATGGTACTTAAGTACAGAATTCTGTATTGTTATTTTATCTTGGTATTTTGAGGATATTACTTCCCATCATCTTCTGTAATTTATTATTGCTGATGAGAAGGTCAAAACTTTGATGGTTGTTTTTTTGTAGGTAATGCGTTTTTTTCCTCTGATAGCTTTTAAGACATTTTTCATTATCCTTAAAGTTCCACAGTTTCATCTGTTCTGCTTAGTGATGGATATGATTCTTCAGTCAAGGATTCATGTCTAGTCACAATGCTAGAAAATTCTCCACCATTCTCTTCAAACATTTCCTCTCCCCTCCATTTCTATCCTCTCCTTCAGGAACTTCTAGTAGATAATATGGTGGAGCTTCTAATCTATTCTCTTTCTCTCAATTTCTTTTTCATATTTTCTATCTCTTTACTATATTTCATTATATATTTTATTGTATTATTTCTTGTTTTATCACTCATTCACTAATGCATTCAACTGTGTCTAATATGCTGTCTTACCCTATATATTGAGGTTACCCCCCAAAACTTTTAGTTTTATTTTATATCCACCTGTTCTTAATACGTAATTATCAGCTTTTGCTTTATTATCTCACATTGTTTTATGGCTACTGGTCATAGTTTAAAATAAACATGTTCATAATTCTCAAGATTAAAGTTTATTTCAATTTCCTTGAGTGTATTATATTTTGCTTTTTGTTTGTTTACATTTTGACTATCTTTCTTGATAAAGATTCGCTCTCCAGCTTTATAATTTTTTTACTGAGGAAACTCATTTTGATGGGAGGTGTTTTGTTTTAGTTTCTTTTCCATCCACAGATGTACTCCTCATCAGATGTTTTGGAAGTTCCCTCAGTCTGGCTCTTGGAGTCCATTTCAGAAGTAGATATTTTGCTGGACACCTAAGGTTCTTGTCTCATAGAGATATTTCACTTCTGTTCCCTAAATCAAGAAGGTTGTCCTCCAAGTTTTTAGTTACACAGTTGTCTCTGTTTCTTCCATTAACGACAATTTGCTAATTTTTCCCCCCTTTTTTTTAGTTTTTTTGGGTTTGTTTTGTTTTGTTTTTTACATACAACCTGGATATGACAATTTGCTAATTTCTAACCATAACCCTAGATAGTTGATCAAATATTTTTTTATCCATTTTGGTTCACAGGTAGGGCAATAAGATGCCGGTTCCTTGCTTTATTCAAGTAGACTAGATCTACTGATGTACTACATGTGAAATGCATTCATTCCCTATTCCTCTGCACATGCTGAAATCTCAGCCCCCATTGTGTATTTTTTTAGCCCTTAATTCTCCTTGGGACTACAGCTTAAACTGTGGATCCATGCTGCACTTCTAGTCCACGGAGATCTTTAATCCTGTTGTTTTGGGGCACGACTACATATTTTTAGATTCATTTTTCTATATACTAATAATGACTTTACCTTCTTGACTGAAGTCATTTGTACTTATATTTAAACAACCTGGAGAGAGCTGAAAAGAACTCATTCAATACACAATAACATAGAAAGAGAGAACTTGGCTTTAAAAGAAATGTATTAGGAGTTTTGTGTATTCCATAGGTAGTTTTAGATTTTTAAGAAATTGACAGAAGTTTCCTAGTTTTAAGTAGTAAAGTTAAAAATATGTATATACGCTATTCCTTAATAAAAAAGTTAAAAAGTGGAAGGTAAGGTCACATTTAAAGTTTATTAAGGTAAGGTAATTACTAACAGTTGAAATACATTGATAAGTAGATTACTAGAGCTCATAAGCTCCCTAAAAATATATCTATAAAAAATACACTACAAGTCTGGGCAAGATAGCAAGACTTTGTCTCTGAAAAAAAATTTAAAAATTAGCCAGGCATTGTGGTGCATACCTGTAGTCCTAGCTACTCAGGAGGCTGAGGAAAGGGGATGCCATGAGCCCAGGAGTTCAAAGCTGCAGTGAGCTATAATCACGCTTTTGTACTCTAGCCTGAGCGACAAAGTGAGACCATCTCCAAAAAAAAAAAAAAAAAGAAGAAAAAAAAAAGGTTCTGATGAATGAGCACTGTAAGAAAAAATGTGGAATTTTTTCTATTTGGCTTTAGATAACAAAATTTTATTTTAAATTAAGTTTATTTTATTTAAAATAAGTTAATTTCCCTTAAAAAATCACAGCCACAGGGCACCCAAGACATATATTTAAGGACTGTAACTATACCACAGAGGCAATGTCTTTTGGAGTTGGAGGGAGGACATTCTCTAAGGAGAAAGACCAAAATCACAGAGAAAAGGAGGGAGACTGTTTGATACTGTACGTACTAGAGGATTCCAATACTCTTCCATGGGGAGTATGTTCCTTCAACCCACCACTGTATATTAATCATTACCTTAGTGATCTACTATTACTGATTGGATTCATACCCCTCAGGAGAACTGATATGGATAAAAGGTTAAGAGGCACTGGTCCTAAGGCTTGTGTTTAGCACATTTTCTAAAAATCACAAGTAACAGAGAGAAAAACCAAGTTTATTCAATTTGGATGGAGGAAAAATGATCGATTATAAAGCAAAGATGGAAAAAGAAAAGAACTCAGCAATGATGCAGAATAATCTGTATGGCCTCTACCAATGTCTCAAAGTGTAAAATATGGAGAACTTGTCATCAGAATCTCCTGAGATATTAGTTCAAATGCAGACCCCCTATTTCAGATCTATGGAATCTGAACCTGTAAACGTGGGGCTGCAAAACTCATTTTTAAAAAAATCCTGTTTTGAGACTTGCAGCTAGAGAGAAAGATTTACAATTACATTTCATCTAACAAATCCAGGGAAAAACAATTACTTTGATCTGAAATAACACTCAGCTTTACATTCTTGATAGGAGCCTATAATATTATACAAACTGAGTAGAAGCTCACATGTTCACATCACATTTTGTAAAATAAACTTACTTACTTCAAAGTAGAATAAATATATCCAGCCTGGACAGTACAGTGAGACCTCATCTCTATAAAAATGAAAAAAATTAGTTGGGCATGGTGGCACATGCCTCTAGTCCCAGCTACTGGGGAGGCTGAGGCAGGAAGATCACTTGAGCCTGGGATGGGAAGGCTGCAGTGAGCCAAGAGCACACCACTGCATTCCAGCCTGAGCAACAGAGTGAGACCCTGTCTCAAAAAAAAAAAATTTAAAAAATTTTTAAAAATCTCAACAGAATAAATAAAACAGCTTCTCATTTAACAAGCCAATGATGAAGACACTTAATAAGCATCATGATTAAGAGGGGTTTAGAATTAAGAAACTTAGGCCAGGCACGGTGACTCACGCCTGTAATCCCAGCACTTTAGGAGGCCGAGGCGGGTAGATCACAAGGTCAGGAGTTCGAGACCAGCCCAGCCAACATGGTGAAACCCCGTCTCTACTAAAGATGCAAAAAATTAGGTAGGCACGGTGGCACGCGCCTGTAATCCCAGTTACTTGGGAGGCTGGGGCAGGATAATCGCTTGAACCCAGGAGGCAGAGGCTGCAGGGAGCCAAGATTGCAGCACCACTGCACTCCAGCCTGGGCAACAGGGCGAGACTCTGTCTCAAAAAAAAAAAAAAAAAGAAACTTAGATGGCCTAAGTTATTTGTGATCTAATCACAATTCATTAATAATTTTAAAATTAAAAACTGCTCCTGATTTTAAATAAATCTCTTTGGATTATAATGGATATTAAATTTATTTGACTTTTAAAACCACTGGGCACAAATTCACACATTTTTTCAAAAGAAATATTTCCTATGAAAAAATATTCACCTTCTTAAAAACCAATTTCAGAATAGTAGGAGACAATTTTAAGAAGAAAATTTTAAACTTCTAGTTTATAGAAATTAGGGCATAAACTATATAGTAAACGTTTTGCTAAACTAATTTTTTTGTTTATTTGAGTATTATTTTTAAAACAATCCAATATATTAATATCACTCTGAGTTTCAGATTTTTGATGAACAAAGTTGAATGCAAAGGACTTTATTACTGAGACTTTCTCTCTGCGGTATACTAACTCTCCCAATAAAGGAGAATGTAAAAGAACTACCTGAATAAGAAAATCTATTTTCACCTAAGAGATTTTTTTAGGAATATCACTGAGAAAGAAGACTAAGGAAACAAACTACCAGCAATACAAATCTCTTTTTATTGGGACTTCATAATCTTTTTCAATTGAAGAGGATTTCCTTTGTCACCCAGCAGGGTCCTGGAACTTCTTGGCTGGAATTCAGATATCCAGAGTTCTGGTTACCTACAACATCTATTCTTTACGTAGTAGCTTACAAGCATCAAAGGCCACCCTCACCTGATGCTTGGCCGGATCTATGCCCTCCAAAATAGTCTTCATGTCCTCCTGCTTGTCCTGCGAAAGGAAAAAGAAGAACTCACGGATCTTATTCCAAAAACGAAAATCACATTTGGCCATGAAGACCTTGTGACCGATACTTCAGATGGTGGGCTTTGTTAACTCAGGATCTTCAACTAAAAAGATTCTCATCTGTAGAGACTGTAATGTCATGAGCAGAGTATAAATTTTTTTAAGGGGGTGATATTATGGTTTTTTACCAATAAAACTTCAATATAAATCTTAATATATGTAGAAATATTTCTGCAGAATTATTTAAATTCATGCCTTTGTCTCAAAAAACAAAGCCACAAAAACAGAGCAACATTTAAAAATATCTAACCAAAGAAAATAATGAAATCAAGAGATTTGGGCATATCAGAAGTTGGGAGGACGGAGGAAAATACTGTAAGATAAATAGTTACATAGCTTTTCCCCTCATTATAAATGTACTTAAGGCTTCCACTTTTCAACTAAAACAAGAACCTTCAAAGAACTTGAGAAATGGAATGTTTGTATTTTCTCTAGATCTAGACTCTTAACAGAGAGAAACTATCTAAAGGTGAGACAGGGATACAACTTAGGAAACCATAAGAAGCTTTTCAGTCATTGACCAGAGTCAACTAAATCTCCAAATAAAGGAAATGTGGCCTAGAGAAGGCTTCACTCTAAGTCATTCCAATTTCCTACCTATGTGATGTGCTTATCCTAAGAAAGTGCATGCTCCTATGGTATAGATTCAGCAAGACAGTATCCTGAGACAACTACATGATTTTAAGAAGCTAACTGTTAAGGCTCACTTCCTCTTCCCTGCCACCTTACCCCTATTTCACCCCCTATTTCAATAAATAGCCAGTCCCATTAAAATACGAATAATAAGCACAAAGTATCCAACATGGAACCTATCAAGAAGTTCCTACAAAACAAACAATAAAATTTTAGTCAAATATTCCCCAATACCTTCAAATAAATTGAAGAGAACAGGGAATCTTTACTTAAATAGCTGAACAAAGTGATAAAACAAAAGACTGGAAAGTGAATTGGAAGAATAGAAGAAACTAAATACAGATTGAGCATCACTAATCTAAAAACCTGAAATCTGAAATGCTCCAAAATCTGAAACTTTTTGATTACTGACATGACACTCAAAAGAAATGCTCATGGAGCATTTCAGATTTTGGATTTTCAGATTAGGGATGCTCAATGGGTATGTATTCTGCAAATATTCCAAAATCCAAAAAAAATATCCAAAACACTTCTGGTCCCAAGCTTTGCAGATAAGGGAGCAGTAACAGTGAAGCCATGAAAACCACATTTAGAAGTAGAAACAGGCCAGTCATGGTGGCTCATACTTGTAATCCCAGTAACTTGGGAAGCTAAGGTGGGTAGATCGCTTGAGCCCAGCGGTTCAGGACTAGCCTGGGCAACATGATGAAACCCCGTCTCTACAAAAAATAAAAATAAAAAATTAGCTGGTGTGGCAGTGTGTGCCCGTAGTTCCAACTACTCAGGAGGCTGAAGTGGAGGATTGCTTGAGACTGAGAGGTCAAGGCTGTATTAAGTTGTGATCATGCCACTGTACTCCAGCCTGGGAGATAAAGCAAGACCCTGTCCCTTTTAAGAAAAAAAAAAAAAAAAAAAAAAAGCAGAAACAAGTATACAGAAAAAAATAGTGACCTGGATGACAGACTTAAGACACAATGCAGAAGAAAAGGACAAAGAAATGTATTAGACATAAACATAATACAAATACAAACAAGCGAGATGAGGGAGACCATACATATGAATGGTAAATATCTTGAAGGACGTTAACAGAATAGAAAAATAAATAGTCAAAAACATAGCAGAAAGAAACCTTCCTTTAAAAAAAAGAAAATATCACCCCACGGTCACCACTAAAAAAAAAAAAAATTTTAAAAATTAAATACTATGACAACTTATTAAAGACTATGACTTATTAAAGTCTTCAGACAGAAAGTATTCACTGTTTCTCAGGAAAATTAATAGAATAATTAACACAAGATACATCCTGATGAAATCAGATGTTTAAGTATAATGAAAGAATTTTATGATAATCCAGACAGAAAAAGGAGACACTTACATATAATACAGAATAGTCTAGCAGGCTTTGGCAATATTCAGTACCAGAAGACACTAATATAGTGGGTTTAAAATTTTGAGGGGAAAGAACAAGTGATTCAATAATTTCATACATGGCTACATTCATTTATAAATACAACATATGGTATTCTAAAATATGCAAGCACCTATTAACTCCTTTTTTGAGGGGGAGAATAAATTCAAATCAAAATACCAGTACTAGCCAGCCAACAGATAAGTCAAGTTGAGGAATTCAGGAATCATGAAGCTATATAATAAGAAAGACTAGTAATGTAAAAACTGAATCCACTTAAATATTATATATACATATATACACATATATATATATTTAAATAACTATGAGAAATAGGGTCCTAAATCAGAATGTAAATGTATAACCAGGAGAATATTAAAATAACTCATGAAAATTCTATGGTGAAAGATATATTACTCTCCTTGTCCTTCAGAATGAAGTCAATAGATACTGAATAAATATCTGATTTTTAAAAATCTATTTGTAAATGGTGTCTTCACATACTTCCAGAAAGTAATTTTATTCCTGTGTTTTCTATAGTTCGCTAAAACTTTGGGAGCAATTAATAGGGCTAATTGTAGCACAGTAAGTTTTTTTTGTTTGTTTGTTTGTTTTTGAGATAGGGTCTCCCTCTATTGCCCCGGCTGGAGTGCAGTGATGCAATCTCAGCTTACTACAACCTCCGCTTCCTGGGCTCAAGCAATCCACCTCAGCCTCCTGAGTAGCTGGGACTACAGACACGCACAACCACACCCGGCTAATTTTTTTTTTTTTTTTTTTTTTGGTAGAGACAGGTTTTCACCACGTTGCCCAGGCTGGTTTGAACTCCTGGGCTCAAGCAATCTGCCCTCCTTGGCCTCCCAAAGAGCTGGGATTAAAGACTTGAGCTACTGTGCCAGGCAAGAAGATTTTTGTAGATAATGCAAACATAGGGGCTGTGATCAGAAATTAGAAAATTAAACTGTTTAAAAAAGGAAGAAGAAGGAAGGAGGGTGGGAGAGAAGGAGAGAAGGGAGGGAAGGAAGGAGGGGAGAAAGAAGAAATCAGTTTATATTTGTGAGAATGTGGGAGAGTCAGGAGGGATCAACTGTTAACAGAGATGTACACTGGTTCAGGATTTTTGAACAGTTTGACAATAGTTATCAAAATTTCAGATGTGGACCTCCCGAAACAATAAAATTTTAGTCAAATATTTCCCTATAACCAGCAATTTCACTTCCAGGAATTTATCCCTATTATATATATTCACAAAAGTAGCAAAGATACATAAATATGCCTAGCAATATTTACTGCAGCACCATTTGTAATATTTAAAAACTATTAACTCAGGTGTTTATGCGTAGATAAATGGTTAATAAATTATACAGAACACTGGGTACCTGTGAAAAAGAATGGGAAATCTACTGGAACACGGAAAGATGTTATATCACATATATTAAATGTACATATTTTGGGTATACAGAAATGTCTAGAGAGATACACAATATATTGTTTAAATTTTTTAAAAAATCTTATAAAAGAGGACTTGGGTCTATGTTTTCTATTTATAAGATTTAATACAGATAATAAACTGATCCATAAGATATTTTTCTTTCTATTAAGGGAGGTCCATATCAAATCTCATTTAAAAGGAAATAAGTTCCAGGAAGAAGAACTACAGAGTACTAATGTACCCATGTCTAAATTACCTAGTTTCCAATTGCTCAACTATTTTTGGAAAATGCCCAATATAGTTCACTCAGTCAGCAGAATACAGTCCAAAGAAAGCAACAAAGGTCAGAGGGCTTACTTTATGGTTACAGAGGTAAGTCAGTGATAAACTACGTTTTTGTTTTTTTGTTTTTTTTTGTTTTTTTTTTGAGACGGAGTCTTGCCCTGTCACCCAGGCTGGATTTTAGCACATACCTGTAATTCTAGCTACTCGGGAGGCTAAGGAAGGAGAATCATTTGAACCCAGGAGGAGAAGGTTGCAGTGAGCCGAGATCGTGCCACTGCATTCCACCCTGGGTAACAGAGCCAGACCCCACATCAAAAAAAAAAAAAAAAAAAAAAAAAAAAAAAAAAAAAAAAGAATTAGTACACTTAAACCTTAAACTGAGAACATATCTATGAGATGCCAGGAATGAAATACATCTCCACTGCATGCAATGGGGGATGGACAGTCCTCTATCTGCAAACTGCTGGAGGAAATTATTATAGCCCAAAACAGATATTAGAAGACAGCAGCAAAGAATGAAGGACAAGTAAGATGGTACTGCCTTGTAAGATAAAGTTGATAAGAATTACCAGTCACTTTTTCCCAGGACTCAGGGACTAATCTGCCTGCTTTACTCTGAGGTTTCCCTGTTTTTGACTAGAACTTTTTCTTTCCTCTGGCCTACAATAAAGCCTGAAATAAAATTTATTCATAGGTTTTATATTTTTTTCACTGTCACAAATTTTACTCACAAATATTCATAGGTTTTAAATATAAAAGTTATTATACTTTCCCATACTTTCCACATTTTCTTTTTCTCCTAAAAAATTATTTTAAGAGAAGGGTCTCACTATGTTGCCCAGGCTAGCATACAATGGCTGTTCACAGGCATGCTCATTGTGCACTGCAGCCTTTAACTCCTGGGCTCATGCAATCCTCACACCTCTGCCTCCTTGGTAGCTAGGACTACAAGCCCAGCATTTCCACATTTTATATGAAGAACAGTATTGCTTTTTATAATGAGGAAAAGAAATAATATTAAAATTAAGATATCAGTCCACAAATAGCAAAAGCATGGAAGAGGCTATACATTTTTAAAACTTAAAATCAATATATAAAATAATTCAAAATAAGAAAAGGTAAAAAGTTATACATATAGAGTTATTAAATCTAACAGTATTTGTAATAGTGAAAAATGAAAAGCAAAAGTTCCATAATTAATGAACGAGTATGGTTCATCAACTTGATGGAATATGATGCAAGAGTTATAGAGACTATATAGTAATATGGTAAAGATTATGATAGAACACAAGAACACATAGTGAAAAAATAGAAAACAACTGTATTATATATTGTGTCTATAATTTCATGTAAATATGAATGTAAAAATAGATTGCAAGATAAAAATGAATAATTATGTTAGAACAATGGCATTACTTCTGTATTGAATAATTAAGATATGTATTTATCTGAGCCTTTTTTTTTTTTCTCCCAGATGGAGTTTCACTCTTGTTGCCCAGGCTGGAGTGCAATGGCACTATCTCAGCTCACTGCAACCTCCGCCTCCTGAGTTCAAGTGATTCTCCCAAGTATCTGGGATTACAGGGGCCCGCCACCATGCCCGGCTAATTTTTTTGTATTTTTAGTACAAACAGGTTTCACCATGTTGGCCAGGCTGGTCTCGAATTCCTGACCTCAGGTGGTCCGTCCGCCTCGGTCTCCCAAAGTGCTGGGATTACATGCGTGAGCCACTGCGCCTGGCCTATCTGGGCCATTTTTAATCTTACATTTTGAAAGTAAGTAAATACGGTAAGTTCAAATAGCTCTATCTGTTCAATTAATGTAGTTCTTCTAAGGAACTAAATAATAAACACTCTATTTTAACTAATTCCAGAAGACAGTAAAAATAAAATATTTAAAAATGTAACAGATATTAACTTGGTCACAATCAGTATGGTTTTGTTATACATTAGAGTACATTTACCAGATAGCTCCTCTTTTATCCTATTTAATTTTTTTCTTTTTTTTTTTTTTGAGATGGCGTTTTTGCTCTTGTTGCCCAGGCTGGAGTGCAATGGCGCAATCTAGGCTCACTGCAACCTCCACCTCCTGGGTTCAACTGATTCTTCTGCCTCAGCCTCCCAAGTAGCTGGGATTACAGGCATGTGCCACCACACCCAGCTAACTTTTTGTATTTGGTAGAGACAGGGTTTCACCAAGTTAGTCCGGCTGGTCTTTAACACCTGACCTCAGGTGATCCACCCACCTCGGCATCCCAAAGTGCTGGGATTACAGGCATGAGCCACTGCACCCAGCCCTATTCAATTTTTTAGAAGAACTCCCAACAGGTTAAGACAGTGACTTTGTTGTAGAAAATACAATGAAGAGAGAATCCAGGTAAGAATTTAGAGGATAAGAGTATTAAATTTTGCTTATATTATCTAAGCTTTTAAGTTCTACTCTATTTCTTTATTTTGAATGACAAACTTCAATTCCTAATTTTTATAGACGACTCAAAGCAACTCTATAAAAGGAAAAAGATATAGAAAGAAGTCAAAAGACTAAGATGTACTTAACATATATTGCTGTCACAATTCTCAGACAAAAAAGCATACCTCCCAAAAATTATAACTGATAGGGAAGGTCCTAATTAATAAGAATGAATGATAGTGTTTTCATTACAATATTTTGTATTAGTAGAAATGATAATAAATAACAATCATACTACACATTTATTTTGGTTAATAATTATTTTCCAATAATGTTCTCAGGTATCTACTTGGATGATTTAAAAGGTAATACTTGCATAGTTTTTTCTAAATAAGCAAAACTAAGAAATCTAATTCTCTATAACATTTACAGCTATGTATGTCACACATAAGTTTTTAAGAAATGTATCAGAGAATTCTGGGAAAAACTCTAGGAAGCAGTTTAAAGCACTCTCACAAAATAAAAGCTAGGCAAAGCACACATTTCAGCAAGAGGCATGAACATTTAAATGGAATATTATTTTTATATAGATTATTACACATATGAACCTGCCACCTAATTTGAAATTTTGAAAAACCAAAACAGAAAACACAAAAAGAATAGAATTTGTAGGAATGTACTAGAAGGATGATTAACAATAGTAGCTTTGTTTTGAAATGTCTAATCAGAGAAACAACAGAAATCATTCAAAATGATGATGGATGTACTAATTACTCTGATTTGATAATTACACATTATATACATGTATTGAAATATCACTCTGTACCCCATTAATATGTTCAATTATCATGTGTCAATTAAAATAATAATAAATCACTCAAAGTGACTTGACTTGTTACTCTATTCTGTGAACACATCATTGAATTTATGATATATCTAACAGATGGCAGTTTAAAAAGCACAGGAATGTCAAATGGGGGTGGAGTGAAAGGAAGAAACAAACTAGTAGTTTTACCTAGGAAAAGAAACAGTATGCCCTGTTCAACACTAAGTATTTTCAAATACATTTAATACATACAACAACTAGAACAGGTAGCCAAGCTTTTTTAAGTTACTGTATACAAAGTACGCAAACCATTGATCTTTAGTGTTTTCTAAATGTTAAGTATAAATGGATATTAACATTAACGCAAAAATATTTGAAATTAAAAATATCTTACTAAATCAGCCCCTGCTTGAAGTAAAACATCTGCAACATCCGTATGTCCATTTTCACAAGCATAGGTTAAGGCTGTGTCTCCTGTTGCTGTTGTAGCATGCACATTAGCGCCTAGCAAACAAAAAAGCATACATTTACTTTGTGAACTGTAAAATTGTATTAGATAGTCCAATTTTGCAATCTGGTGAAACTGAAGAATTCAAAATGTGAAAATATCAAAATGCATTTTAAGTATACTAGTTTTCCTTTAAATATGCTTTATAAAAATAATTTGAGTCATACCAAAAAGAACTAAACCAAATGATTTTAAAACACAGTAATTTGCCCTTACATCAGTAGTAAGATATACCCTAAGGAATAAAAGAGCTGCAAAACCAAAAAATATTAAGCATTTTTCAGAAATCATATTGGTGGTACTTTTGGTTTGTATTCAGAGACAGTTCTATGGATATTGTGGTATAAATCAAATGAGCAATTATTTCGTGAGAACAGAAATTTTGGGCATGGTTAAGGGAAAACACAGATATAAGTTTTTTTTTTTTTTTTTGAGAGATAGTCTCACTCTGTCGCTCAGGCTGGAGTGCAGTGGCATGACTCAGCTGCAACCTCTGCCTCTTGGGTTCAGGCAAGTCTCCTGGCCCAGCCTCTCGAGTAGGTGGTATCACGGGCACATGCCACCACGCTTGGCTAATTTTTGTATTTTTAGTAGAGATAGGGTTTTACCATGTTGGCCAGGCTGGTCTTGAACTCCCAACCTTAGGTGAGATATAAGATTCTTGAACTTAAGTAAAAATCTTGTGGTTCTAGCCAGGCATGGTGGCTCAAACCTGTAACCCTTGCACTTTGGGAGGCTGAGGCTGAGGCGGGCAGATCACTTGAGCACAGGAGTTTGAGACCAGCCTGGGCAACGTGGTGAAACCCTGTCTCTACCAAAACAAACAAACAAACAAAAAAATTAGCCAGGCATGATGGCACATGCCTGTAGTCCCAGCTACTTGGGAGGCTGAGATGGGAGAATTGCTTGAGCCCAGTAGGCGGAGGTTACAGTGAGCCCAGATCATGCCACTCCACTCCAGTCTGGGCAACAGAGCAAGACTCTGTCTCAAAAACAAAACAAAACCAAAAAAAACCCTTGTGGTTCTGAATTGGAAGTACTGAGGTGGTCCCTTAGCATCCTTCGAAGGTGACCAATGAATTCCTGATATATTTGATCTATAAGAAAAATATATATTCCCCAGCCCTGACCAACTAAAGCCTAGAGACAATGGTAGTAGACTAAATAAGCATAAATAGCATCTCTAGCTTAGATTGTGGTCTCTAAGTACCATTTACTAAATAATGAAATTAGGGCTTCTTAGAAAAATGACTGATCCCAAGGCTGGAGCAGGAACTGTACAAGATGAGCCTGGAACACTTTGCCATATGAGAAAGCAAGGAAACTATCAGAGACTACAATGAGGTCATGTCAAAAGGATTTAGGAGCTAACCTTACTGACCAAAGATATTCAAACTGTCCCATCTTCTGACAATTTTTACATCACAAAGAATGACCGTGATGAAGTAAAGGCCATCTTATATATTTAAATCTGAAAGTTCAAAATGATGTTCAAATAAAAAACAAAAAAACAGGGCCAGGCACAGTGGCTCATGCCTGTAATCTCCGCGCTTTGGGAGAACAAAGTGAGAGGACTGCTTGAGGCCAAGACTTTGAGATCAGCCTAAGCAACAAGCAAGACCCCACCTCTACAAAAAATAAAAAAAAAAATTAGCGGGGCATAGTGGTGTATGCCTGTAGTCCCAGCTACTTGGAAGGCTGAGGCAAGAGGATCCCTTGAGCCCAGGAGTTCAAAGTTGCAGTGAGCCACAATCACACCACTACATTCCAGCCAGGGTAACAGAGTGAGACCCTGTCTCAAAACAAAACCAAACAAAAAAACACTTCACTGATCACCTTTGAAGGATGCTAAGGGACTACCTCATCACTTTGGAAACTGGCAGATAAAGGGGGAAAAAAAGACAAACATTTTTCTTGCCATTCTTTTTTTTTTTTTTTGAGATGGAGTCTCGCTCTGTCACCCAGGCTGGAGTGCAGTGGCACCATCTCGGCTCACTGCAAGCTCTGCCTCTCGGGTTCACGCCATTCTCCTGCCTCAGCCTCCTGAGTAGCCGGGACTATAGGCGTCCACCACCACGCCTGGCTAATTTTTTGTATTTTTTAGTAGAGATGGGGTTTCACGGTGTTAGCCAGGATGGTCTTGATCTCCTGACCTTGTGATCCGCCCACCTCGGCATCCCAAAGTGCTGGGATTACAGCCACCACGCCTGGCCTTTCTTGCCATTTTTATATGATGATTTGTATTTAATTTACAGGCAAATAGTTGAGGGAAAGTTTCTCTTTATAGATAGTCAAGGAAGGAATAAACAAAGAAGGAATAAAAGAACTTAGAGTATCACCCCTTTGTAACCCCTAAGGAATTAATGGATCTAAGCAATGCTCATCAATGGCTAATAATATCACAAAAAGAGAGACAACTATATACTTATTACCTCCTGAAGAAAGTATACAAATACCACCTATGAAGTATCCCATTAAAAAACAAAAAAAAAAGAATCAAACCTGAATACAATAAAGTCTCTAGATCTAACTACTAATTTATAGAAAATCCAAAGGATAGAAAAACAAGTTAAACAAAATCATAGCAATATCATCAGGAAAATCCATACTCTGGGAAGCCTAATGGAAAAACATTCTATTTCTTCAACCAAAAATTGCAAGAAGAAAGATAAGAAAAATGAGATGTAGCCCATAGATTAAAAAAGGCTTAAGAGACATTGATTAATAGTGATTTTATGAATCTTATTTCAATCTTAATTCAAAAAAGTCACTAAACACATACATACAGATTTATAAAACTATCAGAGAAATACAAAAATGGCTTGGATATTTGCTAAGAAACTCATTAAAATTTTTTAGGTAGGAAAATTGTATTGTGGTTATTTTTAAAATTATCTTTTAAATACTGAATATTAACACTTTTATAAAAGTAACATTTTTAATCATTAATTTTCAAATTTTAAAAATAAAAAGTTAAAAATGTTTCTTTTAAATAAAAATAATTTTGTAAGAATGGGGATGTGGAAGAAGTACAGATGAAATAAGATTGGCCATGAATTAGACATTCATGTTAAAACACTAACTAGGTGATGGATTCTTAGGATCTCAAATACTACATTCTCTGTATGTTTGAAAAAATGCCATAACAAAAAGGTTGTTAAATTTGTTTTAATTGTATAGGCCTTATTTGAGTTTTCTTTAGTGCCACACTGTAAGAAGCACTTCATGTAAATAAATTACCCTTAAAACTGGGTGGAAAAAAAACTTTTAGGTAGTGATCACATAAAAGTGATTCTCAAACCCTGAGATAGTTTCTACGAGCTACATACTTCAAATAAGCAAAAGGAGCTAAATCAATGGTAATGCAGTAGAAAAAACAATGTCGAGTTCTAAGTTTGAATGTTGACTCTGTCCCTATTAGCTTGGTTACCTTCGACGGAGTTATATAACATCATTGTGCATTAGTTCCCTCATCTACAAGAATGTGTTTAATATTTCTCACTACATAGGAACCAGTGGCAATTAATAGAGATAACACAAAAGCTGAGCAAAATGTCTGATATTCAATAATTTCTTAATAAACATTTATTCCTTCTTTTAAAAACACGTTACAATAGCACGACTTTAGCTTAAGAGAGGGATGTGGGAAGAATGTACAAAGATAACCACTAGCAGAGAAAGACTCTTGAATAGGACACAGTTACTAAAAATGATAGGGGAAAAATGACTGAATATATACAATAACTAGAATGATTATCAGTATTTGTTCAGGAAAAAAGTCAGCATTTATGGTTGGTTTGTCCAAACCATAAATCATCCAAACCATTCACAATCTGGTTTAAGGCCGGGTGTGGTAGTTCACATCTGTAATCCCAGCACTTTGAGAGGCCGGGGCAGAAGGATTGCTTGAGCCCAGGAGTTTGAGACCAGCCTCAGGAACGTGGCAAAATCCCATCTCTACAAAAAATACAAAAATTAGCCAGGCATAGTGGTATGCGCCTATAGTCCCAGCTACCTGGGAGGCTGAGGCTGAAGGATCACTTGAGCCCAGGAGGTTGAGGTTGCAGTGGAACATATTCACACCACTACACTCCAGCCTGAATGACAAAGCACGACCCTATCTCAAAAAATAGAATAAAATAAAATCTGGTTTAACAAATTATTTCAATAATAATTCAAAGGAAAAACTGAGGTTGGGCTATATTAAAATTAATGTTAACAATGAAAGCCCAAAAGGATGAATAAAATTTTGCTAAATATTTTATTTTCTTTTACATATTAACTTTTCTATATATCAAATTTTAAATAATATATCAGACGTGGTAAAAAAGAAAAATCTGACATTATTTTCAAAGAATATATTTACATCTGTTGGGACTAATTTTTTTTTTAGTATGTTCTATAAAACTACAAATATTCTATGTAAAAGTACTTATTGCTTACCACAGCTTAATAATAAAGCACAAATATTTTTAAAATTAGTACTCTGTAAAAATAAATTAATTCCCACTTTTTTCAGATGACTTAGAAATGTCAAGAAATGAACAGACTTAAAGGTACCAAATTATAACCTCTCAATAATGTCATCATCCCCACCTCCTCTTATTAACAGAGACTAGTAGAAACTAACATCTCCCTTCCACAAGCCACAAACAATTAGACGGAGAAAGAAGGTGAACGAGATACCTTATGGTCACTACACAAACATTAATAACAGTAAGAAATCTTTTTAAAAATCAGTTTTAGAGACTTAGGAGTCTAAGATCAGTTAAATTATGCAGCTGTCTTTCAACTTTTATAGAAATGAAAAAGTTAACAGTTAATTGTTAAAGTTAAGAAAGCAATATAAGTCTTTTTCTAAACAGTATTTTTAATTATTTAATTTAATTTTATTTTTAATTGACAAATAATAATTGTATATATTTATGGGGTACAATGTGATGTTATGATATATGTATATGTTGTGGAATGATTAGATCAAGCTAATTAACATATTTATCACCTCACATATTTGTGGTGAGAACATTTAAATCTACTCTTAGCAATTTTGAGATATACATTATTGTTAACTGTAGTCACCTTGCTATGCAATATATCATTAAAACTTATTCCACCTATCTAAGTGAAACTTTGTACCCTTTGATCAACATTTCCCCTCTCCTTGTGTACTCTCCTCCCACCCTCATGCCCACACTCTGGTAACCACCATTCTATTATCTACTAGGAGCTCAACGTTTTTAGATTCCACATATAAACTATTATTTGTATTTGTCTTTCTGAGCAATAAGGCATCTTAAAGCCACATACCAGAAGCCAGCAAATATTTAACCAATTCCAGGTGTCCCTCCTGAGATGCCTCCATCAGAGGTGTGGAGCAGCCAAGTTCTATATCAGCCCCTGCCTTAATAAGAAAGTCTGCAACTTCAGAAAATCCTCCACAGCAAGCCAAAGTAAGAGCAGTTTCTTGAGTTTCTTCTGTCTGGGCATTTATATTTGCTCCTAGGAAAGTATAAAAACAGATAAAATTAGTTGCAAGAGACTTATAATAAAGATATTAATTTTCTGAATTGTGATAATCATCTCTGTCTTCTCTGCTTCTGTGGTTTCCTCCAGGGTAATTTATCATCAATGCAATATATATATATATATATATATATATATATATGCATATATATATATATGCATATATATATATATATATATATATATATATATATGCTAGCTGTAGTAAACTTCACCAGTACTAACACAAAACATCCAAAGAAAACTGATTTTTCTAAAAGAAGTAAAACTGCTTTACCTTGTGCTAAGAGTAGTGCCACCATTTCTTCATGTCCTTCCCGGGCAGCTTCCATCAAGGGAGTGTATCCTTCATCATTAACTTCTTCAAGATTTGCTCCCCTTTCAATAAGTAGAGCTGCCAATTCAACATGTCCTCCACAGGCAGCTAGCGTCAATGGAGATTCAAATGAATCTGCAGGCATGTTCACTTGAGCACCACTATCCAAAAGCAAACGTGCCACCTCTACATGTCCATCCTGCAGATTTTCAGAAGTAAAGAAAGAAGGAGAGAAATTTTTTGTTTTGAGATTTTTTTAAGTGGGAGAGAAGAAAGCAAGAGATTGGAAAAAGGAAGAAAAAAGACAAGATTAGAAGATTCAGCATAGACAGCATATATATTATCATGCTCATCTGAGCCTTATCAAAAGTTCATCAATATTGCTTTTAAGTAATTTTCAAATTATTTTAACCAACTTTTGAGCAAGCCCAAAATTCTCCAAAAGAATGAGACTTGGTGACATAACAGTCACAAATCCAAATAATTTTAAATTTCCATTTTTTGAAGTTCAAAAAACTGTGAAATCTATAGTCAATGCTACCTCAAAATAACAAGATTATACTACTGCCAGGTCAAATACAGTCATACCCTCAAACTCAGGAGTCATATTCAAATGTAGAAACCGTATTACATCTATTTCAGAAACAAAGGCATGGCAAAAAATAACACAACAAATTATGTGAAGTCGTTACCACTTGGGATTATGTCACCAACATAAATGTCTCTGGATTGACACCATCCTATATTTTTCCTAATCACAACACCTTGTTGCAATGAGGCAAAGATTTTGTAATGATGTAAAAATAAAGACATTCATTGTAAAAAATTTTTACCATGGCCTATCTGCATAGACAGTAAGTCAATTAACAATAAAATATTCTCATGGTGGGTATCAATTCTACCTATCACCATAAATATCCTTCTTTAATTTCAAATTTTTAATGTCAAAATTTATGTAGGTCTTTTTTTTTTTATACTTTAAGTTCTAGGGTACATGTGCACAACATGCAGGTTTGTTACATACGTATACGTGTGCCATGTTGGTGTGCTGCATCCGTTAACTCCTCATTTACATTGGGTATATCTCCTAATGCTTTCCCTCCCCGCTCCCCCGACCCCACAACAGGCCCTGGTGTGTGATGTTCCCCTTCCTGTGTCCAAGTGTTCTCATTGTTCAATTCCCACCTATGAGTGAGAACATGCGCTGTCTGGTTTTTTGTTCTTGTGATAGTTTGCTGAGAATGATGGTTTCCAGCTTCATCCATGTCCCTACAAAGGACATGAACTCATCCTTTTTTATGGCTGCATAGTATTCCATGGTGTATATGTGCCACATTTTCTTAATCCAGTCTATCATTGATGGACATTTGGCTTGGTTCCAAGTCTTTGCTATTGTGAATAGTGCCGCAATAAACATATGTGTGCATCTGTCTTTATAGCAGCATGATTTATAATCCTTTGGGTATATACCCAGTAATGGGATTGCTGGGTCAAATGGTATTTCTAGTTCTAGATCCTTGAGGAATCGCCACACTGTCTACCACAATGGTTGAACTAGTCAACAGTACCACCAACAGTGTAAAAGTGTTCCTATTTCTCCACATCCTCTCCAGCACCTGTTGTTTCCTGACTTTTTAATGATCGCCATTCTAACTGGTGTGAGATGGTATCTCATTGTGGTTTTGATTTGCATTTCTCTGATGGCCAGTGATGAGGAGCATTTTTTCATGTGTCTGTTGGCTGCATAAATGTCTTCTTTTGAGAAGTGTCTGTTCATATCCTTTGTCCACTTTTTGATGGGGTTGTTTTTTTCTTGTAAATTTGTTTGAGTTCATTGTAGATTCTGGATATTCGCCCTTTGTCAGATAAGTAGATTGAAAAAATTTTCTCCCATTCTGTAGGTTGCCTGTTCCCTCTGATGGTAGTTTCTTTTGCTGTGCAGAAGCTCTTTAGTTTACTTAGATCCCATTTGTCAATTTTGGCTTTTGTTGCCATTGCTTTTGGTGTTTTAGACATGAAGTCCTTGCCCAAGCCTATGTCCTGAATGGTATTGCCTAGGTTTTCTTCTAGGGTTTTTATGGTTTTAGGTCTAACATTTAAGTCTTTAATCCATCTTGAATTTTCTATAAAGTGTAAGGAAGGGATCCAGTTTTAGTTTTCTACATATGGCTAGCCAGTTTTCCCAGCACCATGTATTAAATAGGGAATCCTTTCCCCATTTCTTGCTTTTCTCAGATTTGTCAAAAGATCAGATGGTTGTAGATGCATGGTATTATTTCTGAGGGCTCTGTTCTGTTCCATTGGTCTATATCTCTGTTTTGGTACAAGTACCATGCTGTTTTGGTTACTGTAGCCTTGTAGTATAGTTTGAAGTCAGGTAGCGTGATGTCTCCAGCTTTGTTCTTTTGGCTTAGGATTGTCTTGGCAATGTGGGCTCTTTTTTGGTTCCATATGAACTTTAAAGTAGTTTTTTCCAATTCTGTGAAGGAAGTCATTGGTAGCTTGATGGGGATGGCATTGAATCTATAAATTACTTTGGGCAGTATGGCCATTTTCACGATATTGAATCTCCCTATCCATGAGCATGGAATGTTCTTCCATTTGTTTGTATCCTCTTTTATTTCCTTGAGCAGTGGTTTGTAGTTCTCCTTGAAGAGGTCCTTTACATCCCTTGTAAGTTGGATTCCTAGGTATTTTATTCTCTTTGAAGCAATTGTGAATGGGAGTTCACTCATGATTTGGCTCTCTGTCTGTTATTGGTGTATAAGAATGCTTGTGATTTTTGCACATTGATTTTGTATCCTGAGACTTTGCTGAAGTTGCTTTTCAGTTTAAGGAGATTTTTGGCTGAGACGATGGGGTTTTCTAAATATACAATCATGTGATCTGCAAACAGGGACAATTTGACTTCCTCTTTTCCTAATTGAATACCCTTTATTTCTTTCTCCTCCTGATTGCCCTGGCCAGAACTTCCAACACTATGTTGAATAGGAGTGGTGAGAGACGGCATGCCTGTCTTGTGCCACTTTTCAAAGGGAATGCTTCCAGTTTTTGCCCATTCAGTATGATATTGGCTGTGGGGTTGTCATAGATAGCTCTTATTATTTTGAGATATGTCCCATCAATACCTAATTTATTGAGAGTTTTTAGCATGAAGGGTTGTTGAATTTTGTCAAAGGACTTTTCTGCATCTATTGAGATAATCATGTGGTTTTTGTCTTTGGTTCTGTTTATATGCTGGATTACGTTTATTGATTTGCATATGTTGAACCAGCCTTGCATCCCAGGGATGAAGCCCACTTGATCATGGTGGATAAGCTTTTTGATGTGCTGCTGGATTTGGTTTGCCAGTATTTTATTGAGGATTTTTGCATTGATGTTCATCAGGGATATTGGTCTAAAATTCTCTTTTTTTGTTGTGTCTCTGCCAGGCTTTGGTATTAGGATGATGCTGGCCTCATAAAATGAGTTAGGGAGGATTCCCTCTTTTTCTATTGATTGGAATAGTTTCAAAAGGGATGGTACCAACTCCTCCTTGTACCTCTGGTAGAATTCAGCAGTGAATCCATCTGGTCCTGGACTTTTTTTGGTTGGTAGGCTATTAATTATTGCCTCAATTTCAGAGCCTGTTCTTGGTCTATTCAGGGATTCAACTTCTTCCTGGTTTAGTCTTGGAAGAGTGTATGTGTCCAGGAATTTATCAATTTCTTCTAGATTTCCTAGTTTATTTGCATAGAGGTGTTTATAATATTATCTGATGGTAGTTTGTATTTCTGTGGGATCGGTGGTGATATCCCCTTTATCATTTTTTATTGCGTCTATTTGATTCTTCTCTCTTCTTCTTTATTAGTCTTGCTAGAAGTCTACCAACTTTGTTGATCTTTTCAAAAAACCAGCTCCTGGATTCATTGATTTTTTTTGAAGGGTTTTTTTGTGTCTCTATCTCCTTTAGTTCTGCTCTGATCTTAGTTATTTCTTGCCTTCTGCTAGCTTTTGAATGTGTTTGCTCTTACTTCTCTAGTTCTTTTAATTGTGATGTTAGGGTGTCAATTTTAGATCTTTCCTGTTTTCTCTTGTGGACATTTAGTGCTATAAATTTCCTTCTACACACTGCTTTAAATGTGTCCCAGAGATTCTGGTATGTTGTGTCTTTGTTCTTGTTGGTTTCAAAGAACATCTTTATTTCTGCCTTCATTTCGTTATGTGCCCAGTAGTCATTCAGGAGCAGGTTGTTCAGTTTCCATGTAGTTGAGCGGTTTTGAGTGAGTTTCTTAATCCTGAATTCTAGTTTGATTGCATTGTGGTCTGAGAGACAGTTTGTTATAATCTCTGTTCTTTTACATTTGCTGAGGAGTGCTTTACTTCCAACTATGTGGTCAATTTTGGAATAAGTGTGATGTGGTGCTGAGAAGAATGTATATTCTGTTGATTTGGGGTGGAGAGTTCTGTAGATGCCTATTCGGTCTGCTTGGTGCAGAGCTGAGTTCAATTCCTGGATATCCCTTGTTAACTTTCTGTCTTGTTGATCTGTCTAATGTTGACAGTGGGGTGTTAAAGTCTCCCATTATTATTGTGTGGGAGTCTAAGTCTCTTTGTAGGTCTCTAAGGACTTGCTTTATGAATCTGGGTGCTCCTGTATTGGGTGCATATATATTTAAGATAGTTAGCTCTTCTTGTTGAATTGATCCCTTTACCATTATGTAATGGCCTTGTCTCTTTTGATCTTTGTTGGTTTAAAGTCTGTTTTTATCAGAGACTAGGATTGCAACCCCTGCCTTTTTCTGTTTTCCATTTGCTTGGTAGGTCTTACTCCATCCCTTTATTTTGAACCTATGTGTGTCTCTGCACGTGAGATGTGTCTCCTGAATACAGCACACTGATGGGTCTTGACTCTTTATCCAATTTGCCAGTCTGTGTCTTTTAATTGGAGCATTTAGCCCATTTACATTTAAGGTTAATATTGTTATGTGTGAATTTGATCCTGTCATTTTGACGTTAGCTGGTTATTTTGCTTGTTAGTTGATGCAGTTTCTTCCTAGCCTTGATGGTCTTTACAATTTGGCATGATTTTGCAGTGGCTGGTACCAGTTGTTCCTTTCCATGTTTAGTGCTTCCTTCAGGAGCTCTTTTAGGGCAGGCCTGGTGGTGACAAAATCTCTCAGCATTTGCTTGTCTGTAAAGGATTTTATTTCCCCTTCACTTATGAAGCTTAGTTTGGCTGGATATGAAATTCTGGGTTGAAAATTCTTTTCTTTAAGAATGTTGAATATTGGGCCCCATTCTCTTCTGGCTTGTAGAGTTTCTGCCAAGAGATCCGCTGTTAGTCTGATGGGTTTCCCTTTGTGGGTAACCCGACCTCTCTCACTGGCTGCCCTTAACATTTTTTCCTTCATTTCAACGTTGGTGAATCTGACAATTATGTGTCCTGGAGCTGCTCTTCTCAAGGAGTATCTTTGTGGCATTCTCTGTATTTCCTGAATTTGAATGTTGGCCTGCCTTGCTAGGTTGGGGAGGTTCTCCTGGATAACATCCTGCAGAGTGTATTCCAACTTGGTTCCATTCTCCCCGTCACTTTCAGGTACACCAATCAGACGTAGATTTGGTCTTTTCACATAGTCCCATATTTCTTGGAGGCTTTGCTCATTTCTTTTTACCCTTTTTTCTCCAAACTTCTCGCTTCATTTCATTCATTTGATCTTCAATCACTGATACCCTTTCTTCCAGTTGATCGAATCGGCTACTGAGGCTTGTGCATTCATCACATAGTTCTTGTGCCATGGTCTTCAGCTCCATCAGGTCATTTAAGGACTTCTCTACACTGGTTATTCTAGTTAGCCATTTGTCTAATCTTTTTTCAAGGTTTTTAGCTTCTTTGTGTTGGGTTCGAACTTCCTCCTTTAGCTCAGAGAAGTTTGATTGTCTGAAGCCTTCTTCTCTCAATTCGTTAAAGTCATTCTCCATCCAGCTTTGTTCCGTTGCTGGTGAGGAGCTGCGTTCCTTTGGAGGGGGAGAGTTGCTCTGATTTTTAGAATTTTCAGTTTTTCTCCTCTGTTTTTTCCCCATCTTTGTGGTTTTATCTACCTTTGGTCTTTGATGATGGTGACGTACAGATGGGGTTTTGGTGTGGATGTCCTTTCTGTTTGTTAGTTTTCCTTCTAACAGTCAGGACCCTCAGCTGCAGGTCTGCTGGAGTTTTCTGGAGGTCCACTCTAGACCGTTTGCCTGGGTATCAGCAGCGGAGGCAGCAGAACAGTGAATATTGCTGAATAGCAAATGTTCCTGCCTGATCGTTCCTCTGGAAGCTTCGTCTCAGAGGGATACCCGGCCGTGTGAGGTGTCAGTCTGCCCCTACTGGGTGGTACCTCCCAGTTAGGCTACTCAGGGGTCAGGGACCCACATGAGGAGGCAGTCTGTCCATTCTCAGATCTCAAACTCCGTGCTTGGAGAACAACTACTCTCTTCAAAGCTGTCAGACAGGGACATTTAAGTCTGCAGAGGTTTCTGCTGCCTTTTGTTCAGCTATGCCCTGCCCCCAGAGGTGGAGTCTACAGAGACAGGTAGGCCTCCTTGAGCAGCAGTGGGCTCCACCCAGTTTGAGCTTCCTAGCCGCTTTGTTTACCTACTTAAGCCTCAGCAATGGTGGGTGCCCCTCCCCCAGCCTGGCTGCCGCCTTGCAGTTTGATCTCAGACTGCTGTGTTAGCAATGAGGGAGGCTCCGTGGGTGTGGGACCCTTTGAGCCACGCGCGGGATATAATCTCCTGGTGTGCCGTATGCTCAGTTGGAAATGCAGAAATCACCCGTCTCATGCGTCGCTCATGCTGGGAGCTGTAGACTGGAGCTGTTCCTATTTGGCCATCTTGGAAACTGCTCTTTATGTAGGTCTTAATGCTTGTTGTGACACATAAGGTCAGAGGCTATATTGTACTGTATTTCAAAAATGACCATAATGTTGCAAATGAAAAATAAATACTGAGTAGAAAAATAAGGTTTAGTAGTTATTTAATTAAAGAAATAAGGCTGGGCACAGTGGCTCACAGCTGTAACCCCAGCACTTTGGGAAGTTGAGGCAGACAGATAGCTTGAGCCCAGATGTTTGAGACCACCCTGGGGAAAGGGTGAAACCATGTTCCTACAAAAAATACAAAAATTAGCCAAGCATAGTGGTGTGCGCCTGTAGTCCCAGCTACTTGGGAGGCTGAGGGCAGAGGGACTGCTTCAGCATAGGAGGCAGAGGTTGCAGTGAGCCAAGATCACGCCACTGCACCCAGCCTGAATGATAGAGACCCTGTCTCAAAAACAAAAAAGAATTAAATAAAGAAACCTTAGTTGTTAAATTTCAATACCCATCAAGACTTTTATTATACTTAACTGACTAGCCCAGCCTTAATCACTTTTGATATATGCCAAAAACAGATGACTTCACATTAAAATTTCAGTTTTACTAATACTTCAAATACATGTAAAATAAAATATTTTAACCAAATTACTGTACTGAGTCATCTGGTAGTTGAAATGCATTTCTAATTGAAAAGAAAATAAGGATTTATAAATGTCAACAGATCAAGGAACTGCTATTGTGCCTATCTCCTCTAGGCTCTCAATACATTGTTTTACTTGAATTTACTTGAATTTTTGAAGTTTTTTGTTTTGTTTTGTTTTGTTTTGTTTTTTGAGACAGAGTCTCACTCTGTCACCCAGGCTGGAGTGCAGTGGTGTGATCTCAGCTCACTGCAACCTCCACCTCCCAGGTTCAAGTGATTCTTGTGTCTTAGCCTCCCAAGTAGCTGGGATTACAGGTGCACACTACCACGCCTGGCTAATTTTTGTATTTTAGTAGAGATGGGGTTTCACCATGTTGGCCAGGCTGGTCTTGAAGTCCTGGCCTCAAGTGATCCACCCGCCTCAGCCTCTCAAAGTGCTAGGATTACAGGCATGAGCCACCACGCCCAGCCAAATTCTTGAATATTTTTTTGATAGATTCTGCTAACATATCTTGCATACATATATTAAGAGGGGAATTCCAACAAAATAATAATAATAAATAAATAAATAAATAAATCTTTTCTTAAAGCCTAGGCAACATAGTGAGATGCTGTCTCTACAAAAAATTTAAAAGTTAGCTAGGCATGGTAACGTGCCCCTCTAGTCTCAGGTACTCAGGAAGCTGAGGCGAGAGGACTGCTTGAGTACAGGAGGTACAGGCTGTAATGAGCCATGACAGTGCCACTGCACTCTACCCTGGGCAACAGAGTGAGAGTCTGTCTTCAAAATAAAGAGAGAGAGAGAGAGAGACCAATAGAAAAACCACCCAATCAACCCATAGAATCATATGATATATGAGATAGTATAAGATACAGGTGGGAGGCTTGGGAAGCTGAGGCACGAGAATCACTTGAACCTACTTGGGAGGCTGATGCACGAGAATCACTTGAACCTGGGAGGTAGGCTGCAGTGAGCTAAGATCACACCACTGCACTCCAGCCTGGGCAACAGAGCAAGACTCTGTCTCAAAAAAAAAAAAAAAATAGATAGAGGTAATATGTGGCTGCTACATTAAGCCATTATGTTTTGAGTGATTCGCTAAACAGCAATAGTCAACAAAATACAAATTAACATGTGTAATGATGAGCTTATTTAATCACATCTGAAAAAATGCGTTTGCACTTCCAGGTAATTTTCTTGCCATTAAATCTGTCTTAAATACTTATCAGAATGCTTTGAGTTTCTTTGTATTTGCACTCTCTTTTAGATATGCATATACGCATGATATATATGTGCTTACAGAAGTAGAAAAAGGATTTCTGGATTGACAGCATTAAAGGTGATTATTCTCTGTGACACAGAGAATTGTATATTAAAAGTATGATTCTACATTATCCTTTAAAAAAACAGTTAAATGTTTTATAGGCTATCCATACAGTTTGAGTCAATATATTTTGAGGTCAATTTGCTATTTAAGATTTTAATATGAAACTGTAAAAACACTAGAACTATGTCTACTATCTCCAGAATTAGAGTTTTATCAATAATATCCCTAAGGCCAAATACTTTGACTGTTCTATTCCAAAAGCAGATGCATTCAAGCATCAACTTTGTTTAATTTAGCATTAAGAAATTATATAAACCCAACACCAATTAATAACTCTTTTTTTTTTTTTTTTGAGACCGAGTCTCGCTCTATCGCCCAGGCTGGAGTGCAGTTGCGCAATCTCTGCTCACTGCAACCTCCATCTCCCGGGTTCAAGCGATTCTCCTGCCTCAGCCTCCCGAGTAGCTGGGACTACAGGCACCCGCCCCATACCCAGCTAATTTTTGTAGTTTTAGTAGAGACAGGGTTTCACCATACTGGCCAGGCTGGTCTCGAACTCCTGACCATGTGATCCGCCCGACTTGGCCTCTCAAAGTGCTGGGATTACAGGCGTGAGCCACCGCACTGGCAATTAATCACTCTTAAAGGCTTAAACACATACGACCTTTTCTTCCCATAAAATCTCAAGTGAGTGTAATTTAAAATTACCATGCAGGCCTCCATTAAGGCAGTGTGCATCTCATCTGTTTTGTGCTCTTGATCTGCACCAGCTTCAAGTAGAAAGCGAACCATATCCAAATGGCCTTGAAAAAAGGAACAAAAATTTTAAAAGAATTCACTATCAGTTTAATATTTAAATATTGAGGTATGGAATCTTTTTCTTCAGATGTCTATACAAGAATTTGATAACTTATTTTGCATTCAATAAATAAATCAGTAACAGTTTTACAAAGCCCATTCAAAGCAATATACAGGCTTTTTTCAAGGTCTTATTATCTAGGCTTTAAAGACTGAATTAGTCCAAGGCACATAATTCAAGTTAAGTAAAGCAATAATGCTTTTACCTTGGTTGAAAATACATAAATTATTTATCTAATCAAAACACTGAGATCAAATAGAAAGCCAAGTAAAGTATCTTGGCATCATATATTCCAGAAAAACAGCTTTAAAATAACCATAAACCCACTGTGGCAATAAGCAGGCACAGAAAACTCCATTTAAAATAATTCCAATCCTCTTGATACAGTGAATATATAAAAAGCCTTGATAGTCAATAAGAAAATGACAAACACTCCAGAAGAATGGGTGACAGATATGAAATGATAATTCAACAAAGAAATGCAAGTGAATATTAAACTGATGAAAACAATATTAAACCTTCCTATTAAAGAAATGCAAATTAAAACAAGACACCATGTTTTTACTATCAAAAATAGCAAATATTAAAAAGAATGATAAAACCCAGTATTGGTGAGGGTGTAGGGTGGGGCAAAGGGCACTCTCAAACATTGTTGGTGGGAGTATAAATTGGTTGAACCTTTCTAGAAGGCAATTTGGCAATATGTAGCAAAACCCTTAAAAATGTCCATACCCTTTGACCCAGCAATTCCACTTCCAGGAATTTATCCTAAGGAAATAATCAGAGGTTATGCAAAAATGTCTGCACAAGGATGTGATCAGTGTTTTTAATAATAGTGAAAACCTGGGAAGAATTTAAGTGTCCAACAATAGGCAATTATGGTACATCTATTTGATGTATTTGGCAGAGACTGCTAGTTCCCTATCTAATATCCACTCTCTTATTCTTTCTCACTTTAAGAGACGAGGTCTCTGTTGGCCAGGCTATAGTCCAGTGGCATGATCATAGCTCACTGCAGCCTCAAACTCCAAGGCTCAAGGGATCCGTCCACCTCAGCTGCCCGAGTAGCTAGGACTGATCTAGGCCTCAAGAGATCCTCCTGCCTCAGCCTCCCAAAATGCTGGGATTATAGGTGTGAGTTACTGCACCCAGCATTCTTTAATTCCTTTTTAATAATAGAACTCCAGTTTCATCTGGGCAGCAACATACCTGACTAGAAGACTATGTTTCTCTGCCCCTCTTGCAGTTATGTGTAGCCAATGAGATGTAAGTGGTAGTTATAAGGCCGCACACCTAGGAAGACTCTTTAAAGGGAGCTTACTAAATTGAGAGGCACTCCTTATATTGCCCTTAACGTCTTTCCTAGAATGTGAACTGCTGGGGTCCTAGCTATCATCTTGGTTTTAGGTTTATTGTAACCTTGTGGATACAAACCACATACTAGGATAGCAGAGCAGAAAAATAGAATTATGAGCTCTTGATGACAATGGAACTGCCATACTAGCCCTAAACGGCTTACCTTTGAATTTCTCTCTTGCTCAAATCGTTAATTTAGATTTTGTGACATATGCAACCAATTTTAATCCTAAATGAAATAGTGAAATAGTATATAATCATCAAAAGTTACATTGTAAGAATATTTATTGAGGCCAGGCATGGTGGCTTACACCTGTAATCCTAACACTTTGGGAGTCTGAAGTAGGAAGATCACTTGAGGCCTGGAGGTTGAGAGCCACCTGGGCAACATAGTGAGACCCCCATCTCTACAAAAAAATAAAAATAAAATTAGCTGGGTATGGTGGTGTGAGTCTGTAATCCTAGCTATTCAGGAGGCTGAGGCAGGAGGATAGCTTGAACCCAGGAGTTTGAGGCTGCAGTGAGCTATGACAGTGCCACTGCACTCCGTCCTGGGTGATAGAGCAAAACCCTGTCTCTAAAAATAATAAAAAATAGGCCAGGCACGGTGGTTCATGCCTGTAACCCCAGCACTTTAGGAGGCCAAGGCAGGTGGATCATTTGAGGTCAGGAGACCAGACTGACTAATATGATGAAACCCTGTCTCTACTAAAAATACAAAAATTAGCCAGACATGTGGCATGCACCTGTAATACCAGCTACTAGGGAGGCTGAGACAGGAGAATCACTTGAACCCGGGAGGCGGAAGTTGCAGTGAGCCAAGATCACACCATTGCACTCCAGCCTGGGCAACAAGAGTGAAACTCCGTCTCAAAAAAACAATGATAATAAATGAAAAATAAAAAATAAAGAATATTTATTGAGATGAAAAATGTCCATGATACACTGCTAAGTAAAATAAGTAGATTATAAAACTGTTAGAGTATAACTATTTTGTTTAAAATATATATATGTTTGTATATAAACATACTTAAAAACAAACTGGAAATGTATACACTAAAATATTGTATACATGCTTTTTTATCTTTAGATGGTAGCATTACATGTCATTTTAAAATTTCTTTTCTTTAGCTGGGTGTGCTGGCTCACGCCTGTAATCCCAGCACTTTGGGAGGCTTGGGAGGCTGAGGCAGGAGGATCACTTGAGGTCAGGAGTTCAAGACCAGCCTGGCCAACATAGTGAAACCCTATCTCTACTAAAAATACAAAAATTAGCCAGGCATGGTGGTGCATGCCTGTAGTCCCAGCTACTTGGGAGGCTGAGGTACGAGAATCACTTGAGCCCAGGAGGCAGAGGTTGCAGTGGGCTGAGTTCGCGCCACTGCACTCCAGCCTGGGTGACAGAGCGACATTCTGTCTCAAAAACAAAAAATTTCTTTTCTTTGTGTTACTCTGTGTTTTTCAGGTTTTCAGTATTGTGTGTATTATTACTTTGGCATGTACTATTTTTTAAATAAACATTGGAAAAATCATATAAAACAAAAGTTATTAAATAATGGAAACCCTCTAAATCTAAGCTAAGTAGTTGGGTTAACTTCACAGTTAACCCAATAAATCTGAATTAAAATAATAAACATATACTAGAAAACTATATTACAGGCAATATAGACTAAAATAGACTTTCTATATAATTTCTTATAAACTAGATAATTTTATAGCACAGGGAAAACATAAGCAATATAAAGTAAACTCAAATACTCAATACTCAAATAATCAAAGTGGTTACGAAAAACATTATAAATATTCATACATGTATTAAGTACCTTTGTAGCAAGCAAGTGTTAGAGCACTTTCTTTGAATTCATTAGAATGAGTGTTGATGCCTGCACCATGATCTAAAAGAACTCTTGCAACTTCCACATGACCTGCACTGGCTGCTTCCATTAAGGGAGTATGTCCATTTTCATTATGATCTTCTATATTTGCACCTTCATTAAGGAGCACTTTAACAATGTCAACAAATCCTCCAGCACATGCATAAGTTAGCGCAGTGTTTCCTAAAAAGAAGAAGAAGAAATATAATACATGAGCAGAATATATATTTAAAAAATAAAAATAAATAAAAGATTTAAAAAGAAATATACAATCATGACAGAACAGATACAATTATGATTATGCTAATGCTCTAGGTATACCTCTTCAATTCCCTTACACAAATCACTACAACTATTATCTCAACTTTTTTTCGTTATCATTGGTTAGAAGCATCACCTTAATTTTCTTTTCTTTTTCTTTGAGACAGAGTGTCATTCTGTTGCCCAGGCTGGAGTGCAATGGCACGATCTTGGCTCACTACCACCTCCGCTTCCCAGCTTTAAGTGATCCTCCTGCCTCGGCCTCCTGAGTAGCTGGGATTACAGGTGCCCACCACCATGCCCCACTAATTTTGTATTTTTAGGAGAGACAGGGTTTCACCATGTTGGCAGGCTGGTCTCAAACTCCTGACGTCAGGTAATCCACCCGCCTCGGCCTCCCAAAGTGCTGGGATTACAGGCGTAATCTGACAATTATGCCAATTATACCAATTATGCCAATTATACCACGCCCGGCCAATTTTCCTACTAATTAAGAGATTTTCTGGCCAGGTGCGATGGCTCACACCTGTAATCCCAGCACTTTGGGAGGCCAAGGTGGGAGGATTGCTTGAACCCAGGGAGTTTGAGACCAAGGAGTTTGAGACCAGCCTGAACAACACAGTATCTCTACTAAAAAAAAACTGAGCCAGGAATGGTGGCATACCCCTGTAGTCCCTGCTCCTCTAGAGGCAAGAGGTGGGAGGATCACTTCAGCCCAATACAAAAGACTTTCTGGAAAGCCCAATACAAAAGACTATATGTTATAAAGATCTGAACAATATAAAAAGGCCAGAAAAGCAAATCTATAGAGACAGAAAGTAGAGTAACAGTTGTCTGAATAACTGAGGGGACTCCAAATGGGCATAGAGATCTTTCTGTGGTGATGGGAATATTCTACAATTAGATTGTACAACTCTATAAATTTACTAAAAATCATTATTGTATACTTAAATCAAGTGAATTTTATGGTATATGAATTATATCTCAATAAAACTGGGATTTTTTGTTTGTTTTTTTAAAAAGCAGCAGCAGCTACATTTGGACTGGGCCTCAAAAGTTAAGTAGGATTCCTAAAGGCAGAAAAGGACATCTGGCATCAAACAAAATGCATTAAGTAAAGGCAGGTGACCACATCCCCTCACAGAGCTGCAATACAGAGCTATGGTTTATGATCCCTGGTCTCTCCTGAGACTGACTGCTTTGGAGTACAGAAGGAAGACTTCTAGGAACCTGTATTTTTAACAAGCTCTCTTAAGTGATTCTGACATGCAGGCAGTAGGTGCAACTTACTGAACAAAATGAACGAATTAATTAAAATACGAACTTGACTAGAAATTATTGGTGAGAAGATGATGCAATTTCCTTCTGGAAATCTCTATTTTCCCAATGAAGTATGAGTTAAGGAAATCAGTGGAAGCGAGGAGGGGTATCTGTGGGGTTTGAGAAGAATGTCTGAAATGGCCACATGGAGAGTGTACGGAGGAGCCCATCAAAGAGCATGTGCTTACTGCATGGTATATAATAATCCCTTCCTTCTACATAGTGTATCTATTTCAGCTAAAAAAAAAAAAAAGGGGGGGGGGGACTTCATCTCAACCAAGCCCTTTTCTCTCTCAAAATGTTCACCTACTTTTTAAAAATAAAGGTACTGAGAACAACATGGTGGTTTTCAAACTGTCTTCCAAAGAACTTTAGAATCCCCGCTTCCAAGAAGTTCCTCAGCACAGAAGAAGATGGGGAGACCTAGGTTCCAGAAATTAAAGCCCCCAACTATCTCTACTTTAGATCAACTCCTCTTTTATCTGTGTAATATTATATCTGTGCTTCCATATACTGTTTGGCTTAAAGTTAGAGTTATTTGACAGAAAACAACCTTAAAAACCACTGAATTTGATGATCACCAAGAATCCTCAAGGGGAAATTTAAAACTTCCTTGTTGGCAGTACCCTCTTTTTTGAGTATTTTTCTTTTTTTTTTTTTTTTATAGACGGAGTCTCGCTCTGTCGCCCAGGCGACACGATCTCGGCTCACTGCAAGCTCCGCCTCCTGGGTTCATGCCATTCTCCTGCCTCAGCCTCCCGAGTAGCTGGGACTACAGGCGCCTGCCACCATGCCTAGCTAATTTTTTTGCATTTTTAGTAGAGACGGGGTTTCACCGTGTTAGCCAGGATAGTCTCGATCTCCTGACCTCGTGATCCTCCCACCTCAGCCTCCCAAAGTGCTGGGATTACAGGCGTGAGCCACCACGCCCGGCCTTTTTTTTGGGTATTTTTCAAAGGAGTGTGTATATAGCATAATGCTGTTAACCAGAACAAAGCAATTGATTTTATCATCTTAATTTAACAACTTTTGCTATAGTTCACAACCAATTAATGCCCTCTGCCCCTAAAATTTGTGGTATATCAATTCAAGGAAATATTACACAACCTTTAAAAAAGTTTGTTAAGAAGTTAATAAAATAGGCCTGGAGCGATGGCTCACGCCTATAATCCCAGCACTTTGGGAGGCCGAGGTGGGTGGATCACAAGGTCGAGATCGAGACCATCCTGGCTAACACGGTGAAACCCCGTCTCTACTAAAAATACAAAAAATTAGCCAGGCGTGGTGGCGGGCACCTGTAGTCCCAGCTACTAGGGAGGCTGAGGCAGGAGAATGGCGTGAACCTGGAAGGCAGAGCTTGCAGTGAGCTGAGATCGCACCACTGCACTCCAGTCTGGGCAACAGTGCGAGACTCCATCTCAAAAAAAAAACAAAAAAAAAGTTAATAAAATAGAAAATAAGTGAAGTCAAACAAAATTGCACATAGGGTATAATTTCAACTACATAATTTTATACATCAAAAATACTGGAAGGAACTAAACTAACACAGTAATAGCAGTGATTTCTGTGCCACAGAGTTTATGGGAGAGTAATCTTTTATTCTTCCTACTTCTCAGCATTTCTGAAATGTTCTTACAATGAGCATATATTATTTTCATAATCAGATAAAAAATTAAGTAAATCAATCTGGTGGTTCACCAACACACTCTAACATTAACTGTCTTCTTTTATGTAAATATAAGAGATATTTTCTGTATTTAATTAATACAGGGAGCCACTTTCAAGGGTTCCAACTATAGTATGCACAAAGCTGCTCAGTTCAAATAAATGACGGGCGAGGGATTTAGGCTGCACACTCCTATGAGACAACTGACTATCTGAGGTGAAACAGTTTCATCCCGAAAACATCCCCTCCTCCCTCCCCCACGTGTGGAAAAATTGTCTTCCAATTGTCTCTGGTGTCAAAAAGGTTGGGGACTGTTGCTATACAAGAATATCTCAGCCAGGCTTGGTGGCTCACATCTGTAATCCCAGCACTTTGGGAGGCTGAGGCGGGCAGATCACATGAGATCAGGAGTTCAAGACCAGCCTGGCCAACATGGTGAAACCCCCGTCTCTACTAAAAAAGTACAAAAAATTAGCCGGGAGTGGTGGTACTCGCCTGTAATCCCAGCTACTTGGGAAACTGAGGCAAGAGAATCTCTTGAACCTGGGAGGTGGAGGTTGCAGTGAGCCAAGATCGTGCCACTGCACTCCAGCCTGGGTGACAGAGTGAGACTCCATCTCAAAAAAAAAAAAAAAAAAAAAAAAGAATATCTTATTAGTAAATGTATTCAGCAAACTCAACATGTAAAACCCTATAGGGTAAACACTCAGGTTTATCTATAATCTAAAGAGTATTGTATTGAAGATAAAGAATTATAAGAAATACAGTTTATAATTTTGCCTCCATATATATTACATACATAAGGTATATGACATGTTGTTATAAGATACATATATAGTAAAATGGTTACTATAGAACAAATTAACATATTTTTCTCATATAGTTACCCAATTTTGCCCCCTGTGGCAAGAGCAGCATAATCTACTCATTTAGCAAAAAATCCTGAATATAATACACTATTATTAATTATAGTCCTCATGTTATACATCAAGCTTTTTGACTTGTTCATTCTACATATTTGCTACTTTGTATCCTTTTACCTACTTCTCCGATTTCTTCTCCCCACCCCTGACCCGGTAACCAATGTCTTATCTCTATATATTTAACGCTTTTTGTAAATTTTCAATATTCAGTGAGATCATGCATACCTATGTCCATAAGACTGTGGGGGAAAAAAAAAAGTGAGATCATGCAATACTTTCCTTTCTGTGTCTGGCTTATTCCACTTAGCATAATGTCCTTCAGGTCCATCCATGTTGTGGCAAATGGCAGGATCTCCTCCTTTTTTAAGTCTGAATAATATTCCATTATGTTCATACCACAAAAACTCAGTCTTGACTACAGGAGACTCTAAGTGTGTTTTAAAGACTTTTGAGGATGTCAAATTAATTTGTATTTTACTCAAAGATTCTACACAAGGGCTAAGATTTTTCTGTAGGTTTATACTGGTTTTCCTCAGAAATCTAATTTTTCTCTCTCTCAGGTAATAATTATGTCAATTTTTTCTCCCAATTAATACATCATTTTCTACATACCTGTTGCAGACTGGGAGTTGACATCAGCATCATGAAGAAGTAATAATTTCACAATATCTAAGTAACCTCCACTGGAAGCTGCCATCAGGGGAGTTATGTCTCCTTTATTCCCTCGATCTTCAACATTAGCATGCATAGCAAGCAATACCTTTAAAACACATATACAGACAGAGAAATTGTTAATTCTTACTATTCAATAGTATTTCTAGAGAATATACTGAATCTCTGAAGATATTCTTCTAGAATAGGGGTGGGAAAAAATCAATAATGACCTTTTGAAAAAATTATGCCAATACTCACTGCTTAACATGCCAGGTTACATATTTTACAATATCATTACATATTAATATTTAAATAAAGTATGCAATCATATTAGCCATCCTATTATAAAATGTGATGGCTCTTGTCAAAGAATGTTATGCTTGAGGTTATCTAGCCAAAGAACAGCAAAACTATACTCACAAGACAGAAACTGGTAAAAACATGGTTAATTCCCAGTACTGTTCTAACATAGAAGGAAAAAAATTAAAAGAATTGGGGTAACCTGAATGTGATGAAAATAATGACTACTTTCCATTATAGCTGTATATTATTTCAAAGGACAAATTTAAAATTATTATTATATCTATTTGTTTCTTATTCATTAGGATTAGCTTTGAGTAAGTGGCAGAAAAATGGATCATTCTCAGTTACATGTACCGGCAACAAAATAAACTGTGTTATCTGTTTCTACTTTACCCACTACCAAAAAGGGAAGGAGGATGGGGGAAGAGAAGACTCTGGCCTCTAATTATAATCTATCTTATAAGTGACAAAAATAAATAAAACATCAAAACCCTTCCACAATTTTAATCACTAAAGATTATTTCTGCTTACTTGTGCTAATTCATAATACCCTGCTGAACAAGCCAAACACAGCAGGCTTTCTCCTTCTTCTGTATGTTCATTTACACTTCTGCCTTCATCTAGCAATTTACGAACAGCATTAACATCCCCATCTGAACAAGCTTCTGCTAGACTGCGACTGGAAACAAAACCATTCAACAATTAACCGAAACAAAAAGACTCGGGGGTCCTATGATAAATTATATTAAATATAAATAGTCACACAAAGAAAAATGTTAATGCAGTAAAAGAAAAAATTATATGAACATATTACTTGCTGAGCATTTTGTCTGCAACTTCAATTATTCATGTTTATCAACCAAGCCAGAAAGCCAGTGAGTGAATTTGAAACCAGCTGTCATTTTTATCTTTTAAAATCTCCTAACATATTACAACAAATTTTAAATAAAGTTTTTTAAAGCATTAGACCAAGCATGTCCAACCCACGGCCCAGGACAGCTTTGAAAGCAACCCAACACAAATTTTTGTAAACTTTCTTAAAACATTATGAAATTTTTTTGCAATTTTTTTTTTTCTTTTCGCTCATCAGCTATCATTAGTGTTTGTATTTTGTTTTGTTTTGGTTTTGAGACAGAGTCTCACTCTGTTGCCCAGGCTGGAATGCAGTGGCACAATCTTGGCTCACTGCAACCTCCACCTCCCAGGTTCAAGTGATTCTTGTGTCTTAGCCTCTCAAGTAGCTGGGATTACAGATGTGTGCCACCACAGCTGGCTAATTTTTGTATTTTTAGGAGAGATGCGTTTTCACCATGTTGTCCAGGCTGGTCTTGAACTCCTGGCCTGAAGTGATCCACCTACCTTGGCCTCCCAAAGTGCTTGGTTACAAACATGAGCCACCATGCCTGGCCTCTAGTGTTTGTATTTTATGTGTGGCCCAAGACAATTCTTCTTCTTCCAATGTAGACCAGGGAACCCAAAATTTGGACACCCCTGTATTAGATGCACAAGTTTTTAAACTCTACTTGTATAATGATTCCCAAAGATATTTTGGGATATAATCCTATGGCTGAAATTTTTACTTAGTAACAGTGAAGGCGAAAACCTAAGAAAACTATTTTACCACAGAATGACTAACTAGACCACCGAGTCTCAAACTTTAATGTGTACGAGTTACTCGTATTTCTTGTTAAAATGCAGATTCTGATTCAGTAGATATGGAGTAGGGCCCGGGATTCTGCATTTCTCACAAGCTCTGAGGTGATGCTGATACTGCCAGTCCATGGACCATATTTGAGTAGCAAGCAACTACACTACTGCATTAGTAACTCGTTTCATGTATTAGTACTCAAGCACTCGGTTTAGAGTTTACTATAATAACTTTTAGAATAAGTAACTTCCTTATAACTGGAAAACAGATCTTATTCAGTTTGGATTTCTCAGAGACTCTAGTGTAATACATTCCACAAGAATGCTCAACGAATAAGAGCTGAATGAAGAAACAAAAATATCCATTTGTATAGCTACATAATACATATACATTTATATATCCACTTAAAATGTAATATCCTTTCAGCTAAAGTTTATAAGCTCCACCAAAAGATATATTTAACCAAAATTGGCTACTTCCCCAAAATCTATTCAAGAAAATGTCTAATATCCAAAAGTCATTAAACACATACGTGTCCACTTGTCCTGCATTGTGGCTGTTTTCTGCTTTCATCCGTGTCAGTGCAGCAGCAGCTTCATCCAGTGCACAACTAACTGAGGATGTCAGTCTCCGGAGTACCTCAGGATCTGCAAAAGCTTTACCATCAGCAGTTGACAATTTGCCAATTCCTTCAGTGTGCATCAATCAATCAGGTAGTGCAGAACAACAAAAAAAAAAGTATAAAAGTGCAAATTGTAATTATATTTCTAAACACTATTATCTAGGAAAAAGAAATGGTATAGAATCCATAGGTTAGGTTGACAGAAGATAAGGCTTATCAATTCAATTCTGCCACTAATGTCAAAAGGCCATGGCATAACCACCTATGTTTTAGTCTTTCTACCTTTACAATGCACATAATATTAATTTGTCCTCTACCTAATCCACATGTAACTTCATATGAGGCTGTCTATCAAATAAATGAGATTTCTTTCAAAATACATAGTCACACCATAAGATCTCTAGTACAGGATATCTGTCTTTACTATTTTCAGTAGTATCTTCAGAGGGGAGACAGTCTGTAATACTGTAACAAACAATTCAATTGTTTCTTCCTTTGGTCACAACCATCTTCTGGGGCAACATTTTAAATTAAATTCATTCTTACAAATAAAATTAAAATTAAAAAATTATATACACAATACCCAATGAATTTATATCGTCATTTATAAAGAGCTACCACACAATCTACTAATGATATAACATGAATGCAAACTAAAATGGTGAGGTATTTTTCATTTATGAAATTGACAAAACAATGTCTGAGGTGTGAGGCCCTCTCAAAAATTGTTGATTTTTGAGTGAATAAAGAAATAAATACAGGCACAAACTTGAGGGACTAATTTAATAATAGTTGTCAAAATTTTATTTTACTTATTTTTTTGAGACGGAGTCTTGCTCTGTCACCCAGACTGAAGTGCAGTGGCACAATCCCAACTCACTGCAACCTCCGCCTTCTGGGTTCAAGCGATTCTCCTGCCTCAGCCTCTCGAGTAGCTGGGATTACAGGGGTGCGCCGCCACGCCCAGTTAATTTTTGTATTTTTTTTAGTAAAGACGAGGTTTCACCATGTGGGCCAGGCTGGTCTCGAAGTCCTGACCTCAAGTGATCCACCTGCCTCGGCCTCCCGAAGTGCTGGGATTACAGGCATGAGCCATGGCGCCCAGCCAGTTGCTAAAATTTTAAATGCAAATGTATTCTTACCCATTGATAATACTTTCTAAAAATCTGTCCTAAAGAGATACTTGCACAAGTAAGAAAAGTTACAGATATATAAGGCTATAAACTATAACATTATTTGTGATACTGAAAAACTGGATATAAGCTAAAATTGGAAAAATTAATTATGGTTCATCCAAGCAACAGAATATTATGGTACCCTTCAATAAAAGGAGAAAGATCAACATAAACTGTCATGGAAGGATACCCACAATAAATTATATGGGGAAAAAAATTGTATTTTGTGTATTATTCCTACTTCATTTATAACAATCATGTATGTTCAAACATATACATGTATTTATATTATCATAAGGGGAAAAGTCTAGAAGTATATGTAAACCTTGACAGAAAACGGGAAGGTTTTGTTATCTACTTAATATATTTCACATTGCTTTAGCTATTTTATAATATGCATTACATATAAAAAAATTAGCTATTTAAAATCAAGTTAAACATAGATTAAAGTGAATACACAAGTAATCAACATGCAGCTCCCTAAATCAGTACAGATAAAGAAGTCATAAACTGATTAACTAAATTTATCTCCCACATTTTTATTTTATAATGGCTAACAGGTAAGTTTTCCTTGATAACTAGCTGATTATCTTTTTTTTTTTTTTTTCAGACGGAGTCTCGCTCTGTTGCCCAGGATGGAGTGCTATGGCATGATCTCGGCTCACTGAAACCTCCCCCTCTAGGGTTCAAGCAATTCTCCTGCCTCAGCTGCCTGAGTAGCTGGGACTACAGGCGCACACCGCCATACCTGGCTAATTTTTTTCTATTTTAGTAGAGACAGGGTTTCATCATGTTGCCCAGGTTGGTCTTGAACTCCGAGCTCAGGCAATCCGCCTGCCTCAGCCTCCCAAAGTGCTGGGATTACAGGCGTGAGCCACTGCGCCTGGACGCTCATTATCTTAATACCTTAAAAATATATGAGTTGAGCCCAGAAATACAAAATGTGAACATTTTCTTTGGGAGATAAAAAGTAAAATAAATTTTAGAGATTTTAAATTTTGTATAATGTTATAGAATTTGGGGATAATCTCATGTAACTGTAAAGAGATCTAGACTTTTAAAGATATGAAAAAGATAAAACAAAAAATAAAGTACCTGCTGCTTCTAGCAATGCTTCTAGTCGTGCCTGTGTCTCTGGATCCACAGTGCGTAAGTCTGCTCCTTCTGCAGTACTTGATAAGAATATCTCTGATGTTGTTTTAAGCACTGGGTTATCCAGATCTTCTTGGTCCAAAATAAATGATTCAACCTGTTAATGAAATAAAGATGCAATATCCATGAAACTGATATCAATATGATTAGAATAACTACAATTTAAGGTAATATGACTTCTTAATTAGAACTTAAATATAAGCAGAAAAATTATTATAGAAACAAGGGAGTATGGGAATGGACTTTGAAGGACATTGTGACTGTTTACCTTCAGACATGACTACAGGTATAACACACATACACTGAAGTTTCCTCAAGAGCATTGTATATTCTGTGACTAATACAGAGCATGAAAAGCAATATTAAGGCCAGTCACAGTGGCCCACGCCTGTGATCCTAGCAGTTTGGGAGGGCCAGACAGGCAGATCGCTTGAGCTCAGGAGTTTGACACCAGCCTGGGCAACAAGGTGAAACCCCATATCTATTAAAAAAAAAAATTAATACTGAAAAAAGAAAAGCAGGGGCTGGGCGCAGTGGCTCACACCTGTAATCCTAGCACTTTGGAAGGCTGAGGCAGGGGGATTACCTGGGGTCAAGAGTTTGAGACCATCCTGGCCAACATGGTGAAACCTCATCTCTACTAAAAATATAAAAATTAGCCGGGCGTGGTGAGGTGGTGCCTGTAATCCCAGCTACTCAGGAGACTGAGGCAGAATTGCTTGAACCCAGGAGAAGACGCAGGTTGCTGTGAGCCGAGATCGTGCCATTGTACTCTAGCCTGGGCAACACAGCAAAAACTCCATCTCAAAAAAAAAAAAAGCATTTACTTTTTATTGAAACAAGTACATGAACATAACCCTGAGAAAATCCATATAGACTAGATAGAATAGAACAAACAACAACAACAACAACAACAACAACAAACTTGATAGCATAGATAGGTCATTAAGAGAAAAGTTTTCCTCTTTTCTAAATAATTTATTCAATTCTGACTCTGAAATGAGGGAAAATAAAAACTAACCCACTGATACCTGGAGACCTTTAGACAGGAACACTCCATGAGGTTAAAAACTGTACTTTGTTTACAGTGCTATACGTTGGGCCTACGAATACCTGGCACATAGTATGAATTTAATACATACTTGTTGAAATGAATGAATGGTATAAGCAAAAATCAACTTACAAAAATAAACATGTAACCCTCCAATTTCAAATAAAATTAATTCAAAATGTATTTTCTTAAATAAAATATATACAACCCTTCTGGGAAGCAATTTGGAAACGTGTATCAAAATACCTTAAAAAGCTCACTAAAAAATTTTCTGAAAGCCAGACAAAAATTAGTGTGCAAGGATGTTCACTGCAGCATTAACTGAAATTCCAAAAATGAGGAAAAATTATAATACAGAATTTGGGAAATACATGTTGTACATTTACATGATGGACTACCATGCAGTCATTAAAAACAATGTTTTTGTGACCACTGGCTCAACTGTGAGAAGAAATAAAAAATTAAAAAAAAAGTTTTTGAAGCATATTTAATGGCATGAGAATATTCATAAAATTAAATAAAATACACAAGATTCAAAACAGTATGATTCTTATTTTGCTAAATGTACATATGTGTATATATGTAAATATGAACATGAGTACTCATGAGTAATATGTAGTATGTATATTATTTACATAATATATGTAATGTATATCATATACATATATACGTATATACATATAACATGTATGGCATATATGTAATTTGTATAATATACAGATAATATATATACTATATATATTACTGTAATATGCAAATATGTATAGCCAGGAAAAATTAACATATTTGTAGATAAAGAAAAACATCAGGAACAGAAAGATTAAGTACTTCTTCAAGGTCACACAGCTAACAAACAAAAAAAATAAGGTTTCAAACTCAGGCCACATACCTACAGAGTCCATGCTTTTAACCACTAGGATATCACACATTTATAAAAAAAAGGACCACAGTATCTGGACTACATTATTTGGCATATCTGGCTAGTTGGTCATCAATTTTCACAATGGACACCAAATAAATATAGCCTAATAAAGACAGTAAAGTTAAAATAACTTATTTTATTATCTAATGATGTACTATAATTTTACAAAATGAATCTTTAACTTCAGACCTAAAAACATTGAGCTATACTGTAACACAGCTTCTTTAACATGTAACTACAGACAAAGATGCCAGATCCAATAGATAAATGCAGGCAACCAGTTGTCAAATGACCTTGAAAAGCAACTGCTCATACAACAGCTTAATGTAAGGCCAAGAAATTAAGAGATATTTGCAGATATACATACCTGCCAGTTGGAAGGACAGGTAAAAACATCATTCCAGTGGAAAAATTATAAAATTATTTATTTAAAATAGTATTTACATATTAATATTCCTATTTTATAAATATTATATGTCTCATGTAACATTTTAAAAAGCCAAGTTAAGGATTTCCAGTAGTCTCTCATTCTCTCAATATTTACTAAAGGCGCATTTGAGATATATATATCTCTCTCTCACTATGATAATACAAAAATGTGGTAGAAGAAATAAGAAAGACTCCAACAACTATTACAAAAGGCCTCAAAGAGAAATAAATGATACAACTATATGCACTAATGAGGGAGAAATCACTTCCAGCCCTAGTAACCCGTGAAGACTTTGCACAAGAAGCAACATTTGAACTAGGCTTTGAAGGATGCACAGAATTTCAATAGGTAGTTAGACATAGGGGTAGAGGTGGGCAGAAGAGGAAGTATATTTCAGATAGAGGCAGAAAATGAAATAAAAAATAGGCTTGGAGGCTGGGTGTGGTGGCTCATGCCTGTAATTCCACACTTTGGGAAGCCAAGGCGGACAGATCACTTGAGGCCAGGTGTTCAAGACTAGCCTGGCCAACATGGCGAAACCCTGTCTGTACTAAAAATACAAAATTAGCTGGGTGTGGTGGCACATGATTGTAATCAGCTATTTGGGAGGCTAAGGCACAAGAATCGCTTGAACACAGGAGGCAGAGGTTGCAGTGAGCTGAGACTGTGGCACTGCACTCCAGCCTGGGGAACACGGCAAGACTATCTCCAAAAGAAACCCCCGTTTTTTTTTTGGGGGGGGGAAGGGGGTGGGGCTTGGAGATGAATTGTCCACTCAAAAAATGTAAGGTACGAGCCGAGCACAGTGGCTCACGTCTATAAACCCAGCACTTTGGGAAGCCAGGGTGGGGGGGATCATTTGAGGCCAGGAGTTTAAGACCAGCCTGGGAACCTAGTGAGATCTTGTCTCTACAAAAAATTTTAAAATTAGCCTAGCGTCATGGCATAAAACTGTAGTCCCAGCTACTCATGAGGCTGAGGTGGATCATTTGAGCCCAGAAGTTCAAAATTACACTGAGCTATGATTGTACGACTGTATTCCATGTGGATGACAGAGCAAGACACTGTCTCTTAAAAAAAAAAAATTAATATAAGGTCTTTCTGCATTGCTGGTGGAAACATAGTGGTGTAGCCACTGTGGAAACAGTTTGACAGTTCTTCAAAAGTTAAACATAGAATTATCATATGACCCAATAATTCTACTTCTTAGGTATATACCTAGGATAATTAAAAATATACATGTTCATACAAAAACTTAAACACAAACGTTCATACCTGCATTCTTTATAACAGCCAAAAAGTAGAAACAACCCAAATGTCCATCAGTAGATGAATAAACCAAATATGATATATATCCATGCAATTGAATATTATGCAGCCATCAAAAGGAAGAAATACATGATATAGATGAACCTTGAAAACATTATGTTTAGTGAAAGAAGGGAGACACAAAAGGTCCCATTATATGATCCCATTTATATGAAATGTCCAGCATAGGCAAATCCATAGAAAAAGACAATAGGTTGCCTTGGGAGTGGAGAAGGGAAGAATAGGAGTGACTGTAAGTGAGTCTGAAGTTTCTTTTTGGATTGATGAAAATGTTCTGGCATTAGATAGTAGTGATTGCTATACAACCTTGTAAATATACTAAAAATCACTGAAATGTAGACTTTAAAATGCTATATCTTATGGCATACGAATTATATCTCAATTTTTAAAAGATATAAGGTATCTAGAATACAACTATGGCATTAGGCTAGAAAGAACAACTGGGAATAGATTTGAGTAGACCATATAAAAGGTGACAGACTGTTCATTGCCTGCCTGATTACCACCATTAGAGAGAGAAAGAACCAGTAGCAGTGACTTCCTGGGTGTCAATAATAGCATCAGGTAAATAAGATGGCACATTCATAAGTGCTTGGGAAGAATCAAATTCAGAAGAAAAATACAAAATGGTGATGTGTCCCTTGCTTCAGAGGCTGATAACTTCTCTGAAAATATAATGCATAAGATAATTTATTGAGTTAATTCTACGTCTTACAGTGGATGTAAACTCAAGTTTCAATTAGGCAGTAAGACATAATGGAGAGCATATTACACTGGAGATCAAGAGAATAAGGTTCAAGTACCAGTTCTATCAGGCATTGTGTGTAAATTCAGACATAATACTCAACCTTTCTGACATTCTATTTCTTCCTCAATAAACAAAGACACTATCTGCCCCACCTACCTTACAGTGCTATTGAAATCCTGAAATGAGGTAATGAAGGTAAAAGCATTTTGAAACAATAAACCACCATATAAATATAATTTTTAGAACATGATTCTGTGTAATTACAATTCTTTTGTCCTGTCCCTCACCACAGTGTCTATTTTCTCCACCTTTTCAAAGTGGAAGAATCATACTGAGAATCTAACATGATGCATTTTATCAGCACTCACTTGAACTTTTGAGTGTGGTTTTATGCATTTTACATCTAATATCTGACCCATATGATAAAATTTTAAATATCCACAATACTTGTGGGAAAAAAACCCAGAATGAGTTATAGTTAATACAAAACCATACAGATAAATGATATGAATACATTTGTATCAATCAGATTTCCCAAAAAGCACTACTGTTTCCTTTGTCCCACCCTCTTTATAACTTTAAAAATGTCTGTCTCAATGTGGAATCAATAAAAGGACAAAATATCCCATTATGCTTATTATTTTGGAAATATTTGAGAGATTACTTTTGGCGGTTCACAAATATCTTACCTAACAAATCTGCTGAAACATATTCTTACAATTCAGATTGCATTAGCATTACTTCAAAATACAGCTGGCTGGGTACATGTGGCCCATGCTTGTAATCCCAACACTTTGGGAGACTGAGGGAGGAGGACTGCTTGAGCCCAGGAGTTCAAGACCAGCCTGGGCAACATAGTGAGACCTTGTCTCTACGAAAAATAATTTTTAAAAATTAGCCAGGCATGGTGGCCATGTGCCTGTGGTTCCAGCTACTCAAGAAACTGAGGTGGGAGGATCGCCTGAGCCCAGGAGGTTGAGGCTGCTATATGCCATGATCATGCCATTCCACTTCAACCTGGACCCTGGGCGACAGAGTGAGACTCTGTCAAAAAAAAAAAAAAAAAAAGATGGAAACCATTTATAGCTACGTGGAGATATGTTAAATATGACAAATTCTGTATACATTCTGTATACTTAATATAAAAGGCTTGGTGATAGAGTACAGAAACCATGTCTATATATAACAGATAAGCCCAAAATAATAGTATGTCTAATGAAATTAGTCTTCATCAAGCAAATGAATATAAAAGCCTTATACTTTCTTACATATAGCTATAACATCACAGCAATGTTCTTATTGCCTGATGATACTGTTACATAGCTCATCTCTATTCAGTAGCTACATTCAGCAGCAAATAAATACATCCACTTATAGCAGTATTATTTTTTGCCAAAGGCAAGTTCTAAACACCAAAGAATCTTTTTTCCTACCTCTGACTAGGTACAAGAATAAAGGGTGGAGGAAAAAGAGTGGTAAAGGAATACGGCCCATCAAAAACTACCTGTTTTTCCCTTATATCTCCTGAAATACTAAAGACAAAAACCTTTGTCTTCCTCCTCAAAAGGTTATTTTTCCTTCTTGCCTTAAAAACAAAAAACAAAAAACAAGGAGTATGGGAGTGTGGTTTTTAGCTTCAACTAAAACAAACAAAAGGGAGGAGAAGGGAGAAGGGGGACAAGCATTTTGTCCCATTTTTATTCCATTTTGACATTTCAGAAATGAACCACTGGATGCAACAGTTACCAAGAGAGATTACCACAGACTCAGCTATTATCACCTAAAAGAACAGTCAGTCACTCTGGCCAAAGTCTAGTTTGAAAAATCATTTATTAATCCAGCTATGATTTAACCAAAACTCACGTCCACATTAAAACAGTTTCTATGTAGCGCTATAATTAAAACTTCCAATAATAGTAATATGCTTTAAGTCTTATACTGTAATAAAATAATAATATCTCATATTACATTGATCAATAACTAATTAACTTCTCTCAGACTGTATTTCTAGAAATAGTAATTGCTAGCTAACACAGAAAATGTTATTAATAGTAAAAAATAATATTCTATCATAAAACATGTACATTACATATATTTGTTTATGTATTCTCTAGTCCTGTGGTCATACAATGCAGGGAACAAAAAAAAGAACACCAGCCAAGCTCTTAAATATAAATGAAAAATACATTGTTTTCCACAGAGCCCTTGGAATTGGATTATGAAATTTTTACTTTTAACATGTTAAATAAATTTATATTTTGAGTTAGAGAGTCAAATATTAGTAGCCACAAATTTCATTTCTGGTATCCTTTAAGAATATTCTAGGCCAGGCTGGGCGCAGTGGCTCACACCTGTAATCCCAGCACTTTGGGAGGCCGAGGCGGGTGGATCACAAGGTCAGGAAATCGAGACCAGCCTGGCCAATATGGTGAAACCCCGTCTTTACTAAAAATACAAAAATTAGCCGGGCGTGGTGGCAGGCGCCTGTAGTCCCAGCTACTCGGGAGGCTGAGGCAGGAGAATTGCTTGAACCTGGGAGGTGGAGGTTAGAGTGAACCGAGATTGTGCCACTGCACTTCAGCCTGGACAACAGAGCGAGACTCCATCTCACAAAAAAAAAAAAAAAAAAATTCTAGGCCGGGCATGGTAGCTTATGCCTGTAATCCCAGCACTTTGGGAGGCCAAGGCTAGTGGATCACCTGAGGTCAGGAGTTCGAGACCAGCCTGGCCAACATGGTGAAACCCTGTCTCTACTAAAAATACAAAAAAAATTTGCCAGACCTCATGGTGCATGCCTGTAGTCACAGCTACTCGGGAGGCTGACACACGAGAATCGCTTGAACCCAGGCAGCAGAGGTTGCAGTGAGCCAAGATCGCGCCACTGCACTCTAACCTGGGCAACAGAGCAAGACTCCGTCTCAATAAAAATAAAAATAAAAATAAAAAGAATATTCTAGGCTGGTTAATTTAAAAAAACAAAACAAAGAGTCATCACCACTCTCATGAATTTCAACTGGAGCTATGAAAAAGTTCAAGGACCTCGCCCTCGCCCTCGCCCTCTCCCTCTCCCCACGGTCTCCCTCTCCCTCTCTTTCCACGGTCTCCCTCTGATGCCGAGCCAAAGCTGGACTGTACTGCTGCCATCTGGGCTCACTGCAACCTCCCTGCCTGATTCTCCTGCCTCAGCCTGCCGAGTGCCTGCGATTGCAGGCGTGCGCCACCACGCCTGACTGGTTTTCGTGTTTTTTTGGTGGAGGCAGGGTTTCGCTGTGTTGGCCGGGCTGGTCTCCAGCTCCTAACCGCGAGTGATCCGCCAGCCTCGGCCTCCCGAGGTGCCGGGATTGCAGACGGAGTCTCGTTCACTCAGTGCTCAATGGTGCCCAGGCTGGAGTGCAGTGGCGTGATCTCGGCTCGCTGCAACCTCCACCTCCCAGCAGCCTGCCTTGGCCTCCCAAAGTGCCGAGATTGCAGCCTCTGCCCGGCCGCCACCCCGTCTGGGAAGTGAGGAGCGTCTCTGCCTGGCCGCCCATCGTCTGGGATGTGAGGAGCCCCTCTGCCTGGCTGCCCAGTCTGGAAAGTGAGGAGCGTCTCTGCCCAGCCGCCATCCCATCTAGGAAGTGAGGAGCACCTCTTCCCGGCCGCCATCCCATCTAGGAAGTGAGGAGCGTCTCTGCCCGGCTGCCCATCGTCCGGGATGTGGGGAGTGCCTCTGCCCTGCCGCCCTGTCCGGGATGTGAGGAGTGTCTCTGCCTGGCCGCCCCGTCTGAGAAGTGAGGAGACCCTCTGCCTGGCAACCGCCCCGTCTGAGAAGTGAGGAGCCCCTCCACCTGGCAGCCGCCCCGTCTGAGAAGTGAGGAGCCCCTCCGCCCAGCAGCCACCCCGTCTGGGAAGTGAGGAACGTCTCCGCCCGGCAGCCACCCTGTCCGGGAGGGAGGTGGGGGGATCAGCCCCCCGCCCGGCCAGCCGCCCTGTCCGGGAGGTGAGGGGCGCCTCTGCCCGGCCGCCCCTACTGGGAAGTGAGGAGCCCCTCTGCCTGGCCGGCCGCCCCGTCCGGGAGGGAGGTGGGGGGGTCAGCCCCCCGCCCGGCCAGCCGCCCCGTCCGGGAGGGAGGTGGGGGCGTCAGCCCCCCGCCCGGCCAGCCGCCCCGTCCGCAAGGGAGGTGGGGGGGTCAGCCCCCCGCCCGGCCAGCCGCCCCGTCCGGGAGGTGAGGGGCGCCTCTGCCCGGCCGCCCCTACTGGGAAGTGAGGAGCCCCTCTGCCCGGCCAGCCGCCCCGTCCGGGAGAGAGGTTGGGGGGTCAGCCCCCCGCCCGGCCAGCCGCCCGTCGGGGAGGGAGGTGGGGGGGGGTCAGCCCCCCGCCTGGCCAGCCGCCCCGTCCGGGAGGGAGGTGGGGGGGTCGGCCCCCCACCCGGCCAGCCGCCCCGTCCGGGAGGGAGGTGGGGGGGTCAGCCCCCCGCCCGGCCAGCCACCCCGTCTGGGAGGTGAGGGGCACCTCTGCCCGGCCGCCCCTACTGGGAAGTGAGGAGCCCCTCTGCCCGGCCAGCTGCCCCGTCCGGGAGGGAGGTGGGGGGGGTCAGCCCCCTGCCCGGCCAGCCGCCCCGTCCGGGAAGTGAGGGGCGCCTCTGCCCGGCTGCCCCTACTGGGAAGTGAGGAGCCCCTCCGCCCGGCCACCACCCCGTCTGGGAGGTGTACCCAACAGCTCATTGAGAACGGGCCATGATGACAATGGCTGTTTTGTGGAATAGAAAGGGGGGAAAGGTGGGGAAAAGATTGAGAAATCGGATGGTTGCCGTGTCTGTGTAGAAAGAGGTAGACATGGGAGACTTTTCATTTTGTTCTGTACTAAGAGAAATTATTCTGCCATGGGATCCTGTTGATCTGTGACCTTGCCCCCAACCCTATGCTCTCTGAAACATGTGCTGTATCCACTCAGGGTTGAATGGATTAAGGGCGGTGCAAGATGTGCTTTGTTAAACAGATGCTTGAAGGCAGCATGCTCTTTAAGAGTCATCACCACTCCCTGGTCTCAAGTACCCAGGGACACAAACACTGCGGAAGGCCGCAGGGTCCTCTGCCTAGGAAAACCAGAGACCTTTGTTCACTTGTTTATCTGCTGACCTTCCCTCCGCTATTGTCCTGTGACCCTGCCAAATCCCCCTCTGCGAGAAACACCCAAGAATGATCAATAAAAAAATAAATAAATAAATAAATAAATAAATAAAAAAGTTCAAGGAAAGACTAAACCTTTATCTCATTCTACCTCTCCTCACCAACCTTCAAAAATAAAGCTCCCAGCTGGGCGCAGTGGCTCACACCTTGTAACCCCAGCACTTTGGAAGGCTGAGGCAGGCAGATCACCTGAGGTTAGGAGTTCAAGACCAGCCTGGGCAACATGGCAAAATCCTGTCTCTACCAAAAATACAAAAATTAGCCAGGCGTGATGGTGTGTGCCTGTAGTCCCAGCTACTGGGGACCTGAGGCAGGAGAATTGCTTGAGCATAGGAGGCAGAAGTTGCAGTGAGCCAAGATCATGCCACCGTACTCCAGCCTGGGCGGCAGAGCGAGACTCTGTCCCAAAAAAAGAAGCTCCCTTAAGAAATTCAGATTTGATCATTTAAAATGGGAAGGTATTTTAAACAACCAAAATATACATTTTTAAAACATGTACTCGCTAGTCCTCTTTTTCTTATGTATATTTGAATAGGCCAACATGTCTTATCCTTCCCCTACCCAACGTGAGCCCTCCACTTTAAGTCAGGATCAGCACCATTTTGGAATGCCTATTGTTGATCTCTACTCAGAACAGCAAAAAGGATGGGCCAGTGTTCCAAGAAGTAATTACTGAAGGACATAACAATTCCTTTTTGCAAAACACACAGTACTCCAAAATTCTAGCAGTAGCAACCACCATAATCATGCCCTAAGATCAACTCAAAGGCAAAAAGTAATACTGTTGTAATTTAGCACCAAATAATGACAAACTTAGGGGTGAGTTTTGTTGTTACAAAAAGGCCTAATATACTCAGCAAAAACATCTTAAAATACTGGAATAAAAAGGCTATATTCATTAACATAAAAGCTTTTCAAGGTTCTTTCTACAATGAAAACTTTATTCCCCCCCAGTCTCAGACTCACAATCCCCCCTTCTCAAAAAACAGAAAAGAGGCCTGGGGCAGTGGCTCATGCCTGTAATCCCAGCACTTAGCGAGGCTAAGGTGGGCAGATTGCTTGAGCTCAGTAGTTAGAAACCAGCCTGGGCAACAGGGTGAAACCCTGTCTCTACAAAAAACAAAAATTAGCTGGGCATGGTGGTGCATACCTATAGTCCCAGCTACTTGGGAGGCTGAGGCGGCAGGATCATTTGAGCTGGAGAAGGTAGAGGCTGCATGAGCCATGATCACACCACTGCACTCCAGCCTGGGCAAAAGTGTAAGACCCTGTCTTAATAAAAAACAGTAATAAAAAACAGAAATCATATCTTGGGTTTTCTGAAATTGGTTAGCTTCATGTAGCACAAAAAAGAACCATCATGCTTTTCCTAAATCTAAGTTAAAGCTGAAGAAAATTATCCCCACTTTGCTCGAACACAAAAACTTCATTTTTAAACTATAGCTTTAACACAGAATCTATTATCTTTTGAAGTCCCTAACTGAAAACAGGAGAAGGAAAAATCTTTTTAAAAATCTACTATTAAGTACCTTTAAAAACATAATAGGCTACCATTAATAAAATGTCTCATATGTATCAGCCTTTTCCATATACTATTTTATTCAACCATCTTAACTACTTAATGTTAAGTGACTGGCCCAAGATCACAAAACCATGTGAGGATCTGAAGCTATGTGTTTCAGACAACAAAGTTTACACCCTTTTCACTACACCAAAGTGGATGAAGTGAATCTTCTAAACAACAGAGTGTAACTAAAACAAATACTAACCAGTGTAGTGAACAGAAAATCTACAGCTGTCCTAACAATCATATTGTCAGAAAATAACTTTGGAATTTAAATTAAATGTAACAGATTATCAAGCCCACTAACTCTAATACCAGATCAATCATATCACTCCTTTGGCTAAAATCCCTCCCATTTCTTAGGTAAAGGATCCAAATTTCTTTGTATGGCACATATAGTTATTTAGGATTTGGCTTTGACTATCTTTCCAACTATATCCTTGTTGTATTCTATTTGCTTTTTATATTCTAGCCATACCAAATTGCTGTAGTTTTTGAACATATCATCTCTACAAAAAATAAAATTAAAAACTAAAAATAGCCAGACATACTAGCATGCACCGGAGGAGTCAGAGCTGCTTGGGAGGCTGGGGCGGGAAGATGACTTGAACCCAGGAGTTCAAGGCTACAGTGAACCATGATCAAGCCACTGCATTCCAGCCTGGATGACAGAACAAGATATTGTCTAGATGAGTGCGTGTGTGTATATATAGATGTGTGTGTGATACATCTCTATCTCTGTCTCTGTCTCTCTCTCTCTCTCTCTCTCTATATATATATAGTAGCTAGTATTATTATTCTTGATGCCAAAGCAGTGGAAGTATATATACCAGGGTATATAAGAGCTTGATATGTTCTAAGAACTACAGCAATTTAGTATGGCTAGAATATAAAAAGCAAATAGAGCATAAGGATATAGTTGGAAAGATAGACAACGCCAAATCCTAAATAACTATGTCTGCCATACCAAGGAATTTGGATCCTTTATCTACGAAATGGGAAGGATTTTGGCCAAAAGAGTGACAGAATGACAAGACAGCATGGGAGAGAGAGCTAATGGAAGAGGGGGCCAAATGTGCTTTACAATAAAGCGACTCAGGATAGTTAACCAGCTCCTGTGAGAAGTCCTAATGACTCAGTTACCTCTTATTAGGCCCAACCTCCTAACACTGTTGAACTAGGAACCAAGTTTCTAACACATGAACTTTGGGGGACACATTCATCATAGTGGAGTGCAAGGGGAAAGTATGAGTTCAGTTTTAGAATTAATGAGCCTGAGATGTTTATGCAATATACATACAGTAGGTATTAATAGTTGGAAGGTCTCTTAAATGAAACATAATAGAAGTGAAAGGGAAGCCACATGGATATCTAAGAGAATGTACCTGACAGAGGGAACCAGAAGTGCCAAAGGCCCTGAAGCATCACAGGCTTGGCGAGTTTACAGAACATAATAAGGAGCAGTTGTGGTTTTGCTCAAAAATAAGCACAAGACAATCTTATGCTGATGGACTATGCATCCTTCCATTTTAAATTACTGCCCCTTTAAACCTGCCACTTAGAGCCCATCAATCTCCTGAAGCAAGACACTCAAATATCAATCTTTAGAGTGATCATCCAACTAACACAGGGCAATGATCCACACATTGAATTTGGTATCTTGGACTGTCACAGAACCATGAGAAAATTAAATGAGGTGATGCAATTAAAGTGCACAATGCCTAGAACACTCAAATACAATTTATTAATATCTAAAAAGAGTTTAGAATGACAAATATAATTTGAATAAATAGGCTGGGCATGGTGGCTCATGCCTGTAATCCCAGCAGTTTGGAAGGCCAAGGCAGGACGATCACTTAAGGCCAGAACTTCCAAACTACCCTAGGTATTGAGACCTCACCTCCACCAAAAAATATTTTAAAATTAGCTGAGTGTGGAGTGTGGCTGCGGATGCCTGTAGTCCCAGCTGCAGGGGTGGGGTGTGGAAGGGGAGGTTTGAGGTGGGAGGATTGCTTGAACCCAGGAGGTAGAGTTTGCAGTGAGCCATGATCGCACCACTGCACTCCAGCCTGGGCGAAAGAGCAAGACCCTGTCTCAAAAAATAAACAATAATTTACCTTCTTTTTTCATTACCAGGAATATTAATATTCCTGAAAAGACTGATGTCTTTTTTCCCCCCCAAGACAGAGTCTTGCTCCGTCACCCAGGCTGGAGTGCAATGGTGCAATCTTGGCTCACTGCAACCTCCACCTCCCAGGTTCAAGCGATTCTCCAGCCTCAGCCTCCTGAGTATCTGGGATTACAGGTGCGTACCACTACACCCTGCTAAATTTTTTGTATTTTTAGTAGAGACGGGGTTTCACCATGTTGATCAGGCTGGTCTCGAACTCCTGACCTCACGATCCGCCCAGAACATAAAGTGCCTCAGCCCCCCAAAGTGCTGGAAGACTGATGTCTTTAAGGACAGGGAACATATTTTTTCATCTTTGTAGTCCAAAGTCTAGCACAAAGCTTAACAAATAGTAGGCTCTAAATAAATAATTGTGAATAAATAAATCCACTCTAGGCCAGGTGTGGTGGCTGATGCCTGTAATCCCAGCACCTTGGGACACAGAGGCAGGCAGATCACCTGAGGTCAGGAGTTTGAGACCAGCCTGCCCAACATGGTGAAACCCCATCTCTCCTAAGAAATACAAAAAATTAGCCGGGCGTGGTGGTGGGCGCCTGTAATCCCAGCTACTCGGGAGGGTGCGGTAGGAGAATTGCTTGTACCCAGGAGGCGGAGGTTGAAATGAGCCAAGATCATGCCACTGCACTCCAGCCTGGGCGACAAGAGTGAAACTCCGTCTCAATCAATCAATCCACTCTAAAATACCAATCAGAATTCTTAAACTACCAAGGACTCTAACCTTTAAAGGACATAATTCTGTTATGCAAAATGTGAGTTCATGAAGAAGTCCTACCCCAAATTAACCAAGATTTTCTTCTGTAGAGAATGAGTGAATAATTTCAACAGATCAGCAACAAGGAGATATATACAATAGTACTCGTGATACTATATCATCATATAATTCTAAATTCTGTTGAGGGGTTGGTAATAGGTCAAATCCATGATTTTAAGTATAGCCTCAAATAATGGTCTCTTCAAACTAAAAGAAAATAAACTTTTCATTGCTAACCTATCAGTCAAGTCCCAAGTAAGACAGGTACCAAAATATAGTACAGACTCTTATTGTTCACTGAGCTGAAATAATTAGTAACCTAACAAAACTAGAAGCATTAGAGCAAGTGATAAGACTGTGACAATACTGGCTTGGAAGTCAAACTGTATGTTACTTAAACATTGAATTTACACCTCCTTAAGCAGGTGTTACGAGATGCAAAAACTCGGCCGGGCACGGTGGCTCAAGCCTGTAATCCCAACACTCTGGGAGGCCAAGGTGGGTGGATCACTTGAGGTCAGGAGTTTGAGAGCAATCTGGCTAACATGGTGAAACCTCGTCTCTACTAAAAATACAAAAATTAGCTGGGTGTGGTGGCCGGCCCCTGTAATCCCAGCTACTCAGGAGGCAAAGGCAGGATAATCGCTTGAACCCAGGAGGCAGAGGTTGCAGTGAGCCGAGATCACGCCACTGCACGCCAGCCTGGGCGACAAGAGCGAAACTGTCTCAAAAAAAAAAAAAAAAAAAAAAAGTAAAAACTCTAATTACCATGTTTTATAGTTTATTCCAATTATCCATTTGTTTGTTGCCCTGGAAAAAGAAATTCTGTCCATATTCTTCTTGGAGACTAGTCCACTCAGAAGACAACTACCCAAACCAACCATCTCCTTCCTCTTCGGTCTTACCTCTTCTAAAACATATACTCAGGCTTTGTGAGAGAGGGGATGCACAGGGTAAACGGGTTAAAAAAAGGAAAACAAACATTGATACTACAACTTGTTCTCCTAGCAGTCTGGCAAATTTAAATTACATGGTTTAAATTACATGAATTTCTCCCCACCTACAGCATATAGAAAGGTACAGAAATTTCAAGAGCTAGAATGTTATGGAAGTGGGAAGGAGGGGGTTGAATCATTTGTCTATTACCACAAATTCTGCATCATATTAAACACCTCCTACTATACCTCTCCTAAAGACCACATCAAGAGAACAAGAATATAACCAATAACCAATAACCCAGAATAACCAAAACAACAATGAAAAATAACAAAGTCAGAAGACTTACACTTTCTCATTTCAAAACTTACTGCAAAAAGCTACAGTAATCAAGACAGTGTGGAACTGGCATAGGGAGACATATAGATCAATGAATAGAACAGACAGTCCAGAAATAAACCCTCACACGTAGTCAACTGATTTTTGAAAAGGGTGCAAAGACAATTCAAGGGGGATAGAAATAGTCTTTTCAACAAATTATGCTGAAAAAACTGGGTATGCACATTCAAAAGAATCAAGTTAGACCTCTACCTCACGCCTTATATATAAAAATTAACTCAAATTGGATCAGAGACCTAAATGTAAGAGCTAAAACTATGCAAGTCTCAGAAGAAAACAGGCATAAATCATAAATCTTTGTCATCTTGGATTACGCAATGGTTTCTTAGACATGACAACAAGAGCACAAGCAAAAAGATAAATATATAAATTGGGCGTCATCAAAATTTTTAAACTTCAAGTGACACAAGAAAGTGAAGACAAGACTGGGTATGGTGGCTCATGCATATAATCCCAGCACTTTGAGAGGCCAAGGCGGGAGGACTGCCTGAGGCCAGGAGTTTGAGACCAGCCTGGGCAAAATGGTGAGACCTTGTCTGTACAAACAGTAAAATTAGCTGGGCATGGTGGTGTGCACCTGTAGTCCAGCTACTTGGGAGGCTGAGGGGAGAATTGTTTGAGCCTGAGAGGCTGAGGCTGCAGTGAGCCATGATGGAGCAACTACATTCCAGCCTGGGCAACAGAGGGAGGGAGACTGTGTGGAGAGGGGAGGGGAGGAGGAGCGGAGGGGAGGAGAGGGGAGGGGAGGGGAGGGGAGGGGAGGGGAGGGGAGGGGAGGGGAGGGGAGGGGAGGGGGAAGGAAGGACAGACGGAAGGAAGGAAGGAAGGACAGAAGAAGAAAGAAAGAAAAGAAAGAAAAAAAGAAAGAGAAAGAAAAAGAAAGAAAGAAAGAAAGAAAGAAAGAAAGAAAGAAAGAAAGAAAGAAAGAAAGAAAGAAAAAGAAAGGAAAGAGAAGAGAAAAGAAAAGAAAGAGAGAGAGAAAGAAAGAAAAGACAGGCAGGAGAATCACTTGAGCTTAGGAGTTCAAGACCTCAAGACCAGTCTGGGCAATATACTGATACTCCATATCTACAAAAAAATTAAAAATCAGCCAGGCACAGTGGTACATGCTGATAGTCCCAACTATTCCAGAAGCTGAGGTTGGAGGATCACTTGAACCCAGAAGTTTGAGGCTTCAGTGAGCTATGATTGGGCAACTACATTCCAGCCTGGGTGACAGAGTGAGACCATCTCAAAAACAAAAAAAAAAAAAAAAAAAGAAAGAAAGAAAATGAAGACAACTCACAGAATGGGAGAAAATATTTGCAAATCATGGATCTGTTAAGGAACTAGCATCCAGAATTTTTTTCCTAAAACAAATTTAAAAAAGAAAAGAAAAAACAAACACATAGCTATAAAAAAAACCCAATCAACAGGAAAAATATTTGAATAGATATTTCTTCAAAGATATACATATGACCAATAAGCACATGAAAAGATGCTCAACATCATTAATCATTAGGGAAATGCAAATCAAAACCACAATTAGATACCACCTCACACTCACTAGAATGGCTGTAATAAAAAAAAAAAAGAGAGAAAAGAAAGAAAAATAACAAATGTTAGTGAAGATGAGAAGAATGGAACTCTTGTACATTGCTGGTAGGAATGTTAAATAGTACAGCTGCAGAGAATTGGCAGTAGGACAGGTATGATGGCTCATGCCTATAACTCCAGCACTTTGGGAGGCCAAGGCAAGTGGATCACTAGAGGCCAGGAGTTCGAGACCAGCCTGGGCAACATGGTGAAACCCTATCTCTACTAAAAATACAAAAATTAGCCAGGAGTGTTGGCACATGCCTGTAATCCCAGCTACTCGCGAGGCTGAGGCACGAGAATCACTTGAGCCCAAGAACTGGAGGCTGCAATGAGATATGACTGCCCCACTGCACTGCAGCCTGGGTGACAGAGCAAGACTCGGACTCAAAAGCAAAACAAAAAGTATTGATACCTGCTACAATATTGTAGAAATCTTTAAAACAATATGTTAAGTGAAAGAAATCAGGCACAAATAACCACATATTATATGATTCTGTTTATACGAAATGCCCAGATTAGGCAAATACATACAGACAGAAAGTGGATTAGTGATTATGAGGGGCTGGGGGAAGGTGAGAATGGGAAAAGACTGCTAAGGAGTACACGGCTTCTTTTGGGAGTGATAAAAGTGTTTTAGAATAGTTAGTTGATGGTCATACAACTTTGTGAATATATTAAAAACCAATGGGCCAGGCGTAGTGGCTCACACCAGTAATCCCAACACTTTGGGAGGCCAAGGCAGGAGGACTGCTTGAGCTCAGGAATTTGAGAACAGCCTGGGCAACATGACAAAACCCTGACTCTACAAAAAATACAAAAAACAAATTAGCCACTGTAGTGGTGCACATCTGTAGTCCCAGCTACTGAGGAGGCTGAAGTGGATCACCTGAGCCTGGGGAGGTTGAGGCTGCAGTGAACCGTGACTGTGCCACTCTTAACTCCAGGTTAGGTGACAGTGAGATCCTATCTCAAAAAAAAAAAAAAAAAAAAGAAGGCTGGACCCGGTGGCTCACGCCTGTAATCCCAGCACTTTGGGAGGCCGAGGAGGGCAGATCGCCTGAGGTCGGGAGTTTGAGACTGGCCTGGACAACATGGTGAAACCCCATCTCTACTAAAAATACAAAAAAACTAGCCGGGCGTGGTGGCAGGCACCTGTAATCCCAGCTACTCGGGGGGCTGAAGCAGGAGAATTGCTTGAACCCAGGAGGCGGAGGTTGCAGTGAGCCAAGACTGTGCCACTCCACTCCAGCCTGAGCGACGACAGAGCGAGACTCTGTCTCAAAAAAAAAAAAAAAAAAAAAGACTATATGGGAAAAGTTCCTTGTACTATTCTTACAACTTTCCAGTAAGTTTGAAATTATATCACAATAAAAAGTAACTGGGTTGGGTGCAGTGGCGCATGCCTGTAATCCCAGCACTCTGGGAGGCCGACGCAGGCAGACTGCTTGAGCTCAGGAGGTTCAGGACCACCAGCCTGGGCAACATGGCAAAGCCCATCTCTACAAAAAATACAAAAATTAGCCAGACATGGTGGCATGCACCTATAGTCCCAGCTATACTTAGGAGGCCGAGGTGGGAGGATGGCTTGAGCTCTGGAGGTGGAGGTTGCAGTAAGCCAAGATCGTGCCACTACACTCAAGCCTGAGTGACAGAGACACTGTCTTTAATTAATTATTAATTAAATTAAAAATTTTAAATTAAAAAATTTTTTAATTAAAAAAATGTTTAATTAAATAAATAAATACATAAATAATAACCAAAAAAAAAGAGAATGTATCCACTACTGTCCCTTTTGGGATTTGCTCCTTTGTCATAATGATAACTACAGGTTCATTTATCTAAGTTTAATACCATATTGAGATAATTTTTCCAAGACTGAGCTCATATCTAATCATATAAAGGATAAAGAATATTCTTTCTAGCATTTAATCAATATACGACATATCCTGATCACTCACAAATTAGTCAATATGAGGATAAATCAGGAAAAAATAAGGATTATATTTCAAAAACATATACTCAAAGTAAACATCCCATGTTATTTTGGGTTCAATGGCTTCAGGGAGAACATCAGTTGACTGAGTCTGGCAGCCTCTCCATCATAGATGCTTTTTAATATTTTGTCCAGATCAAGTCCTTTGATTTGCTAATAATTATTATAATAAAACAATTACATAAAATTTGTATTAAAAGTTTTTCTCATCCAAAACAATCTATAGATTCAATACAATCCCTATTGAATCTCAATGGCACTTTTTGCAGAAATTAAAAAAAAAAAAACCCATCCTAAAATTAATATGGGATCTCAAAAGACCCAGAATAGTCAAAATAATCTTAAAAAAGAAGAACAGGTTAGGCATGGTGCCTCACACTTGTAATCCCAGCATTTTAGGAGGCCAAGGTGGGAGGATCACTTGAGGCCAGGAGTTTGAGACCAGCCTGGACAACATAGTAAGACCTCATCTCTATAAAAAATTAAAATTAAAAAAAAGAACAAATTTGAAAGACTAATGCTTCCTAATTTCAACTTACTATAAAGCTACAGTAATCAAAAGAGGATGGTGGCAAAGAGACAGACATATAGACCAATGGAATAGATCAGAGAGTCAAGAAAGTAAACCCACTTATATATGGTCAATTGATTTTTGACAAGGATGCCAAGGCCATTCAATGGGAAAATAATGGTCTTTAACAAATGGTGCTAAAAAACTGGATATCCACAAGCAAAAGCATGAAATTGGACCTTACCTTATACCATATACAAAAATTAACTTGGCGATTCCTCAAGGATCTAGAACTAGAAATACCATTTGACCCAGCCATCCCATTACTGGGTATATACCCAAAGGATTATAAATCATGCTGCTATAAAGACACACGCACACGTACGTTTACTGCGGCACTATTCACAATAGCAAAGACTTGGAACCAACCCAAACATCCATCAATGATAGACTGGATTAAGAAAATGTACCACATGCACACCATGGAATGCTATGCAGCCATAAGAAAGGATGAGTTTGTATCCTTTGTAGGGACATGGATGAAGCTGGAAACCATCATTCTGAGCAAACTATTGCAAGGACAGAAAACCAGACACTGCACGTTCTCACTCATAGGTGGGAATTGAACAATGAGAACACTTGGACACAGGGTGGGGAACATCACACACCGGGGCCTGTCGTGGGGTCAGGGGAGGGGGAAGGGATAGCATTAGGAAATATACCTAATGTACATGACAAGTTAATGGGTACAGCACACCAACATGGCACATGTGTACATATGTAACAAACCTGCAGGTTGTGCACATGTACCCTAGAACTTAAAGTATAATAAAATAAATAAATAAATAAATAAAAATAAATTTTAAAAAATTAACTCAAAATGTATCAAAGGCGGCTGGGTGCGGTGGCTGAGGCCTGTAATCCCAGCACTTTGGGAGGCAGAGGCAGGCAGATCACTTGAGGTCAGGAGTTCAAGACCAGCCTGGCCAACATGGCAAACCCCCTATCTACTAAAAATACAAAAATTAGCTGGGCGTGGTGGCGTGCACCTGTAATCCCAGCTACTTGGGAGGCTGAGGCAGGAGAATCGCCTGAACCCAGAAGGTGGAGGTTACAGTGAGCCGAGATCGCACCATTGTACTCCAGCCTGGGCGACAGAGCAAGACTCCATCTCAAAAAAAAAAAAAAAAAGAGGTATCAAAGGCGTAAATTTAAAAGCTTAGACTATAAAACTCTTTTTTTTTTTCTTAAGACGAAGTCTCGCTCTGTCACCCAGGCTGGAGTGCAGTGGCAAGATCTCAGCTCACTGCAACCTCCGCCTCCCAGGTTCAGCAATTCTCCTGACTCAGCCTCCTGAGTAGCTGGGATTACAGGCAGGCACCACCATGCCCGGCTAATTTTTGTATTTTTTAGTAGAGATGGGATTTCACCATGTTGGTCAGGCTGGTCTCAAACTCCTGACCTTGTGATCGGCCCGCCTCGGCCCCCCAAAGCGCTGGGATTATAGGTGTGAACCACCACGCCTGAAAATCTTCATGACACTGGAGATGGCAATAATTTCATGACATCATAAGCATACGACAAAATAAAAAAACAGATAAATTAGGTTCATCAAAATTAGAAACTTTTTGTTCATGAAAGGACACTACAGCAACAGAATGAAATGACAAGCTACAGAATGAAGGCAAATATTTGTTAATTATGTATCTGATAAGGGATTAATATCCAGAATATATAAAGAATTCCTACAACTAAACAATAAAAAACAAACAACACAATTTTTTTTTTTTTTTGAGACAGGGTCTCACTCTTGTCACCCAGGCTGGAGTGCAGTGACAGTGGCAGTCACAGCTTATTGCAGCCTCGACCACACAGGCCCAAGCAATCCTCCCACCTCAGCCTCTTGAGTAGCTGGGACTACAGGCATGTGCCACCATGCCTGGCTAATTTTTTTTTACTTTTTGTAGAGACAGGGTTCCCTATATTGCCCAGGCTGGTTCTGAACTCCTGGGCTCAGATGATCTTTCTGCCTCAGCCTCCCAAAGTGCTGGGATTACAGGCGTGAGCCACTGTGCCTAATCGGCAATACAATTTCTTTTTAAATGTACAATGGATTTGAATAGACATTTCACCAAAGATACAGAAATGGCCAATAAGCATATGAAAAGATGCTTAACACTACTAATCATTAGGGAAATAACAAATCAAAACCCCAATGAAATACCACTTCATACCCATTAGAATTGCTATTATCAAAAAACAAACATAAATAACTGTTGGCTAGAATATGGAGAAATTAGAACCCTTCCTTGTGCTTTGCTGTTAGGAATGTCAAATGATATAGCTGATATAGAACACAGTATTGCAGTTCCTCAAAAAATTAAAAATAGAATTACCATATGATCCAGCAATTCCATTTCTGGGTATATACCTAAAATAATTGAATGCAGGCCTCAAAGAGATATTTGCATATCTATGTTCATAACAGCATTATTCATAATAGCCCAATGGTGGAAGCAATCCAAGTGTCCATCAACAGATGAACAGATAGACCGGGCACAGTGGCTCACACCTGTAATCCCAGCACTTTAGGAGGTCGAGGCGAGTGGATCACATGAGGTCAGGAGTTTGAGACAAGCCTGGCCTACATAGCAAAACCCCATCTCCACTAAAAATACAAAAATTAGCCAGGCATGGTGGCACACTCCTGTAGTCTCAGCTACTCGGGAGGCTGAAGCAGGAGAATCACTTGAACCCAGGAGGTGGAGGTTGCAGTGAGCTGAGATCGTGCCACTGCACTCCAGCCTGGGTGACAGAGCAAGACTCCATCTCCAAAAAAAAACAAAACAAACAAAAAAACCCAAATGAACAGATAAATAAAATATAGGGAGTGTGCATGTGTGTACATATATACACACACACATACATATACACACACAATTGAATTTAACTTTAAAAGAATAAAATTTTGACACAAGCAACAACTGGATTAACCCTGAAGACATTATGCTAAGAGAACAAAGCCAGTCACAGAAGGACAAATACTGCATGATTCCAATTATATAAGTAGTAAAATTCATAGAGAGAAAACGTAGAATGGTAGTTGCTAGGGGTTGGGGGAAGGGAGAATGGGAGAATTATTGTTTAACAAGTACAGAATTTCAGTTTGGAAGATGAGAAAGTTCTGGAGATGGTTGATGGTGAAGGTTGCACAACAATGTAAATACACTTAATGCCACTGAACTGTACATTTAACATACATGTACAGTGGTTAAAGTATAAATGTGATTAAAATGGTAAAGTTTATGTTATATATACATATTCTACCACAATTTTAAAACAAAAACAAAAAAATGGTTAAAATGATAGATTTTATGTTATGAATATTTTACCAAAATCTAAAAAACAAACTCGTTCTCAATCTAATTGTCCTCATTGTAAATTTTTAAACACATCAAACTTACCTTGGCAACTTAATAAACTGTTTTCTTGTTTAACTCTTTGGTTCTTAGTTGGTTCTTAGGGGTAACCTCTAGGGATATACTTGCCTTTCTCTTTTCAAAATTGCATACTAATACAGATGAATCAATCACTAGCATACAGTGGGATATCTACATTTTTTAAAAAAACATCCTTTCTACTACTGAAAACAGTATCTATTCAGTAAGTGGAAAACTTTGTGAGAACAGAAGTCTATGTAGCAGAGGAAGAGCAAAATGTGCTCTTCCACAAATAGTTGCTAAATTTCAGTCCAACAAATTTTTTTATATACAACCTTACTTTCTTCCTGGTTTAGGTAAACTTGGCAGGAAGAAAGGTAAACTAGTCAATCATCATAAGTCAATTGATCTTTACTCACAGGAACCATGCACTGTCTGTAACTATCAATAGAAAAGCAGATTACAATTTTTACAAAATAATTGGAATATAACAATATTGTAAAACAAATATTTCCCATATTGGCAAAGCTGCAAAGTTGGGCATATGCCTTTCTATTTCAATGGTTTTAATTATTTCTTAATCCTTTTTAAATGAATAATGAAAGACCTGAACTTTCCAATTAAGTTCATTACAAAATTTCTTTAGAATAGTGCTCCCCCTATACTCTAGTGGTACACTCTCTTATGCTGATCTACATGACAGTAATTTCATTAAAAAATATAAAACTTTTCCGGCCAGGCGTGGTAGCTCATGCCTGTAATCTTGGCCCTCTGGGAGGCCACTGCAGGAGGATCCCTTGAGCTCAGGAGTTTGAGACCAGCCTGGACAACATAATGAGACCTTGTAACTACAAAAAAAATAGCCGGGCACGGTGGCTCACGCCTGTAATCGCAGCACTTTGGGAGGTGGGCAGATCACAAGGTCAGGAGTTTGAGACCAGCGTGGTCAACATGGTGAAACCCCATCTCTACTAAAAATACAACAAATTAGCGGGGCATGGTGGCACGCACCTGTAATCCTAGCTACTTGGGAGGCTAAGGCAGGAGAATTGCCTGAACCCAGGAGGCGGAGGTTGCAGTGAGCTGAGATCCGCCACTGCACTCCAGCCTGGGCAACTAAGACTGTGTGTCGGAAAAAATTAATTAATTAAATTTAATTTAAAAATTAGCAGGGTACGGTGGTGTGCGCCTGTGGTCCCAGACACTTGGGAGGCTGAAAGGGGAGGATCGCTTGAGCCCAGAAGGTCAAGGCTGCCTGAGCCGTGATTGCGCCATACGATCGTGAGCCACTGCACTCCTGCACCACCGCACTCCAGCTTGGGTGACATAACGGGACCCTGTCTCAAAAAAAAAAAAATTTAAAAAAAGGCCAGGCACAGTGGCTCAAGCCTATAATCCCAGCACTTTGGGAGGCTGAGGTGGGCAGATAGTCTGAGGTCAGGAGTTCGAGACCAGCCTGGCCAACATGGTGAAACCCCATCTCTACTAAAAATACAAAAAAAAATTAGCTGGGTATGGTGGTGGCCGCCTATAATCCCAGCTACTCAGGAGGCTGAGGCAGGAGAATTGCTTGAACTCGGGAGGCAGAGGTTGCAGTGAGCCAAGATTGCACCATTACACTCCAGCCTGGGCAACAGAGTGAGACTCCGTTCTCAAACAAACCAAAAAAAAAACAGCCAAAAAAAAAAAAAAACTTTTCCAACAAGATCAACTATGGATTATAAACTATAATAGTTTGAAAGAGGCATTTATAAGCAACTAATTAAACTCATTAATATAATGCATCAAAAGAAAGTTAGGAGAATCTGGAAGGTAGGATAACTAGAATGGGAATCAGATGGCCTATTTTTCAGTCTTGACTGCTACATATTAACTGTGTGATCTGGGCAAGTCATTTAGCTCAACAGTTCCCAGACTTCTGAGGCTTTTATCCAGGGTCCCAAATGAAGTTTCCAGTTGATATTCTGTTAAGTACAGATAGTTTTAAAAATTCATTTTGTAAAAGTAGGAAGAGTATTTGTCAAAATAGAAAAAAGTGGGAAAAAATAGCTTCATTAGAAATTCACTACATCCTGCTTATTTTCTCCATTTTACTTTACATCTGTGAAAACTTCAATAGGAACTAAACAATGATTTATTTAAAAAACAGCATTTGGTAACCAAAAACTACATATTTCTTAATTTGAAGCAAAATAACAGTATGGGCTCTAAATTCAGTATCACATTCAAATCCCACCTTTACCAGTCACTAGCCATATAACATTTTAACCATTTTTTTGTTTTTTAGATTCATTACTCTAAAAACTCTCTGAGCCTACACTTATTCATCTATAAAAATGTAGATAATACCTACCTCAAAGGGGTGATGAAACGATTAAATAAAATAACGAAAGTATCTAGTACGGTACTGGTATATAATAAGCATTCAATAAATGGTAGCAGTTACCTAAAAATGAGATGAGATAGGATTATCACCAAGATTCTATGACTCTATAGACAAGCAATAGGAGAGGGAAATGTGATCAATAAGGTCTGTGAAGACAGATACATTGAAACAGTTCCTTTATAGTGGGTTTAAAAAAAGAATTGATTTTATTTATTACAACTTTAGTTCTGAGAAAGTAAATTTGGCCAAAAAAAAAAATTTGGTAAACTTGTCATTTATTTTGTTTACTTGCCAATTCAAGGCTAAAACTGTTTAAAACTGTTTTGCTTTTCTTTAAAGTAACATATTTTATTTATATTAGTGATCACTGAATCAGAAGGCCAGAACTGATTTTGAATTCATCTAGTCAATCAGCACTCTACTAACAAATAGACTCAGAAAGGAATGTGCTTAAACTCACCTCCATCCTTCATTCATAACATAATTTATCACTTTAATTTTTTAAAAAAGTCTAAATCCTTCTCAAATTTACCATTTAAAAATTTCACATAAATAGCATCTTACCATCTGTGTAACAGTAGGGAAAATACACATAGTTGTATTTTCATAAAGAAATTCTGAAAGGCTATATAATACTTTTATTAAAAGTATAAAGAGCAAGATATGTGGGAGCAGGGTGAGATTGAGACTTCACTGTATCTGCCCTTATATTACTTTGACTTATGAACTATATGAATGTAATTATCTATTGAAAATATACTAATAACAACAAAAACCTCTCATACTTAAAGTTTCCCAAAAAGTTTTCCTCCACCCATACTAATCAACTCTGCATCAACCCCACCATTCACATAAATATACTTATCAATGCATCATTTTATATGTAAAGTCTTAAGGCTTTACATCATGAAGCTTGTGAAAGGTTGATATTTGTGCAACATACAAAAAATTGTGGCTGGGCGCGGTGGCTCACACCTGTAATCCCAGCACTTTGGGAGGCTGAGGCGGGTGGATCACAAGGTCAGGAGACCGAGACCATCCTGGGTAACACAGTGAAACACCGTCTCTACTAAAAATACAAAAAATTAGCCGAGCGTGGTGGCACGGGCCTGTAGTCCCAGCTACTCAGGAGGCTGAGGCAGGAGAATCACTTGAACCCAGGAGGTGGAGGCTGCAGTGAGCCGAGATCCTGCCACTGCACTCCAGCCTGGGTGACAGAGCAAGGCTCCTCTGACTCAAAAAAAAAAAAAAAAAATTGTTACAGTAATAACATATAATTCTTTTTATTCAATAAGCATTTCCAAAGTCTCCAAAATTAGCCCACTAGAATACAAAGTTATATTTCCTATGTTATCACTACAAATGATAATTTATGGAATAAAGCATTTCTACTTTGAACAAACTGGAAGTCCCCATAAAAGTTTTTTAAAAATTCATTTTCATGGACAACTGAACTTTTTGAAAAATAATATATTTTAAGTGAAAGTTCCCCAAAATGATACATTTACCATAGAAAATTTACAGCAGTGCATGCTAGTTTTATATTAAACCTTTCAGTACCTTCTATTTCTCCCTTGTTCAGGTTATAAGCATAAGTCCTGAAATGCTATTAAAAGCAGTGACTCACCTTGTTTACCTTAAGTTTGAATACAGAGTATAACAAAACTACCATTCCTGACAAGAGTGGCCTCTAGACCGGTAGCTCTCAACCAGGAGTGATTTTGTCCCTAGGAGACATTTGGCAACGTCTGAACAATTTTTGGCTATCATAATCGGGTTCTACTGGCATCTAGTGGGTAGAGGCCAGGGATGCTTCTAATGCACAGGAGAGCCCCTCACAACAAAGAATTCTCTGTCCCAAAATGTCTATATGTTGCTCTTGAGAAACTGCTCTAGATTATAGATCATACTAGCCAAGTATTGTGGTGCACACCTATAGTCCCCTGTAGTCCTGACTACTTGGGAGGCTGAAGCAGAAGGATTGCTTGAGCCCAGGAGTGGGAGACCACATAGAGTTATGACCATGCCACCGCACTGTGTAGCCAGGGCAACAGCCAGCCTGGGCAAAAAAGCGAGACCCCCATCTCTCAAAACACATAACGGTAAAAAAAATTTAATTAAAAATTAAAAAACAGATTATATATAGATCATAAACAATCTTAAAGGATATGACCCAACTCCTTACCTACTGGAGAAAATCAGGATGGGATTTCTGTATGACTTTTGCTTTTGATGTTAAAAGTAATTTTCAGGGAAAAAGGAATCCCTACAAAGCTTGTGCTATATTTTCAGAGCTAAATACAATTTCTGCGTGCTTTTATATAATTGTAAATACAGCACCTGCTTCAAGAAAAAAACCTCAGTGTGATATAAAGCTACACTTTTAAATTTGATATGCCTTTAAAGTATGTGTATATGAACATATATACATATATACATAGAAAGATAGGCCTAGAAAATTTACTGAATGAAAAATTTTAATATTGGTTACCTTGAAGGGTAGAATTTGAAGAATTAATGGGGGTGGGAAGAAGCACTTTTACTTTTCCCCTTATACCTACTATCTATATTGTTGAGTTTTTCAACAAGTAACTATTTTGTAATAATTTTATTATTTTCTAATTTTTTGAGATGGAGTCTTGCTCTGTTACCCAGACTGGAGTGCACTGGTATGATCTTGGCTGACTGCAGCCTCCGTCTCCCGGGTTCAAGAGATTCTCCTGCCTCAGCCTCCCAAGTGGCTAGGATTACAGGCGCCTGCCACCATACCCAGCTAATTTTTGTATTTTTAGTAGAGACAGGCTTTCACCATGTTGGCCAGGCTGGTCTCAAACTCCTGACCTCAGATGATCCATCCGCTTTGGCCTCCCAAAGTGGTGGGATTACAGGCGTGAGCCACCGCGCCCGGCCACTTTTGTAATAATTTTAAAAGAGGGCCGTCACACACACACATACACACACAAACACACATATACACACACATTCATTCTTACGACAAAAATTGAAAACCATGTCTCACACAATCTTTTCTTTAGAAACTGTATTTTTATTTCGATTTGCTAAAAAAATTAAAAGACCACAATTCTAAAATTAAAATTTAAAAATTGGTTTTTCGGTCAGGCACAGTGGCTTACAACTTGTAATCTCTGCATTTTTGGAGGCCCAGGCAGAAGGATCCCTTGAGGCCAGGAGTTCAAGACTAGCCTGGGCAACATTTTTTTTTTTTTAAATCAGGTGGAGTGGTGGAGTACACCTCTAGTTAGACCTAGCTCTTTGGGAGGCTGAGGCAGTAGGATTGCTTGAGCCCAGGAATTCGAGGTTGCAGTGAACTATGATCATGCCACTGCATTCCAGCCTGGGTGACAGAGCAAAAGCCCATCTCTAAAAATAAATAAATAAATAAAAATAGGCTGGGTGTGGTGGCTCACACCTGTAATCCTAATCTCAAAATAAATAAATAAAAATTTAAAATAAAAACCATTTTTTAAAGTGGTTTTTTTTTTTTTTTTGGAGATGGAGTCTCACTCTGTCACCCAGGCTGGAGTGCAGTGACGCGATCTCAGCTCACTGCGACTTCTGCCTCCCAGGTTCAAGCAATTCTCCTGCCTCAGCCTCCTGAGTAGGCTGAGATTGCAGGTGCGTGCCACCACGCCCACCTAATTTTTGTTTTTTAGTAGAGATGGGGTTTCACCATGTTGGTCTGGCTGGTCTCAAACTCCTGATCTTGTGACCCACCCACCTCGGCCTCCCAAAGTGCTGGGATTACAGGCGTTAGCCACCGCACCAGGCCTAAAGTGGTTTTTAAGAAATTTTTAACCTAACTTCTATTCTGAACATGGATACATTTCTTAATAGGATTCAATGCAGTGCTAGCTCTTCTAATCAAGGGCTTCGATAGCTAAGAAACATGCTAAGAATGCCTGAAGAAATACGAAGCAGGTATTTACCCCAATGTTTAAAATAACAAAAGGGCCAGGTGGGTGACTCACGGCTGTAATCCCAGCACTTTGGGAGACCTAGGCGAGCAGATCACCTGAGGTCAGGAGTTCGAGACCAGCCTGGCCAATATGGTGAAACCCCCATTTCTGCTAAAGATAGAAAAATTAGCCAGGCATGGTGGCACGCACTTGTAATCTCACTACTGAGGCAGGAGAATCACTTGAATGCAGGAAGCAGAGGTTGCAGTGAGCTAAGATCGTGCCAGCCTGGGCGACAAGACTCCATCTCAAAAAAAAAAAAAAAATGTACTGAAAGATGTGAGTCCATTCCTCTAACCAAAAGGTCTTTTGCTTGGCCAGCAAGAAAGAGTAGCTTGTTTTTTCTCAGCTCTTGGCTCTGATATTAAATATAAAGAGGTCCTTAGAGGGTCTACTCCTCTGTACACAAAATGTAGAAGACCAACTAATTCTAGAGCAAAAATACTAGGGCTCCACATTTCTTATTTCTCACCTAATCCTGCCCCATTAGAGCAACAAGACAAACTTCACTCCCAAACTACACACCAATTCATCATCTTTTTGGATGTCTAGGTACTTGTTTCTAAAATAATTTATTTTTTTTTTTTTTTGAGACAGAGTCTCTCTCTGTCACCCTGCCTGGAGGGCAGTGGCGTGATCTCGGCTCACTGCAACCTCTGCCTCCTGGGTTCAAGCGATTCTCCTCCCTCAGCCTCCTGAGTAACTCAGATTACAGGCGCCCTCCACCAAGCCCGGCTAATTTTTTGTTTTAATAGAGACAGAATTTTGCCATGTTGGCCAGGCTGGTCTCTAACTCCTGACCTCAGCTGATCCACCCGCCTTGGCCTCCCAAAGTGCTGTGATTACAGGCGTGAGCCACCATGCCCGGTGGTTATAAATATTTAGGAAAAATGAAGGCCAGGCATGGTGGCTCACACCTGTAATCCCAACACTTTGGGAGACCAAGGTGGGAGAATCACTTGAGGCCAGAAGTTTGAGACCAGCCTGGCCAACGTGACAAAACGCTGTCTCTACCAAAAATATAAAAATTACCTGGGAGTGGTGGTGGATATCTGTAATCCCAGCTACTCAGGAGGGTGAGACAGAAGAATCGCTTGAACCCAGGAGGCGGAGGTTGCAGTGAGCCAAGATCGTGCCACTGCACTCCAGCCTGGGTGACAGAATGAGACCCTGTCTCAAAAAAATAAATAAAAATAAACAAAATATTTAGGAAAGATGAGACGGAGGATTTTAGTATTATTCATCAAATGCCAATTACATGAGTATTTTTTGAAGAACACTGTTACCTTTTCACACTGAAAATTCAAAGGCAATAATAATAAAAGAAGACAGCTCATCTTGTCAGACAGAAAAAGAAAAGGGAAAATTTTTGCTTGGCCAAAACAGGTCATTTTATTCACAAAGGCACAGACTATACTCTACCACACATACTATAAAGACTAGATACTCCAAGAATTTCCTCTCTATGTGATATGGGAGAAACAGGACCCAAAAAAAATTTCCTGCTTACACAGATTAAGAAAGCATCTATACACCCACTAAGCATCATCTTAGATTAGGCTAAAGTGGGTATCCTAGAAACTTCCATTCCAAAAATGAGGTCTACATGTACTCTTAACCTGTAAATCCTTTTAGGCACAGAAAACATAAGTAAACAGGAGAATATGGGGCTCTTCTAACATTAGGCACCACTAAGTGGGTGTAGGAATCACCAACACATGACTTCTACAATAAGCTTCAAAAATACAAAAGGCATGGATTCTGCCCATAGCTTTAATTACATGGTATGGAGACTCCAAAGACCATTACACATACACACACACACACACACACACACACACACACACACACACACACACAGACATGCACAGTCAGAAAGAGAGAGAGACAAATTTATGACTTTGGGGGCAAACTAGTGCTCTACCTGTGAAGAAATTTAAGACTATTACTTATAAAAAAGCAAATGGTTGCCAGGCACAGTAGCGTGTGCCTATAGTCCCAGCTACTTAGGAGGCTGAGGTAGGAGGACCACCCGAGCCCAGGAGTTTGAGGCTAGCCTGGACAACATAGCAAAACCTGTCTCAAAAAAAAAAAAAAAATTAAGGCCGGGCGTGGTGGCTCATGCCTGTAATCCCAGCACTCTGAGAGGGCGATCACCTGAGGTCAGGAGTTTGAGACCCACCTGGCCAACATGGTAAAACCTCGTCTCTACTAAAAATACAAAAAAATTAGCCAGTCGTGGTAGCAGGCACCTGGAATCCCAGTTACTAGGGAGGCTGAGGCAGGAAAATAGCTTGAACCTGGGAGACGGGGGTTGCAGTGAGCCAAGATCGAGCCACCGCACTCCAGCCTGGGTGACAAGAGCAAGACACAGTCTCAAAAAAAACAAAAAAAACAAAAAATTAAAATTAAAAAAAAAGGCAAATGAGTGACCTTTCATCTCACCCATGACAATTATGTAAAAATGGTCAAGAAAATCAAGGTCCCCTTTTTCTATCACATTTAGACCAAAGCAAACTCTTTCAGATTCTCATTTACAAGTTTCATAGAAAATAAGCTCTAATCTTTAGTCTAAGGATATCCCCCACACTTCATTTCCTAGCTAAAAAGTACTGTGTTCTAGCTTAATCTCTCACGTTTCACTGAAAGGATAAAATAAAGCCTTCCACAAGACCAAGAGCAGGGATACTCCAGAGTCTCTCCCCATAACTGCCTACTCAAATAAAACATTTCTCTCACCTTGGCTTAGAAGTTATTTCCCTTACCGTGAAATTCAAAGACGTAGACATTCAAGGGACTACCCGCCTTATAACCCACACACTTTTTTTTCCAAAGCAAAATGTTAGGGTCAGAATGTACTAAGGTTTTAAATATTAAATAAAACCCTGTTCAGACCTAGAATGATAAGACAGTATACTAACTGCAGTCTGTAACCCACAAATAATTTCTCCTTATTCCTCTCAAATCCAAGAGCCGGGATTGTTAGTACACACAGAGAAATTCCTGTACTTTAACACCAAGACCAGAGGTTAAAATAACTGGTCACAGGTGACAACTCAGGCACCTCAGAACCAAAATAGAAGAAATACTCTGAGCACTTAAAACAATCACGGTACAGTACTCTACGCAAGCCACAGTCAACAGAAAAAAGTATACACATAAAATACCGCCCCTTGGGATCACAAGGTCAGGAGATCGAGACCATCCTGGACATGGTGAAACCCTGTCTTTACTAAAAAATACAAAATATTAGCCGGGAGTGGTGGCACGCGCCTGTAGTCCCAGCTACTCAGGAGGCTAAGGCAGGGGAATCGCTTGAACCCAGGAGGCGGAGGTTGCAGTGTGCCGAGATCGCGCCACTGCACTCCAGCCTGGCGACAGAGCGAAACTCCATCTCAAAAAACAAAAACAAAACCCGCCCCTTTTTCCCCAGAACCCAAAAGAAGTTAATGCCTACCATCCCAGGTTGCTCAGACCTAAAAATGTGTACACATTAGAGTACACACAGAAGAGTTAAAGAAATGAAGGACTTCACTGCAAAGGCAGAGTGAAGGTGTCCAGCCGGGCACGGTGGCTCATACCTGTAATCCCAGCACTTTGGGAGGCCGAGGCGGGCGGATCACCTGAGGTCAGGAGTTCGAGACCAGCCTGACCAACATGGTGAAACCCCGTATCTAATAAAAATACAAAATTAGTCGGGCGTGGTGGCGCACGCCTGTAATCCCAGCTACTCGGGAGGCTGAGGCAGGAGAATCGCTTGAACCCGGGAGGCGGAGGTTGCAGTGAGCTGAGATCACGTGTATTCTAGCGTGGACAACAAGAGCGAAACTCCATCTCAAAAAAAAAAAAAAAAAAAAAAAAAAGAAGAGGTTTCCACAGGTTGCCCCACTTTCTCCAAGCCTAAAACCTCCGAGTTCAGCTACCCAGCTATTCCGAAGCTCAGGGATGCCCTGGAACTTCCTTTTCCTGTCTAACTTCACAAAAGGTCCCAGAAGGAGGAGTCACGTGATTTTTCAGGGTAAAAGCCGAGAGATCCCTAATACTCAAACCTGTCTCAAACTGAAGAGGGAGAATAAGAACCGTCCTTAAGCACACAGGTAAGACACACACAAGGCAGAAGGCAAATAAACGTATCCCTCAACTCTGAGGAGAGGCAAAGAAGAGAAACGATCTTTGCACCAGCTCTGTCTCTGTCTCTGTTTGTCTCTCTCAGTACCAAGGGCAGGGACTCTGGCAAGACCCCGCCCCCCACCCCCAACTCCAAAGCAGGGTGGGCGGGAGGCAGCCTGAGGAGTCCCTGTTCCCGCGCGAAGCTCAGAGACCAAAGGACTCCCTATTGTGGGTCTACGAATGGTGACGGGAACCTGTCCCGCTCGAGCTAAAGAGTAAGCCGAGGGCTCACTAGGCCCTCACCGCGGCCACCGCCGCCATGGAGCCGACCGCTGTCACAGAAGGGCTCCACCAGGGAAGCGGGAGGATGGCCCCGGCCCAGAGCCTACCCAAAGAGAATTCACGCCTCACAATGTGTGGGAGGCGAGGGTCCCGGAGCCTTACCTCGGACACTTCGTCCTCGTCACTGCCAGAGGCACCACCTCCACCCCCGGTCCTCAGCACGGCAGCCGCCAACTTGAAATCCAGCGCCGCGTCCCCTCCGCCCGTACCGCTGCCGCTGCCGCCGCCGCCGCTGCTGCCGACTCCCGACGCTGGCCCGGCCTCCCCAAAGAGCCTCACGGTGCGGATCCCCAGACCGACCCCTCCCGGCGGAGGCGGCTCCGAGGCCCCAGCTGGGGCGGATCGCGGAGCCACAGAGTCCAGGTCCTCCTCAAAGGAGGTGCCGCCGCCTCCGCTATCAGTCAGCATTGTTCGCACCCGGAGCCGGAGACGGTGCCGACCCACTCGCGGTCACCGCCGCCGCTGATCTCGGGAACGAGAAGAGCAGCAAGAGGAAGAAGCGTCTCCTTTCCCCCGTCCCAGCAGCGCCACTAACTTCTCACTGCCTAACCTGCTGCCTCCCGCCCCCTCGACTCGCCACTGGCTGCAATACCCTGGCGGCTGCAGATCATTGGCCAAAGTGACCCGTCGCTCAGGCTCTTCGTCACGCGCCGCTCGCTGGCTCGCAGCCGCCAAGCTGCGTTGACCCGCGCAGGCCTAGGCGGTTGCGAACACCCGCCTCCCACTCTTCACCAGCTGACTTCCGCTCTTTTCCTATGTCTATTGGCCAACCCGCCTGACTATCGCGTCACGACCTTAAAGTGGATTAGTTGGCCTTGTGGTCAGTCATAGTGACCCCGAACAATGGGAGAATTCATTGGCGCCATAAAGTGTCGGTCACTTTGTCGCGGGACGTCGCGTGGTACAATTGGCCTGTGGGAGTACCATTGATCCCGCCCTCATCTGAGGTGACGGGAAAGGGCCGGGAAATTTCCACTTCTGAATAAAATGACTGCTGAAGTGATGACCCGCAAGAATTGGTCAAATTTGGAGTAGACTTCACCCTGCGCTTGGTGAAACTTCTACGTCAAGGATGCAAGAGGCGCCGAAGTAACGCAGCTCCCACCTGTCGCTCTCCGCTGGGCGCCGAGACTATGGCCGGAGAATAGCTGCACCGGGATTGGAGAAAGGAAGCCATCAGTCTTAGGAAGGCTCCACCTTCCTGCCATTGCCTGGTTGGAGGAGCGTAGCGTCAGTCACTAGAGCAGTCACCACCTCTGGGACAGGTGAAGATGTGTAACCTATTTGCCGGGGGCTATTTGGGAGGGAATAGAGGACGGGGAGCGATGAGGGGACAGTCGAGGGGCAAGGCCGATCTCGCTTCGCGCCTCCCGCCTTTCTGAGTTGAGCCTAGCGCGCGGGTCTGAGGGACATCCGGGGAGCTGCTTGGGATGGCCGCCTTGGGGAGACTCGACCCGCCCGCCAGGACCCGGCCGCGCGCCGCAGTTCGGGCGCCTTCGGGCAGGATCGCCCAGCGGGGCCGCGTTCTCCTGCTTGCGGACGGCTGCGGGCCTGAGGGCTGGACAGCGCCATGCCTCAGTACCGGGAACTGTCCCACGTAGGAAGGTGGGAATGCCGCGAACGGCGTGCGGAATCCGACCTCAAGGTGGAACGGGGTGGTGAAGAGTGCATGCTCCGAGGCAGTTTCGAGTTCTGGTGCTGCCACTTACTTGCTGCCTGACTTCGGCGCGTTTGCTGTTTCATTTTTGTGACTTTCAACTCGCTCCTCTGTGAAATGGGAGTAATATTAGTACCTTCCTCATTGGGTTGTTGTTATGAATAAATTAGATGATAATATAGCGCTTAGCAAAGTCCCAAACTTACAGGAAAGACTCATTTTTGCTAGTTATTGTCTCCTCTTCCTTCAGGAACTCTCTGCTCGCCCCTGGGTCCTGCCAGCCCAACTAATTCTAGTTCTAATCAGATCTGTGTGGTGCAAAACAAGGCTAGCTGTGGTGGTCTTCCCTCCTCTAAGGAGATCTCTTCCTCCCTATATGCATCTCTCTATCTCTGTCTTTATCTTGTCAGTAAAGAGGGGGGTTAAAAATATTCAGATTCTATAGCGGGCGCCGTGGCTCACGCCTGTAATCCCAACACTATGGGATGTTGAGGCGGGCGGATCATTTGAACCCAGTAGTTCGAGCCCAGCCTAGGCAACATGGTGAAATCCCGTCTTTACCAAAAATACAAAAATTGGGCTCGGCGCGGTGACTCACGCCTGTTAATCCCAGCACTTTGGGAGGCCTAGGTGGGCGGATCATTTGAGGTTAGGAGTTCTAGACCAGCCTGGCCAACATGGCGAAACCCCGTCTATACTAAAAATACAAAAATTAGCCAGATGTGATGGTGCGTGCCTGTAATCCCAGCTACTCGGGAGGCTGAGGCAGGAGAATCACTTGAACCCAGGAGGCGAAGTTTGCAGTGAGCCAAGATCGTGCCACTGCACTCCAGGTTAGGCGACAGAGCAACACATCGTCTCAAAAAAAAAAAAAAAATTAGCCGAGCATGGTGGTGCATGCCTGTAATTCCAGCTACTCAGGAGGCTGAGGTGGGAGGGATCCCCTGAGCCTGGGAGATGGAGGTTGCAGTGAGCCGAGATCGTGCCACTGAACTCCAGCCTGAGCAACAGAGCGGTGCCCTGTCTAAAAAAATTAAAAAAATAAAAAAAAAACGGTTTCTATCTAATCCTTTAATCAGACATGACCAAAAAAGGAGTCTGGTGGTTTGTATGGAAAATATCCTTTGACCCAGAGAATGTCCATATGATAACAGAATTTGGCTGAAAAAAAAAAAAATGGCCGGGCGCAGTGGCTCACACCTGTAATCCCAGCACCTTGGGAGGCAGAGGTGAGCGGATCACGAGGTCAGGAGATGGAGACCATCCTGGCCAACATGGTGAAACCCCGTCTCTACTAAAAATACAAAAATTAGCCAAGTGTGGCGGCGCGTGCCTGTAATCCCAGCTACTCGGGTGGCTGAGGCAAGAGAATCGCTTGAACCCAGGAGGCGGAGGTTGCAGTGAGCCGAGATCGCACCACTGCACTGCAGCCTGGCGACAGAGCAAGACTCAGTCTCAAAAAAAAAAAAAAAAAGTCATTTTCTCCTCTCTTACAACTTTAACAAAGGCCTTTATATATCTCAACTGTGCAATATTTAATATTTCGTCATCCTTAAACTGGGATCTTAAAATTTTATAAGAATATAATGATTTTTAAAATAACTTTAAAAGTTGATTCTGCCAAACATTTATTTAAAAAACATTTTGAATATCATAAACATTTCTTTGGCTTAGTAATTGCTCATTTTGACATTTCACATGTAAAGGATAGTGTTTTCTATGAGCAGAACATGTTTGTTAAATGTTCTTTCTAGATAATAAATAAGTTGTAGAAAATGTTAAAAAAAAGTCTTGTACCTATTCTAGAGAACTATTTTAATGTAAATGCTATGTACACTGGCTTTAGTTAGCATTTGTGGAACTTAATTAGCCTATATCCTCAGTGCTGTTAAGTTTTCAAGGCATGTGTGACTAAGTCACAACCCAAACTAATAACACCAACAAAAGAAACCTGGCACTGCCCAACCCACTTCAAAGCTGGATTATCCAGAATTGGTATGGATACATCCTTAGGCAAAAACAGGTATTGACTGGTACAGCATTACAAAGGAACTAGTTGTCATGCTTACTACTGATACAAAAATAATTTCTGATGCAACTCCCTGAACAAACTCATTAAATTCTTTAAACAAATACAATGACTCTCAAGGACACAGGGAAAGGAAATCTGGATATATATACATTTTTCTCAATTTATTTGAGAGGGAAGAAAACACTCTCTTTACTCAGTGCCTAGCAACTAACCCTGAGTATAGCTAAAGAAATGTGATTGAGCAATAATCTTTGTTTCACCAGGACCTTTACTTGAGATACTTGTCAGTAGTTTGACAGTCAGTATGGGAATTAGGAACTCCTAGTCTCCTATATTTTGGTGACTGCTATATAGAATCTCTATTAAATGTGATTTAATGGCTGGGCATGGTGGCTCACGCCTGTAATCCCAGTACTTTGGGAGGCCAAGGTGGGTGGATCACCCGAGGTCAGGAGTTCCAGACCAGCCTGGCCAACATGATGAAACCCCGTCTCTACTAAAAATACAAAAAATTAGCCAGGCGTGGTGGTGGGCGCCTATAATCCCAGCTACTCAGGAGGCTGAGGCGGGAGAATTGCTTGCACCTGGGAGGCAGAGGTTTCAGTGAGCCAAGATCACACCACGGCACTTCAGCCTGGGCAACATGAGTGAAACTTTGTCTCGAAAAAAAAAAAAAAAGAAAGAAAGAAAATGTGATTCAATAGTTCCATATATACTACATTCCTATGGTTTTAAAATTTGAAAACTCATTGATAAATCATCACAATATCAAGTGATACATTTGACAAATAAATAAAATCACACTCAGGCCAGGTATGGTGGCTCATGCCTGTAATACCAGCACTTTGGGAGGCTGAGGTGGGTGGATCACTTGAGGTCAGGAGTTCAAGACCATCCTGGCCAACATGGTGAAATCCTGTCTCTACTAAAAATACAAAAATTGGGCTGGGTGTGGGGTCTCATGCCTGTAATCCCAGCACTTTGGGAGGCTGAGGCGGGTGGATCACAAGGTCAGGAGTTCGAGACCAGCCTGATCAACATGGCGAAACCCCATTTCTACTAAAAATACAAAAATTAGCTGGGCGTGGTGGCACGCACCTGTAATCCCAGCTACTCAGGAGGCTGAGTCAGGAGAATCGCTTGAATCTGGGAGGCAGAGGTTGCAGTGAGCTGAGAACACGCCATTGCACTCCAGCCTGGGTGACAGAGCGAGACTCTGTCTCAAGAAAAAAAATGGAGTGGAGATTTGCTCAGTGGCAGTATCATAGCCAAAGGCATCATTATTGCTAATTGAAAACTTTTCCCAATAACCTGCCATGGCCTTGAAATATAGTAAGCATTGGGAATTTTGAGTCTCTATGGAATAAAGAAGAAAAAAAAGCCAGTGGGACTATTTAGAATCTACTTATAATGTGTTTCAAAGCACTGTGTTTTGACCATCTTTCAGATCAAGAAGGATAAAAAACACATGGCCGGGCACGGTGGCTCACACCTGTAATCCCAGCACTTTGGGAGGCCCAGGCGGGCGGATCACGAGGTCAGGAGATTGAGGCCATCCTGGCTAACACGGTGAAACCTCATCTCTACTGAAAATACAAAAAAAATTAGCTGGGCATGGTGGTGGGCACCTGTAGTCCCAGCTACTCGGGAGGCTGAGGCAGGAGAATGGCGTGAACCTGGGAGGCAGAGCTTGCAGTGAGCCGAGATCTTGACACTGCACTCCAGCCTGGGCGACAGAGCAAGACTCCGTCTCAAAAAAAAAAAAAAAAAAACATAAAAACTGTATAGCCGAAGGATTTTTATTTTGTTATTTTGTTTTTTTGAGACAGGTTCTCACCCTGTCTCTGGGGCTGAAGTGCAGTGGTGCAATCACCTGCTCACTGCAGCCTCAACCTCGCAGGCTCAAGCGATTCTCCCACCTTAGCTTCCCAAAGCTGGGACCACAGGAGTGGACCACCATGCCCAGCTATTTTTTTTTAATTATTTGTGGAGACAGCGGTCTCCCTAGGTTGCTCAGGCTGCTGGCCTCTAACCCCTGGGCTCAAGCAGTCCTCCTGCCTCGGCCTCCCAAAGTGCTGAGATTATGGGTGTGAGCCACTGTGCCCAGCTAGCCCAAGGGTTTCTAAAACTTCTGAAATAATAAGAGTCTTCAAATCCCATAATATGAGATTGACAAACTAAATTATAGATGCAGGGACTTTAGCTACATGAAGTTCTTTCACATGCAACCTGCATTTTCTCCGGACATTTTATTCCTATATGCCAATCCATCTCAGTTCAGCCCATCTATATAAGAAGTAAACCAACATATTTGTTGCACTTGGAGGTCATTTAACCTTTATAATAATCCTATTCAGATTTTACCCATTTTATAGATGAGGAAGTTGAAACTTCAAAATTGTTAAATAACTTGCCCAAGGTTATAAGGCCAGCATATAGAAAAGCTGGGATTTGAATTTATTTCTGCTTGATCCCAAAACCCATGCTCTTCCCACTATATTACATCGATTCCATGGCAACCTCAAAAGCAGAGGAAATTCATCAATCAGGTAAACATGCTTCAACCATTATATCCTTCTTATAAATCTGCTAATCAGCACCCTAGGTGAAGTTATCCCTGACTACCATCAAATATATCTTCCTCCCTTGTAATAGTTGGAAACATTTAAAACTTGGCTTCTGGTTTCTCCAACTATATTGTTAGTTTCTTAGACCATGGAATTTCACATTAAAAAATCTAATAGTTTACACAAATTAGCCAGGTGTGGTGGTGGGCCCCTGTAATCCCAGCTACTCTGGAGGCTGAGGCAGGAGAATTGCTTGAGCCCAGGAGGCGGAGATTGCAGTGAGCCGAGATCGTGCCACTGCACTCCAGCCTGGGCAACAGAGTGAGACTCTGTCTCAAAAAAAAAAAAAAAAAAAATCTGATAGTTAATACATTCACATGGTTCAAATTTCAAAAAGAACAAAACAATTTGACACAGCAGGCATGTGGAAAAAAATAAAATGGGCCGGGCGCGGTGGCTCATGCCTGTAATCCCAGCATTTTGGGAGGCCGAGGTGGGCGGGTCATGAGGTCAGGAGATCGAGACCATCCTGGCTAACACGGTGAAACCCCGTCTCTACTAAAAAAAAAAAAAAAAAAAAAAAAAAAGAATAAAATGAATATAAAATGAGGAAAAGAGTATTTTTACTTTCCCCACTAAATACCTAGACCTCCTCTCATACACAAACCATATTATTAGGTTTTTAGATATCCTTCTCAGGCCAGAAGCAGTGACTCACACTTGTAATCCCAGCATATTGGGAGGCCAAAATAGGAGGATTGCTTGAGCCCGGAGTTTGAGACCAGCCTGGGCAAAATAACAAGACCCCCATCTCTACAAAACTAAAAATAAATACATAAATTTGGTTCAATAGGCCACCCACCATAGTTTTCAAAAAGCACAGTTATCAAGATAAAAATTGTTAAAGGAAGATTACAGATTTTTTTTGTTTTAGCTGAATTGAGTAAATTGGGTTAGAACAAGGAGATACTGGAGTGTAGGAAACAAGCAATCTGGCTGCAGCTTTTTGCCCAGGTATGAGATAATGAACACCGGATTAGGGAAGTGGCTTTCAGAATGGAGAAAAAGAAACTGTCAATAAGTGTAATCAGCATGAAGTCCAGGCACAGTTGCTCATGCCTGTAATCCCAGCACTTTGGAAGGCCAAGGCAGGAGGATCACTTGAGCCCAGGAGTTTGAGACCAGCCTGGGCAACAAAACAAGACTCCCTATCTCTACAAAAAAAAAAAAAAAAAAGGTAGCCAAGCGTGGAGGTGTGTACCTGTAATCCCAGCTACTTGGGAGGCTGAGGTGGGAGGATTGCTTGAGCACAGGAGGTCAAGGCTACAGTGAGCTATGATCGCACCACTACTCACCAGCCTGGGTGACAGAGTGAGACCTTGTCTCAACAACAACAAAAAAAGAATCAGTATAACCTTTGCACCTGATGAAATGTGGGAAACAAAAGAGTATAGGAACAAAAGTTACTCCAGATCTATACAAACTTTCTGAAAATAAATGTGGCATTATGCATCAAGATCCTTCTTTAAAATTTTATTTCCACCTATTAGAATGGCTAAAATCCAAATAAGTGGCAATACCAATTACTGGCAAGAAGGCAGAGCAGCAAGAATTCTCATTCTGGTAAGAATGCAAAACAGTACAGCCACTTTGGAAGAGAGCTTAAAAGTTTCTTCAAGGCTAAACTTGCCTTAGGCCAGGCGCAGTGGCTCATACCTGTAATCCCAGCACTTTTCGAGGCTGAGGTAGGTGGATCACTTGAGGTCAGGAGTTCAAAACCAGCCTGGCCAACATGGTGAAACCCCGTCTCTACTACTACTACTACTACTACTACTACTACTACTACTACTACTACTAATAATAATAATAATAATTATTATTATTATTATTATTATACAAAGCTTAGCCAGGCATGGTGGTGGGTGCTATAATCCCAGCTACTTGGGAGGCTGAGGCAGGAGAATCGCTTGAACCTGGGAGGCAAGAGACTGCAGTGAGCCGAGATCACACCACTGCACTGCAGCCTGGGTGACAGAGCGAGACTCCATCTCAAAAAAAAACAAAACAAACAAAAAAAACCCAAAACAACAACAAAGCTAAACATGATGGATTTACTTTATGTGTTTGGTTTCAGACAGCAATGAGAAGAACTTCACCTAGGTAGAACATTACTTGCTGAGTCAGCCAGAAACCTCCAAACCTTCAACTGGACAGAAACACAGTTAGATTTACTGTAACTCTGTAACTGAAAACTTTTTTTTTTTTTGACAGGGTCTTGCTCCTGTTACCTAGGTTGGAGTAGTGCAGTGGTGCAGTCTCACTACAGCCTCAACCTCCCAGGCTCAAGCCACCCTCCCACCTCAACCTTCCAAGTAGCTGGAACTACAGGTGCACACCACCATGCCCAGCTTGTTTTGTTTTGTTTTGTTGTGTTTTTTTGTATTTTGGTAGAGACAGGGTTTTTGCCATGTTACCCAGGCTGCTCTCAAACTCCTGGGCTCAAGCGATCCACCTGCCTCAGTCTCCCAAAGTGCTGGGATTATAGATGTGAGCCACCACACCTGGCCCAAATTTTTAAAAGACATCAAGTTGTAGCTTTGCTTTTTGCAAAAGTTAAACATCTCTCTGCAGAAAGGTCATATTGGTTGACAATGAAGATTAATCCACTCTTCCCCCAGGTGAGTCCTTGGTGAATATTTTTGTGTATTGCTTCCATTGGAAGGATTGTACTGAAAATATGAGTCCCAGCAGTAATTCTATGAGCTTTCTCACTTCAGTACTAATTAAAAGGAAAAGCCGTCCAGCACAGTGGCTTACACCCATAATCCCAACACTTTGGGAGGCTGAGACAGGCGGATCACAAGGTCAGGAGTTCAAGACCAGCCTGGCCAACATGGAGAAACCCCGTCTCTACTAAAAATACAAAAATTAGCCGGGCGTGATGGCAGGTGCCCATAGTCCCAGCTATTCAAGAGGCTGAGGCAGAAGAATCGCTTGAACCTGGGAGGCAGAGGTTGCAGTGAGCCGAGATTGCACCAGTGCACTCCAGCCTGAGTGGCAGAGTGAGACTCCATCTAAAAAAAAAGGAAAAACCAAGAGTCACATTGAGAAATAAGTACCAGTAAGTGTGTAGTTCAGCCCAGATGTTCTGGTCTACAGTTATACAAGCTCTTTGACAAGAAGAGGGTTCTAAGAACTGACAATCAATAAGTTACTGGGAGAAATCCAGAACTCTACCTTGTGCATTACAGTGAACCCTCTGCTTCTTCTATCCCACACTTGGTAAACCTGAAGCTAGTGACCCCAAACATCCTTTTTCACATGTCCTCTTACCACTGCAACTTAGGCAGCCACACCCACCTTTTGTAGAAGCTCTCCTTGGCTGGTACCATGTCCTTCTGCCACAGACTTTAGAACATCCCAGAATTGGTGAAAATTTTGAATCTTATGGTCTGAGCACTTTTTCTGATGAGAGAACAGCTAGATAGCAACCGCAGCAGCAAGAATCCTCTTATTTTACAGGTTATGGTGGCCTGGCATTTAGTGAATCAGCACTTTTGAGTCAGAAGAACCCTTGAGGGGTGTTTTAGTTTTTCACAATCCCCCCGCCCCGCCTTTTTTTTTTTTTGAGATGGAGTTTCGCTCTTCTTGCCCAGGCTGGAGTCCAATGGGATGATCTCAACTCACTGCAACCTCCACCTCCCAAGTTCAAGCGATTCTCCTGCCTCAGCCTCCCAAGTAGCTGGGATTACAGGCGTGTGTCACCATGCCCAGCTAATTTTGTATTTTTAGTAGAGATGGGGTTTCACCATGTTGGCCAGGCTGGTCTTGAACTCCTGACCTCAGGTGATCCGCCCGCCTCGGCCTCCCAAAGTGCTGGGATTACAGGTGTGAGCCACCATGCCCAGCCTTACAATTTTTTTTAAATAGAGGAGTAACAAGGAGTGAGCATTAGGATCAGTATCTCCCAATAAAATCTCTGAAGTGATTTTACATGACCCATCCATTACCCTCTGATATTTCCTGTGAGAACCTGAAGTACATAATTGCTTACCACAATGAGAAAGGAGCAGACCAAGGACTCCAACTCAAAGAGCAATTTGGGCTTATAAGTGAGGACTGAGTCACTCTGAAGGCTGATCTTGGAGACTCTTGTGGAGTGTTTGAACTCAACTCAGTTTGCCACACCCCTTTTTCATCAAGACAGTCCCATAAATCAGGAGACACAGCATGGCATTCACCTGCAGGGCAGGTAACAGTGCCACCTACCAAGTGTTCTTTCCCAAGGAAGTGGCTATGGCCCCGAAAGGACACTTGTAGAAAGTCTAGGCCAGACATGAGTCTGATATAAGCTCACAGAAGCTATTAAGAAATATAGTGGTCAGGACTCTACTCTGAAGCTTTTCACCTAGAAGCCCTTCTTAGACCCTGGCATTTACACCTCTGATGTCAAGGGAAAAAAAAAGAAAAGAAAAACAGCCAAAGTTGGACTTCTCCAGCAGAGATTTAGTCAATGCAAAAGGTTCGTCAGTTGAAAAGAATTGCATCACCATTCAGAGTTATGCAGGACATATGGGCAGGCCTGTTGTGGCCTCTGGAGTTTGGTTAAAGCCCTAAACTGTCCCAATGGCTCCACCCATAAGCTGGCAACATTTTAAATCAAGATTGAGCCATACTAGAGAGTCCAAAGAAAACAGCAATACTTTTCTGTATACCAGGGATTTCAAATGAATATTAGAATTCCTGGAGAGTGACTGAAGGGCTCAGAAATATTTAAAAACCCTTCAAAGCACTGGTTGACCACTATTCAGAGCCTGGTAATCCTCATGCCCAACAATTACTCTCACAAGTTCCCTGTTGCACTCTCTGTATACCATTAGCAGTAGTGTAATTGATACAATCTTTAGGGAAATAAGTTTGGAGGTGCCTTCATTTTATTTTTTTGAAACAGAGTCTCTGTCGCCCAGGCTGGAGTACAGTGGTGTGATCTCAACTCACTGCAACCTCCGTCTTCTGGGTTCAAGCAATTCTTCTGCCTCAGCCTCCCAAGTAGCTGGGATTACAGACATATGCCACCACACTCGGCTAATTTTTGTATTTTTAGTAGAGATGGGGTTTCACCATGTTTGCCAGTCTGGCCTGGAAATTCTGACCTCAAGTGATCCACCCACCTCAGCCTCCCAAAGTGCTGGGTTTACAGGCGTGAGCCATGTGCCCGGTCCTTCTTTTTTTTTTTTTTTTTTTTTTTTAAGTGCAACTACCCTTTGATTTAGCAAATCCATTTCCAACTCTGGAGGAAAAGTGGCACAGAAACCCTCACACATTAACTAAAAAAAAAAAAAAAAAATGTGTACAGGGACATTAATTAAAACCTTACTTGTCAGGGCTAGGCACGGTGGCTCACTCCTATAATCCCAGCACTTTGGGAGACTGAGGCAGACGGATCATTTGAGGTCAGGAGTTCAAGACCAGCCTGGCCACATGGTGAAACCCTATCTCTACTTAAAAAAAAAAAAAAAAAAGCCAGACAGGGTGGCTCACACCTGTAATCCCAGCACTTTGGGAGGCCAAGATGGGTGGATCACTTGAGGTCAGGAGTTTGAGACCAGCCTGACCAACATGGCGAAACTTCGTCTCTACTAAAAAATACAAAAATTAGCCAGGCATGGTGGCAGATGCCTGTAATCCCAGCTACTCGGGAGGCTGAGGCAGGAGAATCGCTTGAACCTTGGAGCAAAGGTTGCAGTGAGCTGAGATCACACCGCTGCACTCCAACCTCGGTGACAGAGCGAGACTGTCTCAAAAAAAAAGAAAAAACATTAGCCAGGGGGTTGGTGCACACCTGTAGTCCCAGCTTCTCAGGAGACTGAGGCACGAGAATCACTTGAAGCTGGGAAACGGAGGTTGCAGTGTGCAAGATCATGCCACTGCACTCCAGCTTGGACAAAAGAGTGAGACTCTGTCTCAAAACAGACAAACCTTACTTGTCTATCAATAAGTGGCTAAGTAAGCTGCGGTACAGTTATAACATGACCTACAATATACTTGTTAAAAAGAATGAAGAGGCCAGGCACAGTGGCTCACGCCTGTAACCCCAGCACTTTGAGAGGCTGAGGTGGGCAGATCACGAGGTCAGGAGATTGAGACCATCCTGACCAACATGGTGAAACCCTGTCTCTACTAAAACACAAAAAATTAGCTGGCCGTGGTGGCTCGCGCCTGTAGTCCCAACTACTTGGAAGGCTGAGGCAGGGGAATAGCCTGAACCCAGGAGGCGGAGGATGCAATGAGCCAAAATCACGCCACTGCACTCCAGCCTGACGACAGAGCAAGACTCTATCTCAAAAAAAAAAAAAAAAGAAGAAAATCAGAAGGCTGATTGTGCATGGTACACTGCCAAGTGAGGGAAAAAGTGAAATTATTTCAGTTTTTTACTAGAAGTATATCATTTTATTTGTGCATATATTGTTTGAATTTGTTTACAATGAGTATGTAACACCTTGGTAACAAAACTATTTTCCAAAACCACCCCAGTTATTACCTTAAAACCAAACTTTAGAGAGTTAGTAGATTTTTTTTGTTTTTGAAAATCTTTATTGTTATTATTAGTGTGTTTATCCAACAAATTAAGAAGAAAAATAAAATTTAAAAAAGTTAGAATGTACTTTTTTGGGCAAAATCTAGGGAGTTACATTTAACTCAGAGAAATGTGAACTTAGGGAAGAAATATTTCACTTATACTTTGACATACACACACATACACGGGTATATTACCACAATTTTGTTGTTGTTTTTGAGACAAAGTCTTGCTGCGATGCCCAGGCTGGAGTGTAGTGGCACAATCTCGGCTCACTGCAACCTCCGATTCCCAGGTTCAAGCGATTCTCCTGCCTCAGCCTCCAGAGTAGCTGGGATTACAGGCATGCACCACCACACCTGGCTAATTGTGTGTGTGTGTGTGTGTGTGTGTGTGTGTGTGTGTGTGTGTGTGTGTGTAGTAGAGACGGAGTTTCACCATATTGGCCAGGCTGGTCTTGAACTCGCGACCTCAAGTAATCCACCTGCCTTGGCTTCCCAAAGTGCTGGGATTACAGGCGTGAGCCACCACACCCGGTGAATTCTTACCCCCACCTGGCTAGACGGAGTCTCACTTTATCACCCAGGCTGGAGTGCAGTGGCACGGTCTCAGCTCACTGCAACCTCTGCCTCCCAGGTTCAAGTGATTCTTGTGCCTCAGCTTCTCAAGTAGCTGGGATTACAGGCATGCACTACCACACCCAGCTTTTTATTTTATTTTATTTTAAGATGGAGTCTCGCTCTGTCACCCAGCCTGGAGTGCAGTGGCTTGATCTTGGCTCACTGCAACCTCCATCTCCCAGGTTCAAGCAATTCTTCTGCCTCAACCTCCCAAGTAGCTGGGACTACAGGAGCCCGCCACCACACCCAGCTAATTTTGTATTTTTAGTAGAGACAGGGTTTCACTATGTTGGCCAGTCTGGTCTTGAGCTTCTGACCTCAGATGATCCACCCGCCTTTGCCTCCCAAAGTGCTGGGATTACAGGGAGGAGCCACCGCGCCTGGCCATATTGCCACAATTCTCAGAGTATGCTCTATAGATTCCTGCAGCCCTCAAGACCTTTTCAGGGGAATCCATGAAGTCAAAACTATTTTCATTATAATTCTAATATATTATTTTTCACTATATTGACTTGCACTGATGGTACAAAAGCAATGGGGGGGGGGGCTAAAAATTTGCTGGTACTGCTGGGTGTGGTGGTGCACGCCTGTAGTCCCTGCTACTCAAGAGGCCAAGGCAGGAGGATTGCTTGAGCCCAGGAGTTTAAGGCTACAGTGAGCTATGATCTCACCACTGCAATCCAGCCTGGGCAACAGAGTGAGCTCCTGTTTCTAAAAAACAAACAAAGATAGCTGGTACCTCAGCACAGTATTAGGTAATGGTATCAAACTGTACTAGCAGTAAATGTATTCTTCCCCATTGGGCACTCAAAGCAGGAAAAGGCCGATTTTATTAAGAATCCTTGATGAAGCAGTAAAAATTAATTTTATTAAAACTTGACCCTTGAGTACAAGTGTTTTTAATATTCTATGTGAGGAAATGAGAAGGATACACAGAGCACTTCTGCTATATATCAAAGTACATTTGTTATCTCAAGGAGCATAGCTATTTTGGTTGCAAGCTGCATTGGCCTTTTTTGTTTTCATAGAACACCATTTTTACTTGAAAATAGCACTGACAGGCAAATGTTGGTAATTCAGATGTGGATATTTGGCAGACATTCTCTGGAGCCTGTCACTTGAAGGAAAACACCTGACAATATTTATTTCCAATGATAAAATTCAAAACCTTTGAGCAAAAATGAGAATTTTGGAAAATTGTATATATTCCTGGTTGACAGTTTTCTAAAAGCTTTAAAAACTTTTTTGATGAGATAAATCATGGTATTAATAAATGTGTTTTTTATATTATATAATAAAAATGTGTCAATATTTGAAAGATCTGCACAGTTCAGTGAACCAATGTTTTCCAAATGACCAATCATGATGTTACAAAATCATACATGTGTAAAAGATCCACTGAAAGTATATTAGGCCAGGCGCGGTGGCTCATGCCTGTAATCCCAACATTTTGGGAGGCCAAGGCAGGTGGATCACTTGAGGTCAGGAGTTCGAGACCAGACTGGCCAACATAGTGAAACCCCGTCTCTATTAACAATACAAAAATTAGCTGGGTATGGTGGTGAGCACCTGTAGTCCCAGCTACTCGGGAGGCTGAGGTATGAGAATCGCTTGAACCCAGGAGGCAGAGGTTACAGTGAGCTGAGATGGCACCACTGCACTCCAGCCTGGGCAACAGAGCGAGACTCCATCTAAAAAAAAAAAAAAGAAAGTACATAATAGGCCTGTAATCCCAGCACTTTGGGAGGCTGAGGCAGGAGGATCGCTTGAGCCCACGAGTTCCAGACCAGCCTGGGCAACATAGGGACACCCTGTCTCTACAAATAATTTTTTTTGATTAGGGCTGGGCACCGTGGCTCATGCCTATAATCCCAGCACTTTGGGAGGCCAAAGCTGGAGGATCACTTGAGCTCAGAAGTTCAAGATCAGCCTAGGCAACATGGCAAAACCCTGTCTCTACTAAAAATATAAAAAATTAGCTGGGTGTGGTGGCACATGCCTGTAGTCTGAGGTGGGAGGATCGCCTGAGCCCAGGAAGTCAAGGCTGAAATGAGCAGTGATTGCAGACACTGCACTCCACCCTGGGTAGCTGAGCAAGACCCTGTCTCAAAACAACAACACAGAATGAAAGTATGTGATAGACCAATGGATTTTAATATAACAGAGTATGGACATTTTATAGTTATGGTCTCAACCTTTAAGAAACTAACAGTTGTTGGATTTTGGTGTATTGAAGGGAATATCCAGTTTTCTGAAAAATCTGTTGAAGTATTTCTTCCTTTTCCAACTACATAGCTGTGTTGAGCCAGATTTTCTTCATATTCTTCAACCAAAACACTCATGGATTTGACTGAATACAGAAGCAGATATAAGAATCAAGCTTTTATAAAGCCAGACATTGAAGATGCCACTCTTCTCATTAAATTTTTTTGTTTTGAAAAAAATTTTTTTGGTCAGCTGTGGTGGCTCATGCTTGTAATCCCAGCACTTTGGGAAGCCGAGGCAGGCAGATTCACCTGAGGTCAGGAGTTCGAGACCAGCCTGGTCAACATGGTGAAACCCCGTCTCTACTAAAAATACAAAAATTAGCCAGGCATGGTGGCGTGCACCTGTAATCCCAACTACCTGGGAAGCTGAGGCAGGAGAATTGCTTGAACCCCAGCAGCTGAGGTTGCAGTGAGCCAAGATTGCATCATTGCCCTCCAGCCTGGGCAACAAGAGTGGAAACCCGTCTCAAAAAAAAAGAAAAAGAAAGAAAGAAAATGGCAGAGGAAGCCGGGCACAGTGGCTCACACCTGTAATCCCAGCACTTTGGGAGGCTGAGGTGGGCAGATTACTTGAGCTCAGGAGTTTGAGACCAGCCTGGCCAACATGGTGAAACTCCATCTCTACAAAAGATACAAAACTTAAATGAGCATGGTGGCAGGCGCCTATAGTCCCAGCTACTTGGGAGGTTAAGGTGGGAGGATCGCTTGAACCCAAGAAGCAGAGGTTGCAGTGAGCTGACATCCCACCAATGCACTCCAGCCTGGCTGACACAGCAAGACTGTCTCAAAAATAGATAGGGAAAATAGCAGAGGATCTAGTGAAGGAACATGGTCTAGTTTGCATCACTGCACATTATAATCCCCTTTGTAAGTGGATATATTAATGGAAGGTGAACAAACATGTCTCTGAAAACAACCTGGAGAAACCCCCCAAGGCCATGATTCTTCCCTTGGGTTCACTTAGCTAGTAGGTTCCTGGAATTGGTACTGAAAAATTCCCCAGTTCTTGTCCAGAAGTGGTAATTCCTTTGGTCTTGGAGGCCCTAGAGGTTTTCAACCTCCCCATTTTGACCTTGCTGTTAGGTTCTGGCCCTTACCATTCTTTTTATTTTTTAACAGCTTTATTTTTTTTATCTATTTTTTTTTAGAGACAGAGTCTTGCTCTGTTGCCCAGGATGGAGTGCAGTGGTGCAACCATAACTCACTGCAACCTGAAACTCCTGGACTCAAGCAATCCTCCTACCTTGGCCTCCCAAAGTGCTGGGATCACAGACATGAGCTACTGCACCCCACCTTAATAGCTTTCTTAAAATATAACTCACATATCACACAATTCACTCAAAGTGTTCAAGTCAATAACTTTTATTATATGCAGAGCTGTGCAATCATCACATCTTTTTTTTTTTTTTTTAACTTTTAGAGATGAGATCTTGCTATGTTGCTCAGGCTGGAGTGCAGTGGCTGTTCACATACAAGATCATAGCACACTGTGGCCTCTAACTCCTGGCCTCAGCCTCCTGAGTAGCAGGAACTACAGGTGTGTGCCACCATGCCGTGCTTATCACATCTATTTTAGAACATTTTCTTCACTCCTAAAAAGAATTCCTGCACCCCATAGCCATTATCCCTAGGCCCCCAGCCCTAGGCAACCACTAGTTCACTTTATGACTTTATAGATTTGCCTATTATGGATATTTCATATAAATGGAATAATATATGATCCTTGTAACTGGCTTCATTCACTTAGAATGATGTTTTTCAAGGTTTATTCTTCTTGTAGCATGTGTGGGTGCTGCATTCCATTTTATGGCCAAATAATATTTCACTGTATGGATATAACACATTTTACTTATCCATTCATCAGTTTGGGTTGGTGACTCTTTTGGGTTATTTCTACTTTTTGTCTGTCATAAATAATGCGGCTATGAACATTTGTGTATGTCTTTATGTGGACATAAGTTTTAAATTATCTTGGGTCCCTTATCAGTTTTATATTTGCAAATATTTTATCCCATTCTGTGGGTTGTCTTTTCACTTTCTAGGCAGTGTCATTTGGTGCACAGAAGTTTTTTATTTTGATGATGTCCAATTTGTTTTTTTTTTTCTTTTGTTCCTTGTGCTTTTGGTATCATATCTAAGAAACCATTGCCAAATCCAAGGTCATAAAGATTTATACCTATGTTTTCTTCTAAGAAATATTTTAGCTCTTACATTTAGGTTATTGATCCATTTTGAGTTAATTTTTACATACGATGTGAAGTAGGTGTTCAGCTTCATTCTTTTGCATGTGGATATCTAGTTTTCTCAGCACCATGTATCAAAAAGATGATCCTTTCAGTCAGGCACGTTGGCTCATGCCTGTAATCCCACACTTTGGGAGGCTGAGGTGGGTGGATCACCTGAGGTGAGGAGTTCAAGACTAGCCTGGCCAATATGGTGAAACCCTGACTCTACTAAAAATATAAAAATTAGCCCGGTGTGGTGGTGCACGCCTGTAGTCCCAGCTACTTGGGAGGCTGAGGTGGGAGGATTGCTTGAACCTGGGAGGCAGAGGTTGCAGTGAGCCGAGATCATGCTACTGCACTCCAGCCTGGGCAACAGAATGAGACTCCCATCTCAAAAAAAAAAAAAAAAAAAGAAAGAAAAAGAAAAAGAAAAAAGACTATTTTTTCACCATTGAATTGTCTTGGCAACCTTATCAAAAATTAATTGACCATAAGTGTGAGGGTTTGTTTCTGGACTATCAATTCTACTTATCTGTATGTCTATCCTTATGACAGTACCACACACTGTCTTGATTATTATAGCTTTGTAGTAAGTTCTGAAATCAGAAAATGCGAGTCCTCCAACTTGGTTCTTCATTTTCAAGATTGTTTTGGCTATTCTAGGTTGGCCACTACTATTCTTACCCCAAGTGGCAAGGCTCCCTTGCCCACACTACTTCTTCCAAGGCATTAATTATGGTGACCTATAAACCCTAATCCTCACCCTCTCCAACCTCATCCTGCAATATTCTCTCTCTCACTCCTCCACTCCAGCAAGATAGTCCTTCTTTCAGTTTCTCAAGCATTTCAAAGTTTTTCCTGCCTGATGGCCTTTGAACTCATGTTTCCTTTGCCAAGAATGTTTCCCTCCACCCTCCACTTCCTCCTTCCTTTTATCAAGGCTGACTTTTTTTTTTTTTTTTTCTTGAGACAGAGTCTCACTCTGTTGCCCAGGCTGGAGGACAGTACAACAATCTAATCATGGCTCACTGCAGCCTCAAATTCCTGCGCTTGAGCAATCCTTCCATCTCACCCTCCCTCATAGCTGGGACTACAGGCATGTACCACGGCACCCAGCTTATATGTGTTTTTCTACTAGAATGTCTCCATTCTAGTAGGGGAGACAGAAAAATACAGGAGAGGAGAGATCCTGTCTTAGTTAACACTGAATTCCTACTGCCTGGCATATAATATATTTAATATGCATTTGTTGAATGGATGAATGAATGAAAGACCAATCCCTGGACAGCCCTTTAGTAGGATTCAGCACCAGGAAAAGAGGAAAGAGGCAATGAACTTGGCCCTCAAACCAGGGTTGCTTTCCTTGTACTCACCTTCTCTCATTTTGTGCCAGTCAGCAATTCCTCCCTCCTTTCATTCAAATAATTATCCCAAACTCTCCTCCTAATGAATGTCAATGTACATTTGAGAAGTAGATACAGACACATTCCTGCCTTCCCCAATCTCTGCTCTGGATTGCCTTCAGGGAAAAAAAAAAGCCAAAGATGTCTCTGACAATAGTTTATATGGACAAGTACACCCTCAGATCCATTTGCAGAGACAAAAATGTAGAGTATTGGGAAGCATGAGACACCAGACAAGGGTACAGAAGAATACAGAACTAAGAAGGTAAGAATTCAGAACCTCAGGGAGAATCAGAATCTCAGGCAGAGAGCCTGGGAATTCACATCACAACCTTTGATTCTAATGCCTGCAAAAGTTTGAGAACCATTGTCCCACAGCTACAGACTGGAGAGGAAAGGCCTAGGTTACTGATATGAAGGGATTTTCCCTGGGGCTTGGAAGGGAAGAGCTTCCAAGCCCTTGGTAATTCTGTATACAGCCCCGAGTCTTTCATCTAAAGATCTTAAAGAATGTTACAGGCATCAATTAACCTTTCCAGCACCCTAGACTGAAAATCCAGGCTCTTGGCCCTATTTTACTGACAAAAACTCAAACCTATGGTTTAGAGCCAAGAAAGGAATATCTTGGCTCACGTGACCTGAACTGAACAAGCTAAGGGGACTACAGGTACGCATCACCATGCCTAGCTTATTTTTTTATTATTTTTGTAGAGATGGAGTCTCACCCTCTTATGCAGGCTGGTCTCAAACTCTTGGGTTCAAGCAATCCTCCCACCTTAGCCTCCCAAAGTGCTGAGACTACAGGCATGAGTCACTGCTCCTGGCTGACAGTGGTTCTTAATCTGGGGACTTAAATTTATGTGTATATGTGTCACTCCTTGACTGTAGGCAGATGATACTTTCACTTACTCCTTGTCACTCAAGTCTCAGCTTAAAGGCAATCCCCTCAGAGAGGTCTTCCCTGAACACCCATCTTAAGTAATGTTTTCTATCATATCCTATTTTAATTTCTTCAGAGTACTTGTCATTATCTGAGATTATCTTACCTTTTCTTTGCCCCTCCTTCACTACAAGGTAAACTCCATGAAATCAGAAACCTATCTGACAGTACATTGTTGATGTTCAATAAGTGTTTGTTGAATGCTTAAATAAGCAAGTCTAAATGAAGATGTTTTCAACAATATGTAGATGCTGTTGAAATGAGTAAAATATACATTTATTTTTAAAGTCTAAATTTAGGGTGGGCACAATGGCTCATGCCTGTAATCCCATCAGTTTGAAAGGCCAACGTGGGAGGATTGCTTGAGTTCAGGAGTTTGAGACTAGCCTGGGCAATATAGCAAGACACCATCTCTACAGATAATTTTAAAAATTAACCAGGTGTGGTGGTGTGCACCTGTAGTCCCAGCTGCACTGTAGCCCCTCGGTCCCTGTAGTCCTGTAGCCCCTCAGCCTAGGCAGGCAGAGGCAAGAGGATTGCTAGAGCCTGTGAGATCAAGACTGCAGTGAGCTATGCTTGCACCACTGCACTCCAGTCTGGGCAACAGAGCAAGACCCTGTCTCAAAAATAAATTAAATAAATAAAAAGAAAAACCCTGATATGATAGTCTAAGTAGCTATCGATTGAGAGAAATACGTGCCCAGAGTATCACTTGGCTGGGTGCAGTAGCTCATGCCGTAATCCCAGCACTTTAGGAGGCCAAGGCGGGGGATTGCTTGAGCCCAGGAGCTTGAGACCAGTCTGGGCAACATAGCGAGAACCTATCTCTAAAAAAAAAATTATTGGCTGGGCACGGTGGCTCACGCCTGTAATCCCAGCACTTTGGGAGGCTGAGGCAGGTGGATCACCTGAGGTCAGGAGTTGGAGACCAGCCTGGCTAACATGGAGAAACCCCGTCTCTACTAAAACTACAAACAAATTAGATGGGCATGGTGACAGGTGCCTACAGTCCCAGCTACTCGGGAGGCTGAGGCAGGTTAGTCACTTGAACCCCCAGAGGTGGAGGCTGCAGTAAGCCGAGATCATGCCACTGCACTCTAGCCTGGGCAACAAGAGTGAAACTCCAGTACTTTTTTTTTAAGTATAGTTTAAATTTAGACTTTATTTTGAGACAGGATCTCTCTGTGTCACTCAGGCTGGAGTGCAGTGGTGCAATCACAGCTCACTATAGCTTCAAACTCCTGTGCTCAAGTGATCCTCCCACCTTAGAGCACCCCTTGCCCCATCCCCACCCCCACCCTGAGTAGCTGGGACGACAGGATGTGCCACCATGTCCAGCTAATTTTTTATGTTTTTTTTTTTTGTAGAGACAGGGTCTCACTATGTTGCCCAGGCTGGCCTTGAACTCCTGAGGCCGCAAGCGATCCTCCCCACTCAGCTACCCAAAATCCTGGGATTATAAGGCATGAGGCACTGCGTCCAGCCAGGGTTTTTCTTTATAATATTGAAAAAAGGGTTGGTACAATTTCCATTTCTGACATTGTATGGATTATAATTTCTGAACAATCTTCCCCAAAAAACAACTAAAATGATAGGTTAAATATAATTTTTAACTTTAAAATTCATAATGAGATAACACAAAAGTAAAGAGTTAGAATGACCCCAAGACAAATTAACCAAAATCAATTCTCCCTGAAACATTTTCTTAACTCCCAGTTTTGATTCCATATCACTGGCCACTCCTCAGTCTTCTCCTTTCCTGGTTGCTCCTCTATCTCTTAACCTTTTAACAGTGAAGAGTTCTAAGACTTGGTCCTTGGATCTGTTCTCTGATTGTACTTCCTTGGCAATCGTATATAGTCTGTGTTTTCAATATAATTTGTACTCTAATAAAATTATAAATTTTATCTCTGACTCAGATTTCCTTCTGTACTTCAGATTTGCATGTCCAGCTGCCCATTTGACATCTTTACTTGATTGTCTAAAATGCATCATACGGCCAGGCATAGTAGCTCACGCCTGTAATCCCAACACTTTGGGAGGCTGAGGCGAGTGGATTGCTTTGAGGTCAGGAGTTCGAGACCAGCCTGGCCAACATGGTGAAACCTGTCTCTGCTAAATAAATAAATAAAAATAAATAAATGGGCCGGGCACGGTGGCTCACGCCTGTAATCCCAGCACTTCGGGAGGCCGAGGCGGGTGGATCATGAGGTCAGGAGATCGAGACCATCCTGGCTAACACAGTGAAACCCCATCTCTACTAAAAATACAAAAAAATTAGCTGGGCATGGTGGCGGACGCCTGTAGTCCCAGCTACTCAGGAGGCTGAGGCAGGAGAATGGCATGAACCCGGGAGGCGGAGCTTGCAGTGAGCTGAGATCATGCCACTGCACTCCAGCCTGGGACACAGAGCCAGACTCCATCTCAAAAATATAAATAAATAAATAAATAGCATCATAATGCCCAAATATGAACTCAAGTCAATGGCAATTCCATTCTTCCTGTTGCTGAGACCCAAAACACGGGAGTCATCTTTGACCTCCCTTTTTCTTATATCCCAAGCAAGTAAAGGGAGGAAAGTGGAAAAGAAAAAGTACAAAAATAGCTCGATCCATCTAAAATAAGGTAAGAAAAGGAGAAAAGAGGAACAGAAAAATAGGAAATAAAAAGCAAATAAAACAAAATCAAATATATTAGAAATTACTCTAAATGTAAATGTACTAAATTTTCTAGCTAAAAGATGGATTGTCAAATTGGATTTAAAAACAAAAAACCTGGCCAGGCATAGTGGCTGGCGCCTGTAATCCCAGCACTTCTATAGGCCAAGGCAGGAGGATTGCTTGAGCCCAGGAGTTTGTGACCAGCCTGGGCAACATAGTGAGACCCCATCTCTACAAAAAATTTTAAAAAGTAGTCAAGCATGGTGGCACACACCTGTGCTCCCAGCTACTCAGGAGGCTGAGGTGGGAGGATCACTTGAGCTGAGAAGTTTGAGGCTGCAGTGAACCATATTTGTGCTACTGCACTTCAGGCTGCATGACAGGTGAGACCCTATCTCAAAAAAAAAAAAAAAAAAAACAAATTAGCTGGGCATGGTGGTGCATGCCTGTAATACCAGCTATTTGGGAGGCTGAAGCAGGAGAATCTCTTGAACTCAGGAGGCAGAGGTTATAGTGAGCCAAGATTGCACCATTGCACTCCAGCCTGGACAACAAGAGCGAAACTTTGTCTCAAAATAATTAATTAATTAATTAATTAATTAAAAAAAACAAAAACAAAATCCTGGGCCAGTGCAGTGGTTCACACCTATAATCCCAGCACTTTGGGAGGTCAAGGCAGGAGGACTACTTGAGGCCAGGAGTTTGAGACCAGAATGGGCAACATAGTGAGACCCTGTCTCTACAAAAATTAAGAAAAAATAAATAAATAAGCAGAGTGGCCAGGCACGATGGCTCACGCCTGTAATCTCAGCACTGTGGGAGGCCAAGGCGGCTGGATTGCCTGAGCTCAGGAGTTTGAAACTACCCTGGGCAACATGGTGAAACCCCGTCTCTACTAAAATACAAAAAAATTAGATGGGCATGGTGGTATGCACCTGTAATCCCAGCTACTTAGGAGGCTGAGGCAGGAGAATTGCTTGAGCCCGGGAGGTGGAGGTTGCAGTGAGCCAAGAACGTACCACTGTACTCTAGCTTGGGCAACAGAGTGAGACTCCATCTCAAATAAATAAATAAAAAATAAATAAATAAATAAGCAGGGCACGGAGGTGTGTGCTTGTAGTCCAAGCTACTCAGGAGGCTGAGGCAGGGGGATCTCTTCAGCCCAGGAGGTTGAGGCTGCAGTGAGCCAAGATCATGCCACTACGCTCCAGCCTGGGTGACAGAGTGAGACCTTGCCTCTAAAAAATTTTTTATGTAAAATAAAATAAAAGTAAATACAAAAAAAACTAAATCTGACCACATGATGATTACGAAAAATACAGGTAAAATATAAGAACACAGAAACACTAAAATTCAAAGAATGGAAATATATAATATAGGTAAATTCTAATCACAAGAAAGCTAATTTAACTATATTTCTAGCAGACAAAATAACTATTAAGCAGAAAGAATTACTAATCACTACAAAATAAAATCATTACAAAATAATAAAAGGATCAATTAACCAGTAAGATATAACAATTCTAAACTAGAAAGCACTCAAAACACAGCATTTAAAAATACATAAAAGCAAAAATTGACAAATTCTTCAAGGAGATAGTGACGAATTTATTATCATAATAGGTTTATTAAAATACCTTCCCTAGTACTTGCTAGTTCAAACAGGCCGAAGAAAGTCATGCCATATATAGAACATCTGGAACAGCACAGTTAGTAGGCTGGCCTAATAGAAATAGAAAATTGGAGGGCCGGGCGCAGTGGCTCACGCCTGCAATCCCAGCACTTTGGGAGGCCAAGGCAGTTGGATCACCTGAGGTCAGGAGTTCAAGACCAGCTTGGCCAACATGGTGAAATCCCGTCTCTAGTAAAAATACAAAAATTAGCCGGGCGTCGTGGCAGGCACCTGTAATCCCAGCTACTCCGGAGGCTGAGGCAGAAGAATCGCTTGAACCCAGGAGGCGGAGGTTGCAATGAGCCGAGATCCCGCCACTGCACTCCAGCCTGGGCGACAGAGCGAGACTCCGTCTCAAAAAAAAAAAAAAAAAAAAAAAAGAGAAAATTGGAGAATAAGCATTATTTTCAAGTACACATGGAACATTTACAAAAATTAACAACATTCCAGGCCATAAAGTTAGCCTCATAAGTATCTAACTGATAGGTGTGTGTGTGTGTGTGTGTGTGTGTGTGTGTGTGTGTGTGTGTGTGATGGAGTCTTGCTCTGTCCCCCAGCCTGGAGTGCAGTGGCATGATCTCGGCTCACTGCAGGCTCCATCTCCTGGGTTCACGCTATTCTCCTGCCTCAGCCTTCCAAGTAGCTGGGACTACAGTCGCCCATCACCACGCCCGGCTAATTTTTTGTATTTTTAGTAGAGACGAGGTTTCACCGTGTTAGCCAGGATGGTTTCGAACTCCTGACCTCGTGATCCACCTGCCTCAGCCTCCCAAAGTGCTGGGATTACAGGCATGAGCCACTGCTCCTGGCCTCCTCATAAGTATCTAAATGAAATTAAGTTAGAAATCAGTTACAAAAAGATAAAGGAAAAAAAAGTTTGGAAAATTTTTAAATGCACTTTTCAACAACTTGTGGATCAAAGGAGAAATCAGTAGAAATTAGAAAATACTTAGAAGAAATAAATGGTAATGAGAAGATTATATATCAAAACCTGTAAGATACAAGTAGTACTTAGGAGGAAATTCATAGCAGTAGTGTTTACATTAGGAAACAAATAAGGCTGAAAAAAAGGAGATAAGAAATTAAAAAACAGCAATAAACATAAAGAAAACAGAAAGAAGAAAATAAAGAGCAGAAATTAATGAAGTAGAGAAACATTCAGTAGAGAAGATCAACAAAGCCAAAAGTTAATTTAAAAAGACTAATAAAATAGCTTAACTTGCAAGAGTAACCAAGAATCAAAAACAAAGAGAAATAAGAAAACCATAACTAAATGTGCTACAGATATTAAGCAGGTAAGAGTTATAATAACTTTATGTCAATAAATATGAAAAATTAGATAAAATCAATAGATTCCCAGAAAAATACAATTCACCAAAAATGGCTGAAGAAGAAATAAAGAACCTGAAAATTAAAGAATTTGAATCAACTTAAACTTTCCGCAAAGCAACCTCCAGGCCCCAGTGGCTTCACCAGTGAATTCTGTGAGTCAATAGAAAACTGGATAATTGAATTGTGGTAGAGTTATACAATGGAGTGCTACCTAGCAATGAAAACAAACTACAACTACATGCATCAACATGTTTTTTGTTCGTTTGCTTGTTTGTTTTTGAGACACAGTCTTGCTCTGTTGCCCAGGCTAGAGTGCAGTGGTGTGATCTTGGCTCACTGCAGCCTCTGTCTTCTGGTTCAAGCGATTCTCCTGCCTCAGCCTCCCAAGTAGCTGGGATTACAGGCACATGCCACCATGCCAGGCTAATTTTTACATTTTTAGTAGAGACGAGGTTTTGCCATGTTGGCCAGACTGGTCTCAAACTCCTGACCTCAAGTGATCCACCCACCTCGGCCTCCCACAGTGCTAGGATTACAGGCGTGAGCCACCATGCCCAGCCCAAGATTTTTTTTCTTGCTTCTTCTTTTTTTTTTTTTTTTTTTTTTTTTTTTTTTTTTGAGACAAAGTCTCACTCTGCTGCCCAGGCTGGAATGCAATGGCACAATCTTGGCTCACTGCAACCTCCGCCTCCCTGGTTCAAGTGATTCTTCTGCCTCAGCCTCCTCAGTAGCTGGGATTACAAGTGCGTGCCACCACGCCTGGCTAATTTTTGTATTTTTAGTAGAGATGGGGTTTCACCGTGTTGGTCAGGCTGGTCTCGAACTCCTGATCTCATGATCCAACCACCTCGGCCTCCCAAAGTGCTGGGATTACAGGCGTGAGCCACTACACCCGGCTTTTTTTGCTTCTTTTTTTAAAAAAAAATTTGAGACAGGTTCTCGCTCTGTTCCTGTGTCTGGAGTGCAGTGGCATGATCATGGCTCACTGTAGCCTCGACCTCTCAGACTCAAGTGATCCTCCAGGCTCAAGCAATCGATCCTCCTGCCTCAGCTTCCTGAGTAGCTGGGACCACAGGCATGCACCACCACACCTAGCTAATTTTTTTTTGGTTTTTTTTTTTTTGTGTGTGTGTGTGTGTGTGTGTGTGTGTGTGTGTGGAAACAAGGTTTCACTCTGTTGTTCAGGCTACTCTGGACCCACCTCAGCCTCCCAAAGTGCTAGGACTACAGGCATGTGCCACCACACCCAGCCAAAAATTATTTTTATATGTGTAAAAAACTATTTCAAACAGATGAATATTTATTCTGGAAAGACTGGCTTTTTCTCTTTGCAAGATGAAAAGAGTTCCCTGATGGCCCTTAGATTCTGTCAAACAGAATCTGTGAGGACAGAAAGTTCAAAATGGGAAGCGCTTCGTGGCTCAGGACCTTTTAATGAGTAGAGAGTGAATGGGGCCTGATCAGTCCCTCTGGCTCACCAGCCTTTCCTAAGTGCACAGCAAACATGCTTGCTTCCTGCCACTCTCCACCCTCAGGTCAGGAGGTAACTGAGGTCTTGGCAGCTGCCCTTCAGTCCTTCCCCAAGCCGACTGAGCATCTGGAAGTTAAGCCAAAGGCCAAAAATGTCCTGACTTCCTGAGTAAGCACCTGTGAACTAATAGAAGACATGGTGAGGCCAAAGCAAGTGCTCAGGGGACATACTACTGCAAAGAACAGAGCAAAAAGAGTGATAAGAGATAAGGAGCGCCCAGAAGATCTTGTTCGGGGCCAGCCAGTGAATTCCCCTTTCTCTCTCCAGTCTCCAGTCCCCCAAATTTCCCATTGCAAGTGTCAGAGGCCCTTAGGTGCTTTTTTTTTTTTTTTTTTTTTTTTTGAGAGGGAGTTTTGCTCTTGTCGCCCAGGCTGGAGTGCAATGGTGCAATCTCGGCTCACTGCAACCTCCGCCTCCCGGGTTCAGGCAATTCTCCTCTCCAGTAGCTGGGATTACAGGTGTCTGCCACCACACCCAGCTAATTTTTGTATTTTTAGTAGAGACAGGGTTTCACCATGTTGGCCAGGCTGATCTCAAACTCCTGACCTCAAGTAATCCACCCGCCTCGGCCTCCCAAAGTGCTGGGATTACAGGCGTGAGCCACCGTGCCTGGCCTGGCTCTTAGGCTCTTGAGCTTGGAGAAGCATGAAGATGAGGGTGTTCTATGGCCTAAAAGAGAGATTTTTGTTTTTGATTTTTTTTTTGAGACGGAGTCTCGCTCCGTCGCCCAGGCTGGAGTGCAGTGGCACAATCTCGGCTCACTGCAACTTCCGAACCTCCACCTCCCAGGTTCAAGTGATTCTCCTGCCTCAGCCTCTTACAGGCATGCACCACCACACCCGGCTAATTTTATTATTTTTTAGTAGAGACAGAGTTTCACTATGTTGGCCAGGCTGGTCTCAAACTCCTGAACTCAAGTGATCCACCCACCTCTGCCTCCCAAAGTGCTGGGATTACAGGTGTAAACCACTGTACCCAGCCCCAAAAGAGAGCTCAGCTTTTTAAAGGCAACCAGTTGTAGGCTTTTGTACATGCTGTGGCCTTCCTTAGAATATTTTCCCTCCATCTTGTCCTGGCTTGCTCCTTTTAAAAAAAATTTTTTTAGAGACAGGATCTCACTATGTTGCCCAGGCTGGAGTGCACTGGCTATTCACAGTCGTGATTATTGCACACTACAGCTTGAAGTCCTGGGCTCAAAGAATCCTCTTGCCTCAGCCTCCCTAGTAGCTGGCACTACAATTGTGTGCTGCTGTGCCCAGCTACCTGGCTAGCTTCTATTCATTATTTGGATTTCAAATTATGGACCATTTCCTCTTAGAAATGGAACACCCACCACCCAACCACCACCACCCCACCTTCACCAACTCTCACCACTCCACCTTACTATTCTCCAAGAAGAGGTCAGAAGCCCTGCTCCCATGGCCCCTGTTATTCCCTTATCAGCACTATCCCACTCTAACAATTGTCTGTTTATTTGTCTACTCTCCCACTGGGATTTAAGTTTCCTGAGGTCAGGGACCATGACTGTCTTACTCACTACTGTATCTCTAGTACCAAGATACTGCATGATAGGTACTCAGAAAATGCTTGATATATGGATGAATAAAATGAAGGAATGGCAGAGAGGACAAGTGATAGAGATTTCCTCCACAAGTCTGGAGTGTGGTTCTCAGCAGCCTAAGGGGGGAGCCTTCCAAGCAAGGGAAAGGAGCACCAGGCTTTCTCCTCCCTTCCTCTTCCTTCCCACTCTTTCCCATTCTTTTGCCAGGGCACCGCCCCCCACAACACCCATTTCCACTTCTCATTTGGTGTGAGTTTGAGCTCCCTCTACTGACCAAACTTCAGAACCACAGGGAGCCAAGCCCAGGCACCCTTGCCAGTTACTCTTCGCTAGGAAGAGACCCTTCTACACCCCAGCACCCCCAATCTAGGATTCCTAAGGGACTGGAGTAAGGAGAAAACAGGGCTGGCCAACACACTGGAGAGTTCCAAGGTCTGAACCCGCACCTCCCATCCTCAACATCAGGAGCACTTCCCTCACACCCTCACCTCATGCTGTTTCCTGGGGTCTCCACTCCCAGACTCCTACTCCAGCTAATTCACAGAAATGTTGATTTCTGGAGCCTTTGGCTGATACATCAGCTCTGACTGTGGAAGACAGATCCCAAGATGGATTGAGAATAGATAGAAAGACAGATAGTGAAAGACAACATAGAGGTAAACCCACAGTGAGACAAAACAAAGATCAGAGTTGAGAAAGACAGCCCACTTGAGCTGAAGCCTCAGCCCTTTCCACCCACATCGAGGGCCCCTGTCCTATGAAGAAAGATTTCCTTCACCCCTTCAGTCTGCCTATGTCCATACACAGATAAGGGAAGTGACTGTTGATCAGATCTGCGGGCTTACTGGAGATATTATTTAGGGACAGCTCCTGGACAAGAACGCTCTCCCAAACCCTGACACATTCTCCTGAGAGGACCCAGCCTGGAGCTCACATCTTCACTGTCACTTCCACTGAATGAGTGTTCTGGCTCCAGCCCCTTCTCAGGGATGCTTCTCTCCTCCTCTGGCATCAGCTCATCCAGCCAGAGGAGTTCCTGTGGTGAGAAGACCCTCTCCAGGGCCTTTCGGACCCCCACAAGGCCCAGCAACTGCAGGAATAGAAACATGGCCCAGGCCTGTCAGCAACAGTAGTAGGAACATTAACAATAGTAACACTTATTGAGCACTTCCTATGTGCTAGGCATTGTATATCAGTTTCACTGAATGCTAGCACATTCCTATGAGGTAGATAGAATAAATTATTCCCATTGTACAGGGAAGGAAACTGAGACCCCAAGTGATTAGTTACTTCCCAGAGGTCACACATCTGGGATATATAAGCAGATTGATTCTACTGCAAAGCCTGTGACTCTTAACTTCCTCAATAAGAACAAGGCCAGAAGCCACCTATGTTATCACCTCACTGAGTAATAAAAGTGTCACCATTTCCTCTACCAAGACCTCAGATTTCTTCTGGGTTTTATATTCTTACCTGTGGCTGATCACTCCAAAGAGGTTGGGAAAAGAGGTGAATCAGGTATCCCAGGACTAGCCCATACATAGGTATCATCCTGCCATCTTTTTCTTTGTCTTAGGATTCCCAACCAGGGAGAGCCACAGCGAGTGAGAGGGGAGATTCTTCCTCTCGTGGAGGCCTTGGCCACCCTTCCAGGCTCAGAGTCTCCCAAGACCCTCCAGGACACAGCCCAACCCTGCCTCAGCTTACCATGAGGGGGAAGATGATGGCTGCAGGGGTAGACTTGATTATCCAAAGCAGCCCCAGACAGGCAAGCTGGATGGCTGTGAAGAGGTGGACCCTGGTCAGAGGCACATGCCGCAAGAGTAGCAGGTCTGGCTGGTGTTTTGCTGGCATCAACAACAGCTTCACCCTATTAGTGAACTAGGGGAACAAGAGGAAGAGGAAAGCAGGGCACTCAGGTAGCCTGATAGGAGGGTGTCACTGATAGCTATCATAGCCCAGCACTGGGAGCAGGCAGAGAGCATGGCAGCCGAGTCCCTGAGTCCAGGAGAGACAGGAAAAAGAGAGTAAGAGGGAAATTGGCAAGTGTAAGCAGGAGATGCCAGCAGAAAAGAAAAAAGGAGTAGGGTTGCTAGGTAATTTTGTTCTTTTTTGTTTGTCTTTTTATTCTTCTTTTTTCTTTTGTTAGGTGATTTTAATGGGCTCACCTGAATGCTGCTGAGCGCTGCCACCCCCATATACAGGAAGATGCCATAGAGCACAGGCATTGGAATGAACTGGTAGAAAGAAGCAGAGAGTTATCAAAGTTTACCTCTGCCAACCTCCCAGATGCCCCAGGATGCCCAGATGCCCTAGATCCCTCTAGCATCTAGCATCCAGGTCTGCCCAGGCCTTGCCTTTCCTTTCACATGTTTCATGCCGATCTTATTGAATCCTCAAATCAATTAGATGAAGTAAATGTTATTATTGCCTTCATTTTACAGATTGGGAAATTGAATTTCAGAGGGACTAAGTAACTTTGTCCATTACCTGGCCTACCATTCCAATCTTATCTATCACATTTCCTTCTGTTCTTTATGCTCCCACTATACTAACCGCCTTTCCTTCCCTCAACATGCCCAAGTTTGTTCCTACCCCTTGCAAAGCCTTTTGCTTTGCTATTCCCTCCACCTAAAATGCTCTTCCCCCAGACTTTCTCATGACCAGTTTATTCTTATTACTCATGCCTCCTCTCATGACACCCTGAAAGGTCTTCATTGACTTTTTAACTTCAGGCCCCATCTAAAGTAGCCCCTGGCACTCTTAATCATCTTATCTTCTTTTATTTTTCACAGAAGTTATCACTATCTAAAGTTATCCTATTCTCTTGTTTTAATTTGTTTTTTTGTTTTTGTTTTTTTTTTTTTGAGGTGGAGTTTCGTTCTTCCACCCAGACTGGAGTGATGTGGCTTGATCTCGGCTCACTGCAACCTCCATCCCCCCAGGCTCAAGCGATTCTCATACCTCAGCCTCCCAAGTAGCTGGGATTATAGGCACCCCCCACCACGCCCAGCTAACTTTTATATTTTTAGTAGAGATGGGGTTTCGCCATGTTGGCCAGGCTAGACTCGAACTCCTGACCTCAGATGATCCACCCGCCTCAGCCTCCCAAAGTGCTGGGATTACAGGCGTGAGCCACCGTGCCTGGCTTCTTGTTTTAATTTTTAAAAATCTTTCTCCTCTCACCAGGTTGTAAGGTTAGAAAAATGATTTCTTTTGAGCACCATTATATCCCCAGTACCTAGAACAGTGCGTGGCATGTGGGTTTTTGTTTGTTTTTTTGTTTAGGGTTTTCTGTTTTTTGGGATTTTTTGTTTTGTTTTGTTTTTTGAGACAAGATCTCACTCTGTTGCCCAGGCTGGAGTCCAGTGTCACAAACCTGGCTCATTGCAGCCTAGACCTCCTGGGCTCAAGTGATGCTCCCACCTTAGCCTCCCAAGTAGCTGAGACTACAGGTGCACACAACCATGCCCAGCTAACTTTTGTATTTTTTGTAGAGACGGGGTTTCGCCATGTTGCACAGGCTGGTCTCAAACTCCTGAGCTCAAGCAATCCGCCCACCTCGGCCTCCCAAAGTGCTGGGATTACAGGTGTGAGCCACCACACCCGGCCTAGCATATGGTTTATGCTCTGTAAATGTCTGTAAATGAGAGTCACCCAGTTAGTAAGTGGCTGATCCGGTCCATCTGGCTCTTTCCCTACTCCACTTTCACCCAGCTTCCATGACCTTTCCCTTCCCTAACCTCTTGTCGTCCTGCCAGTGACCCTTGTCTGACATTCTCCACACCCTCCTTGACTGCTTGCTGTCTTGGCTTGTTCAACCTTTTTGCTATTACTTGTTACTTAATTTTTGCTCATTTGTGTGTGTTGCTGGTAGGGGCTTAGTTCCATATTTCTTTTCAATATTCCACTGACCCGTACTTCTCCCAAGTGCCTAGCAGTCTTGCATATAGCAAATATTCCATATACCTCTGGTGAAGGAGAAGTGAAGGCTTTTTGCCTCAAAGTTTTTCTGTTGTTGTTTTTTGGTTTTTTTTTGTTTTTTTTTTTTGAGACATTCTTGCTCTTGTCATCCAGTGATCACCACCTACTGCACTCTCAAACTCCTGGGCTCAAGCGATCCTTCCACCTTAGGCACACACCACCATGCCCAGCTACCTTTTTTATTTTTTGCAGAGACAGAGTCTCCTTATGTTGCCCAGGTAGGTCTCAAACTTCTGCGCTCAAGTGATCCTCCCACCTCAGCCTCCCAAAGTGCTGGGATTACAGGCATGAGCCACCGCACCTGGGCTGATCATACTCTTAGTCTCAGGTTTGTTGGGAGGCTAGAGCAAGGGTAGCACTTAGACCCTAGGGGATGGTGGTGGCACACCCACACCTTGCTCCACTGGGTAAAAAGCCCATTGGATAAGCGTTTGAGTTCTCAGACAGATCTGAAAAACTGGCTCTTTTGATGGGCTCTTGCAAGTTTCTTTGCCTCTTTAAACTTCATCTGCCTCATTTGTAAGGTACATACTCCTTTCAGGGTTAATGTGAGGATTAAATGAGACCATGTATGGAGAAAACTTAACAGAGCACCTGGCACACTGTAAGTATTCAACTACTGTCAGTTCTTGCTGTGCTCCTATTATTACTACACTGACCCTGATCCTGGCTTGTATAACAAAGGTACCTTGAGCACAGGTGCCAGGAAGATGGAGGCTCCTGTAAGGATGAACACCACCAGGCCTGTCAGCCTCTGTTCCCTGTGGGGAGAGGGAGGAGTTAGCTGAGGTCTGGGAGAGTCCCTGGGGTATCCAGACTGGAGATCCTGGCTGAATACCAGTACAGACCCCGGCAGCAAGAGAAAACTAGAGGAATACCCCAGTAGGTCACCCAGAGGGATGAGCCCTTAGCTTGATGTGAAAAATTGGTGGAGAGGAAGGGGCAGAGCACTTCAAGGTGAGAGTCCCAGACCTCTCCATCAATTCAAGTTCATAGTTGCTCCTTATTTTTATTTTGATGGAAAATTAGCAATGTTTACACTGCCATAAAGACTTACATTTCACAATTTATCAAGTTGATTTCATATACTTTAGATACTTAGACTGTGCTTCCAACAGTTCCAAAATTGCTTTTATGATGGATTCCTTTGTAACTTCTACATTGAGTGAGGATTATTAGGTGGCACCTGACCCTCCACTTCAGCCCTGGCTGCCTCTACCTTTGCATGGATGATAATCCTCTTGAGGCCCCTCCCAGTCCCCATGGCTGAGGGGAGAGAGGGGAAGATCTGACTCACCCATCTCAGAGCCCAGAACTCACTCATTCTGCCACTGCAATGCTTGTGGGACACCAGCTTAGAATTTAAGCTGCCCAAGTAACTCTGCCATGTTCCCCTTTGCCTTACCTTGCTGCCCACCTCTTACTCCACTTCCTAAATACCGCCCTCACCTGATACCCAGGAAGTTGGGGCGCTCCCCGGGGGCACAGGCTCTGCTCTCTCTCCGAAGACTGTCCATGTGAGCCAGGGAGATGACAGTGGCTGAGACATACCAAGGCAGTCCAAGCGCTGATGTGAGTAGCATCAGCACAGCCACACAGAAGAGGTCCAGGTGGAAGCCAGCTCCCTTCTGCAGGTAGTGGTGGGGGCAATGAGGATGAAGCTAGCCCAGGCCCCAGCCCTCTGTCCTCTGAGGTAGGAGAGGAGGAGCGTAGACTCCCCTGGAGCTTCTGTCCCTTGGTCTTGGGCCTTACCCAGCAGGCCTTACCTGCAGTCTGTATTCCATGCGGTTGAGGATGACTGCTGTGATCTGTTGGTCCATGAAGATGAGGATAGACAGCAGCAGGGCAGGCAGGGCAGCTGCCACACTCCACCACCAGGGGTTGGCTCCAAAAGGTGACACCAGCCAGCCACGCCCAGGGAGTGTGGGCTGGAGGAGGGCATTTCATGGACAGGTTGGAGTGGGTCTCCCAAGAGCATCTCACCTGCACATCTCAACCTTGGCATTCTTCCACAACCTGCCCCCACCCCAAGTCACTAGATGCTAGTGGGCTGTGTGTGCATAGCTGGTTCAAAGCATCCCAGTGCCTTAAAAGACAGCAGATGGAAGGAGACCAGCCCTGAGGTCAGGCTGGAACCAGGGGCTCTGGACTTTGGTTCAGGGTCCCTCCCTCCCTGGAACAGAAGGAGGTGGCACATGTGGCCTACACACACTTCTTGATGTACAGAGCCCTGCTCCCTAGAGATCCCTCTCCCCCTATCCCGGGTGGGGCAACTCAGGCTCAGACCTGCCTTGATCTGAGGCAGGGACAGGGCTGGGTGTGTCTGTGTCCACGCTGATTACAAGCATATGTGTTGGGGAGGGGGCCCCAGTTGCTGCCCCAGCTGGATTCCTCCCTGCTCTCCTGTCTTGGGGGAATTTGGAGAGGAGGTCTCCAAATGCAAAGGCAAAGTCTAGAAATCAGTGCTAAGCCTTGTCCTGCACACTGTCATGCCCTGGAAAGGGAGTTCCAGCTTTCCTGGATCAGGGTAGGCAACGTGGGGTGGGAAGAAGAGAGTGAGGAGTAGTGGAGTGGGCAGGGCCACGCCAAGGGTGGGGCAATCCCGTAACAATAATAGCTAACATTTATTGAGGACTTGGTATGTGCCAGGCATGTGGTAAGTGCTTTCCACTGTGATCTTCTGTAAACCTCAAAACAATCTACGGGGTAGGAACTATTGTCATTTTATTATTTCCATTTTATAGACGAAGAAATTGAGGCTTAGAAATGTGCATTAACTTGCCTAATGCATAGCTGGGAAGTGGAAGAACTGGAACTCAAACCCAGGGCTGGCTGATCAGAACCCATTCTCTTAACCCATACCCTGTAATAATAGCTACCGTGTATTCTCTGTACTCACGTGTCTGCTGCAGTACTTCATTTAATCCTCATGACAACCCTGTGAGGCCATTATTATTACTATCTCTAGCTTATTAGTGAAGAAAGAAGCTTAGAGAAGTGTGGGATTTATTCATTTTCCTTCCCCATGGTCTGCTGGCCCTGCTTTCCCCTCTGGTCCCCCAACCCTCTTCCCTGGCTCTCACCTTGAACTCTCTGGGTACCATGAGCTTTGGTGTGGCTAGGCCCAGGAAAGCATCAAGGCCACAGCCGAGCAGGATGGCCAGGACTGAGGAGAAGTCGCTGAGCCCTTTGCGCACCTGGCACACAGTGGACACTCAGTCAGGTCCAGGCCTGCCATCTCTCTTTTTCCACACCACTTCCCATCACAGATAGGACCCAAAGCTTAGAGTCAGGCCTCTCCCACAGAAAGAAAGGTGAAACTCACCACAGAGGGGAAGAAGCGGCTGGTCTTTACACACTTGAGGGCCATAGCAAAGAAGAAAGAAGTAAGGAAGAGGAGAAGGGAGAAGAAGGCAATGTCTGGGACTGTATGACAGCCAGGGCCACGAGGGTGGCCTCCCTGCCGGGTGCACTCAGGTGGCGGCAGCAAGGATGCATTGATCAGGCCTAAGTCCTGTACACAGGAGGGTCAGGAGTGGAGTTATAGGCAATGGAGTAAATGTCCTGCTCTCCTGGACCAACTTCAAGGGAGGAGGGACCCACAGAGACACCAGGGGCCCAGGATGGGAAGTTCCCAGCTGTAGGAAATGGCTAAGCTTTACTCACCTATGAAGGTTTCCTTAACCTATGGGTAGGAAGAGCTAGAAACCACCGACTGCCTTGGTCTCCACCCTTTCCTTCCTAGAACCTCCCAGGAGCAGTCCCTCACCATGCTTACAATGTCGTCTCTGTCTTTTGGCCTTGTCCTTATCCATTGAGACTCATTTCCTGGGAAGCAGAGAAGAATTCAGATGTATGTTCCCTCCCCTGGGAACCTCCTCCAGCCCCATAAAATTCTTATCTGATGGGTCCAGGTGAACCAGAGTTCTTAATTGTGACTCATCTGTCTGCTGACTCTATCACTACCAAGTGTGCGAGAAGGACATTGTCTCATGCCCCCATCCTCTCAAATTCTCTACCCATCTGCATCCCTGGTACCAAGCACTGGACCTGGCCACAGTAGATGCTCAGCAAATGTTGGCTGAATAGAGGAGTATACAAATCTGTGTGTTTCCACCAGGGCTAGAACTGGTCTTGTTCATGCCTAGCACTGATAGGAGAACATATAGAGAGGCCACTTCTTCCCAGTCCTGGGGTTGCCTTCCATGTGGAGGGATATATGCAAGTGTAATACTCCAAGCCTCTCTCCACCTGGCCGGCCACTCTCACCCAGAAGAGCAGTGATATATTTGATTGGTGATTTCAGGAAATGAAGCTGGGCATACCTGGCCCTGCCCCTTTCTCTCCCCTCTCTCGAGTATAAGCTGCCTGTTTGATGTATGTATTTAGCTCTACTCCCCTGGGGTAAGATAGTCTCAAACCAGTGCTTCCACGACTGGTGGGTAAGTCTATTCAATTTTGGCTTCATCATTAGGAAGCCCATTCACCCACAGATATAACCCATGTTCCTTTATCAGTGTTGTCAGAAAGGAAGATGATATCAGGCCTTCTGTTGTCTTATTTCTCAATTGATTCAGAACCAGAGTGTAAATAGTACTGCCAGTTATTGGGTAAGTATGCAGCATTTTGCTGAACTTAACCAGGGGGGATAGTAAGGGTGCAGCCCCTCCCCTTCCCTACATCCTTCTTCACCTGACCAAGGTCCCTGTTTCCCTTACCCACCTCCTGGGCCTGGGTATTGGCAGAGGCACCCGTAGGCAGAGGACCCAGGCTTCTGGATAGGATAGGTATGGGTCAAGTTCAGCATTTTGCCCACAGCATCGTAGATGAAGATGAGGCTGATGAGGGCACAGAAACCTTCCTCAGTGAAGCGGGTGAAGTAGCGCACCAGCACACTGGCCTCTGTGGCCACCAGCACCAGGCAAAAGGTAGCCACCCAGATGCCCACCCATAGGCGGAAGGGCAGGTAGTCCAGGCTGTAATCTCTGTGGGGATGAGAGACAGGAAGGCTGGCTTAGCAGGGCTGTCTGCTTCCCACTAAACCCAGGTCAGGTGTCCCTCAACCCAAACAGATAGCTCCCACTCTCTCCTATTCACCCAGCCAGGAGCAGGCTGACCATGGCACTAGTGAGGGTCCGGTGATGGGGGGAGCTCTCCTACCTGCTGAAAGAGAAGAGCAGGCGCTCAAAGACCAGCACTGGCCCCGTGCTGCTCAGAATGGTGAGGGGCTGGCCTGCCATCAGGCAGAAGGCAGCTCCAGCCACTGCTGTGCCCAGGAAACTTTCCAGCACTCCCTGGAAGCCAACAGGGGCTCAGCACAGGACCCTGAAGTCCTCGGGGTCCTTTGAAGCTTTGGGAGAGCCTCCTTAACTTACCCATAGTCCCAGGGGAAGGGATGGACTAGGGGACACCAACGCTTGTGCCTGCCCCCTGGGCCCTACCCACCTGGGCACCATCAGTGGCATCTCCCAGCAGACCCCCAAAAGTGATGGCATTAGTGACAGTGGCCAGGTAAATGTAGAGTACGGCCGAGAAGCACTGGAGATGCAGGGCGTCCAAGAAATCGCTGGGGTACCACGGGACCTTCCTGCGCACGTCCTGGATAAGGCCCCCAAACAGCCTCCCGCCCGAGGGTCGTCAGTGATCCAGGTTTTCACACTCCACACCCGCATCCCCGCTACTTTCCCTGTGACCGGGTGAGCCCCTCCCACAGTGAGCACACACCTCAGTTTCCCTGTGACTCCTCCCCTCCCCCAGGTCACCTACCCTTGTTTCCTCCCAGCTCGCCTCACCTGCCGGTCCGCTGCAACTCCGGGCTGTGTGCGTGTGGCCCATGGCGGTGCCTGTCCTCAGCCGAGGTCAGGCGCGGGACGGCGGGACCTCTGATCTCCCGCTGTTGCGAGGGAAGCCTGAGGAGGAGGGGAACCCCAGGTTGGCTGAGGATCTCCAACCAGTCTGCGACTCGGTCCAGAGCTCGTGGCGCCCTGCCCCCTAGCGGCTGCTCTTGTCTCTGCCGGCGAGGGAACCATGGCGACACCTGGGCCTCTAGAAGGTCCAGGTCATATTGCGACCTGTGAAAGCCAGGCTCGGGCAGGGAAGGTCTTTGTTCAGGTCTCTTAGCGAGAGAGTAGTCCAGCAGAACTCAGAGTTAGGTCTGCCTGACTCCAAATCCAAAGATAGGTCCCTATCTCTTTCCTGGGACACCACCCCTCCTCAACAATGGAATTAGACCCAGGGCCTATATGGGCAGGAATCTGTATGGGATGATGGCTCCCAGGTACCTTTTGTGCTGAGATGGCAGACATTTGGGCGGGGGAATCCGGGCTGTTGGGTCCCACCGACCTGGGGGAAGCACTGTCACCTCCTCTAGGAATGCATCCAGGGCTGCCAGAAGGTCATGAAGGTTGCTGGCCCGACGAACTGACCACTGGAATTGCTGGGAATGGGGGCACAGAATGGGTGGTAAGTGCAAACCTGGTCTCTTACATGCATTTTCATAGTCTCAAAACTAGACAGACACAAGTCACAGAGGCAGACAAGTCATTCACACATTCCTTTATGCATGCATTAATTCATTCATTCAGTGGGTATCTATTGAGTGCCTACAGTGTGCCAGCACTCATCCAGTAATGGGGCTGCACTAGGAGACGAGGAAACTTCAGTCTCAGTGCTCACTGTGCCTCATTGCTGTATTTAGGGACACATACAGAGTCCACACACACACACTCACATGAGCCCATGCATGTATGCATGTGTGCACACACACACAGGCATGCACGCGTGCGCGCGCACACACACACACCTGCTCAGCTCACCGGGTCACTGAGGAGGACAGCTGCTGCCCGTCCCATCTCATGGTAGCCCTTTCCCAGCATACAGGGGCCCAGGAGAAGGCAGAAAAACCTGAGGAAGGAACCAGGCCCCAGAGATTCACAGGCTGCTTTCCCACAGGGCAGCCCTGGCCTCTGATGCTCAGCTCTGACCTATCAGCTCCCATAAACACACTCATTTGCACACCTACCATGCAGCCCTGACCACTACTCTCTCCCCAGACCCCTGAGCACCATCCTCCCCACAGCCTCAGAGAATCAGACTGAGACCCTCCTTCCCCTCCTCAGTAAAGACCCTTCTAGGTTCTGGGATCCCTGACTCCCACTCACTCAGTAGCCTCACCTGCTTGGGAGGGACACCTCAGTAAGGGACCCCAGTACCACAGGGTTCCGCAGTCGAACAAAGGCTCCCAGTGGCTGTGCCAGGAAGCCCAGCTCCCCTGCCAGCACAGTCCCTGCCTCAGCTCCTGGAGGTAGCTTCTGTCTCAGGGGGTTCTGACACTGGATGGGGGTTCAAGGAGACACAGAATATGAAAGGTTATTTGGGGAGGATAAGATCTCAAATGATGAGAAATCCAGTGGAGAGTAGACTTTTGTTAATTTCTAACCCCTCTCCCAGCCACTGGAAAGGGACCCCAAGGAAGGGCCACAAACCTGTTCCCTCAGGGGGGCTTCCTCATTGTCAGAAGCCTTTCTTGGATGAGTAGAGCCTACAAAACAGGATTATGCAGTGATTAAGACCACAGGCTTTGGGGGTGGATCCACCAGGATTCCCTAATCACTTTTGCCACTGACAAGCTGTAAGAATTAGAGTATACCCTTCTCCACTCTGAGCCACAGTTTTCTCACCACTAAAATGGGGATAATTGTGGTACTATTTACAGGGTGGTTGTGAAGATCAAATGAGATACTGTGAAGATCAAATGGTAGGCCTAGTGCCTACCAAGTACATGTCTTCACAGAACTCTCTTACGATTCTAGCCCCCTGAATCTTCTCCCCACAACATTACCACCAGTTTCCTCTTGCTCATGAGTCCTGGGTTGGAGCCTGAACTAAGCCTGGGCTACTTCTAGCCCTGGAAGGTGCAGGGGAGATCTGAGACCCTGCCACACCAGGGTCTTGGTCCTGGGCCCAGGGAGGGGCTCTCACCCCAGCAGGGCCTGGTGCCTGTGGTCTGGTTGTAATGCTGGGGTCTCTGCAGCAGCAAGGCCTGCAACTGCCCTCTCAGCTCTGGGCTCAGCGACTCCACCCTGGTCACCTGCTCTGGAGAATGGATTGGGGGTCATCTCCTTCCTGAGAGTTCCCTGCCGCACACTCTTCCCCTTCTCCCTCTGCCCAGACACCTTTCCCTTCTGGGAGTCTCAGAATGCCAGGGCCAATGAACTTGCTCCTCCACCCTGCTTTTCCATGTCCACCCTGTGACAAGGGTAGACAATCCTAGGAGGGGTAGGGATGGGCTCTGGAAGATTTCAAGACTTTGGAGGGGAAATCCTGGGGAAAAGGCATGGCTACCCAGGCCCTTCCTGCAAAGGATCCCAGCCTACCCACGAGCTCCAGGAGGCTCTGAGCTGGGCAGTCCAGCAGTACAAGGCCCTCGGCCAGCAGGCTGCGGAGCTTCTGGAGGCTGGGCAGTGCCAGGGTGGGCACGTGGGGGGCACTCCACCGGCCTGCAGCCACCTCCAACTTCTCCTCAAACAGTACCCACCTGTGATGAAGGTGGGTAGACAGTGTTATTGAGGGCATTTCTCCCATGTCCAGGAGCAGAGATGCAGAGGAGCTAGGGAAGGCAAGGCAATGAGGGCATCCTGGGCCCAGTGGTGTGAAGTCTCCCCCCCACCCTGGCAGTCACCCCTCATCTAGGGTCTTGGGGATCTCAAAACTAGACTGCAGAGGAGGCTGGGCATCATGGAAGGTAAGACCCTGAAATAAGGGAACACAGCTGGGAAAATCCTAATTTTGGGCAGCCCCATAAGAAGCGCTGGGGGACATATAGGAGGCTCCAGCTGGGGAAGGGGAAGGATCCCACAGAACTGGCCTGCATCCAACTTACCTGCCTGTCTCTCTCCACTCCAGCGCCTGGGGCCAGCCCAGCAGCTCATTCAGCTGAATGAAGAGCAGAGGGTCTTTGGGTACTCCCAGTTCCTTGCTCTCTGTGTCTGAGGGGCCATCAGGGCTGGGGCCGGTGCCAGGGTCAGGGTTGCTGTCCAGCTCCCCTGAAGGAATATTTCTAGGAGCACTGGAGGCTTCAAACCCTTCCTGGCCTGGCAGCTTCATTTCCATGAGGCTTGCACAGAATCTCAGAACCAGTACAGTCCTAGGTTCTGAAGCCAGGGGCCCTCTGGCTGGTTGCATTTATAATGCATCCCCCACTGCAGCACAACACAAACAGAACAAGGCCTGCTGACTCCAGACTCTACCGGTCACCTACTCCCCTACTTGCTTACCCCACCCCCTGCTGGCATAAGAGTATTTGTAAGACTAGTCTGGCCTTTCCCAGGCTCTCCAGAAATGCCCAACCTGGGGCCAAAATGTGTATGTGCATTTCCTGTGGTATCAGGTCTGATCCCACTGTGTTTTGTGTAAAGAAACAGGAGTAAATGATTGGCTTGGGTCTGAGGACTTGGTACCCCCAGATTTTGCTGCCCCCCTCACTTGTATCAAATATAAATACCAAACACCCAGGACTGTTTTGGGTGTCACCAACACACCCCTGGGGCCACAGACACACCTATTTGGACAAACAGGGACCTAATAAATAATTGAGTCCATGGAAGCCAGACAGGGTAAGGGAGATAGCAGGCAGAGGACCTGCCCATTAAATGGGATAATGGTGGAAGACCTAGTGTCTGAGTCTTAAATTCTTTTCTTTTCTTTTTTTTTGAGACAGGGTCTCACTCTCTCACCCAGTCTGGAGTGTAGTGGCACAGTTATAGCTCACTGCACCTTTGACCTCCTAGCTCAAGTGATCCTCCCACCTCAGCCTCCAAGGTAGTTGGGACTACAGGTGCACGCCACCATGCCCAGCTAAGTCTTTTATTTTATTTTATTTTATTTTTGAGACGGAGTCTCGCTCTGTCGCCCAGGCTGGAGTGCAGTGGTGTGATCTCAGCTCACTGCAACCTTCACCTCTTGGGTTCAAGTGATTCTCCTGCCTCAGCCTCCCAAGTAGCTGAGATTACAGACATGTGCCACCAGGCCTGGCTGATTTTTATATTTTTAGTAGAGACAGGGTTTCACCATGTTGGCCAGGCTGGTCTCAAAAACTCCTGACCTCAGGTGATCCATCCGCCTCAGCCTCCCAAAGTGCTAGGATTACAAGCGTAAGCCACTGTGCCTGGCTGCCCAGCTAACGAGTCTTAAATTCTTTTGTCCAACAACACTTAGGAATTCCCTAATTTAGCTGTGTCCCTGGGATCTGCCCTGTGAGGATGGAGGAGCCCACTAGGGGGTGTAAGTGAAGGAGTTCCTGGAGCTAAATGAGCAAAGGAAAATGTGGTCCATTATTTGCAAATCCTGTTGACTCTATCTTCAAAATATACCCATAATCCAACCACATCTCCCCACCTCCAGCACTGCTACCCTGATTCAAACAACCATCATTTCTCACCTGAATTATTTCAGTAGCTTCCTGGTCTCTTGTAATAACCCCCCTGCTTCCACTCTTCCTCCCTTGCCCAAAGTCCATCCTCCACACCATACATGTCCTTTCAAAAGGCAGTTGAGCCACATTACTCTTCGGTTCAATACTCACCCAACACACTCCCATTACTCCTAGAAGAAGAAGAAAAAAAAATCAAGCTCCTTGTCGTGGCCTGCAAGATTCACACCCTGGCCCCAACCCACCTCTCTGACGGCATCTCACACCAGCCTCCCCTCGCTCACTCCTTTCTAACCACACTGGCCTTCACCTGTTCTGCAAAACCTGTTCCTGCCTGAGGATCTTTGCAGGATCTATTTTCTCTGTAAGGAAAGCCTTTCCCCCATATCCTTACATGACAATCTGTGACCTAGGTCTCATCTCAGACGTTAGCTACTCACGGAAATCTTCCTTTTCCATCCTATCCTAAGTTTCTTTCTTTTTTTTTTTTTTTTTTTTTTTTGAGACGGAGTCTCGCTCTGTTGCCCAGGCTGGAGTGCAGTGGCATGATCTCGGCTTACTGCAAGCTCCGCCTCCCGTGTTCACGCCATTCTCCTGCCTCAGCCTCCAGAGTAGCTGGGACTACAGGCGCCCGCCACCACGTCCGGCTAATTTCTTTCTTTTTTTTTTTTTTTTTTTTGTATTGGTAGAGACGGAGTTTCACCGTGTTAGCCAGTATGGTCTCGATCTCCTGAACTCGTGATCCACCCGCCTCGGCCTTCCAAAGTGCAGGGATTACAGGCGTGAGCACCGCGCCCGGCCCATCCTACCCTAAGTTTCTCTCTTGGGTCACTCTCCATCACATTTCTCTGTTTTATTTTCTTCCTAGCAGTTACCACTACTAGTAACTGCCTCATTTATGTATTTGTTTATCATTTATTGCCTGACTGTCCACGCACGCACACGCTGAAATGCACAGTCCGTGGAGCAGGTATCTGTCTTGGCCGCGGCGCCTAGAGCGGCGCCTGGCACGTAGTGGCTCTCAATAAATACTTGTTCAATGAGAGCATACAAAGGACCGGGCTGAGAAAAGAGCCGCGCTTCTCCTGGAGGCCACACGAGGGCACTGCTCCCCTCAGACCGGATTGCTAGGGCCGCTCCCTTAGGCCCAGTGGCTGCAGACCTGCCGGGGCGCAGAGATGGAGATGCCCAGATGGCAGGGAGAGATCCTAAACCCTCAGCCTTGCCCTGGCCCACCGCGGAATGGCCCGGAGAGATGGGGGGTTGGGGAAGAACAACAGGATGGGGAAGGGAGGGCCAATCAGGCTCATCTGAATGTAGGTCAGCCACACCCCACATATTGAATACCAAGAATCCATCCCCTGAGAAAGGGCACCCAGGCCGGCCCTACCCCCAGCCTCGCGTCTGGTCCAAGGAGGTCCCAGGGCAGGAATTAGAAGAGCATGTCACTATATTTCCAGTTGGGGAGGGGTGCTGAGTCTGAGTGAGGAGGTGGTTTCAGTGCCAGGAGGAATAGAAACTGGCCTGCGGACTGAATGGGCCTTGAACCCCTGTGACCACTCCCTTCAAGAATGTGCCCCAACCTTACGGACAAGTGACTCAAAGGAGCCTGAGGGGGATGGGAGCAAGGATTTGGCGTGAGTACCTCCCCCACATGCACATACATACATGTTCCCTTCCCACCCAACTCCTGCCAAAGTTCAGAGTGTCTATCCTTGCCCTTTCTGTGGCCCCAACTACCCTGGCTCACAGTGCTGCCTGGAATAGGGGGCCACCATGCCTCCACCCTCCCCAGGTCTCACTTCCACCTCTGGGCCTGAGTGCCCTGGGCTGGGTAGGCTGGTGAGGGTTGGCCTGTGGGCACCAGTGGTCTCCCAGACAAGGCCCAGGGAAGATGTGCTGTGTGGGTGAGCAGCCCTGTGTGTGGGCGCTGGAAAAAACCCTGACCTAGGAGTTCAAAGACTGGGTTCTCATCCTGGCTTAGTCACAGACTTATTGGATGTCTTTGAGTAAGACCCTTCCCTTCTCCAAGGCTCCATTTTCTTACATGTAAGTGGAGACAGTTGGGGTAGATTATTTCCAAGGTTCAAATCATACTTTCATGCAGTACACTGGACCTTAAGTGAGAGGAAGTGGCCTCAGGAATAGGATGCTTGGCTTGCTCACTTTCGGCAAGTGGAGAAGAGGTTTATCTTTGCTGAATCTAAATTTTCCTTCTTTCTTTCTTCCTTTCTTTTTTTGACACAGGGTCTTACTCTGCCATCCAGGCTGGAGTGCAGTAGCAATCATAGCTCACTGCAACCTCAAACTCCTGGGCTCAAGTGACCCTCCTGCCTCAGCCTCCTAAGTAGCTGGGACTACAGGCACGTGCCACCAAGTCTGGCTAACTTTTAAATATTTTGTAGAGAGGGGCTCATATGTTGCCCAGGCTGGTCTCGAACTCCTGGGTGCAAGCCAATGGCTTCCCATAGTGCTAGGATTACAGGCATGAGCCTCCACACCCAGCCCCTTACAAGGTTTTTAACACTTTAAAAAAACAAAACAAAAAAATCTTATTGGCTGGGCACGGTGGCTCACACCTGTAATCCCAGCACTTCGGGAGGCTGATGCGGATGGATCACTTGAGCTCAGGAGGTCGAGACCACCCTGAGCAACATGGCAAAACCCCATCTCTACAAAAAATACAGAAAACTAGCAGGGCATGGTGGCACACGCATGTGCTGCTAGCTACTCAGGAGGTTGTGGTGGGAGGATCGCTTGAGCCCGAGAGAGGTTGCGGCTGCAGTGAGCCCAGATCGTGCCACTGTACTCCAGTCTGGGCAACAGAGCGAGACCCTGTCTCAAAACAAAACAAAACAAAAACAAACTTATTGTTTCACTCATTAAAAAATAAATATATAAATAAACATAAATTAAAATATTTATTAATGTGAGTCTAATTATAGATTCACAAGAAATTGCAAATCTCCAGCTTTCATCCAGCTTCGTCTGGTGGTAACTTCTTTCATGACAGTAGTACAATATCAAAACCAGAAAAATGACATAGGTACTATATTGTTAAATAGACTGCAGGCCTTAATCAGATTTCACCAATTTCCATATGCACTCATGTGTGTATGTGTGTAGCTTTATGCAATTTTATCACATTTATAGGTTTACTTACAACGAGCTGGGCAAATTGTGCAATTTCCTTAAGCCCAATTTATAAAACTAGGGTGTAAATACTAACTTCCTCAGAGGAGTGTTGTGAGAATTAGAGATAACGTGTATAAAGTGTGTAGAGGCCGGGCACGGTGGTTCACGCCTGTAATCCCAGCACTTTGGGAGGCAGAAGCGGTGGATCACCTGAGGTCAGGAGTTTGAGACCAGCCTAGCCAACATGGTGAAACCCCGTCTCTACTAAAAATACAAAAACTAGCTGGGCCTAGTGGCACATGCCTGTAGTCTCAGCTAGGCAGGAGAATCACTTGAACCCGAGAGGTGGAGGTTGCAGTGAGCCGAGATCATGTCACTGCACTCCAGCCTAGGCAACAAGAGTGAGACTCAAAAACAAAACAAAACAAACAAACAAACAAAAAAAGTGCTTAGAGCAATGCCTAAAATATAGTAAGCACTCAATACATTTAAGTTTTCTTTTCTTTTTTTTTTTTTTTTTTTTTTGGAGACTGGGTCTTGCTTTGTTGCCCAGGCTAGGGTACAGTGGTGCAAACATAGCTCACTGCAGTCTCTACCACTTGGGCTCAAGAGCTCTTTCCACCTCAGCATCCCAAAGTGCTAGGATTACAAGTGTGAGCCACCACACCCAGTGGCTTTCTTAAGAAGAAGCATGTTTTGAAAAGTGACTTAAAATACACAAATATTTCATGTTTGTTACAGAAGAAAAAAACAGAAAATGCCCATAGGAGAAAAATGCTTACAAAACATAAATTTTTTCATCATACCCTTACCCAAAAATGACCACTGTTAATAATTTTACTCACACCCAAAATTTGAAGTAGACTTCATTATCCCCATTTTACTAGTAAGAACACTGAGCCTCAGAAACATTAAGCAGTTTGCCATGGTCCCTGAGCCTGTGAGCCAGGAGCCGAGGTTTAATGCACACTCTTGCCTGGAGGAGCTCACCGCTGGGGGAAGCAAACAAGAGCATGAGAATTACCAATCCAAGGTAGACTAGGATGCCCAGCTGCTGCCAGGTACTGAGCACTTGCTGTGTTCTAGGTGCTGCCTTGGCACTGCACAGATTATCTCAGTGAGATAATCCTAATAGTGAAGCCCTCTGAGGTAGGTATCATTCCTACTTCTGAATGAGGAAACAGGCTCAGAGAGGTACCCTGCCCAAAGCAGAGCTAGGAGCGAGTACACCCAGGGTTCAAAACGGCATCAGTCTGATGCCTCAGCCTGAGCTTCAGAGCCTCTGCTCTGAGGGATGCAGACAGCGTGCTACAGGAGTGTGTGTTGTGTGGAAGGAGTCTCTCCACTTGTAGCTTTGGACTTCTGTGACCCCAGAGCTAGGGTGCCCTTCCTTGACCCACTCTTAACCCAGGCCACCAAGATCCAACCAAGACTTGGAGTGGGCTCTGATAGCTGGAATCTGCTTCGACTCCTCACAGTGCCCACACTCCTTCACAAAGGTGAAGACCGTTGAGGGGAAAGAGGATGAGGTGTCAGAGACATCTAGTCTGCAGGATGAGACCACCTGAGCCCACCATCAACTGCTCTGACTCAGGCTTTCCAGGCCCCTCCAACCTAGACTTCCCGACTCAGAAAGTACTAGGAAGGAGACTGCAGGTGCATGATATTTGAGTTTCACCTTCATTATTTATGCTCCTCCTACTTCCAGAAAAGATTTAAAGGCGGCTTACAATAAAAGACATAGATAACAAGTAAATATTTAAAGAATGGGCTGAGTGAGGTGGCTCATGCCTATAATTCCAGCACTTTGTGGGGCCAAGGCAGGAGAATCACTTGTGGCCAGGAGTTTGAGACCAGCCTGGGCAACATAGCCGGACCCCGCCTCTACCGAAAAAAAAAATTTTTTTTTAATTAGGCATGGTGGCATGTGCCTGTAGTCCCCAGCTACTCAGGAGGCTGAGGCAAGAGAGTTGCTTGAGCCCAGGAGTTCAAGGCTGCAATGAACTGTCATCACACCACTGTACTCCAGCCTAGGCAATGGAGTGAAACCCCAACTCTGAAATAAAATGAAAATAAAGAATGACTAGAGAGCCCCATAATTAAATCAAATTGGAAGGGAAAGAAATTGTCTGACTGGGCGTGGTGGCTCACACCTGTAATCCCAGCACTTTGGGAGGCCAAGGAAGGAGGATCACTTGAGTTCAGGAGTTGGAGACCAGCCCAGACAACATAGTGATATGTCATCTCTACTAAAAATAAAAAAAAAATTAACTGGGCATGGTGGTGCACCTGTAGTCCCAGCTACTTGGGAAGCTGAGGTGGGATGATCACTTGAGCCTGGGAGGTCAAGGCTGCAGTAGGCTGTGGTCGCACCACTGCGCCCCAGCCTGGGTGACAGAGCAAGATCCTGTCTAAAAAATAAATTATCCTCAAAATGCTGGGCTAAGGATAACGACTGCAACTGAGTCTCAAAACTTAACTGTGAGCTTCCTGGCAGTTGAGGCAAAAAAAGAACATATGAGTTCCACACCTGTTATTATCTAATAATAAAAGGAAGTACCTATACCAGATAGCCATGATAGTCAAGACTACATTACCAGAGGAATTTATTACATGGGACCTTATATGGAATAGTATCTGGAAGAGCACTTTTACAAAGGATATATAGAAAAGCTTTTTTTGTTGTTGTTCTTTTAGACACAGTCTTGCTCTGTAGCCCAGGCTGGAAGTACAGTGACACGATCATGGCTCACAGCAGCCTCAACTTCCATCTCCTGAGCTTAAGCAATCCTCCTACCTCAGCGTAGTTGGGACTACAGGTGCATGCCACCATGCCCAGCTAATTTTTGTCTTTTTTGTAGAGGGAGGGTCCCACTATGTTGCCTAGGCTGGTCTTGAACTCCTGAGTTCAAGTGATCCTCCCACCTCGGCCTCCCAAAGTATTGAGATTATAGACATGAGCCACCACACCCAGCCATAGAAAGGCTTTTCATGTGAGTATCTCTTGTGTCCGTGGTTCTCAATCCTTTCAGAATCAATATTTCATTTTTTTATGACAAATAATGTTAACACCCCTTTACTATCCTGAAATGAAGTTTAAAGATAATATCCTATCTGTACATTTACTCTAAAGAAATTAATACTGGCTGGGTGTGGTGGCTCACACCTTTAATCCCAACAATTTGGGAGGCCAAGGCAGAAGGATTGCTTGAGCCCAGGAGTTTCAGACCAGCCTAGGCAAAATAGTGAGACCCTATCTCTACAAAAAATTAAAAATTAGCTGAGTGTGGTGGTGCATGCCTATAGTCCTAGCTACTTAGGAGGCTGGGGCAGGAGGATCGCTTGAACCCAGGAGATTGAGGCTGCAGTGAGCCATGATGGTGCTACTGCATCCCAGCCTGGGCAACAGAGCAAGACCCTCTCTCTACAAAATAATTTAAAAAACCGTAATTAATATAAAAGATAAAATGATTTTTAAAATAACATTATTTCAATTGGCAAATGCCTGCTAACAACTACTCAGAAATCTCAATGAAGTAGCCCATTGATTACAATCACACAGATTTACCTTGAATGTCACAGCTATAAATACTGCCTGATAACAGGTGCATTGTATTGGTAGCTCAGATATCACCAAAATGAACAACTCACACTAATTTCATTCCTGGAAGTCATTGCAAAAACTCTTGTTATATTTTTGTGTAAATTAGAGATGATTCTAGGCTCAAGTTATTACAACCAAGCTTTTTACCGATATGTGTTTGGTAGGACACTCAAAAGCAGTCAGGTAATTTCCTGACCCCTTTTTCTCCCAAATGCCTGAGGACTCCCCAGTCAGTGACAACTAAATTCCTGAAATGTCCCCTAGGGGGCAGTATCTCTTTCTTTGCGAACCATTGTCTTAGACCAACCCTTAGTTAAAAAAACGAGCAAATGGATAATGTGAAATTGTTAAATTGCAGACCTGCAACTGCATTTCTAAGAGTAACCGAACTTGTACATTCCTGGTACAGAATGTGATGTGACCACATTCCAAGGTTAAGCACCAGAAAAGTTAACAGGAGCTCTGACGTATTTATATAGGGCTTTTCATTTTGCCAAGCACTTCAGAGATGCTATCTCCTTCAGTTGTCACAAGAACCTCCTAAGTAGATTGTTATTCTCCCCACTTATAGACGAAGAAGCTGAGACACAGAGAGAAAGGTTATCACATCCTGTAAATCAGGCACTGTCAATTGTTATAGAATTGTCTCCCCAAGTCTTTTTTTTTTTTTTTTTTTTGAGACGGAGTCTTGCTTTGTCGCCCAGTCTAGAGTGCAGTGGTGCCATCACAGCTCACCGCAACCTGCACCTCCCAGGCTCAAGTGATTCTCCTGCCTCAGCCTCCTGAGTAGCTGGGATAACAGGTGCCTGCCACAACGCTCGGCTAATTTTTGTACTAATAAATAGAGACAGGGTTTTGCCATGTTGGCCAGGCTGGTCTCGAACTCCTGACCTCAGGTGATTTGCCCACCTCAGCCTCCCAAAGGGCTGGGATTACAGGCATGAGCCACCGCGCCCAGCCTCCTCAAGTCTTTTGACAGCAACATGACAGCAAATAATTCATGATGGACATACTGGCCGGTGCCTGAATGCAGGGTAATTGTTTCAAGTTCTCATTTTTCACTTGAGGAATCTGAGGCTTGAAGAGAGAGATGGGTGTGTAATGAGGGAGGAATCACTTTCTCTCTGTGCTGGCCAACACAGAGGGGATGGCTGTAGGGGCAAAGTCCTTGGTCTGGAGATGTTAATCATTCAAAGTCACAAAAATGGGACCAGAAATAGAGAAGGATGGTTTGGGATCCAGCACATTATAAATATTCCTTCCTCAACATCTTCTGGAGATGACAGGGATTCCTGAAACCCCCTCACCTCCAAAAGCCTCCCCCTATCTCATCCATTCCTATCCTTCATCCTATTCAAATAGATCCTAGCCCCAAACAATCAGACAGCAGAGCCTGTTCATCCCTGAATATGCATGAAGCACGCTACTTCCAGGTGCCCAGCCAGCATAAGAAGGTACACGGGGGCTCCAAAGGGCAGGCCTGAATTCTAATCTAATCCAGCTGTATGCCCAAACTGTTTGATTAACTGTCTCAGATGGGGTGAGAGAAGCCAGCCTGGGCCAAGAAGCAATGACCCCTCATCCTGACATTCCAAGTTTGGGTAACTCTGGGCTCATGGTCAGACCTACCCTTAATGGAGGTGCCCTTCTTTACCCCTCTCCCCAACGCAGCAGAGTTCAAGGGCTGTGCAGGATTCACTTCTGGTCAGAGGGGAATGAGAAGGCAGCTGAATCCTCTCCCCCAGGGGGCACAGCTTCCCTCTGACCTCTGAGCCTGAGTTGCTTTTTTGGGTTGAGGTTTCCAAAACTCTGGGTGGCCTTGCAGATCTAGCATCTCTTTGATAAGCATGGCCATCTCCCAGAAAGGAACACTTCATCTCTGAGGATGGCTAGCTCATGATAAACCAACATTTTATTCAAGTTCCCACTTAAAAAGAAAAAGGAAAGAAAGCAAGAAAAAAATTTGGTCATAATAACCGCTGTCATTGAGTAAGTACCTACTATGTGCCAGGCATCATATTCCGCTTTATACACATGATCTGACTGAATCATCACAAAAGCCCTATAATAATAACTACTATTATTGTCCCCACTTTTCAGGTGAGCAAACTGTAGGTAAGAGAAATTGAATAACATGTTCAAAGTTAGAAAGAAAAAAAAACCAACAAAATTTGAACCCCCAAGTATCTGACTCCCAAGACTGTATCCATTTCATTAGCTGCCCTGCTGTGCTTACCTAAGCATCCTTCCAGTCTAGTGAGCCAGAGTTTCTTATTATCCCTCAGAACAGATGAAGGACTGAAACTCAGTAAAACTGATAATGTTACCCTCCACAGAAGCATAGAGATGGCGGCTGTCGTCTCATCCATTTGAGTGTTGAGCTTAGGAGAGCACAAGCCCAAGTGAACGAGGGGGTTTCAAATTGAGGCTGAGACACTCACTAGCTGGGTGACCTTGGGATGTTACCTTTTAAAGCTTCAATCCTTTAAAATGCAGATGATGATAACAGTGTCTAGTTTGGGGGATGTTGTGAGGATCAAGCAAGATAATGCATGTGCAGTGTTGATTACAGGGGAATTGTCACCACTAGCACCGCTTTCTTCCAGGTCCTCCCCACTGGGGAGCAAGTGCTCTCTCCAAATCAAGAACTCTGGCCTAGCAGTGAGTCAGCAGCACTCAGAGTCCCATGGAGCCTGCCTTTCCAGAGGCCCAGGAAACTCGCATGGGCTGGGAAGCAGGATGCCAGGGTTTCTGCTCTGCACTTGCCCCCTTCTGACTCACTGGTGGCCCAGGGCTAATCAGTCTCCAAGCCTCAGTTTGCTCATGGTCAATAGACAGTCAATAAAAGCAGGCTTGTCTGTCTGAACTCTACTTCCTTAGGACTATGTTCCTGGCATTTGACAACCTGACATCCAGAGAGCAGGTGGGGGAGACCTGAGCAGGAGGAGGGGACAATATGGAGGAATCCTGCATGACAGTGCTGTCTCATTGACATCTCATATGATTCTGACAATAATGGGGCATAAAATCCAGTGTCTACCTTGGCTTATAACGTCCTCTTTTATCTGTTGCTAGCCTTTGTTCCAATATCATCCCATATCTCTCCTTTTTTGGCCCTCTTGCTTTTCCTTGAATGCTCCCAACTTTTTTCCATTTCAGAGTCTTTGCACTATTTGCACATCTTGGAATGCTTTTGTCATAGATGATCCCAAATCTGATTTCTTCTTCTCATTCAGGCCTCAGCTTACATGTCACCTGCTCAGAGAAGGCTTTGCTAATCAGTTTAAAGTGTCATCCTGGGCACTGGAACATATTATCCTACAGCACATCATTGTATTTTAACTTTCATCTTAGCAGTTATCACTATAGGATATGTTTTTCCTTGTTTATTTCCTTAATGTGCTGCCTGTCTACTATAGAATATAAGCTCTGTGAAAGCAGGTCCTGGGCTGTCTTATTTATTTCTATGTCCCCAGTGCCCCCCAAAAATGTTCAGTTAATGTTTATGATATAATTGAGTTAATGAGATTGCCTCAGCATGAATTGTGATTCCTTTTCTTTGCTCAGAGACATCCAAGATTCTGAGAGGGGAAGTGACTGTCCCAAATCCAATTCAAGCTTTTTATCTTCTTTTTTCAGGCCCTTCCTGTAAAACCTGGCTGACACACAAACCTAGCTGGGGTGAGGCTCCAGGTGTGATGAAAGTTTGGAGTTGCCCCATGAATGGGACTGAGGCTGATGTGGGGGTGAGAAGGCGGAAGGACAGAGCATGTGAAGGGAGAAAGGCAGGCTGGGGCAAGAGAGCAGGGTGTGACTCTGGCGAGGGTGGGGGAAAGGGGGTGATTTGACCATGTGTCAGGAAGTGTTTCTCTCCACCCTCCCCTGGGGAGAGCCTTGACCCCAAGGTGGCTTTGTTTTGGGGAAGCAGGTGGCCAGGCAGCTGCTGAGGGAGGGCAAAGTCATGGCTTGGGCGGTGACCATGCACTGAGGTCCTAGGCCCGATACTCATCACCCAAAAGGATAATCTAACAGTGGCTCTTAGCCAAATAGGTGACAGGTGAGCTTCTGTCTGAAACCAGCCCAACTATATCATAAAGCCTCAGATATGGCCTAGGGGAAGGCAAGCGATCTAGAGAAGTGAGAGAAAAGAGGCCTCTAAGGAAATAGAGTGGTCAAGTGCTTAGTGATTATTATTAACAGCAACAATAATAATGGGTCACATTTATTGAGAGCTTATAGTGTGCCTGGCACTATACTAACTACTTTTATGTGTTCCCGCATTCATTTCTCAAAAAGCTCCCTACAAAGTAGTCATTATTATTATTGTTATTATTTTTTCCATTTGAGAGACGTCAAAACTGAGGCTCAGTGAAATTAAGTTTCTTGTCCAAGGTCACACAGTAAGTAGCAAAGGCAGGATTCAAACTCAGGTCTGTAGTGATTCCAGTGCACTATGGAAACCTAGGCCTAGGTTACTGGAGCAAGTTAAGAGGGCAGGGCCAGACTGACCCCTGCAAAGGTGGGGATAGGGAGGGACAGTGGGATAGACTGTGTATAAATAGCAGGCCTGTTTTTATCCCTACACACAGGCAGAATCCGGCAAGTGCTCTATCTGGCACAATTTCAGGGCTCTGAAAGCCAACCCAGCCCTGTGTCAAACAACTCTCTCCCCAGCACGTCCCTGGAAACTGAAATACCTACTGAGACACTCATTTCTTTGGGTCAGGACAGTGACTCCAGAAGACCCCTGCAAAAGCACATGGGTTGGAAGAGAAACACCTAGTGTCTGTGAAACAGCAATCTAGGTTAGCCAGCTGGGTCCTATGGGAGGGTGGCTCATTTTTTATGTTGAGGAAAAAGGTGGCAGTCAAAGGCAAGGAAAAGAATAAGGCTTGTTTCACAACCTGTGTCTCTCCAATCTCAGAAGCCTGGGAATTACAACCCATAGTTCAAAAATCCTAATGTCCCCTGAGGGAAGATGGGAGGAAGCCACTCCAGAGACTAAGAGAGTACTAACTTCCTTTGCTTTTGCTGGATTGATACTAAGTGCCTGCAACTTCAACTCTGGTTATCTCGGGTTTATGAGAACGGCTGGCATTCACGTGTCTAATTTTTAAATGATAGATGAATTAATTATTATTTGATACTTGCCGTGTTGGTAGGCCAAAAGGTGGGCTTCTGAAACTTAGAGGGTGACAGGGATGGAGACCCCTGGTATGGGGCTTAGATGAAGCAAGAGGCCAGGCCCGGAACAGAACTCAGCTCAGCAGTCAGTCACAAGGCTGCAGAGTGACAGGCGTTTGGGGAAAGGTAGGAACCGCTCTCCGCCACCTGCCGGTCAGTAGCCCTACCCACAATCAGGCCGCGGCTGCCTCGGCCTGGTCCCAAAAATTGTGAACGCCGCCCTCTCCTCCCGCCCAGTCCTCCGCCGCGCCCGCGGGGTCGGGGGCTGCGCTGCCGGCGCCGCGAGCCGGGCGAGCTTCCCAGCACGGGAGGAGGGAGGGGGCGGCGCCGGGCGGGGCGGAGCTTCCGCGCCTCCTGGAGCCTTATTCCCGGCCGCGAGCCGGGCAGCGCTCATTCGGCCGAAGGAGCTACGCGGGCCACGCTGCTGGCTGGCCTGACCTAGGCGCGCGGGGTCGGGCGGCCGCGCGGGCGGGCTGAGTGAGCAAGACAAGACACTCAAGAAGAGCGAGCTGCGCCTGGGTCCCGGCCAGGCTTGCACGCAGAGGCGGGCGGCAGACGGTGCCCGGCGGAATCTCCTGAGCTCCGCCGCCCAGCTCTGGTGCCAGCGCCCAGTGGCCGCCGCTTCGAAAGTGACTGGTGCCTCGCCGCCTCCTCTCGGTGCGGGACCATGAAGCTGCTGCCGTCGGTGGTGCTGAAGCTCTTTCTGGCTGCAGGTAAGAGGGCTGCCGACGCCCCCGGAGATCGGGGGGATGGGGGCGTTGTGCTGGGGGCATGGGGGAAGGTCGCCGCAGCGCACCCGGCACGGGCCACTTGGTGGGGCCCTTGCGCTCTGGCGGACGGGCGTCGGCATCGGTGCGTGTTGGTCAGGGGTCTGGGCGGGTGTCTGATGCGGCCTGGCCTCTCGCCCGCAGTTCTCTCGGCACTGGTGACTGGCGAGAGCCTGGAGCGGCTTCGGAGAGGGCTAGCTGCTGGAACCAGCAACCCGGACCCTCCCACTGTATCCACGGACCAGCTGCTACCCCTAGGAGGCGGCCGGGACCGGAAAGTCCGTGACTTGCAAGAGGCAGATCTGGACCTTTTGAGAGGTGGGTGTGGAGGCCCCCCATCCTTGGACCTTGGTGGGCTGTTGAAGAATAAGCAGATCCAAGATTCTTGCTGTTTGGGCAATACTGTGGGTTGAGGGTATTCATGGAGAACCTCGGGGAAAAGCTGATCGGCCTGATGGGCACTGGGGGATCCTGGAATATAGGTCCCACTCTCTCTCTCTTGTCATTGCCTCACCTGCTGGGTTGCTGCCCTTCTGGGTACTCCGGGGCAAATTGAATCAGACGTGTTGTCTGGGGTTGTTACGTTCTTCTTAGGTAAGCTGGGTGATAGGAACAAGGAATGGTTGAGATGCTTTCCCTAGAGCTACTATGTAAAAATGGGCGCCAGTTCTAATTCCCATATCAAATGACTATTATATATAAAATAGAGGTAACACATGCGGAGATGCCCAGGCACATCTCTAGAAAGTGTGCAGTGTTGGCCTCCTCCATCCACCTGTCTCCAGATTGGGGAAACAGAGGGGAATGAGGAGCTCTTGGCCGCCCTAGATGAGGCTGTGAATGGTGAGCACTGAGCCCCTAGGGGGCTGTATTAAAATGCTGGATATCTGTGAATGCTACCGGAAACCTGCAGCTTACTGAGCACCTTGCATTCCTGAGGAGACTCCAAATGGGGAGGGCTGTGTAGGATCCTCCAACCAGCCTCTTTGGCTGTGGCCAAGTACAGGTACAGGGCAGAGTCCAGAGCCTGCCAGCTCTCCTGCCTCCAAACCTGAGGAGATTATCCAGAGTAGAGCAAGGACTCAGCACTGTACCCTGGAATGACTATATTTGGTTGGACAGATGCCCACCTGTTCTAGTTCCACCTGCTCCTCAGCTGCCCTTCTCCCTCATTCCCAGGAGCTTTCCTTGGATACTCTCTCTACTTTGTATAAATCAAGCACATACTCCAAAACTGAGCCTGGGCTCCCATACTTCATCCTCTCCCAGTGGCCCTCTGGGGTTGCCCATGACCTGAACAGCCTGGATTCTCCTGGCCCTCTCCTCCTAGGCTGGGCAGGGCTGGGCTGTGACTCACCCCACCCCCACCCCCCACCCACACGGCTGCTCCTCTTACCTCTGCAGACCTGACTCACTGCTCCCTGTCCATGGCAGGAGCCTGGCTGTCACCCTGCACCTTCTCCCTCCCCTTTCTGATTGGCTTGGCCCCCCTGCCTTGCTCTCCCCGAAGCTCTGGTCACTGGGTTCCTCTGACCACCTGTATCACCTTCTGAGCTCTGAGGGGGCCTGGGACTGGATGAGAGGAAATGAAAGACTGTGGGGGCTGCTGGCACCTACTTCTCTTCCCTTCTTTTGGCTTTGCTGGGCAAGGACTATTTTTCAGGTCTGGGGATCCTACCACCTAAAATAAATGACTGCTACCATTTATTAAATTCCTACTGTGTTCTAGGCACTTGATATGTTATCCTGGCTAATGTAACACTTATAGCAACCTTTTGAGATAGTTACTTTGGCTATCCACATTTTACTGAGAACCTGAGGTTCAGAGGAGTTAAGTGACTGCCCACAGTAAATAGCTGAAATTGGAGCACAGGTCTATGGACTTCAGAGCCCATTCATGCCTGGATCAGCATCTCAGGTGCTCTAGACTTGTGAGAGGGAGGAGATGGGAGTGTGTGAGGCAGCTTGGTGTGGTGAGGAAGGACATTGGAGTGAAGTCCAGAGAACACAGTTCTAATCCCAATCCTGCATGACCTTGAGTAAGTCACTCTGCCTGCCATGAGTTTTTTCTTTTTTTCTTTTTTTTTTTTTTAAACATAGTCTCACTCTGTCACCCAGGCTGGAGTGCAATGGCACGATCTCAGCTCACTGCAATCTCTGCCTCCCAGGTTCAAGTGATTCTCCTGCCTCAGCCTCCTGAGTAGCTGCGATAACAGGCACACACCACCACGCCCGGCTAATTTTTGTATTTTTTGTAGAGATGAGATTTTTGCCATGTTGGCAAGGCTGGTCTCGAACTCCCGACCTCAGGTGATCCACCTGCCTCAGCCTCCCAAAGTGTTGGGATTACAGGCGTGAGCCACCGTGCCTGGCCACATGGTATTCTTTGAAGTCCCTCTAGCTTGAGACTCTAAGTCTCTAGTCTAACGTATCATGCTTACCCTTCTGTAAGACACATGGCTGTAGCCATGGATGTGGGCACCTTTTTCCTGATGGGGGATAAAAGGGTGGGATTGGGCTGATAGGCATAGTCCCTGGTCAATCCCAGCTGGATATCTGGGTGAGGCTGTTTTTCCCCCAGTCTCTCTGAAGCATGGAAAGAAGGAGGGAGTCATCATTGTTCCAGTTCCTTCTGGACAGTTCCTTACTTTCCATTTTTCTATCCCTTGTACACCCTGTACCCCCCAATCCAGAGAGCTATAAACAGGACATTGGGGGTTAAATATGAATGAATCTTTGAGAAAGTGGGTGAGCTGTAAAGGGTATGCAAGTTAAATATTTTGCTTGAAGTTGAAAAAGCAAGGCCGTGACCAGGGCTGGCCTGCTTGCTGTTCCTGAGCCAGGCTCTGCCCTGGGCTCATAGTACTAAGGGGTGCCCCAGAAGAGACCACCTGAACACATGGACACTGTTCTTATATTAGGAGCCCTCCAACCCCAGAACCTCCAAGTACCTTCTCTAGAAGCAATTTTTGTGTGTGACACTGTCTTTCTGCAAGTGGTTCACTGAGTACAGCATCAGGAAATGAGGCTGATTGAAGGCCAAAATAGAATGAAGTGGGTGTGGGGGAGTAGGAGATGGGGGTGTAAGGTGGACAGTGGGGTGGAGGTGAGGTTGGTAGAATTGCCCAGTTACTCAACAAAAGCATTCTGAGAATGAGGCTCTTACACAGAGACTGTGAAATGCCTTCCTTGGGACCCACCCTAGCTTCTACTTCCTACCGAGGTTCCCTCTTTCTGGTGGTTCTGCCCAATCTTCCTGCTCTTCCTTCTGCCTCTTAGGAGGCACTGAGCTAAGGGGCCTTCCCAGATCTCTGACTTCAGGTGGAATCAAAGCATATATACTCCTTTCAAGCACTATGCTCTTCTGATTTTCTTCCCAAAGAGTCAGACTTTAACAGAGTGCTTTTCTCCTACAGTCACTTTATCCTCCAAGCCACAAGCACTGGCCACACCAAACAAGGAGGAGCACGGGAAAAGAAAGAAGAAAGGCAAGGGGCTAGGGAAGAAGAGGGACCCATGTCTTCGGAAATACAAGGACTTCTGCATCCATGGAGAATGCAAATATGTGAAGGAGCTCCGGGCTCCCTCCTGCATGTAAGTGCCCCTTCCCCAGGGCTGAATCTCATCAGCACACTTTGTCAGCCACGTGGCTGTTCCTCGTTGTCACTGTTCCTTGAATTCATAATTTCACCCAGTTTCTTCTCAACCTCTGGGCGGAAGTTGGGAGGAGGGGAAATATATTTTTAGTCAGCGGAAGCCCCCTCCCCCCTATAGGATGCAATTTCCTGTGGTATGGTTTTGTGACGTGCTTTAATCCTTGGGGACATTTCCTGCTTGCCCAGAAATGAGCATGTGGCTAGGACAGCTGGCACCTGAAGGCAGGCCCTTAATTCTTGCCTGATGCCCTACTCTGGGAGGGAGAAGCCAGTAGGAAACATGGCAGAGTGGGCTTCCAGGGCAGAGTAGAGCTCCTGTGGGAAGGTAGGAAGTGCATTTGGATGCATGATGTATAGGTATGTGTGTATTTGGGTTTATGTGCATGTAAGTGTGCAAATGTGGATTGACTGTGAGGCATGGCAGGACTGTACAGAGAGGGATCATCATGGCGGCAGGTTGAGGCCTCTCTTTCTTCTTCCTTATCCCAGCAAGGACGAGGAGGTGGGAGACATGGAGAGTACTGGCCTTTGGCCACGTTGTGAGAGAACAATTCCTTTGTGCAGGGTTCACAGGAAATGGAACCTGACCCATTAGGCATCAGCCCCCGGTCAGGCAACATCACCCCTTCCCTGGGTAGGTGTGTGGGTGGAGGGGCTGTGGGTTCCTTAGCCTCTCTCCTAAGCCAAACCCAGCAAACGGCTGCCTTGGCAACCCCTCAGGGATGACAGCACTGCCATGCTCTCTGGCAGGCATAATGTTGCCACTGTGCCTGAGGCCAACACCCTGCGTCAGGCTGCAAACATCCATTCCCTTCCCTGTGGGGAGGGAGGCTCTGGGGGCCTTAGTGGGAGACTCTGGACAGGGCCAAGAGACTGTTGTATGCACACTGCCTCCAGCCTGTCAAGAAGGCGGCGTGCCTGGCATCCCTTCTACTGGTGATTGGTGCAGATCCCTTAGCTTTTTAAAGCTTCCTTGTTTTGTCTGATCACACACAGCAGAGCTGCCCTGTATTTGGCAGTTGGCAGACAGACCCATCACTCCCCACCATGTCCACAGTCACTTGTGCATCCTTTCCTATAACATCCTTGTCAGGAGCTTGGTATTAGAGGGAGTTGTTTAAGAGTGGCATAGAAAGCCCCCATATTATCCTTCCCAAGGTCTTGGGACAGGGTGGGAAATGTTCATCTTAAATTTGTAAAATGGCATCATTAGTACAGGGTGAAGAAGGTGACTCAAGTAGTCAAGGTGGATTGAGGTCAGGAATCTGTCTATACCAGATTGGTCCTGGGCATTTTGGTGGATGGATGTGGGGCTTGCACTGTGTGGTTGAGAGGCCTTATAAGGTTGCCCTCCTGGAGAGCTGGACTCGGATGACCACCTAAACCCAGAGAACCTGATATGGGTGCCCAGGCCACCTTCCCAGTGGTCCCTAGGGATAGTGATAACTATAATGATGTCATATCTCCTTTGTCCCAGAGTTTCAGTGTTTATATATAATATGAGTTGAGCCCAAGTATGTTGAGCCCCTATTTGGTGGCAGACACTACTTTAGGAGCTGGAGAGATATAGTTTCCTGGGATTTTTCAAAAGCCCTCTGCTGAGTAGGCAGGACTTGGTACCTCTACTTGAAAGGTGATGAAACTGGAGCCAGAAAATAGGAAGTAATTTGCCTGAGGTCAATAGCTAAATAAGTAGTTGGAAATAAGACAGAGTCTCAGTACCTGACTCCTAGTCCAACATGCTTTTCATGCCCTCAAGCTGTACTGGGTGTTGGCTTTCATCTTTCTTTCCTGTATCTGTCCTTATAGAGTTGGAGCAGCATTTTATAGAGGGCAGAGGGCAGCTGTTGTCCTAGAGGTCTCTTATTCTTTTACTAGTCTAACAGCACAGCAATCTGATTTGAAAACTTTACATTAACTTCTTGGGCAGAATTTTCTTTTTCTTTGTTCTTTTCTTTCTTTCTTTCTTTTTTTTTTTTTTTTTTTTTTTGAGACAGAGTCTCACTCTGTCTCCCATGCTGGGGTGCAGTGGTGTGATCTCAGCTCACTGCAACCTCTGCCTCCTGGGTTCAAGCAATTCTCCTGCCTCAGCCTCCTAAGTGGCTGGGACTACAGGCACCTGCCACCATGCCGAATTAATAATTTTTATATTTTTAGTAGAGACGTAGTTTTGCCGTGTTGGCCAGGCTGGTCTTGAACTCTTGACCTCAGGTGATCCGCCTGCCTCAGCCTCCCAAAGTGCTGGGATTACAGGCATGAGCCACCATATCTAGCCTTTTTTTTTTTTGAGATGGAATCTCGCTCTGTCACCCAGGCTGGAGTGCAGTGACACAATCTCGGCTCTCTGCAGCCTCCGCCTCCCAGATTAAAGTGATTTTCCTGCTTCAGCCTCCTGAGCAGCTGGTATTACAGGCACATGCCCCCACATCTGGCTAATTTTTAAATTTTTGTGGAGATGGGGTTTCACCATGTTGGCCAGGCTGGTCTTGAACTCCTAACCTCAAGTAATCAGCCTGCCTTGGACTCCCAAAGTGCTGGGATTACAGGCGTGGGCCACCACTTCCTGGGCAGATTTTCAGGGGGTTGATTGCATGTCTGGACTGGCCCCCTACTGCCTCCTGCCCTTGCTACTCAGGGCAGAAAGCAGCAAGAAGACAGAAATCCTGGTTTGGGGGAATGTGACATCTGTGCACGTTCATCTGGGGATCTTTGTGGCTCTTGTTTGACTCCAGACCCAGGAACCACTAGCCAGGGTGTGTCCAGGCTGCTGTGGTGAGCCTGAGGCTAGCTGGCTTCCTAAACTAGCCCTCTGCAGCCACCATGAACAGGAAAACCCTTTTTGTGTCACCAGCCAAAAGTTGCCCTCAAAGAGTAGTTTCTGCTGGGCACAGTGGCTCACACCTGTAATCACAGCACTTTGGGAGGCCGAGGCACGTGGGTCGCCTGAGGTCAGGAGTTCGAGACCAGCCTGGCCAACATAGAGAAACCCCCGTCTCTACTAAAAATACAAAAATTAGCTGGGTGTTGTGGCGGGCGCCTGTAATCTCAGCTACTAGAGAGGCTGAGGCAGGAGAATCTCTCAAACCCAGGAGGCAGAACTTGCAGTGAGCCGAGATAGTGCCATTGCACTCCAGCCTAGGCAACAAGAGCAAAACTCCATCTCAAAAAAATAATAATAATAAATAAATAAAAGAGTAGTTTCCTGGGATTCCTGACTAGTTGCCTACCCAGAAATTGGCTGCAGAGTTTCCTGTGGCTGGAGGAAAACTGGGGACACTTGGGCTGAGGAGGACTCAGAGCTGGAGGAGAGACAGGCTAGGGGGCTCTACTTGGCCTCACTGCCCAGGTGCTAAGAAGGAATGGTGATCCCGCTTCTCTTGTCTCCATCTGACTTGGGTGCCCCATTCCTCAGGCCATGGGCAGTAACCTCTGGAGTCTGATTATGTAATAACTCACACAATGTGGGACTTGGCCTTTATAAAGCCCTTTCATTTGTATTACCTCATTTTATCTTTTCACAATACTCTAGTGAAGTAGGCATTTCTTATCCCTGTGTTTTACATGAGGAAACCAATGTTTAGAAAGGTAACGTGACTTGCCCAAAATTACCTGGCTAGAAATAGCAGCAGAACCAGTCTGGAACTCATGCACTCAGTCTCCTCCATCCAGACGTGTCCCCTCCACCTCCTGGGGTAAAGGTGGAGAAATCCAGTTTGGAAGATGTCTCTGGACCCTAGAGGGTTCTTGCATCTGTTGTAATACAAGTTCTGAAATGGGTCACAGACGTGGGTGGGAAGAATGTGTCCTAGTCTGGTGGGTGGCTGGCTCTGGACAAGACACAAAATTTTGCCCCTACCCTGGGATGCTTGGAATGTACTCATCCCCCCTCCTTCTCTGGGGAAGCCAGGAGTTGTCTGCAAAGGGAGGGGGAGGTAGGTAATATTAGGATGTTTACATTATTATCCTTTTGACTCAGGGTGGGGGTGGAGGGATTATGTAACTGAATTGCGGGACTCTGAGGCCAAACTTTATTTCTATCTTCTGAGTAACTACCTGTGGAGTTTGAATGATGGACTGGAAGTGAAAAACAGACTCAACTTCAGCTTCCCTCCTCCCAGGAAAGCAAAGTCTCTGAAGTCATCCAGACTGCTGTTGAATCCTGGCTCTACGACTCACTAGCTTTGTAACCTTGGGCGAGGTGTTTAACAAAAGCTAAGCCTCAGTCCATCTTTAAAATGGGGCTAGTAACTTCTCCTTCACAGAGCTGGCTTTAAATGAAATAATTCTTGTAAAGCAGTTAGCACAAAGTACTTGGCTCATGGTAAGCCTTCAATGATTGCTAATTATTATTCTTTATTATTCAAGTTATGAGTAATAAATAATAATAACATAGTCAGAGAGAAGGGTCAGACTGCCCCCCAGGAGCCTATCAGATATGCTTCCTTGGAGTTACCTGCGCTATCCTGCATTGTTCAAAGTGGAAGGAATGATGAATTTGGAATCTGCCAAGACTTGTTCCTAGTCTTAGCCCTGCTGCTTCCTAGTTGTGCCACTTTTGGTGAATCACTTAATTTCTCTGACCCTTAATCTTAGCTTTTCCATCTGTAATATGGGGTTGTACCTGCCTACCAGAATGTTAGGAGGCTCAGTTGAGCTAGTAGATAAGGCTAGTGGCTTGTGAATGGTAAACTGCTGTGCACAAGTGATTTTCCAGGGGTGCTTGTGCAAGTGTCCTCTATGTCCTGGCAGGATAGGGGTCGCTTTTAGGCCTACATGGGCTGATGGGACAGATACATGGAGAGGCTGGGCAAGGAACTGTGGACTGTGCTATACGTATAGTGGGCCTGACCTACATTTATCCTGCTGTGAGGTGGTTTCTCGAAGTACCCAGGAGGAACTAGGGCAGGGAGAGGCTCAGGGCAGGAAAGCAAGAATGCAGTACCACCCAGCCTGGCCCCTCTGCCACTGCTGGTTGTGGACAAGTCTGTCTCTTGGAGCTTCCCTGGTGCTCTGTCCGCAGGAAGAAGGGATTCCTTGTTCTGAGGTACCAGAGAAAGCACCTCCTTCCCAGAGAAAGCACAGCTCAGAAAAGAGGGCCACCAGGTTCTTGGTGCTTCCTTCAGCAGCTGGTGGTCTAAAGTCCTCAGGCAGACAGTGCCACTGTGCCCCCTGGCTGGATGGTAGGCAGTTGTCAGGTGTGAGTGGGCAGCACACTGAGCTCAGAGTCAGACAATCTACATCTACATCTTCATTTCTGTCTTACTGTGTGACCTTGGGAAAACCACTCCACCTTTCTGTAAAACAGGGCTCCTACTTATATCAAAGGATCTCTGGGATGCTCAGATAAAGGAAAGGATGTGAATGTGCTTCTTCAACTGTAAGCACGTCTGAGTCTTTCTAAGAGCTTCAAGGAAATGCTTTGTGTTAGAAAAGGCAGTTGCCAGCCCGGTGTGGTGGCTCATGCCTGTAATCCTTGCACATTGGGAGGCAGAGGCGGGTGGATCACCTGAGGTCAGGAGTTTGAGACCAGCCTAGTTAACATGGTGAAACTCCGTCTCTTCTAAAAAATTACAAAAATTAGCTGGGCGTGGTGGCGGGCACCTGTAATCCCAGCTACTTGGGAGGCTGGGGCAGGAGAATCACTTGAATCCGGAGGTAGGGGTTGCAGTGAGCCAAGATTGCGCCACTGCACTCCAGCCTGGGAGACAGAGCAAGACTCTGTCTCAAAAAAAAAAAAAAAAAAAGAAAAAGAAAAAGAAAAGGCAGTTGCCATGTGATTTATTTCTTGAGTGAGAAGAGCCAAGGGATTGTTTCTGACAGTCTTCCATGCTCTGGCAGGGCAGCTGGGCAGAAAGATGTTTCTTGATTTGTTTGGTTTGTCCTGTGATGAAAGAGGCCTGGTAGCTCAGCGTGCAGAGGCCAAAGGCCAGAGTTGAGCTCCCAAGTTGGGCCCTGCACCCAGGGGGAGCTGGAGTTAAATGAAGGAAACTTGAGAAAAACGACTCCTGGCAGAGGCACAGGGCCTATTAATAGGCTGGACAGCAGTGGAGAGGGACTGGACGCTGGAAGCACGATGGGGAAGGCTGGGTTTATTTCTGGGTCAGAATGTTGAGGGGCCTCACTGGAGGGAGTGATACGAATTCCCTCAATTTAGCCTACCAGCTCTTGTGCCCAAGCCCTCATAAGTGGCTTAAACAGAACGCCTGAACACACATGTCATAAATCAGCCACACGTGGAACATATCTAGCTGAGGCCTTCAAGTCCTCCCTTGCTTTTTCCATGCCTAGAACAGGATTCTCAGCCCAGAGAACCAGAGGAAATGGAAAAGGGGAGGGTGTCAAGTGAGAGAGGAATGCTACAGAGCTTTCAGAGGGGCTTTAAAGAGTTTTCTACTAGAGGAGAAGGATGGAGGATGGGCAGGGATCGTGGTCAGGGATTGACAGGCTGAGGGTATGAGGAATGGGGTTTGGCTTATGCAGGTGGGCCATTGCCAAGAGAGGCCAAAGCACTAACTCCATCTCCTTCTTGTTCTGTCTTGAACTAGCTGCCACCCGGGTTACCATGGAGAGAGGTGTCATGGGCTGAGCCTCCCAGTGGAAAATCGCTTATATACCTATGACCACACAACCATCCTGGCCGTGGTGGCTGTGGTGCTGTCATCTGTCTGTCTGCTGGTCATCGTGGGGCTTCTCATGTTTAGGTGAGTGTTGGGGTCCCCTGCAGGCTGTTTCTGCAAATCACTCCCTTTCTTCCTCCTCCTGGGCCCTCTCCTTGATGGTCACATGCACTTCCCTCAATCTTTCCAAATCATGGGCTAGCTCCGGGGTGTAGATTCTCCAAAAACCTGGTATTTCTGGCATGACATGAGTCCTGTGTCTAGAGCCCAGGGTCAAATTTGCGAGGCCATAGCAGGTTCTGCTCCTCACAGGAGTTCTTTTCCTGCCTCCATGACCCAGCTACCCACTCATGGAGTCACTTTGTCACACATTTCTTTCTCCTGGCTGTTCTTTGATGGCATTAGTATGTGGTTTGGTAGTCAAGGTGTGGGTGGTGCTAGTGGTATATCCTTCCACTTCTGAGGCGTCTGGACCTCAGGCCCTGCTTTCTAATCCAGGTATGCTCTAGCTTGGGAGACCCACCAAGCACTCTATGCCTGTTTTCTTTCTTTCTTTTTTTTTTTTTTTTTTTGAGACAGAGTCTTGCTCTGTCGCCCAGGCTGGAGTGCAGTGGTGTGATCTCGGCTCACTGCAAACTCCGCCTCCTGGGTTCACGCCATTCTCCTGCCTCAGCCTCCTGAGTAGCTGGGACTACAGGCACCCGCCACCACACCCAGCTAATTTTTTCTATTTTTTAGTAGAGACGGGGTTTCACCATGTTAGCCAGGATGGTCTCGATCTCCTGACCTCGTGATCTGCCCGCCTCGGCCTCCCAAAGTGCTGGGATTACAGGCATGAGCCACCGTGCCTAGCTCTATGCCTGTTTTCAAGCAGTGTAACTCATCTGTCATGAGACCTGGAACAAGTTACTGTCTTTCTGAGGATTGTAACCTTGTAGTGATTGTAATGTTTGTCCATCTACCTCATAAGGATGTTGTGAGGATCACGTAAATGAGGTGAAAGCTATTTGTAAATTGCATCCTGCTATTAGAGACAGGAGTTCCTCGGGGCAGTTGGGCCTTTGACCAGAGTTTGGGCTGCCCTACTGCCTGGGCTTTTCCAAGTAGTAGAGGAAACCACCATGGCAGAGTTCTTTGGAAGGACCTGCTCTGGACCTGCACTTTGTCATAGCAGGCAGGGCTTATTCACAAAACTTATCTTCCTCAGGTACCATAGGAGAGGAGGTTATGATGTGGAAAATGAAGAGAAAGTGAAGTTGGGCATGACTAATTCCCACTGAGAGAGACTTGTGCTCAAGGTAACGCTCCATCCTTTGCCCCATGACATGATTATCCTTTGTCCCCTTTCCTGGCTGTGCTTCAGTGGGTGCTGAATTCTTCATATAGGGGTTGGGGGCCAGGCTACTGTGACATTAATATCCCATTGCAGAATTATTTTCAAAAAGACTCAGTGCTTCACTTAAGGTAAAAGTTGCTAGAGAGACACCTAAGAGAGATGCCTGAGAGGACAGCTTCTCCCACCCTCATCCCCTCCCTTCCCCTCCCCTCTCCTCCCCTGGGAGACAGAGTGAAACCCTGTCTCAAAAAGTTTAAAAATAAAAAAGACTGGACCAGGAAAATCTTAAGACTTCTTTAGACTGGACCTGGCTTTACATGCCTTCCTTTTGTGCTTTAGGAATCGGCTGGGGACTGCTACCTCTGAGAAGACACAAGGTGATTTCAGACTGCAGAGGGGAAAGACTTCCATCTAGTCACAAAGACTCCTTCGTCCCCAGTTGCCGTCTAGGATTGGGCCTCCCATAATTGCTTTGCCAAAATACCAGAGCCTTCAAGTGCCAAACAGAGTATGTCCGATGGTATCTGGGTAAGAAGAAAGCAAAAGCAAGGGACCTTCATGCCCTTCTGATTCCCCTCCACCAAACCCCACTTCCCCTCATAAGTTTGTTTAAACACTTATCTTCTGGATTAGAATGCCGGTTAAATTCCATATGCTCCAGGATCTTTGACTGAAAAAAAAAAAGAAGAAGAAGAAGGAGAGCAAGAAGGAAAGATTTGTGAACTGGAAGAAAGCAACAAAGATTGAGAAGCCATGTACTCAAGTACCACCAAGGGATCTGCCATTGGGACCCTCCAGTGCTGGATTTGATGAGTTAACTGTGAAATACCACAAGCCTGAGAACTGAATTTTGGGACTTCTACCCAGATGGAAAAATAACAACTATTTTTGTTGTTGTTGTTTGTAAATGCCTCTTAAATTATATATTTATTTTATTCTATGTATGTTAATTTATTTAGTTTTTAACAATCTAACAATAATATTTCAAGTGCCTAGACTGTTACTTTGGCAATTTCCTGGCCCTCCACTCCTCATCCCCACAATCTGGCTTAGTGCCACCCACCTTTGCCACAAAGCTAGGATGGTTCTGTGACCCATCTGTAGTAATTTATTGTCTGTCTACATTTCTGCAGATCTTCCGTGGTCAGAGTGCCACTGCGGGAGCTCTGTATGGTCAGGATGTAGGGGTTAACTTGGTCAGAGCCACTCTATGAGTTGGACTTCAGTCTTGCCTAGGCGATTTTGTCTACCATTTGTGTTTTGAAAGCCCAAGGTGCTGATGTCAAAGTGTAACAGATATCAGTGTCTCCCCGTGTCCTCTCCCTGCCAAGTCTCAGAAGAGGTTGGGCTTCCATGCCTGTAGCTTTCCTGGTCCCTCACCCCCATGGCCCCAGGCCCACAGCGTGGGAACTCACTTTCCCTTGTGTCAAGACATTTCTCTAACTCCTGCCATTCTTCTGGTGCTACTCCATGCAGGGGTCAGTGCAGCAGAGGACAGTCTGGAGAAGGTATTAGCAAAGCAAAAGGCTGAGAAGGAACAGGGAACATTGGAGCTGACTGTTCTTGGTAACTGATTACCTGCCAATTGCTACCGAGAAGGTTGGAGGTGGGGAAGGCTTTGTATAATCCCACCCACCTCACCAAAACGATGAAGTTATGCTGTCATGGTCCTTTCTGGAAGTTTCTGGTGCCATTTCTGAACTGTTACAACTTGTATTTCCAAACCTGGTTCATATTTATACTTTGCAATCCAAATAAAGATAACCCTTATTCCATAGCCTTTTGTCTGTTTGTTTTAACCGGGAACTGGTTTAACTTAGTTATTTCCTAAGCCCTGACTTGGTGGTAGGCTCTATACCAGGCCTATTTATGTATACTACCACAACAATTCTGCGATGCAGGTACTATTACTGTCCCATTTTTCCAGAAGGGGAAACTGAGGCTCAAAGTGGTTGTGTAACTTGCCTGAGGATACACAGCTAGTAAATGACAGAGCTGGGACTAGTAGTCTGGCTCCAATTATTTTGTCTTAGTACTTATACCATGCTATCTCTGAGATAAGAAAGAACAGATCTTTCGCACAGCATGTTTAGCTGGCTGTAATCAGGGAAGATATCCACCCATTCAGTCAACAGGCCCTGGACTCAGGATCTACTCCTATGCTGCACATATGAGCAGGCATTGCTTCTGGCAAGAACAAGATGTCTTTGACTACCCTATCTTGCTCCACAGCCAATCCATCAGCAAATCTTGTCAGCCCTACCTTTAGAATACATGCTGTATGCAACCACTTCTCATCACTGCCACTACCATCACCCAGTCCAATTTCGCATCATCTCATGCCTGCACTTTTGTGATGGCCTCTGCCTTTCTAGTTCCATCTTGCTTCCATATAACATATTTCCAGTGTAATAGCCAGAGTGATCATGTCTTTCAGATCTTGTCTGCTCTGCAGGCCTTCCCTGACCACCGTATTAAACAACAGCACATTCCTTCTCCCATCCTACTCTTACTCTTCTTACATTGCTTTTTATCACCACTAACATATTCCTATTTGTTTATAGTCCATCTCCTCCTATGAAAATGTTAGCTCCATGAGGGTAGGGGTGTGTACATTGCTCCTCTCCTAGATTCTAAGACAATGCAATTGAGTGGTAGGCACTCAATATTTGTTACCTGGATGAATGAATGTAGGAAATACAATTCAGTCCAATGCCAGCAAGTGGACAGACATGCAATCCAATGCTGCCCTGAAAGTGTGATTGGATTAGAGAGGGGTCTCTGTTGGGGAATGTGGATGGTGGTGACAAAATGAAAGTGGAATTTGGGGCATGTCATGTGTCCTGGTGGATTGGACAGTCCATCAAGTGGACTGGGGCAGTGCAGTAGCACTGGACAAGTGCCACTGGGCTGCCCCTTCCTCATCCTCTTCCCTTGCAGAGTTGTGATATTCTGAAGTTTCTCCAGGAGCCCACACGGAGATCTTGTATATACTTGGAACATCCTTTCAAGACTTTAGGCACTAGTAACTATTGAAGCTGAACATATGCATACCCCAGGAGTAATTCCACTTCTGGGGATTCAAGAGAAATGAGTGCATATGTTCACCAGAAGATATGCACAAGAGGCTGGGCACTCTGGCTCAAGCCTGTAATCCCAGCACTTTAGGTGGCTGAGACAGGTGGATCATGAGGTCAGGAGTTCGAGACCAGCCTGGCCAGCATGGTGAGACCCCGTCTCTATTAAAAATACAAAAACTTAGCCAGTCATGGTGATATGTGGCTGTAGTCCCAGCTACTTTGGAGGCTGAGGCAGGAGAATTGCTTGAACCTGGCAGGTGGAGGTTGCAGTGAGTGGAGATCGCGCCATTGCACTCCAGCCTGGGCGACAGAGTGAGACTCCTTCTCAAAAAAAAAAAAAAAAAAAGATATGCACAACATTAATCCAAGCATTATTTATAATAACTAAAAACTGGAAACCATCCAAATACCCATCAGTATTTGATGATAAAAATGAATAAATTGGGGATATATCTATACAGTGAAGTACTAAATAGCAATAGGAATGAGTTGCAAAACATATTGCTCAGTGAAAGAAGCCAGATTCACAAAAAAGTATATACTGCGTGATTCCATTTACTTAAAATTTAAAAACAGGCAAAACTATGGTGAAAAAAAATCAGGAAAAAGACTCCCATCGTGATCAGTAAAGACTGGAAGAGAGGGACTTCTGGTGTTCTGATAAGTTGTGCCATGGTTGGGATGCGGGCTACACGAGCGTATTCACTTTGAGAAATTCACCAAATATGAATTTTTAGGGCCAGCTGTGGTGGGTCACATCTGTAATCTCAGCTCTTTGGAAGGCAGAGGCAGGAGGATCACTTGAGCCCAGGAGTTCAAGGCCAGCCTGGGCAACATGGTGAAACCCTGTTTCTACAAAAAATAAAAAAATTAGCCAGGCCAAGCGCGGTGGCCCACACCTGTAATCCCAGCACTTTGGGAGGCCGAGGCAGGTGGATCACCTAAGGTTAGGAGTTTGAGACCAGCCTGGCCAACATAGTGAAACCCCGTCTCTACTAAAAATACAAAAATTAGCCAGGCGTGGTGACAGACGCCTGTAATCCCAGCTACTTGGGAGGCTGAGGCAGGAGAATCTCTTGAACCTGGGAGACAGAAGTTTGCAGTGATCCGAGATCGCACCATTGCACTCCAGCCTGGGCAACAGAGTAAGATTCCATCTCAAAAAAAAAAAAAAAAAAAAAAAAAAATTAGCCAGGCATGATGGTGTGTGCTTGTAATCCCAGCTACTTGGGAGGCTGAGGCAGGAGGATCACTTCAGCCTAGGACGTTGAGGCTGCAGTGAGCTGTGTTGTACCACTGCACTCCAGCCTGGGTGACAGAGTGAGGCCCTGTCTAAAAAAAAAAAAAAAAAAAAAATTTAAAAACTTGAATAGGGAACTCCTTTGCTATTTGCATTGCATAAAGTTCTATGAAGTACCAATGTATTATCTGTGGTAATCAGAGAGAATAATAAAGACATCAGAAATAACTGGAGTAGTGAGTTACTTTGAACTCTCCTGGGGCTCCCTTTCCTGCTTCCAAGCTTTCAGTCTCAAGCTCTTGTCCTGAGCTGGGCTTTTCCAAGCACACTTTGTTTCTCCAGCTAATGTTTCCTGCAGGCTCAGGGCTTCCTGCCTTTCAACTGCTCGCTCCTCTACCCCTGTTTCTCATGGGAATTCCCTTCAGCAGAGGTCCTCTGGAGCTCCTCTGGGCATCTTCTTGGTTTATACAGTGGCCCTAGGAGCCTCTGAACCTGCAGCCATTTCTCAAGACGGGCTGTCAGAAGAAATCTGGCCCTCCCTGAGCACTAAAAAGCATCTACCTCTTCTCTCTGGGCTCCCCTTTCAGCCTCCTTTGAGAAACTTTCTTTTATAGTGTTCATAATAATCATTATTCGCTTAATAAACATTTAACATTTCATGGAATGCTCAGTATGTATCGCACACTGGGCTGCACACTTTACAGGCACTATCTCATTTACATCTCAACACAACTTACTGTATCCGTGTTATAGATGAGGAAAATTGAGAAGCAATTGAGAGATGTTAAATGTATGCCTAAGGAAAGTGGTAAAGGCAGAATGTAAACTCAAGGAGCCTAATTTTCAAACCTTCACTGTAAACACTAAGCTACATTCCTAAATGAGCTCTCTGTCCCACAGTTGTTTTCTCTTTTCCCATATCCAGAAATAATATGATGGAGAAATAATACTAACAGGAACTTAATGGCTGGACACAGTCGCTCACACCTGGATTCCTAGCACTTTGGGAGGCTGAGGCAGAATAATCACTTGAGGCCAGGAGTTCGAGGCCAGCCTGGGCAACATAGTGAGACCCTCATCTCTACCAGAAAAAAAAAAATGTAAACATTAGCCTGATGTGGTGGCATGTACCTGCAGTTCTAGCTACTTGGGAGGCTGAGGTGGGAGGATCCTTTGAGCCCAGGAGTTTGAGGTTGCAGTGAGCTATAATCACACTGCTGCACTCCAGCCTAGGCAACAGAGCAAGACCCTATCTCTTAAAAAAAAAAAAGAAAGAAAAAAAGAAAAAAGATCTTAGAGAGCAACTCCTTAGAGCTCAAGGGTTTCTGGGGCCAGAACAGTGGGTCATGTCTGTAATCCCAGCACTTTGGGAGGCTGAGGTGGGCAGATCATTTGAGGTCAGGAGTTTGAGACCAGGTTGGCCAACATGGTAAAACCCTGTCTCTACTAAAAATACAAAAATTAGCTGTGTGTGGTGCTGCACTCCTGTAATCCCAGGTACCTGAGAGGCTGAGGCAGGAGAATCACTTGAATTCGGGAGGCAGAGATTGCAGTGAGCCGAGATCGCACCACTGTAATCCAGTCTGGGTGACACAGCAAGACTCCATCTCAAAAAAAAAAGAGTTTCTTCTGTTGCCCCCAGTTAACAGATTCCTGAAAGGTGGCCCAAGAGGTCTTGTCAGGGGGAAGTGGAAGAAAACAGGAATGCAGACTGACCTAAACGTGTGGCTGAATCCAGCTCCCACTGTTATCAGGGAAGTGCCCTCACACGTGACACCTAACCTCTCTGAACCTGTCTCCCTGTCTATAAAATAGAGACACTAAAAATATTTACCTTAAAGAGTTGCAAAAATTTTATGTGTGCCTGGGCACAGTAGCTCATGCCTGTAATCCCAGCACTTTGGAAGGCCAAGGCAGGCGGATGGCTTGAGCTCAGGAGTTTGAGACCAGCTTGGGCAACATGGAAAAACCCCTCTCTACAAAAAATGCAAAAGCTAGACAGGCTTGGTGGAAAGCACCTGTAAGTCCCAGCTACTTGGGTTATTGAGGTGGGAGGATGGCTTGAGCCTGGGAGGTCGAGGCTGCAGTGAACCGTGATTGCAACACTGCACTCCAGCCTGGACAAGGGAGTGAAATCCTGTCTCAGAAAAATAAAAATTATATGTGTGAGTAAAGTGCCTAGCTCAGGGCCAGGCATGAGCTAGATACTCAGTTAATGTTGGTTATCTTAAGCGACCTGTCCAAGGAGCTAATTACTTACTGTAGTCTCACATCTAGGATTAAAACCCAGGCTTCTGATTCCCAGTCTACAATTCTTTCCTTATAAACAAACAATCCTTTTCTATCACTGTTTCATATTTTAATGTCAACTTCAGTTTCAAAGGAGCCCTAAAGGGTCTTAATAAGTATCTCTGGATTTAAGAAGCCATGGAACAGCAACTCTGTACAAAAATATCACTTCAACTCGGCTGCCCTGAAATTCTTCCCTTTGTCAACAGTGCCTGAAATTCAAGCTTCCTGTTTGAGAATGCTAATCCTCCTGGGAATAGCTATGCATTAAGAGGCTGGCATTCTTTGATGGTGTAATTCATTTCAGCTTCATTCATTCAGCAAATGTTTGTGGAGGTCTCCCTATCACCTTCCGAATGAGATCCATGCTCTGAAGGAGAGGGCATTTTGACAGAGAAAAGAAAGAGAAGTGATTTTGGAGCAAGGACATTAATTTATTCACCCAAAAAATTCACTGGGTACTGATAATGTGCCAAGAACTATTCTTTTTTTGTTTTGTTTTGTTTTGTTTTTCTGAGACAGGGTCTCACTCTGTCACCCTGGCTGCAGTGCAGTGCAGTGGTGTGATCACAGCTCATTATAGCTGCGACCTCCTGGACTCGAGCAATCCTCCTGAGTAGCTGGGACTGCAGGAACACACCATTACCCCCGGCTAATTTTTGTATTTTTTTGTAGAGACAGGGTCTCACTATGTTGCCCAGGCTGGTCCTGAACTCCTGGGCTCAAGCAATCTTCCCTCCTCAGCCTCTCAAAGTGCTGGGATTATAGGCATGAGCCACTGCGCCTGGCCGCAAGTACTATTCTTGTCACTGGAGAAGAACCACGGACAACACACGGCATGGACCAATAATACATGCATAGATAAAGAAACAGGACAGTTTCAGAAATAAGTAACATGCACATACACACACACCAGTGGTGTGCTCAAGAGTAGGTGGGTACAGAATTCATTTATGTAGGTGCCTCAAGGAAGCTCTCTCTGAGGAGGTACCATCTGAACCGAGACAGGAAGGGATCATGCAGGTGAAGGCCCTGAGACAAAAATAAGCAAAACGCCAGGCGCAGTGGCTCATGCCTGTAAGCCCGGCACTTTGGGAGGCCGAGGTGAGTGGATCTCCTGAGGTCGGGAGTTCGAGACCAGCCTGGCCCACATGGAGAAACCCCATCTCTACTAAAAACACAAAATTAGCCGGGCTTGGTGGCACATGCCTATAATCCCAGCTACTTGGGAAGGCTGAGGCAGGAGAATTGCTTGAACCTGGGAGGTGGAGGTTGCGGTGAGCCAAGATCGCGCCATTGCACTCCAGCCTGGGCAACAAGCGCAAAACTCCGTCTCAGAAAAAAAAAAAAAAAAAAGCAAAGCATGTGTGAGGGACAGAAGGGAGCCCCTGCAGCTGCAGCACAGTCATCAGAGGTTGAAGATGCAAGGCAAGGACCATATGGGGCTTTGTAGGCCATGACAAACAATTTGGAAGCCCATGCAGTGTTTTGAGTAGGAGAGTGATATAATTTAATTTATATGTTTCAGAAATATGACTCTTCTATGCAGAGAACAGGTTCTAAGGGGCAAAAGTAAAAGAAGCAAGACAAGGAGCTGGGCATGATGGCAGATGGCATGCCTGTAATCTCAGCAATTTGGGAGGCTGAGGCCAGAGGATTGCTTGAGCCCAGGAGTTTCAGACCAGCCTGGGCCACATAGCAAAACCCCATCTCTAAAAACTAAATAAATAACAAGACCAGTTAGGAGAACTTTGGAGTTATCTAGGCAAGTGGCGATGGTAGCCAGAATTAGGGTGGTAGCAGAGGGTGGGAAATGGTCAGATTCGGGATATGTTTTGGAGGAATCACCTGTAAGACATGCTAATGGATTAAATGTATGTGTTGTGGGGAAGAAGGTAATCAAGGATGACTTCTTAGATTCTAGTCTGAGAAACTGGGTATACGATGGCACTATTAAAATGGGAAGGAATGGGGGAAGAAGCAAGTTCACAGGGGCCATGAAAATCAAGAATTATTTAAGTCCATATGGGGTGGAGGGGACTACCGAGAAGGCAGTGCAAGAAAGGGGGATGCAAAGAGGAGAAAAAAGAGGTAGAAGAGGCTGAGCATGGTGACCCATGCCTGTAATCCCAGCACTTTGCAAGTTCGAGGCAGGAGGGGGGACCTCATCTCCTCATCTCTACAAATCATTTTTAAAAAGAAAAAAACTTAGCCAGGTGTGGTGGCACATGCCTGTGGTCCCAGCTATGTGGGAGGCTGAGGTGGGAAGATTGCTTGAGATCAGGAGTTCAAGGCTGTAGTGAGCTGTGATTGTGCCATTGCATTCCAGCCTGGGTGACAGAGCGACACCCTGTTTCAAAAAAAAAAAAAAAGGCAGAAGAGGTAAATAAAAAGGACCTGAAGACAGGAATAAATAAGGGCATCAGGAGGGTAGGTAGTATTATTTTCCCAGTTTAATGAGGAGGGCCCTGAGGCTCAGCGGGGTGAAATAACTTGCACAAGGATACTATTTTATTAGCTAATGCAATTTTGCTTGATGCCAACCTTGTGCAGGAGGGCCCAGGCTTCTCATTGCCCATGAACTTCTATCCTGGCCACCATTATCCAGAGAGGAGAGAACAAAGTTCTGTGTTTTCCTCCTTGCTGTGGTGAGGAACCCAGGCCAGACTGTGTTGCTCCATGGAGACCAACCCCAGAAAAAGAAAAAGGGCTAACGTCATCCAAGAGCAGGAGGAAGTGAGGGTTGCCCCTTCCCATGATTGGTTTCCAGAGTGTCAGGCCATCACCAAATTAATATAATTTGGAGGTTGTTGTGGTTTGATTTTTCTTTTTGAACTTTTTAAACTGCACATTTTTTCTTGATTGCCCCCTTGATTGATGGAGAAGAGAACAGGGACCTCTTAGCTCACTGCCACCCACACAGCTGTGAAAGAAGCCAGCTGCCCTCTTGCTCTTCAGAGAATATCCCTTCCTCCCTCCCTCTCTCTCTCCCTTCTTCCCACCCAGCATCTTGGCTATTACTAACCAACAGGGCATGTAAGGAAAAGGGCTCCTTTCAGGGCTGGAGTGCTATAGTTGGTGGATCACAGCCTGTGTGGGAGGCTTCCCCAAAGACATATGATGTGGGTGTAGGAACCAGACAGACGGGAGGAATTAAGTCACCCTTTTCCCCAACCCTAATTTTCTTGCCCAACCTAGAAGTCACTGGGTTGGTTTCCTTATACTAAGGCAGTAATTTTATTTCTACTGTCCTCTAGCTTTTGACAGTGGGCAGTCTTCAATGGGAGTGTGAAAGGAGGAAGAAGCTAGCTTGTTCTTTCTTCATGCCACTAGAGTCTGGGTTAAGGACAGCTGTGTAAACCATGTACTCACCCAGGGTTCTCTAGGAAAGCCTGACTTCTTTCTATTTTGTCGGTGGTACTTGGTCAGTTGGGCGTCCCTGGGAAGCATTGTGCTTGGTAAGGGGGGCCTGATCGGGTCCATTTGAGAGTAAGTGTTCTCTCCTGCCTGTGGATGTAAATCCAACCCCTGGAACTCCAGGCCTGAGAAGTGTGACCCAAGTTCAACCCCTTTTACAGGTGTGTGTTTGGACACCTTCCGGAGAAAGTCTGCTGCCCACCCCTGTCCCAGCTGGGTTAGTTTCTCCTCCCCTGTGCTCTCACACCTCTGAGCCTTGGACAATGCAAGGAAAAGGAGTCCTCTTCCCATAGCAGCTTTGCTGCTCCTCTCCCATGGCTTTCATCACACCGCATATTGTCATTGTTTACTCATCCATTTCTCCCACTGTGAACTCTTGGAGGTTGTGGAGTGTGTCCTTTTACACACTGTGTCAGCACACCAGAGGCTTTCCCTAAATGTTTGATGCATGCATGGATGGATGGACAATTGAATAAATGAATGAGTGCATGAATAAATGGATGAGTGAAATAGAGTAGAGGTGAAAGTTTCAGGCTCTAGATCAGACAAGCCTGGGTTTGAATCCTCGTCATGCCATTTTCTGGTTATATAATAATCTCAGATAAGTTATTTAACCTCTCAAAGCCTCAATTTTTTTATTAAGGTTTTTTTTGTGGAGATTACAGTGCCTGTAAAGCATTTATCACAGTGTCTGGCAGCATGGAGTAAGTACTCATACCCGAAAGCTTTTACTATTCTTAACAAGCTTTGCCAGTTTTTACCATCATGGGTCTTGTTTGCACCTCCTTTTCTAGATTTTTGGCACAGTGGGTCTTTGCCAGACTCAAGGGTTGGCCTGCAGGGCTGCCCACATGGGTACACGTTGGGGTCAGGCAATGTAAAAACAGCACTGAGTTTTGCTGAGAAGGGGAAACCGTGATAGGGGCCTGTCTAAAACCAGGCAAACAGGTCAACTGCCAACCCCATTGTCTCAGGCCTTCTCTGCTGGCAGCGTGCTCAAGAAAACAGGAACAGTGTGGCATTTAAGGTGCCTGGATGACAGCCACATCAAATATGTGACCTTTTCCTAGGAAGCCTGGTTTCCATGGTGAGCTCGTTCTCAATCCATGCTCTGTGGCTCTCAGCCCCCTCTGGAATGTGACAGCAGTGGCCCCAGCAGCCGGGTGGGGACATCTGCCTAGAGGTTGTCCCTCCAACATCTCCAGGGTGGAGGAGGAGCTGAGATAGCCCCCTGGGCTGTCTGATGCCCACACCAGCCTTCCAACCTGGAAGGATTTGCACTGAGGCCCTGACACTGCCTCCCTCTGCTCCCCTTCTCCCACACATGGCTCATGGCCAACTGGCTGCCAGCCTGAGCAGAAAGAAGGGGTCTCTTTCTGTGAACCCCCATCTTAGACAGAGGCCCTGACCCCCTCCACCTCATCTTGGCAGCCTGAGATTGGAGAGAGTGTCTGCCGCCCTGGCCTTGGCAGAGCGCGTGCTCAGCCCAGCCCCTGCAGCTGCCAGAACAGGAGCTGAATGCCCAGTGTGTCTGCCAGAGCTTGCTAACTTCTTTCTTCTTTCTCTGAGCTATGAAAACAGAGGCTGCTGAGGAATGTGACTGCTAACCTCCCCACCACCCGCCTCCCTCCTCCTGGGGCTTGTGTTCCCCCAACCCCCCAAGCTGGAGTCACATCAGAAAAATGTAGGGGAGGAAAGAAATCCCCCAATGTGTCATGACATTACATTTCCGCCTGGACCTCAGAAACAAGAAAAGTTAGAAGCAGAGGGAGAAGAGGGGTGGTGTGGTCATTGCCAGAGCCCTGTGACTGCTTCACCTCCTGCCTCCCTGGGGCAGATCACTTGCTCCCTTGGGGATCTGTCTCCTCATTAATAAATGGGGGCAGATCGGGCCTGGTGGCTCACACCTGTAATCCCAGCACTTTGGGAGGCCGAGGTGGGGGGATCATGAGGTCAGGAGTTCAAGACCAGCCTGGGCAACATGTTGAAACCCCGTCTCTACTAAAGACACAAAAAAAATTAACCTGGGCGTGGTGGCGCGCACCTGTAACTCCAGCTACTCAGGAGGCTGAGGCAGGAGAATCGCTTGAACTCGAGGGGCGGAGGTTGCAGTGAGCTGATATCCCACCATTGCACTCCAGCCAGGACGACAGGGAGAGACTCCATCTCAAAAAAAAAAAAAAAATGGGGGCAAATTGCTTTGACTCAGATGGCAGACAAACTCAGAATTACCTGTTTGCTGTCATTGAATAGCACGGATATCACTAAGTTGGTAATTATTGAGTGAGTGTACTGCTCACGCATACTCATTTAACAGACATACGGGGATTCCTCCTTTTTTCTGGAGGCTAAGAACACAAGGGTGAACAGGACCGAGGCCCTGCCCTCCGGGAACTTGCACTTGAATAGGAAAAATAGACAATTAAGTCACAAGAATCAAATGTCAAGAGAGTTGTGTTGGGCAATAGGAGGTGCCAAGTTGGCTGACCTGGTCCAAGGGTCAGGGAGGTCACTTCTTGGAGGAAGTGAAAATCAAGCTGAGGCCTGAAGGATGAGCAGTTGTGATGCAAGTAAAGAATGGGGGTTGAAGTATTCTAGGCCAGGGGAACAGCCAGAGTGCAGAGGGAGGATGATGTGAATGAGGAACCTAACTGGTGTGACAAGAGTGTACACAGCTGGCTTGGGGTCAGCGGAAGAGGCTGCAGAGACAGGCCAGGCCAGATCATGCAAGGCCTTTGAGACTGTGCCAAGGAGCTTGAACTGAATCCTCAGGGCGGTAGGGAGCCAGCCCTGAGTGTTAAAGTGAGTGTGGGTAGGGGTGGCATGCTTGGATCTGTTTTGGGGTGGATGACTCCAGCTGGAGAATGGGCTTGAAGGGTAGCTATAATCAAGCAGGGAGATGGGTTAGCTGGAGACTGTGGTGGTATTTAGGCACTGATGGTAGCAGCAGTGGAGAAGAAGAGAAGATATGAATTCAAGATCTATGGAGGAGATATGTGGAGGATGAGAGAAAGGGAAAAGGGCCCAAGGTGGCTCTGAGTTTTAGGCTTGCACGCCTGGGTGGAAAGTGGTGCCATCTTACTGAGATGGGCCACACTGGAGAAGGAGAAGCTGGTGCGGGTGAAAGTAGCAAGTCCAGTTTTGGCCACTCTAAGTCTGAAGGCATGACCACCATGTCAGTAGGGATATCCAGTGCATGGGTGTGGAGCTGAGTCTGGACCCCAGGGGAAGGCTCAGGCTTGAGTGAGGTCATTGGCCTGGAGAGAATAAGCAAGTGTATCATCAAGGTGGCCAGGCATGGTTACTCACTCCTGTAATCCCAACGCTTTGGGAGGCCGAGGCAGGTGGAAACCAGGAGTTTGAGAGCAGTCTGGGCAACATAATGAAACCTTGTATCTACAAAAAGTACAAAAATTAGCTGAGTATGATGGCATGTGCCTGTGGTGTCCTGGCTGAGGTGAGAGGACCGCTTGAGCCGCAGGAGGTCAAGCCTGCCGCGAGCCGTGATCACACCACTGCACTCCATCCTGGGCAACAGAGTGAGTCCCTGAATTAATTAATTAATTAATTAATTTATTTGAGACAGAGTCTCGCTCTGTCACCCAGGCTGGAGTGCAGTGACATGATCTCAGCTCACTGTGACCTCTGCATCCTGGGTTCCAGAGATTCTCCTGCCTCAGCCTCCCAAGTAGCTGGTATTACAGGTGCACGCCACCATGCCTGGCTAATTTTTGTATTTTTTAGTAGAGACGGGGTTTTGTCATGTTGATCAGGCTGGTCTCAAACTCCTGACCTCAGGTGATCTGTGCACCTCGACTTCCTAAAGTGTTAGGATTACAGGCGTGAGCCACTGCCCCCAGCCAAGAGACCCTGTCTTAAAAAAAAAAAAAAAAAAAAAAAAAAAAGAATGATGCTAGCTGCTCTAACAGAAAATTCCCCAGCCTCGATGGCCTAGCACAGTAGGTTATTTCTCACTCAGGTAAAATCCCAAACTGGTGTTCCTAATAAGTGAGCAACTCTTCTCCAAGTGGGGTTCAGGAACCAGGTCCTTCCAGCTTTTGTGTCTGCCATCTTTTTTTTTTTTTTTTTTTGAGACAGGGTCTAGCTCTATTGCCCAAACTGGAGTGCAGTGGTATGATCATAGCTCACTGCAACCTCTGCCTCCTGGGTTCAAGTGATTCTCGTGCCTCAGCCTCCTGAGTAGCTGGGATCACAGGTGTGTGCCACCATACTTGGCTAATTTTTATATTTTTAGTAGAGACGGGGTTTCGCCGTGTTGGCCAGGCTGCTCTCGAACTTCTGGCCTCCAGTGATCTGCCCACCTCGGCCTCCCAATATGCTGGGATTACAGGCATGAGCCACTGCACCCGACATCTGCCATTTATATTACACAGCTTCCAGGGTCACTGTGATGGGGAAAGGGCATAAGGGCATGGAGGACCACACATGGGAGAGTCTATCACTTCCATCCATATTCCACCAATAAAATCTCATCATGTGGTCACATCTAACTATAAGAGAAGTAGGGAAGTGTAGCCTAGCTGGGCACCCATGAGAAAGAGGAAATGTGTTTTGCAACCAACTATCCAGTCTCTAACACTGGAAGGCACAGGAGTGGATAAGATCACTTGATGAGTCCAGGGCTTGCACTCATTCATTTGTCCCTATTTGTAGGTGTTTACACAGATACAGGACAGACAGAAGTGAAGGTAAGCCACTTCCTCCCCTTCCTTATTGGAGACCAACAGGACAGGATAGGCCTCAACCCATTTTAGTCCCTCCTGCAAGTTGAGCAAACCTCTAGGGTGAAATGATTCCACGGTAGTTAGTTTGTTGGCTCTGACACTGGCCACTCCTGTCTCTTCCTTCAGATTGGCTGCCATTCACCCTCACTTTCCTTTCCTTCTCCTCAATAAGCACTTGTTGAGTATCTGCTATGTGTTGGGGCCCATTCTGGAAATGCAGCAGTGAATGAACCTGCGGTTCCTGTATTAGTTTATTTGTGTATTGTCTGCTTTTCCTACTAGAATGTAAGTTTCATAGGTAGAATCTGTGTCTTATCTTGTCTACCACTGTATCCCTAGCACCCAGAATAATGCCTAGCACATAGTAGGAACTCTGGAAAGAATTGTCAGATAAATGAATGGTTGAATGAAGGCCCTTTGGGAGTCTACATCTGTAATGAGTGAAAAGGGAAGAACATAGGTGACCTAGGTTCACCTGTGGCATAGTGACCTAATCTGGCTCAGGAAGTCAAGGGGGGTGGGTGTTCCTGGGGAAGAGATTTTTAAATTTTTATGTGTTTATTTGTTTGTAGAGACGGAGTCTTGCTGTGTGGTTCAGGCTGGTCTTGAACTGTTGGCCTCAAGCAGTCTTCCCGCCTGGGCCTCCCAAAGCACCAGAATTACAGGCATGAGCCACTGCACTCATCCTGGGAAGAGATATTTAAGCCTAGAGTTATGGATGAGTAGGTGACAGGCAGATGGAAGAGCATATGCAAAGGCCTGGCATCAAAAAAGTGCGTGGAGTAATAAAGTTCAGCGTGGCTGGGGCCTAGAGGGAGTGGAGGGAGCACTGCAAGATGAAACAGATGGGCAGGCAGGGACAGATACATATGGCCTGTGCGGAAGCCTCTATTTGTCCTGAGGGTGTGTCACTCAGCAGCTTCTTTGATATGCAGCCATTGTATTTCAGGTCATTGTTCAAAGAGGGCAATTTTTGACTTTATTATTGATTCTCACCTCACTGTCTCAATAATGTTTGAACTGGGGTCACAATTGAAAGTTATCTGCCTGGCCGGGTGTGGTGGCTCACGCCTATAATCCCAGCACCTTAGGAGGCCAAGGTGGGCAGATCACCTGAGGTCAGGAATTTGAGACCATCCTGGCCAACATGGTGAAACCCTGTCTCTACTAAAAATACAAAAATTAGCCAGGCATGGTGCCACATGCCTGTAATCCCAGCTACTCGGGAAGCTGAGGCACAATAACAGCCTGAACCTGGGAGGCAGAGGTTGCAGTGAGCTGAGATTGCGCCGCTGCACTCCAGCCCAGGCGACAGGGCCAGACTCCACCTCAAAAATAAATAAATAAATAAATAAATAAAAATAAAAAAAAAAAATCCCAGTATCTTTCTGACCCTGCACCCCATGCAGAGACCTCTTTTCTTTTTTAGCAAAACAGACACTGATACTCTCTTTGCTGAAGGGGGTGGGGAAACGAACAACTGTCTCCATTTATGGAAGATCTCATTTAATTATCACAACAGCCCTGGAAGCTTGGCATTATTATCCCCGTTTTTTAGATAAGTGCTAAAAGAAATGAGAATCTGCAATAAGGCTCAAGTGAAGTGCATCTCTCCAGACTAGAGGTTTTGAATAAAATGCTAGTCTTTATTGGAAGAGTAACAACTTGAAATGGCACTGGCAGGCTTCAGACTGGTAGAGTTTGAGAATGGAATTGCAAGGGAGCCAACAGTCAGATGAGTCAGGTTAGTCGAGCATCAGAAAGTGCTCATCAAGGACTTCCCGGATGCCCAGCCCAGCATTCCAGAAGAGCAAAGCCCTGTCTCCATTCTCAAGGAGCTAACAGTCCACGGGGGAGACACACAGACAAGACATGGTAGTTTCAATACGCTGTAAGAAGTTCTCACCGAAGAGAACAATTCATGAACCAATGCTAGGGGAGTCCAGGGACATCTATAAAGTTTACTATGTGCTCAGTGCTGAGTGGGAGCATGGGAGATGTACAAGAGCTAGCAGTTTAGATATTAACCCAATCTCTCTTCTTTTGACGCCCTTTCCTTTATTCCACCAACACCTATAAATGGCTGATTGTGTGCCAAGTATTAGGGATAAAGCAATAAATGAGTAGATACAGTATCCACCCTCAGTCTAATAGAGGAGACAGCTACTTAATAAATAATCATGCAGACCCTCAACAATACCTAGAAGATCTTTGCAGGGATGCAAGAGTGATAAGAGTATTTGCCTCTGGGAAGGAGAACTGAGAATCAGAGGGCCAGGAGCAGAAGCTAATTTTCTTTTCCTAGTATGCTATTATTACTGTCTGTATTTTATATGCGGGTATTTTATGAATTACCTTTTTTTAAGTGAAATTTAATAATCATCACACAAATAAATATGCCATTAAAAACTGTGATAAATGCCATGATGGAAAAGTTTAAGGTATCTGAGAGGGTAACAGGAGGAACTACTTTATTTTATTATCATTCATTTTTTGAGATATGGTTTCCCTCTGTTGCCCAAGCTGTAGTGCACTGGCTTGATCATGGCTCACTGCAGCCTTGACCTCCTGGGGCTCAGGTGATCCTCCCACCTCAGCCTCTGAGTAGCTGGGACTACAGACAAGTGCCACCATGCCCAGGTAATTTTTGTATTTCTTGTAAAGACAGGGTTTTGCCTTGTTGCCCAACCTGGTCTTGAACTCCTGGGCTCAAGCAATCTGCCCACCTTAAGCTCCCAAAGTGCTGGAATTACAGGCGTGGGCCACTGCATCTGGCCAGGAATTGCTTTAAGTTGAGGAGTCAGTTAAAGGCATTTTCATGAAAAGGTCACTGAAGTGAAGACCCACAGGTTTAAGTTGTAGGTGACCAGGCAGAGTGCAGGGAAGCATTCTAGAGGAGGACCCAGTGTATATAAATCCTGGAGGCGAGGCGATGCTTGGTGTGTTCCAGGAATCTGAGGAAACCAGTGTGATGGAACCACTCAGATGAAGGAAAATATCTTTTTATAACCCCAATTCATTCTATGAATGAATCCAGCACCTATGTTAGGCTGGAAGGGTGATGAAGACAGGGAGAGTATCTATTTTGTTCACTGCTAGAGCAGTACGTAGCATCCTGTAGGTAATTAAGTTCTTGTTGCATGCATAAATGAAGAAATTCAAACTATAAAAATGTCAAGTGGTGGATTTGCATTAATGCTCTACTGCCTAAGAGTTGGGGATTTATCGAATCCGAGAACCACTGGAGGGTAGAGTCAGGGAAACCAAGTATAGGCTAAACAAGTCACTGAAAGAGCTGATATGTCTGGGTATAAGCTGTGGTCACAATACAGTATAACAGAACCATGGCCTTCTGAATTCTATTGTTTTATTTATGGCTTGTTGGGTTTCAGCGCCCTCTCTTTACCAGGAATTCTAATTTTATCTTTACCATAAACACCTGAAGTGTTTACATCAGAATGGCTTTAAAGTGCCAAGTGCTGAGGTAATTTTTTCTTCTCCCTTCTAGGGAAAATAATAAAGAAAATTAATTAATATTAACTTCATTAATATTTTCATTAATTAATTTCATTAATATTTTCTTCTAGAGCTGCAGTTTCTAAGCTTGGCGAGCTTCTAAAAAGTGCAGATTCTCTGGGCCCCAACACATATCCACTGAATCCACCTCTCCAGTAGGAAGGGCCCAGGTATCAGTGCTTTTAAATCTCTTCTGGTAATTTTAATAATAAGCCAAGTTTGGAAGTGTCACTTTAGATTAGTGTTTCTTGGGGGTTTTTTGGTTTAGTTTTTGTTTTTGGTGGGGGGTGAGGACAGGGTCTTACTCTGTCGCCCAGGCTGGAATGCAGTGGCATAATCATGGCTCACTGCGGCCTCAACCTCCTGGGCTCAGGTGATTCTCCCACCTCAGCCTTCTGAATAGCTGGGACTACAGGCCCCGCACCACTATGCCTGGCTAATTTAAAAATTTTTTAGAGGCAGGGTTTTGCCATGTTGCCCAGGCTGGTCTTGAACTCCTGGACTCAAGTGATCCTCCCACCTCAGCCTCTGTGCCCAGCCTAGAGTAGTGGTTCTTAACCTATTGAGAGTTTGGGGCCCCTTTGAGATGCTGAGGAGATTATGTTCATCCTGATCCAGAAAAATACCTGGCAGACACAACATTTAGCATACACTGCCAAGGACATCATAGACATCCTATGGTATCTACGAAGTACCTAGAATTCCCAATGGATAGGCCAAGTCAGAAGGAACACCAAGTTTGTCTTGCCCCTGGGAAGCAGAGTCCTGGGGCTTTTTCTACCTCATCTTCTCTTTGTGCTCAGGGGTTGAGGCCCTTTTCTTTCTTTTTTTTTTTTTTGAGACGGAGTTTTGCTCTTGTTACCCAGGCTGGAGTGTAATGGCGTGATCTCGGCTCACTGCAACTTCCACCTTCTGAGTTTAAGCGATTCTCCTGCCTCAGCCTCCCAAGTAGCTGGGATTACAGGCACGCGCCACCATGTCTGGCTCATTTTGTATTTTTAGTGGAGACAGGGTTTCTCCATGTTGGTCAAGCTGGTCTCAAACTCCTGACCTTAGGTGATCTGCCCGTCTCCGCCTCCCAAAGTGCTGGGATTACAGGCGTGAACCACTGCGCCCGGCCCATAGCCCTTTTCAAGATCCACACATTTGAGTGCAACCAACGATAAGTGGCTACAAAATGGAATCTCATATTCCCAAGAAAAATGGAGCCTCCTGACTCCAAATTTGTCTCCTGTTTTGGGACCCAGTAGTCTTGCTGAATCCACCCAAGAGAGGCCACAGGGTAGAATGGAAGGAACTCTGGAAGAGAATCTGTGACTCCTGTGTTCTAGTCTTAGCCTTAACACCAATTTGCTGTGACCGTGGCAAAGCCCTTCTTCCTTTATAAGCTTCATTTTTCTCTGTAAAGTGAGGATAGCCTGGAAGAACCCAACAACCCATTCCAGCTCTCTGAGTCTAGAATTATTTTCTAGAATTTTTTTTTTTTTTTTTTTTTTTTTGAGACAGAGTCTCGCTCTGTCGCCGAGGCTGGAGTGCAGTGGCGTCATCTTGGCTCACTGCAACCCCTGACTCCCTGGTTCAAGCGATTCTCCTGCCTCAGCCTCCTGAGTAGCTGGGATGACAGGCGCGCCCACCACACCTGGCTAATTTTTTTGTATTTTTAGTAGAAACGGGGTTTCACCATGTTGGCCAGGATGGTCTCGATCTCCTGAACTCGTGATCCACCTGCCTCGGCCTCCCAAAGTAATGGGATTACAGGCGTGAGCCACCGCACCCGGCCTATTTTCTGGATTTTTTTTTTTTTTTTTTTTTGAGACGGAGTCTCACTCTGTCGCCCAGGCTGGAGTGCAGTGGCGCCATCTCGGCTCACTGCAAGCTCCGCCTCCCGGGTTCAAGCCATTCTCCTGCTTCAGCCTCCGTGAGCCACTGTACCCGGCCATTTTGTGGAATTTTTATACAGGACCCCATACTTCAGATGGCAGAACACAGTGGAGATGTGTGGCAAATATATGGACTAATGGAGTTCCTTGAAGAATTTGTTCCCTGATTCTTCATGGCCTTCTGCCCTAAGATTCTGATGTTCCAGAATAAGTATTCCTGCTAGTGACCTCTTATATTTTCTACTAATCACTGTGGTTAGAAACACAAAGACTTGGCCGGGCTCAGTGGCTCATGCCTGTAATCCCAGCACTTTGGGAGGCTGAGGCGGGCGGAGCACTTGAGGTCAGGAGTTCGAGACCAGCCTGGCCAACATGGCAAAACCTGAGTGCCTGTAGTACTAGCTACTCAGGAGGCTGAGGCAGGAGAATTGTTTGAGCCCAGCAGGCAGAGGTTGCAGTGAGCCAAGATCACGCCACTGCACTCCAGCCTGGATGACAGAGTGAGACTCTGTCTCAAAACAAACAAACAAAAAACCCCACAAAGACTTATGAGATCATGGAGACTACTTACCCACAGTCAGCCAAGCTTCGCCATCTTCTCAAACCCATGCAGAGGCATTTGACCTTAGCTAAGGGGACAAAAAGAAGTGGCAACTTTCCAGCCTTGGCAACATGGTACAACCCTATCTCTATAAAAAAATACAAAAATTAGCCGGGTGCAGTGGTGCATGCCTATAGCCCCAGCAACTTTTGGGGGACTGAGAGGGGAGGATTACTTGGGGCCGAGGAGGTCAAGGCTTCAGTGAGCTGTGTTCACACCACTGCACTCCAGCCTGGATGACAAAGTGAGACACTGTCTCCAAAAAAAAAAAAAAGATAACTTCAACCTCTTCTCAACAGTGACTGCTACAATTTGTCTTGAATGAAACAGAGAAAATCCTTAGTGTTTCTCATCTAGAAAAGGCAAAAACATTAAGTCTGGGGTTCAGCCCTTTTTGATGGGACACTCCACATCCAGTGATCCAAGAATTTCATTGCAAAGCAAGGTTGCCTTCTTGAGGTCCCTGACCACTGCTATATGGGGAAGACTAGGGGGTCACCATCATGAAGTTCATGTACTCAATGAAATGGAATTGACCTATTCATTAGAAGACAAATTCAAAAAAGTTGAAATTTTGGCAGCTAATGTATAAAATGAACATCTATTTTTTTTTTCTCTTTGTGACATCTAGTACCTCTTCCTTTGATAGTTATACTGTTCTCTTTTGGCAAGAGGATACCTTTCGCTTACCCTCAGTCTATGTCCTTTTTGGATAAGGATGATACCCCCTAACCTTCCTGGAATGGCCATATGACCTGCACCTGCCGAATCAGAGCAGTCCAGGCCTCTGGGCCTTGTGATTATTTCGGAGACGGGCATGTGACGCAAGCTATGCCAGGGAAATCCAATCCTGGAACTCTTCCTGAAACCCTAAAGGAGAAAGACATTGTCTCTTTCCACTGTGGAGGTTGAACTGGTCAACTGTAGGCCTGGAGTTGCCCGTGGCTACATGCGAGATTTAGCAATAAGGTGGTGATCTGGGGCTGTCTATTTTAAGTAACTTTTTTGCTTACTGGGTGCTACTTTTACTCATATTCTTCTAATTTATAAAAAGAACAATATTAACTTTTTTAGTTTCTCACAATTTTGAAAACCTTTATTTAAAAACATCTGGGGCTGCTAAGGTAGGTGCCCTGGGGAAAAGCCTTAATCACCTTGTCCTAGGTATGGCTCTAAAGATGGAAAAACATTCCTCTGCACCAGTGTTTTTTGGTGCCTATTTATAAATGTATGTGGAGTTTGTCCAGATTTCAACCCAACCCCATTGTATTCTTCTTCCTGTTCTAAAGGACCATGAACTTTTTCAGCTTAGTGAGCTGGAGTGACAGAGGCATGGATTCTCCCCTAGGCTTTTGGTTTCCTAATTTTATTCTTTTCCTATTTTTGGGAGAGTCTCTGCTTTTGGCTCTCACCTCTGGCAGGCCCCACTTTCTCTGATGAGCAACAAGATAAATAATCCAGTCTTTGTTATGCTCTGTTACCCAGCTTCATCTCTTACGCAGGTTTAAATCATCAGGATTGATCAAAACTATTCACTTTCTTTGGACTTTGCATAAACAGATTGAATCAGACGTGGCAAGGTGCCTGGGAAAAGCCACCATCAGTTCCTGCTAACGACTCACTTCCTCTCCCTGCAGTGTTTCCTATGACTGCTTCATTTGGTAGGCACGGTGGAAGCTCCTTTTCTCCCTAGTAAGGTCCCAGCCCTGAACTTACTTGGTCAGCAGGAAGGAGTAGCTGAGAGTTTCTTGGCAAGTGTGTCACCTGCAAAGGTTCCTCTGCCACTGACCCTAATCTGCCACTCTGCCTCTCCTCTTAGTTAACATGCTCCCCTGCTCCAGCAATGCCAGACAACTTGCGTTTCGCTGAAGGCACCAGGCTTTCACTTGCTGTGGTGTCTTGGCTTCTTCTAGGAATATCCTTTCTCCCTTCTTTGCCATATACGCCTATTTTTCTTGTAAGATTTCTGGGTTAGAGGCCCCTCCCCTGTGCTCGTCTGGCTCCTGGTATTGTCTTCCTTGTGGCAGAATTGTCATATTATTTTGTCACTTTCTGTTCATTTATCTGTGACCCCCCACCCCTGCCACTATACTGTGAATTGCTCTTTTATTTATCTGTAGGTCCCAAATACTTGATACGTAATAACAGACAATGTAAGCATAGGTGCAACTGTATGCCTGGAACTGTGCATTCATTATCACATTTATTCCTCATAAAAACCTATGAAACGGGTACTGTTATTACCTCCATTTTACAACTGAAGAGACTGAAGCTCTGAGAAGTTAAGCAGTTTTCCTTGGATGTCACAGCTAGTAAATGGTGGAGATGGGATTTGAAACTCTAAAGCGCATACTCTTAACCACCCTTCTAAACTTCCCCTCAAACTGAATGAACTCTTAGGGTCTATCCATGTCACAAAGTTGTGAAGATGAAATGATATGATGAATGAGAAATAGCTTCGTCAGCTGAAAACTTATGTCAAAAACTGCTAATTTCCCTTGAATATCTGTCCTCTACTCCCCTTTCGTGATATTTGTTGATATTTAAATGGGCGCACAGTTGCCTGTAATAATAAATGTCCTGGTATCTCTCGCAATCAGGAGTGGCCACAATTCTGTTTGGGTCAATGGGGTGTGAATAGAACCATGCTCACAACTTCTGGGATATGCCTTTAAAGGGAAAGTGTGAGCCTCCCCCTTTTTTTCTGTCTTTTCAGCTAGACTATGAACATGGTAGTGATGAGTCATCTTGGATCTTACGGATAAGATAGAAGGAGCCTGGGAACTTTGGCACTGTGGGACTCACATACTTGCCCTAGACTGCTTATGCCTAGTTGAGTATAGTAGAGAGAAACAAGCTTCTATCTTATTTTAGCCACTGCTATTTTGGATCTCTGCTATAGCAGCTGAACCTACATTCTCACTTATACAGTCTATTCACAAGTGGAAGGATTATTCTTATTATTCCTGTGGAGCAGCCTTGAGACTGCTTACAGACTATATTACAAAAATTAACTTTCCTGTCTCAGTAAAAGACATTAACATTCAACTAGTTTGTTCAGGTCAAAAAGCTGGGAGTCTTTTTGAAAAAACAGTTTTATTGAGGCATACCTGACATACAGTAAACTGAATATATTAAAGTGTACAATTTAATAATGTCCCACCCAGGAAACCATCTCTGCCATCAAGATAATAAATGCATTCGTCACCATAAAAGTTACCTCATTCTCTTTTGTAATTGCTTCCTTCTTTCTGCTTCCCAGTCCCTGATCCCATTGCTTGCTCCTATCAGGCAACCACTAATCTTTTCTTTTCTTTTCTTTTCTTTTCTTTTGAGACAGGGTCTTGCTCTGTCACTCAGGCTGGAGTGCAGTGGCATGATCACGGCTCATGGCAGCCTCAACCTCTTAGGCTCAGGTGATCCTGCTGCCTTGGCCTCTGAAGTAGCTTGCCCCACAGTTATGCACCATTACACTTGGCTAATTTTTGTATTTCCACTGATTTTTTATCTGTTTGGATTTGTTTGCATTTCCTATAACCTGTAGTATGTTACTATAGTATGTTACTCTATTTTGTCTGGTCTATTTTGCTCGGCATACTTTTTTGGAAATTGGAAGTCATCTTTGATGCCTTTCTTTCTTTCATTGCTCCTCTCAACACATACCCATCCCTTCATCAAGTTCAGTAATCTTGACCTGAATCCATCTACTTCTCCCTGTCTCCACTGCTATCATCCTCATCCAGACTACCACTGTCTCTCTCTTGGACTACTGCAGTAGTCTCCTAACTGGTCCTCCTCCTTCCACTCTTGCTCTCCCCAATCCATTCTCACCTAGAACCCACAATGTTCCCTTTCAAATGGGATCATATCATTCTCCTGCTTGAAATCACTCCGGTGGCTTCCAATCACACTCAGAATAACATTCCAATGCTGACTGTAGCTTACAAGGCCTTTCACGGTTTGGCCCCTGGTTCACCTCTCCAATGTCATCTTCTACCATTCTTCCTACTAATTCATGCTGGCTTCTTCGTTTTCATTCTTCAGATATGTGAAGTCTGTGACCACCTTAAACCCTTTGCTCTTGCTATTTATTCTTTTTGTCTGGAATGTTCTTTCCCAAGCTCTTTGCATGTTTGGTTCATTTTCATTCATTTTTTAGGTCTCATCTCAAATGTTATGGCCACCCAGAGAACTTCACACACCTAAATGGTCTCCACCCAGTCAGTCTCTAACCATGTTGCTGTTTTCTTCCTTAATAATACTTACTGATATCTGCTCTTATTTTGTATGTTTATTGTTCACCTTACCCTCCATGGAATGGATGCTCCATGAGGTCAGGGAGTTTGTCTGTTATTATTGCTATATCTCAAGGGCCTAGAACAGTGCCTAGCAGATATTTGATAAATCTTTGTTGACTGAATACAAAAATATATTGAGCATTATTAAGTAGATCTGAGGGATAATGGGAGATCACTATTTTAGAGTCCACAACCGTGGACTGGCTGAGCTTCAGGAGTACATCCTTGTAATAGTGAAGACTTGAGTGTGAAGTTTGTTTTTTTCTATCACAATAATAAAGCAAGCACATCATGTTTATTTTTGGGGCAAGTATCCAAGGACTGCAAGCCCTTCAGAGCTTTCAAACACAGTCTCTTCCTGTCATTTTATTTTTATTTATTTTTTTTTAAATTTTGGAGACAGAGTCTTGCTCTGTTGCCCAAGTTAGAGTATAGTGGTGCAATCATAGCTCAATGTAACCTTGAACTCCTGGGCTCAAGTGATTTTCATACCTCAGCTTTTTGAGTAGCTAGGTGCATACCACCATGCCTGGCTAATATTTCATTTTATTTTATTTTTGAGATGGAGTCTCACTCTGTCGCCCAGGCTAAAGTGCAGTGGTGCAATCTCGGCTCACTGCAAACTCCACCTCCCGGGTTCAAGTGATTCTCCTGCCTCAGCCTCCTGAGTAGCTGGGATTACAGGCGTGCACCACCATGCCCAGCTAATTTTTGTATTTTTAGTACAGACGGGATTTCACCATGTTAGTCAGGCTGGTCTCGAACTCCTGACCTTGTGATCCACCTGCCTTGGCCTCCCAAAGTGCTGGGATTACAGGCATGAGCCAACGCGCCTGGCCAATTTTCTATTTTTATTTCTGTAGAGATGTGTTCTCACTATGTAGTGAGCTATGATTGATCACAACACTGCACTCCAAGCTGGACAACAGAGCAACACCCCGTGTCTTTAAAAATAGGATTATGGTTACTGAAATAAAATACTAATGGATGCTTTAAATGGTAAACGAGACATAGTTGAAAAGAAAATTAGTAAGTTGGTGGAGAGTGTTGTAGAAACCTAAGGTTTAGCACAGGGAAATAGTAAGTGTAAAATAGAGGTTGAGAGATGTGGATACTTCCACATACTTCTAATGAGAGTTCTACAAGGAGAAATGAGAGCCAATGTTGCATGAGATACTGGTTGAACATTTTCTAGAACTGACATAAATCCTTAGATTAAAGAAGCATACTATGGTCCAGGCATGGTGGCTAATGCCTATAATCCCAGCACTTTGGGAAGATGAGGCAGGTGGATTGCTTGAAGCCAGGAGTTCGAGACCAGCTGGGCAACAGAGTGAGACACCCCCCTCCATCTCTATTATAAAAATTAAAAAGAAAAAAAGAAAAAAGAAGAAGCATACTATGTACCAAGTAAGAAAGATTTTTAGAATATACATTTTAAGATAAAGGTTTAGGTGAATTTTTAGGTATATATTTTTAATCTACAAACACACACACAAACACAAACACACACATCAAAGTAGAAGGGCAAAACCCAAAGACAAAGTGAATCTTAAAATATACCAGAGAAAAGACAGATTTCTAACAAAGAAATGAAAAGCAGCCTGACAGAGGACTTTTTATCAGTATATAAAATCAGAAAACTATGGAAAAATGCCTTCAATAATAATTGTCAACCTATAGTTCTATATATAGCTAAGCTGTCATTCAAAAATAAGGGTGAACCTTTTAGATATGCATTTATTTATTTAAAAAAATATACATATTTTTTGGCCAGGCGTGGTGGCTCACGCCTGTAATCCCAGCACTTTGGGAGGCCGAGGCAGGCGGATCACGAGGTCAGGAGATTGAGACCATCTTGGCTAACACGGTGAAACCCCGTCTCTACTAAAAATACAAAAAATTAGCTGGGCACGGTGGCGGGCGCCTGTAGTCCCAGCTACTTGGGAGGCTGAGGCAGGAGAATGGCATGAACCCGGGAGGTGGAGCTTGCAGTGAGCCGAGATAGCACCACTGCAGTCCAGCCTGGGTGAAAGAGTGAGACTCCGTCTCAAAAAAAAAAAAAACAAAAAACATTTTTTTTGAGACAGGGTGTTGCTCTGTCACCCTGGCTAGAGTGCAGTGGCAGATCATAGCTCACTGCAACCTTGAACTCCTGGGCTCAAGCTATTCTCTGCCTCAGCCTCTCAAGTAGCTGGGACTACAGAGGTGTGCCACACCTGGATAATTTTTAAAAATTTTTGTAGCAATGGGGTCTTACTATGTTGTCCAGGCTGGTCTTGTTCAACTCCTGGCCTCAAGCAATGCTTCTGCCTTGGCCTCCTAAAGTGCTGGGATTCCAGGCATGAGCCACCACACCTGGCCTGATGTACATTTTTAGATATACACAGAGCATTTTCTAGGGCTGCCACAACAAAGTACCACAAACTGGGTGGCTTAAAACAACACAAATTTATTGTCTCAGTTCTGGGGGCTAGAAGTCCAAAATCAAGGTGTTGGCAAAGCCATGTTTTATCTGAAACCCGAAAGAGAAGAATCCTTCTTGCCTTTTCCAGTTTCTGATAGCCCCAGATGGTTTTTTTGAGACAGAGTTTTGCTCTTGTTGCCCAGGCTGGAGTGCAATGGCACAATCTCGGCTCACTGCAACCTCCACCGCCCAGGTTCAAGCAATTCTCCTGCCTCAGCCTCCTGGGTAGCTGGGATTACAGGCATGCACCACTACGCCCCGCTAATTTTGTATTTTTGGTAGAGACGGGGCTTCTCCATGTTGGTCAGGCTGGTCTTGAACTCCCGACCTCAGGTGATCTGCCTGCCTTGGCCTCCCAAAGTGCTGGGATTACAGGCGTGAGCCACCACGCCTGGCCTGATAGCCCCAGGTTTGATGTGGCTTTCTCCTTATGTCTGTTCACATAGTCCTCCTTGTGTGTGTGTCTGTATGTGTCCAAAGTTCCCCTTTTTATAAAGACATCAGTCATATTGCATTAGGGCCCACTCTAATAACCTCATTTAACTTGATTACCTCTGTAAAAACTCCATTTCCTTCCTTCCTTCCTTCCTTCCTTTCTCCCTTTCTTTTTATTTTTTGAGACATGGCTTTGCTCTGTCACCCAGGTGGGAGTGCAGTGGTAGATCATAGCTTACTGGAGCCTCAATTTCCTGGGCTCAAGCAATGCACCTATTGCAGCCTCCCAAGTAACTGGGAATATAGATAACTGCCACCACACTCGGTTAATTTTTTTTATTTTTTGTAGAGATGAGGTCTCGCCCTATTGTCCAGGCTGGTCTCAAACTCATGGGCTCAAAGAATCCTCCCGCCTCAGTCTCCCAAACTGCTAGGATTATAGGTATGAGCCACCACGCCTGTCCCAAAACCCTACTTTCAAATAGGGTCACATTCTGAGGTACTGGGAGTTAGGACTTCAACATATCTTTTGTGGGGGGCACAATTCAACCTGTAAAACAAAGATGAAGAGAATTTACTTATCAGACATTCTTACTAAAAGAACCTACTGAAGGATTTCCTTTATCATGAAGGAAATTAGGCTGGGTGCAGTGGCTCATGCCTGTAATCCCAGCACTTTGAGAGGCTGAGGCAGGTGGATCACCTGGGGTCAGGAGTTCAAGACCAGCCTGGCCAACATGGTGAAACCCCATCTTTACAAGAAATACGAAAAGTAGCCAGGTGGTGACATGCACCTGTAATCCAAGCTACTAGGGAGGCTGAGGCAGGAGAATTGCTGGAACCCGGGAGGTGGAGGCTGAAGTGAGCTGAGATTGAACCACTGCACTCTAGCCTGGGTGACAGAATGAGACCATGTCTCAAAAAAGAAAAAAAAAAAAAAAGGAAATTAAACTCATGAGGAAGAAGTAGTATACAAATACACAAAGAGAAACAATGACCAAACAAACAATGCAGAGAAGACTCTTGCCTAAGATCATATTACCCTTAAGTAGTATAATCAGTATTTGTACCCAGGTTGTCTGACAGCTTAGCCCAGGCTCTTAACTTTTACAGTCCATACATCTCTATGAGGACTCTTTCAAAAGTCTCATGAGGTAATGTACAGGACAGTATTTCAGACTTTTTTTGAATTTCAATATTCAATCACTATTTTATTTTATTTTATTTTATTTTATTTTTTGAGACAAGGTCTCACTCTGTCTTTCAGGCTGGAGTGCAATGACACAATTGATCCCCACTCACTGCAGCCTTGGCCTCCAGGCCTCACACAATTCTCCTGCCTCAGCCTCCTGAGTAGCTGGGACTACAGGGGCATGCCACCATGCCTGGCTAATCAGTCAGTATTTATTGATCATCTGTAATGAGAATCTAAGAAGGTCCCAGAGAATCAAAATATCAGATCCTTTTTACTCTTTCTCAAATTGGGGAGGAATGAGTCTTCTTTTTTTTTTCCAGAATAATTTATTCACATCCAGTATCCATTTTGTATTTTTTTCCCGTGATGCACTGTGACAGGTGTTCTAGGTACAAGAGGTGGAAGAACCATTATTCCATAGTTCTTGATTTCAAGGAGCTTACAGTCTAAGAAAAATGTTTTCTAAAAAAAGGTAGACAGTGTTATATGCCTTGAGAGAGAAATAGATGTTGTGAGGGGAGTTCAGAGGAGAGATTATCTTTGCTCTGTGTGATGGGGGATGTAGTGCCCATTTGCTGGACTTTGAAAGACAAACAGGACGGCGATTAACACCAGTGATTTATTGAGTATCTACTTGTGTGCATGGAGCTATGTTTGGAGCTTTTTATCCTGATCTCATTTATTTCTCACAATAACCCTGTTAGGTCAATATGGTCACTCTCAAACATGAGAAGACTGAAGCTCATTAAAAATAGGTGGCAGATGCTGGACGTGGTGGCTTGCCTGTAATCCCAGCCCTTTGGGAGGCCGAGGCAGGCGGATCACTTGAGGCTGGGAGTTGGAGACCAGCCTGGGCAACACGGTGAAACCCGTCTCTACCAAAACTACAAAAATTAGCCGGGCGTGGTGGCAGGCGCCTGTAATCCCAGCTACTCGGGAGGCTGAGGCAGGAGAATCACTTGATCCTGGGAGGCAGAGGTTGCAGTGAGCCGAGATCGTGCCACTGCATTCCAGCCTGGGTGACAGAGCGAGACCCTGGCTCAAAAAAAAAAAAAAAAAAAAAATGTGGCCGGGTGCGGTGGCTCAAGCCTTTAATATCAAAGCACTACAGCACTTTGGGCGACCAAGGCGAGCGGATTGTTTGAGCTCAGGAGTTTGAGACCAGCTTGGGCAACAAGGTGAAAACCCGTCTGTACAAAAATATAAAAATTAGCTGAGTGTGGGTGGCGCGCGCCTGTAGTCCCAGCGCTACTCACGAGGCTGAGGTGGGAGGATCGCTTGAGCGCGGGAGGTAGAGGCTGGAGTGAGTCGTGATTGCACCATTGCACTCGAGCCTGGGTGACAGAGCAAGATCCTGTCTCAAGAAACAAACAAACGTACAAAAAAAAAAAAAAACCCCACAAAATATCCAAGTGACTTGCTTAAAGTCACACAATTAGTAAATGGAACCAGACATAGGCTAAAGGCAGACCAAGCCTTGAATCTAGATTAGGCTGGTTCCAAATTCCCTGCCCTTTCATCTCCCTAACAGTTTGTTTTCTTTCTCTCTTTCTTTCTTTTTTTAAAAAATAAAATAAATTTCCTAATTATTTATGTAGCACTTTCTCTTAGCATAACAGTTTTTAGAGTAGGTTAACTTTTTTTTCCATTTCCAAAAGTCAATTATTATCTATTCTGGTTCAAATGCCAGGTCCTTTTATGGCAGAGATTCTCAAAAAAGTGATCCGCGGAGGAGTTGCACCATTAGGTCACTGGGGTAGTCTGCAAAAGTGCAAATTTCCAGACCCCATTCTCAAAGATTCTGAGTACGTTTGAGATGAGACCCAGAGAACCTGCATTTTTTTGTTTTTAAACAAACGTATTCAGCCTCTCTTGAGAACCACTGTGCCTAGAATGTCTTTGGGAAGCTTTTGGAAGTAATAAGTTCGTTTTGGAAAGAACACTCCAGACAAGCTTTCCAATAGTCTTTCCCAAACTGTCATGCCTGAGGTTCTGGACTTACTCTTACTCATTCCTGAGAGCACAGCGACTAGCTGAAGGACTGATCGACTGATGAGGGTTTGACCTCATCTACATACATCTCAATTTAGCAGCACATATTAAGCTAGCTGGCAAACTGCTTAAAGCCACATGGGAAATCTGCGCGTTGGGCTATGTCTGGAAGATACGGAGGAGCAAGCCAGACCTGACCGGTCAGGTAGTGAAGACACGGAATCCGAAACCCAAATATTTCAGGAGTCAATTCTCAGAGAAAGATAAGAAGCCCGGTTAGTCCAACTCATGCGCAGGCGCAGAAGAAAGACCGGCGCACAAAGTAAGACGCGCCCTTCCCCACCCTATTTCAGTCCAACTCCCACTGCGCAGGCGCTTACAGTGCACCAAGATGGCCGCCCCCGTGGATCTAGAGCTGAAGAAGGTAAAAGAGGGTCTTTGGCAGGCGGAGGTCTTCTTTTTGGAGGCTGAGGGGACTATAGACAAGAATATCAAGTGAGGCACGAGCCTTGCAGAAGGAAGGAGGGTCCAGTGGACTAGGGAATGGTTTCCCAGAGTCCTAAGGCCTCACTGGGTCTCCATAAACGGGGTGGGGGGCGAGCGGCTCTTGCTGGGTAGGAGCCGGTTGGTCTGGGTCGGGTAAGTCTGCGGGCCTGTCTCGGGCTTGTCCAGTCTTTCTGAGCTCCAGAGACATTTCGTTGCGTTTGGAGGCTTCAGGGACTCACTTTCATAGTAAGAACTAAAGAGAGCATTTCAAATGGGGGTCCCTTCGGACCCCTTGCCTGAGCTGTGGCATCCGTAATTCTGCCTCATTTGCTTTGAAAAACTCCAAGTCCAACCTTTGTTTTTAGGCCATTTATTCGGTTCTGTACCTTGAAAGTTGCAATATCTACAGTTCGGAAAACCAAGCATTGTAGCAGCAATGTTCATTTCAGGATTTTGCCCCCCCTCCACTTCTTTTGAAGGACTCGTCAAACAAAACAAAACAAAACCTCCTTCTTTTGAAGGAATTGTCAAAAACAAAACAAAACCAGTAAAGTTTTCCAAATAAAACCGGTATCGGAAGGAATTGGGTTTCCTGTTTTCCTCAGTTGCTTATAAATGTGTTGTTATTCAGATTTTTGCTATCTAAGAATGATCAGCATTCTAACACCACTAATGACCCCAAACCAGTATGCTTTGTGCGGTGGGGTGGATTGGAAAGGACCCTAGAATTTATCTATTTTAAATCTACTTTTCTGGAAAAGGAACCAGTGCCAGAAAAGTCTGTCAGAAGTTGGGACTAGAATCCAGTATTCTCTGCCTTATCTCACACTTTTTTGACCACTATTTTGAGTTCTTCAGATGAGCAACATCTTAGTTAAGACTGCCTGTGGTCAACTTGTGTAAAAGAAATAGGACAGCCGAAATAGCTGTTGCTTCTAACAAATGAAGCTTTTGTTAGTGTTGTGAGGATATTATGTGTTTGTGTCTTGCTTTTGTTCTTCTTGTCTTGAATCTTGTAAATTTAGCTCTTAGGTGGAGTCTCTAATCTTTAACAGTATACTAGCTCATCTTTAATGGTATACTAGCTTCCTTAGCAAGCTGTATAGAGCAGTCAGATGATACCTGGAATTTTACATTTCAAAACAAAATTGTGCATTCTAAAAATTTACCTTTTCTTCTGTTAAAAGTACCGATTTAAATCAGGGTTTAGTGAATGGATTTGCCTCCCGGTACTTTTGAATTTATTGCTACATTTGAAACTTGCGGGCGGTGAATGCAAACTAAGAAAATGATTACAAACTTAAAATGAATAATTTTGATAACCAATTAATTAAAAAACTTGTTTAAAGGTTTTATCTTCTAATGTTTTTACAGGGTCCTTTTTTTGGGTGGAGACAAATAGGAAATTTCAGGCCCCTCCCCTTCCCCAAAGTAAATCTTTCAAAACCTTACTAGTAGGTGAAAACAAGGTCACAATAAAAATTATGTAGTAGCCTTTGCTGTGCATTGCAGTCACAGATGTTATTAAGGCACAAATTTAACAGCATGTGAAAGTCATTCCAGGCACTTCAACAAAAGTATCCAAGAACTGTTTATCTTCCAGTTAAGTAAGTGTACGCAAGGGTCAAATTTGGCCTGGTATCTGTGGATGAAGATCATGATGCAATTCTTTTGCCAGTGCTTTGCATTTTTTCTCACTCTCTTTCTTGGTCTTCCTCTTAAAAATGTTCATATTATGAATATTACTATAGACAGTGGAATGGAAAGATTGCTGAACTAAGGGGTTAGAAGAAATGGATTTAAATAACACCTGCCTTCCCCCCAGTAGTTGTTCAACCTTGTGCAAGCCACTTTTATCTCTTAACTCATTTGGTTACTTAATTTGTAAATTGTGGATGATGAGACTGCCAATGCTAACTCATGGAATTACTGAGAGGCATAAATGAGATATTTATTATATTTCCTCATTAATATTCTTATATTAATATTCCCATGTTAATATTTCAAACTAATGTGAGAAAGTGCTTTGAAACCTAATTGTGCAATACAAATGTAGTGAGTTATTACTTTTATGGTTCTTGTTTTGAATCTCTGGATTTCATCCTTGACTATTGCATTTATTTCTTTTACTACTCCTTGAGTACTTGCTACTTAATATGGTTATTACTTAATATGCATTTGATTTGCTTCACACTGATTGTATCTTCTGATGATTGTAAATTCAGTATTTAGTATGGTGACTTGATTGTTTACAGTTATGTTGACTTTTATTGATGTTTGGTAAATTTCACAGCTTTGTCTCTGGCTAGCATATTTTGTTTTAATATATTTGGATTTGAGGTAAATGTTTCCTGTAAAATGTTTTACCTACTAAATCATGGACTTGTTTTTATTAGGCCTTCACAGAGCTTCAAGCCAAAGTTATTGACACTCAACAGAAGGTGAAGCTCGCAGACATACAGATTGAACAGCTAAACAGAACGAAAAAGCATGCACATCTTACAGATACAGAGATCATGACTTTGGTAGATGAGACTAACATGTATGAAGGTGTAGGAAGAATGTAAGTAAAATGTGTCCTTAATGGAGTTATTTTGGGAGTGCTTTTGTCCGAGTTAAATAGAATTTGTTCATCTTAAAACTTGGGTTAGGCCAGGAGTGGTGGCTCATGCCTGTAATCCTGGCACTTTGGGAGGTCGAGGCGAGTGGATCACTTGAGGGCAGCCTGTTGGCCAGTATGGTGGAACCCTGTATCTACCACAAATACAAAGATTAGCTGAGCATGGTGGCACTTGCCTGTAGTCTTGGCTACTTGGGAGGCTGAGGCAGGAGAGTCGCTTGAACCCCGGAGGTGGAGGTTGCAGTGAGCCGAAATCATGCCACTGCACTCCAGCCTGGGCAGCAGAGCTAGACTCTGTCTCAAAACAAAAGAAACTTTGGTTTAAAGTAAGTATCTTTTTCTTTTTGAGACGGAGTTTTCGCTATATCGCCCAGGCTGGAGTGCAATGGCCCGATCTTGGCTCACTGCAATCTCCGTCTCCTGGGTTCAAGCGATTCCCCTGCTTCAGCCTCCTGAGTGACTGGGATTACGGGCGCTTGCCACCACGCCCTGCTAATTTTTGTGTTTTTAGTAGAGACGGGGTTTTACCATATTTGCCAGGATGGTCTGGAACTCCTGACCTCCTGATCCGCCCACCTCAGCCTCCCAAAGTGCTGGATTACAGATATGAGTCACCACACCCGGCAGGTTAAAGTATCTTAGAAATAACTTTAAAGATTATCTAATTAAATGCTTTCTTTTTTTAAAATGAGGAGCTGAACTTCAGGTAGATTAATTAAAGTGTTTAAGTTTAGACTTTAAAGTACATTTTTTTTTTTTTTTTGAGACAGAGTCTCGCTCTGTTGCCAGGCTAGAGTGCAGTGGTGTGATTCTGGCTCACTGCAACCTCCGCCTCTTGGGTTCAAACAATTCTGCCTCAGCCTCCTGAGTAGCTGGGACTACAGGCGCATGCTACCATGCCCGGCTAATTTTTGTATTTTTAGTAGAAATGGGGTTTTACCGTGTTGGCCAGGATGGTCTCAATCTCTCCTCTTGATCCGCCCGCCTTGGCCTCCCACAGTGCTGGGATTACAGGCGTGAGCCACCGCCCCTGGCCTCAAAGTACATTTCTTAAGTGCTTACTTTCCTGTTCTGTCTATGATTAGGTACTTAAGTGTAAGTTCAGTAATAAAAATGATTTGTCATGGAAAATGTTTATAGCAATATTATATTGTATGTGAAGAAGATTTATTTAAGTAGGTGCAGTTTTAACCTCCTCTTCCCTGCTTAATTTATTAGGAGTGATACAAATCATAAATCTTTCAGATGTCTGATCAGTGTTGTAAAATAAAAATAAAAATTCAATTGTCATTTAAATACACTCATTCTGGCCAGGCATAGTGGCTCATGCCTGTAATCTCAGCACTGCAGGAGGCCAAGGTGGGTGGATCCCCTGAGGTTAGGGGTTTGAGACCAGCCTGGCCAACATGGTGAAACCCCATCTCTACTAAAAATACAAAAATTAGCGAGGCATGGTGGCGCACACCTGTAATCCCAGTTACGAGACTGAGGCAGGAGAACTGCTCGAACCCAGGAGGTGGAGGTTGCAGTGAGCCGAGATTGCGCCATTACACTCCAGCCTGGGCAACAAGAGTGAAACTCTGCCTCAAAAAAAAAAAAAGTAAAAAATACACTCATTCTAAGTGTCATGCATTGTTCTAATAGGAGGACAACTCACATGTGAGAAATCTAGTAAATTATTTTACTTTTGTTTGTTCTAATTAATACATTATTAACTTCGTACATTTCACTTTTTTTTCTTTTAAAAGCATATTGCCCTTGTGAGAGAGAATAGGTCTGCTTCATATTCTGTAAGCAGAAAAAAAGGAATGGAAAAGCCCTTAAGTACAGGTCACATTCCATTACAGTGAGCTAAAAGGAGAAGACTGATTTTTTTTTTTTTTAAGTTGGGGGGAGGTACAGGAGGAGGGTTTTTCTGGAATTTGGTCTTTGAGTATTACTTAGTAAGTAGACCATTACTTCAGATTTGGAGATCTTTTAGTTAGAATGGAATTTGACCTCAGTCTCGGGATGACTTGTTTTGTGATTGATTTGAAGAAAGAATAACATGTGTAAAATTTAATAATGACTTTGGAATGACATCATGAGAAGTAGACCTGCTCATCACTGACTAATCCATATCTTTATGGTTCAGAATTAGATTATGTTAAATTGTTCATCTGATTTGCTTTCTCAGAATGAATAATGTAGCACAAGTAAATTTTATGTCCAAGCTCATATATTTCATTTTAGTTTAAGAGGATAAGGATCCCAATTTGAGAGTTTGTTACTGGGACACAAAAGAATTGGAACAAAGTAGAACCCTTGAATATGTGTCTGTGTAGTATGAAATGCATTGTTGGCATTCACTACAGGATAATTTTATCCTTAATGTGAATATCCTTAGGTCTTAAAACAGTAATGCCAGCTTTATTAACATGTTGTACTTGGATTTCACATCACTGCGCTAGCCTTTGTTTGCAATAGCTAAAGAATTCCTTTTTCAAAATAGAAAAAACGTTTTACTCCCTTTGGGCTTTTGAGCTACAGTGAAGTTTTAATTTTTAATTAGAATAGTTTCATTTATTAAACGTTCTGCAGAAGTGTTAGGAGAGTTGTTTTTTGTACATATTTTCCAAAGTGCTACAGATAAGTTGTTTTCCATACCAAGAATTTTGGAGTTTAAAGGCTAGGATATGAATTAATAAATAGTAGAATGGTATTATTTCCAGAAGGTTTATTTCATATAAATTACGTTTCTTAAAAGAAGTGTGGAGTTTTAAATGTTTGGATAAAGTTGAGCTTCTACATGATTTCAGACTTCTGTTTTAAATTTGACTTTAGTGCTGTCTGCATCTCACCGGGAGTATGAGTTTGACCCTGTATTGTAGGGGCATGTAAGGTGAATAGCGTTTGTTGTTTGGCTAGCGTATTAGTGCCCTGAGAGGAAGAAAAGACTTGCTGAGTATTAGTCTGGTCATGAGGATGTTCTCTTTCTTGATGCTAAACCTGAGATATCTATTTCTGAATTTATAGTCGAGTAATTTTGGGTATCATTGTGATTCACTTCTTTAATTCTAGTCTTTACCTTACTTTGTTTTTTCTTTTCCATTTTGAGTGTTATTTGGGAATTCTGACTAGAATATTACTTTTTCCCAAATTTTCATTTTAAAACCGTAATAAAATGGTTATAATAAAATCCAAAACTTCATTTTTCTTTTAGAACATGCAGTAGATTTTCCCATTGCTGAAATTCAGGTCTCATTGCTTCTTGCCTGGACTTTTATGATAGCATCTTAACTGTTCTTTCTTCCTGCCTTCATTCTGTCTGTCCAAATCCATTCTTCACATATCTTTCAGAATTAATCACATCAATATTCTTCCTAAAGTCCTTTGTTCATCCTCTGTTGTCCACAGGATAAAATCTAAACTTGTTGGCCTTGCATTCATGGTTATTCATAATCTGTTCTTAATTTACCCTTTGCCTCAAGTCCCACCACTTTCTTTTTCCAGGGTTAGGATAGCATGTATATTTCATCTCATGGACCTACCTCCTTCTACTAGTTTGTGTTATATGTTGAGAAGAATTTTGAGATGTCAAATGGGTTTTAAACATGCTTTAATTGATTAGTGATGTCTGTTACACAGTGAGGGTAGAAGAGTAGTAGCACATGTACTAGAAATTGTTATCCTACCCTTGCCACATAGGTTTCCTCACACATGTTATGTTTTTGTGCTTTTTTGCTTTTGCTCAGTCTTTGGCGAATAACATTGTCCTTGGCTGGCAATATTCCTCTTTTCCTTGTGAAATTCTTATCCTTCAAGACATAGCTCTACTCTTACTTTGCCTCTGAAGATTTTTTCAGCCCCTGGGGCAGACTCATTCACTCTTTCCTTGGCGATAGTAGGGCTTTTGTTCCTACAGCTAGTAAAGCACATTGAGTGTGTAGGTGTGTTTAAATGGGTCGGTCTTCCCAGCCAGATTGTCAGCTCTGGGAGACCATGTATATATATTATCTTTGTTTCCTCATTCTCAGTATAATGTCTGGCACAAAATAGCTATTAAATGTGTATTGATTTGAATTGAATCTGATTCTTTTTTCTGGCCTAAAATAACTTTTTTCTTTTGGTTTCTTAGAAAAAAAAGTATTTTAGAAAGTGTTAGAGACTTAAGAATGAGTTTATTATCCTATTTTAATATATGATCCATGTAAGATGAAATTATAAAAGTAACATATATTTTGACTAAGGTCAAAAAAATTATATCTGACCAAAATCACGTCCTCTGATCTGACAGGATTAATTCTTCATTAAATATATTGAGAAGGTTGTCTAATTCTAAATACCAGCCAGTTGAAGAGACACTCAGAACTAAAAATATAGAAAACCCAAACCTTAAAGATTATGCTTGAGGGTAGTATAATCCTTAGAGAATAAAGGCTATTTTATGCATAATAATATCAATGTATTTTTATCCATTTTACCTTCCTCATCTTCACACAGAATGTAAGTCAGATTTTTTTTTTTTAGGGTATGTATTTAGTTAAACAAATCATTGCAGACCCAGATATCTTTCATTTCATAAGTATGGACACATTTTGTAGTGTTAAATACCTCTTATACATGGCTATTTTTGGTTTAAAACAAGGAAAGTCAAGCTACAGGATAAGAGATGATGAATTGCTATATACTGTAAGCTCTGAGTATTTGTTGCTCAAAGCTATATTCCATCCAGTCTTTTGGCGTGTTGCCAGCACATTTTAGTTCTCTTACTTCATCTTCTTTAGAGAGGCTGTTATGTAGCCTGATACTACTACCACCAATTTCTAGTTTTGCTACTTAAGCTGTTTGTGAGCTGACCTCACCATACTGCTTTGAGAACTATGATGAAAGTTACAACTGGGGAATGATCTGTCTGAGTATTTGGAAGTGTTTGTCTTTGCATCTTTCTAGCATGCAAGGAGGGAATAGACAAATCTTAAATGTTATGTGAATATTTCTTGTATATATTTTTTCATGGATAAAAATGTTTATAATTGCTTGTGGGGGTTTTCTTCCTTTTCTACTTTGCATAGTAGAGGATAGGAGTATTTTTAAAATAAGAATTATATTTGAAAGTGCATATAAATGACATTTAACCATACTAGTGTTTGAAAGGACCATCATTAGAATAAATGTCAAACTTACTTTTATGAACAATAAGTATGATCCTAACCCTGATTTGATGTCAGATCTATTATTTGAACACCCTTTTTGCTTGAGCATTACATAAATAACATTTCTTTTTTCCAAAAGAGACAAATTAACTTTTTTTTTAATATGAGGAACTTGAGTAGATTAGCCTTTAAAAAGAACAATTAGTGCCTTTTTAAAACTTGAACCTAACTAAAAATAACTTTGTACCATATTTAAACTAATTTAGAGGTATGCTACCATTCTGTGGGTATTTTTTACATTTAAGGAACTAAGAATGAACAATGGTATAAATCTGCCAACTAGATAAGTGTCTAGCAATGCAAAAATTGCTGTTTGGGAGCGGTGTTACTATTTCTACTTGTTGAAGTAATTTAATGGTTGATCTCTAACGGTTGAAAGATCCAGAAGTGTAAAACTTAAGATAAATGTGGCATAAGTAGAAAGTGAAACAGTAGGTGTATTCCTGATAGGTAACAATTAAAAAAAATCTAAATAGTTAAGCAGTTTTTCAACTGTTTAGGTTGTAGAAATCTGAACTCTTTATGACAGCTTGGCTGAACTGCCCTTTGTTTAGAATGTTATGTTGGTTTTGTTGTGATTGTATTTCTTAGTTTGGATGTTGACCTATAATTTGAATCGTGGCATTTAGTAAAGGTGGGATGAAATATATGCAGCTTCCCTTAGTTATGTTAAATGTTAATAGAAAGGGGTATGCTCATACTGCTTCAAGTTTTGCAGCCCTTTTACAATTTCATGTAGCTATAGAGTTGGTCTTCCAGTCAATTTCAGGTAATTTTAAAACTGAAGAAATGGTCATACTATATTTTATTGCTAAGAGATTAGGAAATGAAATTTAAAAAATCTTAGTATAGTAAATATTATTGATATTGTTGATAAATACTGTTGATATTACAGTGAAAATAGTTTATATTGTTGCTCTCAGCAGAATCAAATTTGGATATTTTATTTAGTGCATACTACAGGGGAAAAAATAATGTGTGAGATTACTTTTGGTGTGAGAGTCACATTGCAAATGCCAATTTATAAATTCATTTTATACCCTCTTTAAAGGTATTAATCTGTATTTTAGAGAAAGTGAAGCAAAGATAGTTGTCAAAAGTAAGATGAGATTACTTTTTAGATTTTACTTGAAGAAAGAGAAGTTCTTGGTGTTCAGCTGCTTTTACTAATAGAACATGACCCACCCTTCTTGTGTTTTTATACAGAGCCATTTAAAGTCATGGCTTTCATTGCCCAGAGTTCTAAGGGAAAACAACAACATCTTTTCCTGTTGTGCAGGGAAAAATGACTTAAGTTTTGTTGACGCTGAATATGTATATAACCCCAGATGGGCACACATTCCTCTTGCACAGATTTAGTACTCTGGGGAGAGGAGATTTTTAAGTCATATTCTTAATTTCCTTAAGTTGTCAGTGATTTAAAAACTTGATGTTCATTATAACTCTGCTCTACTGCTGTCTAGAATGACATCACTGTTTTTGTGCCAGAGGGAGTTAACAAACATTTGCGTAAGAATTACATAGTCCTGTTTCTTCTGCAGACGAGTACTTTTTAATAATTATTTCCCTGCTTCCCCTCCCATATGCCCCAGTCTAAAGATTCTCACCAAAACACAGGAAATTAATTTTGAAAATGTTATGCTAATTAGATGTCTATTGTTAAAAAAGGGAAAAGTCTGTTATCTTGGAGAGTACAAACATACTAAAATAAACTTGCTATGGGGTTACTTATTTTAGGCTTTGGACCTGTTTTAAAAACATAAATGTAATTGATTCATTTAGCTACTTGGTGGACTTTGCTTGCTTCTGCATTTCCTGACATCAAAAGACCTGGCCTTTTTTTTTTTTTTTAACTGACAAAGGATTAAACAAAATCAGCCTTTGTTGTATGAAAAGTAGCAGTCATTTGCGGGATACTACAGTGTTTTCCAGTCAATGATAAGCAACTGAGCGAAAGGTGAAAAGTACCATTTGCTTGCTGTTCCTATGTAAAAATATTAAGGTAGCAGCAGTCTTGAACTGTTAACTTTGTCACTGAGGAATTGTGTGCTGTAACTGACTTAATTAGCTGAATTTCTCTGAAAACAGTCAATTTTAAGCCATACCAAGAATTTTCTGATTTTAGCTGCCACTTATCTCATAGTGCAAAGTTAGGAATAACTTACTATCTAATCTGAGAGAGAGGACTGAAATGTTCATGTCAAGGAACATAATCTGCTTAATGAAATATCCAAGAAGGAGCTCAGAAAAATATTGACTTAGAAGGTGAGTCAGTTCATATATATGAACACGCACTTGGTAATGCCTTTTGTCATTCTTTTTTATTTATAATATCAGAAATTGCTGTTAACTGCAAATATACTTTACTCTGATGAAATACTTAGGATTACTAGTGTGTTACATGTACCATTAGTGCCCATGCTTTTGTGAAGAGTGTATCCTTATTTCATTTATATAATTTAAGTTCAAATGGACCTGTCTGGGAGAATGTTACTTCATTGTCCTGGCCAGGAACTCTTATTACCAACTCTTGTTTTGCAGTAGATCAGTTGTCTTGAAATGAACTACATTACTTGGAAGCTACTATGCTTTTCACTTTGAAGAGGACTTGAAGTATTCTGATACCAAAATTGGTACAGCAACAGGAGTCTAGTATCAAAAATGTATCTTTAAATAGATAAGAGCATGACTGCCCTAAGCCCAACCTTTACACTGGCTCAGAGTAAAAAGATTTGGATCACAATATGCATCCTGTATGTGTGTGTCTGACTGAGACTTTGGCATTTGTGCCAAAGTATATTTATATTTCTCTATGACATTCTGCTTTTGTACAAGGAGTACTCTGCTCTCTGTCTGTCTTCTAATACTCATTGGATAGTAATTTTAAAATATTTTATCTATTGCTATATTTTAACTTACTAGTAAAATAAAGATCATATCTTGGAAAAAGTTATGGAATAACTCACTGCCTATACGTGGAATGTTTGGGGTTTGATGAAGCCAGAGTAAAAGTGGTAAACATCAGAGGTGCTTACTTACCAGAATACTTAGAATACCAAATAGTAACCCGAAATAAACATCATGTTTAAAATAGATTAACATACTACTGCTTCCATTTCAGGAGTAATAGTTTTGATTTAAAAATAGGCAGTAATTTTTAATTAGTAAAAATTGAACATAGCAGTGTGTGTTACTCTACTAGAACAAGGAACGCTTGTATGGGATTGGGTTCTGGAAGGGACAGTGATTCTCCAGTAATTCCAGTGAGTTCTCAGTCCTCATCTTATTTGACCTATCAGTACCATTTGGTCCTGTTGACCTTTCTTCCTTGAAGCACGTTCTTACCTTGGCTTGCAGGACACCACTTCTTGATATTCCTCCCACCTCACTGTCCATTCCTTTTCAGCTTCCTTTACTGTCTTCATTTCTTTTGCATTTGTAAATATTAAATTTACTTTGTCCTTAGCCCTTGGATTTTTTTTTTCTTTTTTTTTGTCTATATGTACTCAGTCTCTTAATAATCTCATCCAGGAGTATCTCTAAATGCATTTTTATATACTGACAACTCCCAGATTTTTTATCTTTAACTTAGACCCCTTCTCTGAACTCCAGACTTGTATATTCAGCTGCCTACTTTACATCTTCATGTGATGGTCTAATAGGCATCTCAGAATTAGCTTGGCCAAGATAAAATTTTTGCTGTTTATAAACAAACCATCTCCTCTCTCAGTATTACTAAGTGGCTTTTCCACACTTCAAATTCTTCCAAATCTTGGAGTCACCCTTGGCCCCTCTCTTTCAATCTTATATTCAGCTCATTAGCAAATACTGTTGACTCTATCTTTAAATTTTGTTCAGAATCTGAAGACTTCTACTTACCACCACCCTGGTCTAATTTACCATTGGTTTATGGCAGTTGCTTCCTAACTAGGCTCCTTGCTTCTGTCCTTAACCCTTTATAGTCTGTTTTAAACTGATCAGCCAGAGTAATCCTTTGAAAATGTAAGTCAAGATCACTGTAGTCAAATGGCCTCCCATTTCATCAGTGAAAAAGACAAAGTCTTTTGCACTTGCCAGTTTCTCTGCCTGAAGCCTTCTTCCAGGTGTCTCCATGGCTTACCCTTTCTCTTCCTACAGGTTGTTTCTAAAGAGGCAATGAGGCCTTTCATGACCATCCTATTTAAAAGTATACACCTAACCAGCACCCACACTTATTTGCCCCTTGTTGGCTTTATTTTTCTTCATCGTACCTCACCATCTGGGGACAATGATACTAATTGTCTTTCATTTTTTCCCTTCTTCTACCCTCTATGGTATCAGATGTCTTTCTTAAAGAATCAGCATTATTGAGTTATAACTTATATAGAATAAAATGCATTCATTTTAGGAGTACAGTTGGGTGAATTTTGACAAATGTAACCACCACCCCAGTCACGATAAAGAACATTTTCATCACTCTAAAATAATTTCTTTCTTGCTTCTTTCAACTGAATCCTCTCCTTCCTTAATCCTGGCTCCAGGCTGCTGCTAATGTGATTTCTATGACCGTAAATTAATTTTTTCTGTTTTAGAACTTTATATAGATGCAATATATAAATGGAGTCATTATAGTATGTACTTTCACTGAGTGTAATGCTTCTGAGATTTACTCATGTCATATAGGTCAGGCCTCCTCAGGGGCCGTATGCTGGGCTTCATTTCGACTTATTTCGGTACGCTGGCCCTGCCCTTCTCCCTGTGTTTGCTAGCTTTGTCATCAGCTTGGCTACAGGAATTCCAGGGATTTTATTGAGGCATGACAACAACCAGAGTGAGAAAGTGCCATGTTTTCTGGTGTCACCTTCATGGGAGCACCTTTCCAGAAGTCTTCTAATGGTCTCCCACTTATATTTCATGACAGAAACTGAGTCACATGCTTAGGCTTAAATCTTGGGGGATGCAACTGCAATGATTGGGTAAGGCCAATCAAGATTCAGCCTAGAACTCAATTCTCTGATTTACTTGGGAAAATAGAGAGTACCGAAACAAAATTGGGGCTCAATCAACAAAGAAAAGGAAATGGATATGGGATAAACAATAATGTCTGCCAAAGTCATCAACAGTCATTATAGTGATCAATAACTGAGGGCTAGCTATATGAAAACCGTTGATATATTTAGGATGAATTAGGCAGAGTTTAGTCTGGGAGCATAGGCAGGCAGGAAGCTATTCAGGAGGTTAGTAATAAGAGCATAAATTAAGGTGGTGGAAGTGGAATAGTGAGGTGAAGGGTCAGTATGAGAGAAAGTGATAAATTAGAAATATAAGGAGGATATCTGCCGTTTTGGGACTTGCATGTGGTGATATTGATGGAAGCTGAAGTCGAGATGGTGAAACTACTTATAGGGAATGTTGGTATGGGTTGATAAAATGAGTTTAATTTGGGCCATGTTGAATTTGAGGTGATATGGAACATACAAGTAGAAGTGATCATAGATGCTGAACATGCATGGTGCAGGTGATAGTGGTTGATATTATTTTGAGGGTTATTAGCTAAGTTGAGGCCTTGAAAATAAATGAGTTCTCCTAGGGACTTTGGGTAGAGATTGTTTAGCAGAGAGCCTTGCATAGTGCTTGTAGTATGGGCACTGGAGAAGAAAGAGGAAGGAGGGATTTATGGATACAGTAGTTAATGAGGGAAACATGGATAGCATAGTACAGAGATGAAGCAGCAGCATCCCTCAGAGTTAGATTTGAGCATACAGTGATCTGTAGATTGCTTTTGTCTAGGTATGACAGGGTCTAGGTGCTGTATGTCTGTTATAATCTAGTACTACATTATTTATTTTGTTGCTCAAATAATTCTGCTTTGACCATTGGGAGCTCTTTGAGATTTACTCCTTTTTTTTTTTTTCCTTCTCCCAGTCTAGAAATGCAGTAGTGTGATTGTGGCTTACTGCACCCTTGACCTCCTGGGCTCAAGCAGTTCTCTACCTCAGCCTCCCAAATAGTTGGGATTACAGGCATGTGCCACCAAACCCAGCTAATTTAAAAATTTTTTTGTATAGATGGGAGTTTGTCATGTTGCCCATGCTGGTCTTGAACTCCTGGACTCAAGTGATCCCCTCACCTCAGCCTCCCAAAGTGCTGGGATTACAGGCGTGAGCCACTGTGCCTGGCAACTATTATTATTATTTTTTGAGACAGAGTCTCCCTCTGTCGCCTAGGCTGGAGTGCAGTGGTGTGATCTCGGCTCACTGCAAACTCCGCCTTCTGGGTTCAAGCAATTCTTTGCCTCAGCCTCCCGAGTACCTGGAACTACAGGTACCCGCCACCATGTCTGGCTCATTTTTTTTATTTTTAGTAGAGACGGAGTTTTGTCATGTTGTCCAGGCTGGTGTCGAACTACAGACCTCAGGTGATCTGCCCGCCTTGGCCTCCCCAAGTGCTGGGATTACAGGCATGAGCCACCGTGCACGGCCAGCAACTTTATTTTTTTATAGTAGTTTTAGTAGTACGGAAAAATTGAGCAGAAAGAACAGCAAGCTCTCACTCCCTTTCCACTCTCTCCCACACTGTTTCTTCTCTTATTAACATCTGGCATTAGTGTGGTACATTTGTTACAATTGATGAAAACATATTGATAAATTATTGTTAACTAAGATCCATAGTTTACATTAGGGGTCACTCTTTGTGTTATCATACAGTATAGTTTCACTGTCCCCCAAATTCCTTGTGCTCCACCTGTTCTTCTCTTCTTCCCCTTCCTTCCCCACTGTCTTCCCTGGTGACCACTGACCTTTTTACTGTTTCTATATATAGTTTTGCGTTTTCTGAAATCTCATATAGTTGGAATGATGCAATATATAGCCTTTCATACTATACTGGTTTCTTCGACTTAGCAATATGCATTTAAGGCTCCTCTGTGTCTTTGTGACTTGATACCTCATTTCGTTTTGTCGTCGAATAATATTCTATTGTATGGATGTACTGACAGTTTATCCATTCACTTATTGAAGAATATTTTGGTTGGTTCCAAGTTTTGGCGGTTACAAATGAAGCAGCTGTAAACATTTGCACATGTGCATGGAAGTTTTCAACTCATTTGGATAATGGACTGCATTTGATTGATCATCTGTTAAGCTTTGTAAGAAGCTGCCAAACTGTCTTCCAAAGTGGGCTGTACCATTTTTGCATTCCCACCATCAGTGGATGAGAGTTTCTGTTGCTTCACAGCTTCATCGGCATATGGTGTTCTCAGTGTTTGGGATTTTATCCATTATACTAGGTGTGTGGCAGTATCTCATAATTTTATTTTATAGTTCCCTAATAACATATGATGTTGAATATCTTTTCACTTGCTTATTTGCCATCTGTGTTATCTTTGGTGAGGTGTCTGTCAGATCTTTTGCCTGTTTTAAATATGGTCGTTTGTTTTCTTATTGTTGAATTTTAAGAGTTCTTTGCATAATTTAGATGCAAATCCTTTATCAGATATGTGTTTTGCAAATATTTTCTTCCATCTGTGGCTTGTCTTTTCTTTAGCTTTTTGTTTTTACTGTACTTCCTGACCTTCTCATACTGCAGTATGCTCCAGGTTCATCTTGTATTTTCCCTGCCGAGCCCTATAGTTAGTCATTTTTCCAAGAAGCTGTGGTTCCTGATTCCTTTTATTGGAGAGTGGTTATTTAGAAATCTATATCTGGTCACTGGGTTTATTTGTTACTACTGAGGTGTTACCGTTTCTAGGCCCTCTGGTGACTAGCAATAGATAATATGTGTATATATGCTACTAATTCATGTGTATGTACATATCTACAGTTGTTTCTGTGTCTGTTCATCACTGTACACATACTAAGCTGATTGTGAGTTTATACTGATATCTCCGACTCTTCGATACCACAGGGTTCATTTTAGCCTTCCTTTCTTGCGTATCTGTAACTTCTCTCTCATATGAGAAACCCGGCTCCTACCATCCAGTGTCCATTTACTTATTTATTTATCCCCATACACATATAAAGCAATTTCAGAATTGTTTGCCTGTATCTCCTGTGAGAAACAAATTTAACCAACTAGTTAATCCAAGGTTGATTGGATTATTTGTATACATATATTCACATACACACATATTTATAATAACTTACATTAGAGCCACTATAATATGGTACGAAAAAGACCGAGTGTTCTAATCTAATACATACAAGCTGGGCAAGGTATTTAACCTGACTAGGTCTTATTTTTGTACTTGGTAATTTTTTACATACTTAGAAAACTTTGGCCGGGCATGGTGGCTCACTCCTATATATAATCCCAGCTCTTTGGGAGGCTGAGGCGGTTGGATCCCCTGAGGTCAGGAGTTCGAGACTAGCCTGGACAACATGGTAAACTCCTATCACTACTAAAATACAAAAATTAACTGGGTGTGGTGGCAGGCACCCATAATCCTAGCTACTCCAGAGGCTGAGGCACGAGAATTGCTTGAACCCTGGAGGCGTAGTTTGCAGTGAGCTGAGGTGGCATCACTGTACTCCAGCCTGGGCAACAGAGCAAGACTGTCTCCCCCGCCCCCCCCCCCCCCCCCCCCCCCGCAAAAAAAATTGAGGATTCAAGAGGAAACATTTTTCGAGCAATGAATTTTAAAAAGCTCTCTCTTTCTTTTCCAGTCCCATTTCATCTTTGTGTAAATCCTTTTTTATTTTACATATTTTTTCATCTTGAAAATGGAATGACATGCTGATTTTTCTTTTTTCTTTTCTTTTTTTTTTTTTTTTTTGAGACAGAGTCTCACTCTGTCACCCAGGCTGGAGTGCAATGGTACGATCTTGGCTCACTGCAACCTCCGTCTCATGGGTTCAAGTGATTTTCCTGTCTCAGCCTCTCGAGTAGCTGGGATTACAGGCACCCGCCACCACACCGGCTAATTTTTTTGTATTTTTAGTAGAGATGGGGTTTCACCATGTTGGCCAGGCGGGTCTCTAACTCCTGAACTCAAGTGACCCACCCACCTCGGCCTCCTAAAGTGCAGGGATTGCAGGTGTGAACCACCACGCCTGGCTGACGTGCTAATTTTTTAAACTTGAGTTTTTACTTACTTACTAACTTACTATATTGACATCTTTACATGTCAATAAAAAAAATATTTTTTTTTAAATTTCGGTTTGGTTTTTTATTTAATTAGTCATTCTTTTTTAAAAAAATTTATTTATTTTTTAGACATGGGGCATTGCTATGTTGCCTGGGCTGGACTTGAACTCTTGGATTTAAGCAATCCTCACACCTCAGCTTTCTGAGTAGCTAGGACTACAGGTGCATGCCATTATGCCTGGCTGCCCCCTTGGTTTTATCTCCTGTTTTGTATCCTATTTCTGTGCCAGTGTGGATACTTAAGGTCTCCAGGATTCAGCATAAACTCTCAGGATGAAAGCCAATTTACTGCTGTCTTACATTCCTGAATTCCCAGTTTCACTTCACTTTGGACCTTTGTGGAATCCTTCCTTTTGTGTTAGTTCAACAAAATGTTAAAAAAAAATTTTTTTTTCCTTTGTTTCTAATCAGGAGTGTTCAGGGTATCTACTCTTCATTATGCCAATAACAGAAGTCTGTAACTCACTGAGCAGTCCACAATGTGGATGTGCCATAAAGTTTTAATCACTTCCTTACTAAGGAAGTGATTAAAGTAAGAAATAAATTCAATTTAAAAAAATTTTAAAAAAAGAAGTTCAATTTATTTCTACTTGCTTCCACGCTAAAAATTACGACGTAAAAATTCAGTAACTTTCCTCACCAGTGGAGTTAGGCAAAGAAGCAAGATAGGCTCATTCTTTTTTTTTTTTTTTTGAGATGGAGTCTCGCTCTGTTGCCCAGGCTGGAGTGCAGTGGCGCGATCTCGGCTCACTGCAAACTCCACCTCCCGGGTTCACGCCATTCTCCTGAAGATAGGCTCATTCTTATGTCTTTTCTATGCTGCTTAATTTGTGAATACCCTGAAACCTAAATGCTAATAGGATACGTTTTTAGACACCCTCTAAAAATTTCCCACCCAAAGTGAACTCGTCATAAGCATTTTGTTGTTTCTGAATAGCATATGTCTAGGTGACCATACTTTGGAAATTGTGTCCAAAATGCAGCAGTGCAAGTGATCTGGGATTGTGTTTTGGGCAGGTGAACAATGGTTTTGATTCATACTGAGTTATAAGAAAGTGGAAGTTGTACCAAACTGCAGGATGATTTAGAAAACGGAGTCTGATGTTTCTCAAATAATCAAAACCGAAAGTCTCAGAATTATGTTTTCAGATGGCATAATTACAAATAAATGAGGAAGTGAAATAGCAGGTTACAAGTCCTTGAGAGTGGACAGTGCAGAGGCACGTGGCACTGATTTCCAGGTCAAAGAAGAGGCCTTTTGCAAAGCATCAACTCGAATTCAGGTTATATAATCCTGAGTATTTTAAGCATGTTATCTGCATATTATTTGTCATGAGAGAATACTTTCCCTCTTCATGGTTTATTTTTCCTTATTGGTACATTTTGAACTCCAGAATTCTTTATTTACTATTTGGCTTTCCATAAACAATCAGGCAGAATGACTATGAGATTCTCTACATTGAGCAACTGTGTACATAATATTTGCTTATGATAAGACTTATATTATCATGATAAATCCTTTCTCTTCACATAGTATCTGATAATCCAATGCCCTTTTAAACAATAAGAAAGATGTTTTCCAAAGACTTTTTTTCAGAAATCAGATGTTTCTTGGAGCCTTTTCCAGTCTTCATACAATATATCTTTGCCATTTTTTAAATTGAGGACTAAACCAAACTTTCCATAAGTTTTTGTGTTTGAATTTTTACTGTGTAACTACTCTTTGAGGTAGACATTTGCATTTACCCAACATTCATCCTTGTTAAAACTTGCGTGGCTGAGATGTCCTTAGGTTTGTAGTAGTAAGTTGGCCAGCTTCGGTGGAATCTCTCTGGCCTTTGAAGTTGGCACAGTCCAGTATAGCTACCTCAAAGGATATGTGGTCATGGAAAAACGTGTTTTTGTTGTTGAGTGTTCTTGCTTTCTAGTAATTTTATTTTCTGCTCAAGAGATTTAGTATCTGTTCAGATACTTTATTTTTAAAGGCCACATAAGTAATGACTTGACCTCTAATCTTAGCTTTGAAATTTTCCCAGACACTAATAAAGATGATGTCTGATGACCTTTTATTTGAGAATAGTACTCATTGGCCAGCTATCAGTGCTACTTAAAAATGTATATTTTACTCAAAAAATTATTTCCATGGCTAAAAGACTTTCTCAGTAAAATCACACATGTCATGACATAATTTGGTGACTCTTGCACCTTGTTTTAGAATAGTTTTTACATAACATTACTGAGACTTAGTACTGTTCAAAACAACTCTTCTCTTCAAATACAAATATGAGTTAGTTCTGAGAAAAATATTCTGTAAACCATAATCTTATCTGAAATAGCACCCATCTCTTGGATCCAGTAAGAATATTTTAGACATGAAGGGTTCTATAGTAAAAGACCTGGAATTAATCCTTGTTTTGCATGAATGTGGGCTCTCTTTCCTGTAAATATACAGTAAGGTTTTACAAAGAATCAAGTTACTACTGAAGACTAAGATCATCAGTTGGGCTGGGCTGGGCGTGGTGGCTCATGCCTGTAATCCCAGCACTTTGGGAGGCCGAGGCGGGCAGATCACGAGGTCAGGAAATCGAGACCATCCTGGCTAACATGGTGAAACCCTGTCTCTACTAAAAAATAGAAAAAATTAGCCAGGCGTGGTGGTGGGCGCCTGTAGTCCCAGCTACTCGGGAGGCTGAGGCAGGAGAATGGCATGAACCCGGGAGGTGGAGCTTGCAGTGAGCCAAGATCATGCCACTGCACTCCAGCCTGGGCAACAGAGCGAGACTCCGTCTCAAAAAAAAAAATTATCTGGGCTGGCCGCATTAGGATATAAGCTTAATAATTAGTGGAGTAAAAGAAGTTCTTCAGATTTTATTAATATGTGTGGTAAGGCTTAGTTATGAAGAAGAGGGGACAAGGCAGTTTCCTTCCAGGTGTTGGGGCATAGCTAATTGCCCTTTTTGGTCTGTTTTTACTTGTCTTATATCTATAATAACGGACTCTCTTGATAAGAACCCACCTAGGCACAATGATGTTTTTGTGGGGTTGGCAGAGGAAACTGCATGTTGCTACCTTGATGTGTTTTCTCGTTTGACTTTTTGTTAAGAGATGATGTTTAGTTCTTTGTTGCTGAACTCTGTTAGTGCAAAGAGAAGAAAAATCTTGCTTAATTAATTGCAATATTAAATTGAAATATATTTTAGCTTCCTTAGACAGTCCTGAAAGAGATTTGCATAACTGGGGTCTTCCCTTGGTTCCAGTGGAGGGGAAATATTTCAGTTCACTTACTTGGGGCTATAAAAGTTTGTTCTTCCTTTCCCTGAAGCAAGAATTGTGAACATAAAGTCATAAAACAGTTTCAGTGTTAATTTTTAAAACTTCTCCATATTTCCACCCTCATCAGTGGTAAATAATGTGCCTGATGTAAAATGGAAAAAGTTGAAAATTTCCACTTGTACATTTTGAGCTTTTCAGAGGTACTATATACACTCTGGAAATAATAATAAAAGATACTAAGGCTTATACAGTGCTTTTTGTTTGAGGAACTCATATAAACACTAATGCATTGATCCTAACACAGTGCTTGATTGTGACTTTAAAAGGTCATGAGTTACTGCTGTTACAAAAAAAAAAAAAAAATGGAGGGGCGCTCCACTTTACAAATATAGTTTAAAAAATATCTAGATAAAAATTGAAACAGATAACTGAAAAAACAAAACTTATAGGGTATTTGTTTGTATGTTGACTTTTCTCTTAGCGTATGATATATTTTTATTCCTTTATTATTTTTTCTTTTACATATGAATCTACTTGAAGCCTGATTTTCTTTTCTTTTTTTTTTTTTTTTTAATGTTTTTAAGACAGGATCTTGCTCTGTTACCCAAGCTGGAGTGCAGTAGCACAATCATGGCTCACTACAGCTTTGATATCTCAGTCTCAATTGATCCTCCCACCTCAGCCTCCCTAGTAGCTGGGACTACAGGCGTGTGCCACTGTGCCTGACTAATATTTTAAATTTATTTTTTGTAGAGATGGGTCTCATCATGTTGCCTGGGCTAGTCTTGAACTCCCAGGCTCAAGCAGTCCTCCTGCCTCGGCCTCTCAGAGTGCTGGGATTACAGGTGTGAGCCACTGTGCCCAACTCCCGCAACCCCCCCGCTTTTTTTTTTAATGAGACAGGGTCTTGCTATGTTGCCCAGACTAGACTCAGACACCTGGGCTCAAACAATCCTCCCACCTCAGCCTCCTGAGTATCTGGGACTGTAGGCCCACACCACTGTTCCCTGCCTGATTCCTATATTAAATAAGAAAGCAGAATCTACTTTTAAGCCTTTATTCCTTCTCAGCCAAGAAGGTTTAAACTTCTGGTGGTTTCCTGAGCTTGACGTATTATGTTAATATGCATTTGTCCTTTTAATTTGCTCAGTTTAATATTTGTAGTATGTAGCTATTGATTTCGATGAATTCAATAGTCATGTGGCTTAATTTTCAACTTTCTTGTGTTTCATAGGTTTATTCTTCAGTCCAAGGAAGCAATTCACAGTCAGCTGTTAGAGAAGCAGAAAATAGCAGAAGAAAAAATTAAAGAACTAGAAGTAAGTTTTTATTGGCAATAGGAGTTAACTTTTGGGAGAAAGTAGTAATCTTATTGTGTCATATTAAATGAAAATGTATGCCTGCCTGCCAAAGTAATGTCATATTATTTTTATTTTCTATAATTACGTTGGAGCCGTGAAGCTGTCATATTCATATTCATAGCGCATATAAGACCAAAACAAAAAAAAAAGAATAGTCTCTTCTTTGGAACTGCAGAGAATTTTGATGAGATGGTTTTAACCTGAATGTATTTTGTTCATTGCCCTTGAATGTGTTTATTCTTTAAAAAAAACAAAACCATAAACAAAATGTAATGTATATTTAAACAACACTTGTGTAGTGGATTGTGGTGGATGGGCAGGAGAGTGGGTAATAATGATAAATTTTAGAGGATCTTGGTATAGGGTCTTTTTTACACATTGTAATTTCTTTAACCTAAATTAGGTTCTATATAAGGACAAAGTAGCAAGCTATAACCAATTAACTATCTGAAGGATGGTGCTCCAATGAGAACAATTTTTTCTTTTTAGCTAGGGAAAAAGATGATAGGTAACAGTAAGCAAATCTTTGGAAATATTACTTTATTATTTTTATTATTATAATTTATTTATACATTAAGACCTTTAGTGAGATATTCTTCTTGGGCTTTGGTGAAAGGCCCATCCTGTGTATAGTAAAAGTTAGACTGGACAAAAAGCTGGTTATTTCTTAGGGACCAAGATTTCCCAACATGTGGGTGGATACATTGACTTCATAGGTCATTTCATCTAATTTCTGTAAGTACTATTTGAGGCAGAGGATCAGAATCTAACTCAGCCCTCTGCTGAATTTGGGAGCTACAACTTGTAGCCTCCTGAGGATTTCTTAGGGGCACTGAATTGGCCTGGCCTGGGAGTATGCAGTATCTTAGGTTACTTAGGCTTATTTTTAACTACTGATAGTTGAAACAAACTTGATAATAGATTTGCAGCTTAGAAAAGTGTATTGTAAAAACAAGACAAAAAAGCAAAAAAACCAAGTAAAGAAAAAACAGCCTGTGATAACCAGATTGTTGTTGTGTCCTATTTTAACATTTTAATCAGCTCAACTGTTCTAAGAGGTTCAGTTTGATATCTGTGTTTTCACTCATAAGAAACAAAAGTATCTTTAAAAACCCAAACAGAATCATTTCATGTAGATAAAACAAAATGCATTTTTGCAACTGTAGGTAAATATATTTAAAATTATCCTAATGAATAATAAGTAGCAAGGTAATATGTATATAATTCTCTTTATGAAAACAAAAAACAAACATTTGTGTATGAATATTGAAGATGATATGTAAGGATATATATTAAATTGTTAATACTGTTTACCCTAAAGAAATTAGATGGGACGTAGGGATAAATGATTTTTTCTTTTTCTTTCTTTCTTTTCTTTTCTTTTCTTTTTTTGTTTTTTTTTTTTTTTTTTGAGACGGAGTTTCGCTCTTGTTGCCCAGGCTGAAGTGCAATGGTGTGATCTCGGCTCACTGCTACCTCCGCCTCCTGGCTTCAAGCGATTCTCCTGTCTCAGCTTCCCAAGTAGCTGGGATTACAGGCATGCGCCACCACGCCCTGCTAATTTTGTGTTTTTAGTAGAGATGGGATTTCTCCTTGTTGGTCAGGCTGGTCTCGAACTCCCGACCTCAGATGATCTGCCTGCCTCGGCCTCCCAAGTGCTGGGAATCATAGGCCACTGCGCCTGGCCTTGATTTTTTTCTTACAATCTCTGTAATAATAAATTATAACAAGTATACATTAACTTTTTTTGTTGTTAACTTTCATGATTAAAAAATTAGCAGAGTGGGCACAGTGGCAAATGCTTGTAGTCCCAGCTACGGGAGGCTGAAGCGGGAGGATTGCCTGAGGCATTCCAGCCTGCGCAACATAACAAGACCTTGTCTCTTTAGGGAAAAAAAAAAACACAAAAACCCCAATTATCAAGGTGAAATTGCCACAGGTGATGATTTTATCAATACCGTACTGCTGAGTTCTGGTGAATATTAAGAAATTTACTTTCTGCAAGTTTCCTTTTGTTGAGTGTCTCAAATACTGGTAGAATGTTTTATCTTTTAGGAAGTTCTTTTTTCTTTTTTAATTTTTCATTTTACATGTTACTTACATTATAAAAGCAATAGAAGTACACCATAAATAAAATATAAAACAAATGATTAAACAATGAAAATATTACTTTGTTTTTCCACCCTCGGTACATCCAAATGTCACCTCTACGGTTTCTGTATCATTCCAAACTTCTATATTTATATCAAGACATTCATACATGCATATATATACACAACCTTTTTTTAAAATAGGAATTATGCTATATATACTGTTTTCCATCATTTGACAGTTTATCTTGCTACTTTAGTAATATAACTCCAGTTTATATACAATTTCTTTTTTTGATTCCCATCATCATGGGCTCCTTACCATGAGCCTTATTTCAGCATTTAATATGTTCTCCAGTACTTCCCTAATCTGTGCTTTTAACAGTATCACCCAGTGTATACTCCCCTCTCTTCTCTGAAACAATCCTATACTTTTCCACTGCTACAACTTTATGGTTTTATTACTTCAGCACACCCCCACATGTGCACTTATGCACATATACACTGTTAATTGTGATGTTCAAATTTTGTGTGTATCTTACTGAATTATCATCTGCTTATTCATTTAGTTACTGAGAGATGTGATGAATCTTCCTCTATGACAGTGTTTATCAATTTCTCCTTAATCTGTCAGTTTAGTGGGCAGTGATATTTAGAGAATACAGTGTTGGGGGGGCAAGTGCTCATTATTACTGTATACGAAGTTTGGAGCTTATGTTTTGTTTTTTGTTTTTTTTTTTTTTTTTTTTTTTTTTTTTTGAGACAGAGTCTCATTCTGTCCCAGGCTGGAGTCCAGTGGTGTGTCTTGGCTCACTGCCACCTCTGCCCCAAAGGTTCAAGCGATTCTTCTGCCTCAGCCTCCTGAGTACCTGGGACTACAGGCCCACCATGCCTGGCTAATTTTTGTATTTTTAGTAGAGATGGGGTTTCACCATGTTGCCCAGACTGGTCTCGAACTCCTGACCTTGTGATCCACCCACCTTGGCCTCCCAAAGTGCTGGGATTACAGGTGTGAGCCACCATGCCTGACTGGGGCGTATGTCTTATTTTGTTTTATGTTAGGAATTTCTCAGCTCTTCTGTTTATATTTATTTATTTTTTATTGTTTTGAGATGGCATCTTGCTCTGTTGTCCAGGCTGGAGTGCAGTGGCATGATCTTGGCTCACTGCAGCCTCCGCCTTCTGGGTTCAAGCGATTCTTCTGCATCAGCCTCCTGAGTAGCTGGGATTACAGCCACCATGCCTGGCTACTTTTTGTATCTTTAGTAGAGACGGGGTTTGGGTTTCACCATGTTGGCCAGGCTGGTCTTGAACTCCTGACCTCCAGTGATCTCCCCACCTCAGCCTCCCAAAGTGCTGGGATTACAGGTGTGAGCCACAGCACCTGACCTGTCAGCTCTTTTAAAGATAACCATTCTACTGACTTGTGGCTTCCACTGTTGCTGTTAAGAAGTCATCTGTTAGTCTAATTGTTGTTAATTTGTCTTTTCTCTTTACCTGTTTTTACTTGTCTATGTCTTTCATGCTTTGTAGTTTCTCTGGGATGTGTTTAGGTGTCGATTTATTCCTTTTCTTTTTTTTTTTAATTTGAGATGGGGTCTCACTCTGTCACTCAGGTTGGCTTGTAGTTGGGTGATCTCAGCTCACTGCAGCCTCCACCTCCCAGGCTTAAGCAATCCTCCCACCTCAGCCTCCCAAGTAGCTGAGACCACAGGCATGCTACCACGCGTGGCTAATATTTTTTTCTTTATCTTAGTTAGAATTTGTTGGGTTTCCTGAATCTGAGGATTAGTGTTTTTTTTTTAATAAATTCTGGAAAATTTGTATTTCTGAAGATTACTTCTTCCTTATTTTGTTTATTAATGATATTTCCTTTTGGAATTTTTCCCCACCTTTGAACTGGCTGCCACCACCATCTGCAGTAGGATATTAACTGATTTTACCATATCCAGCCTTCTCTCGTTCAGTTCTTTTTATAACATATTTAAGTTAGAATGACCTTTCTAAAATGTTAAATCTGATCATATTACTCTCTCATGTAAAACCAATAGTTGTTCTTAGGGTTAAGTTCAAACTTTTTTTTTTTTTTTGAGACGGAGTTTTGATCTTGTTGCCCAGGCTGTAGTGCAATGGCATGATCTTGGCTCACTGCAACCTCCACCTCCTGGGTACAAGTGATTCTCCTGCCTGCCTCAGCCTCCTGAGTAGCTGGGACTACAGGCATGTGCCACTATGCCCAGCTAATTTTTTTGTATTTTTAGTAGAGACGGGGTTTCAACATTTTGGCCAGCCTGGTCTCGAACTCCTGACCTCGGGTGATCTGCCCGCCTTGGCCTCCCAAAGTGCTAGGATTATAGGTGTGAGTGAGCCACTGTGCCCAACCAGTTCAAACTTTTTAACATACCTTGAAGGCCTTTAAAGATATGATTTCTGTTTATTTCTCTCATCCCTCTCATTTCCTCTGCCTTCTGTTATACTGTATGCTTTAGCCATGCAAAAATACTCTCAGTCTTTTTTTTTTTTTTTTTTTTTTTTTGAGACGGTGTCTCACTCTGTCACCCAGGTTGGAGTGCAGTGGCGCTATCTTGGCTCACAGCAACCTCTGCCTCCTGGGTTGGAACAATTCTCCTGCCTCAGCAGGAGATCCCTTCTGGGATTACAGGTGTGTGCCACCACGCCCAGCTAATTTTTGTATTTTTAGTAGAGACAGGGTTTTGCATGTTGGCCAGACTGGTCTTGAACTCCTGACCTCAGATGATCCACCCACCTCTGCCTCCCAGAGTGCTGGGATTACAGGCATGAGCCACCACACTTGGCCAATACTCTCAGTCTTTGGAGCTTGCTCTTTTTTCATTCTGCTAGATCTTCGAAAAGTAGTTATCTCCACTTGGGAACTTCCTCCCTCTGCCTTTATCAATTCCATCTACTAATCCTTCAGATCTTAGCATAGAATTACTTCTCCTGAGAACCATTTTCTGATTCCTCAGTCTTAAGTTAGCTGCTTCTTTCTTGTGTTCTCTGGTTACTCTGTTAGTTTCTTAGCACATTGTAGGGATTTGGAAATATAAACTCTCACCAGTTGAGTAAATCATAAATATGGTTTCCTATTACTTTGGAAGCTTGATACAGATTTAGAGCTCTAAATGATTTTCCCCAAGTCCTTGGTGTTGCTCCTGTTTTCAAATCTGCAGTCTCTTCTTCTAGACCTAGTATTTCTTGTCAGTCTAATCTACTTCATTTTAATCCTCTGTAATTATCATCATCATCATCATCATCATCATCATCATCATCATCATCATCAATTTCTCTTCTGAGATACCCTGTATTAAGTTGGGGAGGCACAATTTATACCCAACTCTGTAGACAAAGGCCATGCTATTTCTATTTATCATGTTTTCATCTCTGAAAGAGTAAGGTTCATATTGGTTGGGGTCAGAGTTCCAGTTTTTGATAAAAGCTGTTAACTTGTTTTACTGATTTGGCCCACCGAGTATGCTTCCCCACCCTCTACCCACAGTTTGTGTAGATGGCAGGAGGGACAAACCTTTTCCATGACATAGGTGCTGGTCTGATTCAGGTTCTCTAACCTGATACCCCATTTTCATTAGTATTTGCTAGGTTCCCTTTTACCCAGCTTTGTTCTTTCTGTTTCTTTATACTTGCCCTCTCCTGATTTCTTTTTTCTGATCTTATTTATGAGTGCAAAGCTTACCTAGACTTTGTTTAGCTTTTTGTAGCTTTGTCATGTTGTGCCCTATGTCATCAGCCAGCCAAGTGGCCTCATCTACTGGCCCTTGTCTCTTATAGGCAGGGGTGGGGGTACTACTTGCCCTCATGTTAATCTTGATAGGGAGTCATATTCCTTATTAGCAGAATAAACACAAGCACTGTCTTTTTTTTTTTTTTTTGAGACAGAGTCTCGTTCTGTCTCCCAGGCTGGAGTGCAGTGGCGCAATCTCGGCTCACTGCAGGCTCCGCCTCCCAGGTTCACACCATTCTCCTGCTTCAGCCTCCCGAGTAGCTGGGACTACAGGCACACCCCGCCATGCCCAGCTAATTTTTTTTGTATTTTTAGTGAGACAGGGTTTCACCGTGTTAGCCAGGATGGTCTCAATCTTCTGACCTCGTGATCTGCCTGCCTTGGCCTCCCAAAGTGCTGGGATTACAGGTGTGAGCCACCGCGCCTGGCACAAGCAGTGTCTTAATGGTGGGAAGATAGTCTTACTGTCTTTTTTTTCCTTAGAACTTCTTTGTTGAACCTATGAATTGTACAAAGAATAAAGAAAACAAAAGAACTTCCTTTTACTTTTTTTTTTTTTTTTTTGAGATGAAGTCTTGCTTTGTTACCCAGGCTGGGGTGCAGTATCACAATCTCGGCTCACTGCAATCTCCATGTCCCAGGTTTAAGTGATTCCCCTGCCTCAGCCTCCCAAGTAGCTGGGATTACAGGTGCCTGGGCTAATTTTTGTATTTTTAGTAGAGACTGTGTTTCACCATGTTGGCCAGGCTGGTCTTGAACTCCTGGGTGATCCACCTGCCTCAGCCTCCTAAAGTGCTAGGATTACAAGCGTGAGCCGCTGTGCTCTGCCTCTTTTTACATTTTAATACCCCTATGTTAGACTGTTCTTCAGGCCATCATCACTGTAATGGGATTAATTGGGAAGTATTTTCATAACAGACTCACGGTTTATGTAGATTTAATCTTTCGTTATAAAGGTGATAGATCAAATTCTGGAAGAGAATACATCCTAACTGTGATTAGTAGACCAGTGATGCTGATCCTATTCACGAGAAAATACAAAATCGTGGCTTTAGTATGATAGAGTAACCATGTTATTTTTGTCATTTTTTGAGGAAATTTTCTATTTTTAAAAAATACTGATAATAACTTTCTAAAGAAGGTACTGAGTGCATAATACCTAATACAGTATTTGTTGTTATTTGAAAAGTACCCAAGCATAATTTTAGAAAATAGCATGATTACAACTGTGATTTGGAATTATGACATGTCTCATTTGTCTTTGTAAAATAATTTTCTTTTTATAATGTATAACATTGGTACTAAGAGAAAGTAGAAGTCTTTTTTGACAAAATTCAGTTTTAAAGTTGAGTTAAAACTGTTGATAGATTGAGATCTATATCTTCTAAAGAGTGGGAAATTCATCCTCTGGTTTTGCTAACTTTTTTGGAGGTAAGCAGGAAATAATTAATGGGCCTCTTTTGCAGTTAGGAAAATTTAAGTCAGCATTCAGATGATCTAGAGATGAGCTCCTGACCTTCTGAATCTCAACTATTAGGAATCCTTGAGGTAAATGTAAACTTTCAATGATACATTTGAACACATTTTTGCCACCATTGCCTTATGTTTTTTTTGTTCCAGGTGGAGGCCAGTTACTGCTTCAACCTAAAGTCAGCCTTCAACCTAAAGTCTGTTATATTTTAGGCACATGCATATACAGGTTCACCAGCTTCCTTCCCCTCTGTCTCCAACATGGTTACCACCCCTTTCACCACCCTGGTTAGCTCAGCAATAACAGAATAAGAATAAGGAAACCTAGGACAGTCTGGCGTGCTTAGCGCCACTTCTGATGCAGAATGTTGCAATCCCAGGGCTGTTGAAATAACTCCCCAGCCCATATCATATGTAAAAAAAAAAAACTGTTAAAGTCTTGACGTTTAAAGTCCCAACTCTTCCACAAAAATGACAGTTTTGGTCAGACAGTGGTTCCTGAAATAAATAGGAAGAATGGCGGCGAGAGAACAGGATAGGAGGTGCCTGTGACACTCTGCAGTTGGCTTAGGTTTGATACTCTGATGAGAACATGCTTTGGAGGGATTCCCATGATTGAGGAAATTTTACTCTGCCTGTTGAGAATCATTTTTTCCATCGCATGGGTGGTGACTGGTAGGCACTTGGATGGATGTCCAGTTTTGCCCTAAGTACTGCATTTTTGAGCTGGTACTATTGGTGTATATAATAGGAGCCCCCATTTGGAGGTGATGTCAGGTGGACTCTACTGTATGATAGTCACTGATTCTTACCTCTGTTTTTCTCTTTTTTTTTTTTTTTTTGAGATGGAGTCTTGCTCTGTTGCCCAGGCTAGAGTGCAGTGGCACGATCTCGGCTCACTGCAACCTCCGCCTCCTGGGTTCAAGCGATTCTTCTGCCTCAACCTCCTGAGTAGCTGGGACTACAGGTGCATGCCACCATGCCCGGCTAATTTTTGTATCATTAGTAGAGATGGGGTTTCACCATATTGGCCAGACTTGGTCTTACCTCTGTTTTTCAATGAAGAAAGGAGGGCAGGGGATAGCAGAGCCAATGATAGAATGTTTTTAAAACATTAAACAAGACATATGCCCAGCAGTTCATCTGCTTGCATAGCTCTAAGTTTATAATCCATTAAAAATTTAGTCATTAATTTTTTATTGAAATGTAGCATTTAAGAAATGTGTTAAATAACATTTATAGCTTAATCATTATAAAGCAAACACGTCAGTTATCCAGGCCAGTAAATCAAATGTTGTCAGGAAACCAGAACCCTCCTTGTTGTTTATCACTGCCTAATCATGTGCCATCCCTGCCTGCCTCTCCCATCAAGTAACTACTTCCCTAACTTTTGTGATAATTATTTCCTTTTTCAAAAATACAGTTTTACAGCCGGGCATGGTGGCTCATGCCTGTAATCCCAGCACTTTGGGAGGCTGAGGCGGGTAGATCATGAGGTCAGGAGTTCAAGACCAGCCTGGCCAAGATGGTGAAACCCCGTCTCTACTAAAACTACAAAAATTAGCCGGGCGTGGTGGTGGGCGCCTGTAATCCTAGCTACTTGGGAGGCTGAGGCCGAGAATTGCTTGAACCCGGGAGGTGGAGGTTGCAGTGAGCCGAGATCATGCCACTGCACTCCAGCCTGGGTGACAGAGCAAGACTCTGTCTCAAAAAAAAAAAAAAATGGTTTTACCACCTATGGATGTATCTCTAAAATAATATAATTTAGGCTGGGCGTGGTGGCTCACGCCTGTAATCCCAGCACTTTGGGAGGCTGAGGCGGGCAGATCACCTGAGGTCAGGAGTTCAAGGCCAGCCTGGCCAATATGGTGAAATCCTGTCTCTACTAAAAATACAAAAATTAGCTGGGCCTGGTGGCACGCGTCTGTAGCCCCAGCTACTCGGGAGGCTGGGGCAGGAGAATCGCTTGAACCCTGGTGGTGGAGGTTGCAGTGAGCCAAGATTACGCTATTGCACTCCGGCCTGGGCGTCACAGTGAGACTCCATCTCAAAAGACAACAACAAATATATTTTATGTGTATAAATATATCTTATGTATATAAATATATATCTTATGTATATAAATATATATATTATGTATATATGTATTTTATGTATATATATGTGTGTGTATATATATAATTTAGTTTAGCTTGTTTCTGAACTTTACATGAACAAAATCACTATTTTTTTGCCTCACTTCTTTCTCTCCACGTTGTGTTTGTGAAGTATATCTGTGTTATCTCTTGAGATTGTGAGTTGTTCATTTCATTGCTGCATAGTATCCCGTCATATAGAAGTACCACAATTTATCTATCTAGACAGTCCATTTTTATTCTTAACAAGTGAAGGTATTCTCATGGAGTATTTTTACAGTTTATCTTAGCATCTTGCTAAGATAATTTTCAGAAACCACCCTCCACCCACACTCCAGGAGAGCTTGCATCCTGGGAAGAAGTATAAAACGTTTACACTCCTGATGATTAAAATTAGCTTGATGATTTCCTACTTTCCATAGTAGCTAGATAGCTAGACACTTATGGATGTCTTTTTAAAATTTTTATCTTAGAAATCAATGCAAGATGTAAAATTAATCTCTTTCCTACGTTGTTTTGACTTGGAGAGTCTTGGGTGAAGTGATTTCTCTTATTGTGCATATATTGGGATTTCAAACATGAGTACTTATCTCTTTATAGAGCTCATTTGCATTCTTAACATTTATAAAAATGTATGTTTGTTTTAAAATAGTTTTCGGTTATTTAGGACTTCAGTCTAAGAGAGCCTGCTGGTTGGAAACCCCAGAGTTTATCATGAACTATATATATAGTCTCTATGTCCTGATGTCTTAGGGCTTAATGTAGCTGCAGAATCCTCCTTTGTGGCTTTCAGAGAAGAGTTGGTATAGGTCTGAAAAAGCCCACCATATATGCTCTTTTTCTGTTTGAGCATTTTTTCTTATTAATATTGTCAATGCCTTGTTCATTGTATATGTTATGATCCAAGTGCTAAAATTTGCCCAAATATAAAGCATCTGTGATGCATTTTATTTCCTTCATAGAAGTATTGTAGATCCAATGAGAACTTAGATGTAAGCAGTTCAAATAGATTGGTTCTTTTTTTTTGAGACGGAGTCTTGCTCTGTCACCCAGGCTGGAGTGCAGTGGCGCAATCTTGGCTCACTGCAAGCTCCACCTCCCAGGTTCACACCATTCTCCTACCTCAGCCTCCCAAGTAGCTGGGACTACAGGCGCCCGCCACCACGCCCGGCTAATTTTTTTGTATTTTTAGAAGAGACAGGGTTTCACCATGTTAGCCAGGATGGTCTTGATCTCCTGACCCCGTTATCCGCCCGCCTCGGCCTCCCAAAGTGCTGGGATTACAGGCATAAGCCATCGTGCCTGGCCCATAGATTGGTTCTTTTAATTGGATAGCCTTCCTTATTTATCTTGAAATATATATTACAGATATTTAACACACACATTGATATACCCTTGATTTGATCTGTTTCCTGGTGGCGCATCTTCATTTTATGATTAAGATAAGAGACTTAAGATAATTGGATTTGCATTCCAATTAGCCCAGAGTTCAGCTTTTTGCATCTTGTTTCAGTTATTATTTTCTTCTTGGATACATTGGGTGCCTTGTTGCTCTCCTTGGAATACTTATCTGTCCCCATACCCAACTATCCCTTTGAATGCTTTAGGGAGTTGTTGACCTCAGCCTTCATTGTTACATGCTTTATATGGTCTATACTCTTCTCTGTCTAACCATATGTCCTTAGTCTCCACCCTCCCATGCCTGGATTCCTCAAATCATTTTCAGGCTGCCTAGAGAATGATTTCTTTTAATGAGTTAGACTTTGGATTTTCTTTCATGTCATTACATACTTCCTTGCCAAGAATCCTTATCCTAGATTCTTACTCTGATCAGTTTCTGTTCTTACATCACAGGTGTCCTCCAACCTGAGGTAATAGATACTAGCCATAAAAAGCAAGTTCAATACTTCATGTGGGGAAGGCCACACCTTTATTAATAAGCATGCTACACATCAGCTCAGAAAAAGATCCAAAGAAAGGTTGACATTTCAGCCATAAATAGAAATTTCCAAGTCTACTAGATTTACAACAGAGCGTTCATTACCCTAAATTCCTAATTTTAAAAGCCTTATGTTAATTTAGGAGTTCTTCATTCTAACTCTTGCTGTACGCTAAGCCTCAGTTTCCTCACATAAAATGAGAATATTGGATTAGAAGATCTCTAGGGTCACTCCAGTCACTTCTATTAAGTTTATTGTTATAACCTTGGTCTTTTTCTGAGTTTCCATTTTAGGAGCAAAAATGCCCCCTTAAAATGAAAAGATGGAGGAAAGCAAAACAAAACAAAAACAATTTCCTTTGTCCAGATCATTGTCTTAATTTAAAAAGTTAAAGGCGGGTCACGGTGGCTCACGCCTATAATCCCAGCATTTTGGGAGGCCAAGGCGGGCAGATGATCTGAGGTCAGGAGTTCGAGACCAGCCTGACCAACATGGAGAGACCCCCATCTCTACTAAAAATACAAAATTAGCCGGGCGTGGTGGCGCATGCCTGTAATCCCAGCTACTGGGGAGGCTGAGGCAGGAGAATCGCTTGAACCCGGGAGATGGAGGTTGCGGTGAGCAGAGATCATGCCATTGCACTCCAGCCTGGGCAATAAGAGCGAAGCTCCATCTCAAAAAAAAAAAAAAAAGTTATAAGGCTGGGTGCTGTGGCTCATGCCTATAATCCCAGCACTTTGGGAGTCTGAGGCAGGCAGATCTTTTGAGCCCTGGAGTTCGAGACCAGCCTGGGCAACAAAGTGAGACCTCATCTCTACAAATAATTAAAAAACTATCTGGGCATGGTGGTGCATGCCTGTGGTCCCAGCTACTGCAGAGGCTGAGGTGGGAGGATTGCTTGAGCCCAGGTGATTGAGGCTGCAGTGAGCCTTGATAGCACCACTGTACTCCAGCCTGGGTGACAGAGCGAGCCCCCCATCTCAAAAAATACATAAAAAATAAAAAGTTAATTGGAATCCTATTTTGAAGCTAAAATGAAGCTAGTTGTCTACCTATATCTAAAATGTAATTCAAGGTGATGGCATCTCCTTTGATATCTTTGCAGTCATTTAAATCACAGAGATGTCCATGTAATGGCTTAAAGGTAAACTACATTAGGCATCACCTTGTTTTAGAAATATATTTTCAGATAGAGCTGAATAGTTTAACTCCACATATGTAATTGACATACCCAGGAAGACATCACTTTATTCATTTATAGTGCTTTATCCTGTCTTATAAAATATATGATACTTAGAATAGTAGCATGCATGTTCCTGTGTTTAGATTCCTTGAGTATTTATGAACTTTTTTTTGTTGTTGTTGTTGAGATGGAGTCTTACTCTGTCACCCAGGCTGGAGTGCAGTGGTGCATTCTTGGCTCACTGCAGCCTCTGACTCCCAGATTCAAAAGATTTCCTGCCTCAGCCTCCCGAGTAGCTGGGATTACAGGGTGCGCCACCATAACCGGCTAATTTTTGTATTTTAGTAGAGATGGGGTTTCACCACGTTGGCCAGGCTGATCTTGAACTCCTGGCCTCAAGCGGTCCACCTTGGCCTCCCAAAGTGCTGGGATTACAGGTGTGAGCCACTGTGCCCATCCCGTTTATGAACTTTTTAATGAATTGTATCTTATTTATTTTAATAACTTTTTTTGTGAATTTTAGTTTATCTGCTGATGCAAACAGTTACACCATTTTCATAGGGCTTTTACCATTTTTATCTTACCGTTTTATTCATTTTTCAAATGATTTTTGCATATTACTTCATTTATAAATAGAATGACTAGGGACAATGCTGTTTTGCTAATTATGTCTAATTTGAGGTTTCTCCCAGCTCACTTTGTCTTGCTTTCAGTCTCTTACCTGCTGCCAGCATAATCGAAATATTTGAATTCCATCACTATTCACGAAGCTATTCTTTTGGTTACATAGTCATCTTGTGAGGAAGTTTTTCCAGAATGGACACAGATGCATTGTATTCCTAACCTTTGTGTAAAACAATTTAGTTCGTTTGACTCTGCTTTTGTTTTTAAGAAAACACATGTAGGGGTGGAACAATACTTCCAGGTCAGGAAACGTTATCAGTTTCCACTGATGTTTTATACATAGTCTGTTTTTATATGAAACTCTAAAGGCTCAAACTCTGTGATGCTATAAAGACACGGAAAATGATTCTTTCTTAGGGTTGGAGGAAGTGATGACTAGCGTTTTTTTTTTGCTGGTAGTATTTGATAATCCCCCGTCCCTTTAGCTATTCTAGGCCTGTTTAGTTGTCGGGCGTTGTCGGACTGAATTGCTAAAAATAACAAATAAGCGGGAGGTGGTTCTAAGGCCAGCCCTGGCTACTGTCTGTAATCTGTTTAATTTAGTTCCTGGGGAGAAAGGGCAAAAAGAACATGGTGCCATTCTCATTGAATGGATTTTTTGTTTAAAGTGCTCATGAGAGCATTGTTTGAGCTCTCCCTTTTCTCAAACCCCACAGGGCTCAGGTACCCACATTCCCTTAGTGTGGAGCCAGAGCCTGGGGGCTGAAAGAGCATGCTCGGATTCAGCGGTTGTGCTAGAGATTAACCAGGCAACTGTGGTCTTCTGCTGATCTTTAAATGTGGCTTTTGACAATGGAAATGTGCATTTAGCTTTTAAGAGAGGGAGAGTGAGTGTGGTGGTTAGAAGTGGGGGAGTTAGTGTGTGAATAAGAATCTTTCTATTTACTATTCTCCCCTAACTCAGTGTTCAGAGTCAGGTGGTTTGATAAAATATAACCGCATGTGTGATTCCAGTGCACCTGCATTTAACTGTAACCCACACCGCAGCATGTGTGATTCCAGTGCACCTGCATGTAACTGTAACCTACACCGCAGCATGTGTGATTCCAGTACACCTGCATGTAACTGTAACCCGCACCGCAGCAAGTGTGATTCCAGTACACCTGCATTTAACTTTAACCCACACTGCAGCATGTGTGATTCCAGTACACCTGCATTTAACTTTAACCCACACCGCAGCATGTGTGATTCCAGTACACCTGCATGTAACTGTAACCCACACTGCAGCATAAAGCTCTGCTTTGATTTGACTCTTGTCCTCTCTGTGCCTTAACTTCTTCATAATAATAGAAGCAGCTCTCTATAGAGACAGCAGTCTAGTACTTGCTTGTAAAGCTGTTGATGATCACTGAAGGAATGATTTAAATGCCTTTCCTATCCCTTGCTGTGTACAGTTTTCTAGTGGTGGAATGTGTGAAAACTAGGAGCAAATTTTTAGGTGTGTGTGTGTGTTCCACATTCTGTGTTGACTCACCTGAGGGCTTATTGATTTTTGTATTCTGAAGTTTATTGATTTTCGTAGTCTGAAATCTCATCCAAAACCCTTTCCTTTGCAGTTCTTATTTTGGGGAAGGGGGTGGGTGTCTAAACCTGATTACTTTAATACCACAGGTAAAAAAGGATTGTTTTTATTAGAGATCCTGGGGGTTTGTTGTGGGGAGGTGCCATGCAAATATCTTGGGAAAGCATACATTAGTGAAGATTGACGTATTTACCCATAGCTTTGGGATCTGAGCAGTTAGACATTGCAGGCTTTGAAATGCCTGCTTTTAGATATTTCTCAAGTCACAAACCAGTGTTACTCCCTAGTTTAATGATAGGCTGCTGCATTATCCAGGTGAGAGATGATGGTAGGTTGGACCAGGATGGTGACAGTGGAGGTGATCAGACTCTGGATGTATTTTAAGGTAGAACCAAGGTGACTGGGTATAGGAGTAAAAGAAGAGAGTTGGAAAAACTGAAGTTTTGGGCCTGTGATTAAGGCCCAAATCCTCCCTGTCTTCTTCCTCTTCCTTCCCCATATGTCACTCATTCTCCACAAGAGATCTGGAATGGGTTCATGGGAGAGGGGCGGGCATTTCACCTGGGCTTTGAAGGTCAGCTAGAAGTTTGCTAGGTGGGGCTAGGGCAGAGGAGAGGGCATTTCAAATCAAGGAATAGTGTGGACAAAAGTCTGGAAGTGGAGTGGTGGTTGCAGTGGTGTAACCCTCCATTGGGAAGTGAGTGAGTGGGAAGTGAGGCTGGAAAGATCTAAGGGAAAGGAATTAAAGTGAATGAAATTAGCATTGCTTCTACTCACTTTTTCTAAGTACTGCTTGTTCTGTGCAAGTAGCTGTTCTAAGTCCCAATGCTATTCATTCAGTGTGGTTTCTACTCAGCATTCCGTATGTCCTGGGCTCCACAGAGGGATCGTCCTGCTGCAGACATTCCAGGTCCTGCTGCAGGTTTATAGGAACAAATGTGCTACTGCTTATTCATAGATCAATGTTTCCTAGTCAGTTTTCAAGTTTTGAAACTAAATTTTTTTTTCCCCCAAAACTAATTTTAAAAGGAAACTGAAAGTTTGGTTTGGGCCTTTACCTTTGAGATTACTATTAGACACCCAAGTAGAGATGTTGAATAGACAGTTGGATATATGAATCTGGAACTCTGGACTAGCGAAATAAAATGGAGAATTGTCTACAAATTGCCAGTTTATAGATGGCGTTTCAAGTCATAGAACTAGCTTGGGTCAACTAAGGGAAAAGTATAGCTGGAGAAGGGACAGGGTTTGTGGACTGAGCCCTGGGTCACTGTAGCAGGACCACAGAGGTGTGGACGGCGTCCATTTTGAGTCCAAATAACCAAGTGAATACCCACATGGGCAACCCTCTGCTGATACAGGGCCAGGCTGAAGGGTTGCTCTCAACTCCCTTGGTGGTAAGGGGACTGCTTTTTCATGGGCTGTCCAAGCAGAGGCTGGCAGCAGAAGTGGTCAGTTCTGTTAGACCTGAGTCGCAAGTGCTCTGTATGTGGACAACACTGCAGGGAGGGGATGCCCGAACACAGTCCTTTTAAAGTATAGCAGATAAAAGGTCTGCCATGGATCTGTGGAATCCTGAGTAAAATTTGAGGGAGGTGGGTACTAACATGGGCAGAAGCAAAGATGCCTGCGAGTTTTGAACTAGTTTTGAAGGTTAAAAAGTCCCTAAGAGGATTTTATGTTAATACCTTTACTGTTCCCTATATATACTCACATATTATGTACACACACATTGCTACCCTCTTTAAAATGAATTTTAAATTTTATTTTATTTTTTGGAGATGAGCTTTTGCTTTGTCACCCAGGCTGGAGTGCAGTGGCGTGATCATAGCTCAGTGCAGCCTGGAACTCCTGGGCTCAGGTGTTCCTCCTACTTCAGTCTCCTCAGTAGCTGAGACTATAGGCACAGGCTACCATGCTCAGATAATTAATTCTGTGTTTTTTTTTTTGTAAAGACAGGGTCTCCCTATGTTGCCCAGGCTGGTCTCAAACTTGGCCTTGAGCAGTCCTCCCACTTCAGCCTCCCAAAGTGTTGGGATTACAGGCATGACCCACCATGCCTAGTCCCCTCTGTGAGATTCAAATATATACTAAGAAAAGCTTCAACCCTTAGAATATTTTTTAAGTTCATCTTTAAGATTCTTAGCAAGTAAAAGATACTGCTTGTCTTTGCTCTGATATGCATAGCATAATGCCTTGGCATAGTAATTAAGAATATGAACTCTGGAATTAGATGAATATGAATTTGAACCCTGACTGCCACTTAATATCATCTTGGATAAATGACATACTTAGTGTTTGGTATGGTTTGGATGTTTGTCTCCTCCAAATCTCATGTTGAAATGTGATCCCCAGTGTTGGAGGTGGGGTCTGGTGGGAGGTGATTGGATCATGAGGGCAGATCCCTCATGAATGGCATAGCACAATCCCCTTGGTGATGAGTGAGTTCTCAGTTCAGTTCACTCAAAATCTGGTTGTTTAAATGTCTGGAACTTCCCACTCACTCTCTTTTGCCTCGCTTTCACCATGTGACGTGCTGGCTCCCCATTGCCTTCTACCGTGATTTTTTTTTTTTTTTTTTTTTTTTTTTTTTTTTTTTTTTGAGATGGAGTCTCACTCTGACCCCCAGGCTGGAGTGCAGTGGCGCAATCTCGGCTCACTGCAAGCTCCACCTCCCGGGTTCACGCCATTCTCCTGCTTCAGCCTCCTGAGTAGCTGGGACTACAGGCGCCCGCCACCACACCGGGCTAATTTTTTGTATTTTTAGTAGAGACGGGGTTTCACTGTGTTAGTCAGGATGGTCTCGATCTCCTGACCTCGTGATCTGCCCACCTCAGCCTCCCAAAGTGCTGGGATTACAGGCATGAGCCACCACGCCCGGCTCCTTCTACCATGATTGTAAGCCTCCTGAGGTCCTCACCAGACACTGAGCAGATGTTGGTGCTATGCCTGTACAGCCTGTGGAACCGTGAGCCAATTAAACTTCTTTTCTTTATAAATTACCCAGTGTCAGGTATTCCTTTATAGTAATGCAAAAATAGACTGATACGGTGTTTTTAAGCCTAAATACACTCGTCCGTAAAATGGCAAAAGCAAGTGTTAGGATGAAGGGAGACAATAAGTAACTTTTATTTCTGGCCCAAGAGTGGAACCAATTGAAAGACAGATGGATATAAAAATTCCATCTTTTTATATATTTTACCTTTAATATTAGTAAAGATTAGGTTGAAGGATGTGGCTTTGGTATGCAGCAGTCATGGGTTTTTAATATTGATCCAGATTTAGGCATACAGATAGATGAACTTACCCTGCAAATCTCTATAAGTGTGGGACAACCACAGGTCTTTCTCTGCAGAGGCAGGCAGAGTCTGTCTGTTAAACTTACAAGAGCCTTCTGCAAGCAAGCAGCTTCTGGCAGAGCAGAAGGGGCCGAGCCCCTTTGTTCTTCCAAACAAGCCCATCAGAAAAGCCACCAGTCTTCCCTGGACTAGATGGAGGAGGCCGGGACTATAACTAATTAAAGCTGGAGGTGAGGATAAACATTTATCCCTTATGAAAAGTACCTGCCTTGTAACATAATACAGATCACTTAGCACTGTGCCTGACACAGTAAATACTTAATGCGGGATTTTATTATTTGCCTCTGGTGGATGCTTATCAGCTGTTTACTGATTGAGCATATTGCCAGCAAGTACTTATAAGATAAAAGGTGTTTTTTTTTTAATTTGGAAAATAATGTATGAAAGCTAATTTAACAAACACCTGTGCATTTATCATTCAGAATTAACAAATGTTAGCATTTTGTAATATTTACCTTTTTGGTTTTTTTTTTTACACAAATGATGCTAATGAAATTGAGGTCATCTGTGTTCCCTCCCACACCTTCCCCAGTCTCATTCCCATTCACCAGAAGCAACAGCTATCAAGGATTTGGTCCGTATCTTTTCATTCCGTGTTTGATATACATCCTGTATTCAATAGGTAACACCGTGTTGTTTATATCTTTCAACAACTTGTTTTTTTCATTCCATATGAAGCACAAACATTGCCATTGGTAGGGCTGGTCAGTGGACTCAACAGTCGAGTGCCAGCAGGTCAGTTTGATCTGCTGCTCTTATTTTCTAATAGCCATGGATTCTGTGTGAAGCCATCTCATGAACTTGGTGGCTTCTGCCCATGATTTAGAAATGGAGGTCACGTGTTCTTCATGGAGCCAGAACCAGAATCAGTCAGGGAAAGAGAGGGACATCAGAGTGGTAACCTGGGATTCCAGATTCTAGACTCCAAACCCTTTACCATTCACTTTTACTCGGAAAGAAATGGGGATTCCTTATGCTGTAGTTGGATACTCTGAGTAGGTAGGCATTCTAAAATTTGTGGTCCTTTTCTTATAAAATGATAACCCCCGAATACCAGCTCTGAGTAAAGAGATAAGTGGCTTCTAAGTGGCCTGGCATCTGGAAATTGAAGCAAGGGCAAAAGGAAAACCACCCTTTGAGTCATGTTTGCAAAGAGAAGTATGCCAAGGGCTCTTTTATTACTCCAGTGTCATTAAAAATTTAATTGGTGTTATGTCAGCTATTAGATCAGAGCTATTAGCATATTAAATTCTCTCTGTTTACCCCAGTTCTATGGTAACTTAGTGGGTGTGGAGTTGGGGACAAGTGGCAGCTGGGCGGCTGTGACGTTTGTTCTGTAGAGTGATTTCATCATGATCTGAGCCCTGCATCACCCTGGATGGAGAAGTGTCACTGGGTGATGTGGACCTGACCTCTCAATACCCCTCAGAACACCGAGAGCTATGAGCAAAGATCCTGGGTTGCTTGTCTTACCTAGAAGTTTAACTTTGAGTTGGAGGACAGCATTTTCTTGGGTGATATTGACAGGTGTCACTATGAATTTCCTTTTCTCTTCCTTAGTGAAAAGACAGCCAAGGTTTTTGGAAAGCTTTATAAATAGCCCTTTGATATTGTAGTATATTTGTAGTCCTCCAGTTCTGCCCTCTGCTGACCCATACAAATCAGCCGAGGAGGTGCCTATGAGTCATGTAGCTGTGCCTGCCGTGGCTTTGAGCTCTTGCTTGTTTTCACTGTCTCCCGGTCCTTTTATGGGTTTCCGGTTGCCGTATCTCTATTTTTTTAGTTGTGTACATTTGTTACTTGATTGGAAAGTAGTGATATGATCACATAGAAGTTTACTCTTGTTTGTCCATTGGCTCTACTACAGTACCTTATTAACTCATTAAATGCTTAGTGCTTTTGCTTACAGCATTAAAGTTAATTTTTAACAATTAATATGGCAGTTTATTTTACCCCAACCCGTTTGTATGTGTAAATTTTTGGGTGGAGTACAGACTGATTTGCTGGTGAAAATCATTACTTTCCATGCCTGTTTTCAGACACAGAGATTTAATGTCCTGTCTTTTTTTAAAATATCCTTTCTTTTTTTTTTTTTTTTTTTTGAGATGGAGTCTTACTGTGTCATCCAGGCTGGAGTGCAGTGGTGTGATCTCGGCTCATTGTAACTTCCGCCTCCTGAGTTCAAGCGATTCACCTGCCTTAGCCTCCTGAGTAGCTGGGATTACAGTTGTGCACCATCAGGCCCAGCTAATTTTTGTATTTTTAGTAGAGACGGGGTTTCACCATGTTGGCCAGGCTGGTCTCCAGCTCCTGACCTCAAGTGATCTACCTGCCTCGGCCTCCCAAAGTGCTGGAATTACAGGCATGAGCCATTGTGCCCGGCCCGTGTCCTGTCTTCTCCCCTTGTGGTGCAGCATTTTGAGAATAAAAGGAGATATATATATTTTTTAAAGTGAGGTAAAATTCACATAACATAAAATACACAATGTTGTATAATCATCACCACTGTCTAATTCTAGAACATTTTTATTGCCCCCAAAAGAAACTTAACTATTAAGCAGTGAGACTGCCCATTCCCTCAGTACCTGGCAACCATGAATCTGTTTTCTATCTGTCTCTGCAGATTTGCCTGTTTTGGGTGTTTATAAATGGATCATCTAGTATGTAGCTTTCTGTGTCTGGCTTCTTTCACTTAGCTTAATGTCTCAAGGTTCATTCATGTTATAGCATGTATCAGTACTTCTCTCGTTTTTATGTCTGAATAATATTCCATTGTATGGATGTACCACATTTTGTTTATCCATTTATCAGTTGATGGACATTTAGGTTGTTTTCCCCTTTTTGGCTGTTGTAAATAATGCTGCTATGAACATTTACAAGTTTTTGTTTGTATGTCACAGTGGATTAGCTGGCTCATATGGTAATTTTATGTTTTAATTGAAGTACCTGCCAAACTTTTCTGTAGCAGCTGCCCCATTTTAAATCACCAGCAATATATGAGGGTTCCAGTTTCTCCACATCTTTGCCAGCACTTGTTTTTTTCTGTTTTTTATTTTATTTTATTTTATTTTTTGTTTTTATATTTTTAGTAGAGACGGAGGTCTTGCTATGTTGCCCAGGCTGGTTTCAAATTCCTGAGCTCAAATGATCCTCCCATGTTGGCCTTCCAAAGTGCTGGGATTACAGGTGTGCAACACTGCATCTGGCCGGTTTTTGATTATAGCCATCCTAGTTGGTATAGTCTATCATTGTGATTTTTTAAATTTGCATTTTTGTAATGATAATAATGTTGAACAGCTTTTCATGTGCTTTTTGGCCAATAATACGTCTTCTTTGAAGAAACACCTGTACAAATCCTTTGCTTATTTTAAAATTGGTTCGTCTTTGTTGTTGTTGACTTGAAAGAAAATAGGAATTCTGGAGCTGAAAGAAAATAGGAATTGCTTGGAGCAGACAGCAGGATCAGGATTGACTTTAGGCTCTAGCCACACACACCTGCATGTTAATCTTACCCCACAGTTGCGTCAGTTACACCTCCACTTCCAAGAATGCAAGGTGTCACCCTTACTTCCTCTCTCAGCAGGCACACCCTTATTCACCTACCCCTTTACCATGCCTACAGGCCAAACTCCACTGTAAACACTGTTGATTTGATCTCTTGCTCCTGTAAGAATGGGACAAACTGAGGACAAACTGAAATATTGGCACTTACTGTTTTTTGTTGTTGTTTTTGCTCATTTGGAAGACTTGTAGGGTTTTAACAGTTCCTCTAGTCCGTCTTATTGAAGAGCACTTGACTTTTTGATGTTGGCAAAACAGAAGAAAAGTAATGTATATTGGGAAACTGTAATCGTTTCCTTGGGCATAATTATATTGATGCTTCTACAACCCTTGTGTTGGACCTACACAAAACCCAATGTCTCATTGAAGATAGGAGTTAACGTTATTTGTCCTGACACTGCATTACATGTTCTTGAGGCTCATCTGTAACAGTTAAAATGTCTGCTAGCTTTCCTTCATGGAGTTAGGGTCAGGTCTCAACTTTTTAAAGTTGTAAGATATCCTACAGGCCACTTGATGTAGCGCTCCCCTTTCTAGCCCCCAACCATTTCTGACGTGTTGTCACTCTTCCTATTTGAACATATCCAATGATTTTTAGTGACCTCATTCTTTTTCCTGAACTACTCTCCTTTTGGTTTCTATGACACACATTTCCCTCCTTTTTAGTTTTATTTACTGGTTCCTGCTCTTCATTCCAGACTTAAAATGTTGAATTTCTTGAAGGCTAAGTCCTCTTATTGTATGTTCTTTACCTAGGAATTTCATCCATTCTCACGACTTCAAGTACCACGTCTATGCAAAATTATATCTCTAGCCCAGATTTCTTCCATGAACTCCAGAGCCAATCTAGTTTTTCACATCTCATTTGGATGTCTCACAGGTACCTTAAACCCAAAACGAAGCTCAGAATCTTCCCTTCCAAACCAGGTCCTCCTCCTGCATTTCTTCTCTCAGTGAAAGGCAGCACCCTCAAGCCAGTATGCAAGCCCCAACTGGGCATCCTGGGAGTCATTCCTGACATCTTCCTCCTCAGCTTCTGATGTCTAATGAAGGTTATGATGAAGGGAGTGGTGAAGTCCTCTTGTTGATTTTCCTCCTGAATATTTCAGAAATCTATCTGCTCTTCTTCATCTCCATTGTCACCACTAAGATACTGTCATCTCTTTCCAAGACGATTGCAGTGGCCTCCTAATAGGTTTCCAACATTCACGCGTGTATTCTCTAATCCAGTGCTTCCCAGGCTTTTTTTTTTTTTTTTTTTTAACAGTACAGCTCTCAGAAAATTGTATTTGCACAATTCACTGGGGTAACCGGACAAAGGTGCTCAAAGCTGGAGGCAACTGCTCAGGGGGGTTTTGGCTGCCCTGGACCACCCAGCCACTCCAGGGACTGAGGGATCAATATCCTGGGCACATCTGTTACCCATTCATGACTCATAGGACGTTTTTGGGAAGCTCTGTTCTCATTCATTCTGTATGCTTCAGCTGAGTGAGATTGTTTTTAATGGAAATTTGACTTTTGCTCTCCTGCTTAAAACCCAGTGGCATTCCATTGCCTTCAAGATAAATTCCAGAACTTTAATATGGCTTAAGACCCCACACGATCTGACTCAGCCTCACCAGCCTCATCTCTGTATTCTCACCCTTTCTGTCTCTGTGCTTCAGTCTCCCTGGTTGACATTCAGTTCTCCCAACTTGCCGGACTCCATTTATCTGGAATTACTCTCTCCCCACTCTCACCTCTCCTCTTGTTAATTCCTGCTCATCCTTCAGAGCTGAGTTCTCAAGTCCCTCTGTGAGTTCCTTGATTCCATCAGATGTTTCCTCCATCGAAGACCATGGTTTCCCTCAGATCCCTTATTACAATGGTAGCTAAATGTCTGTGTGGCCTGCAACAGTATAATCTCCAGGGATAAGTGTGTGCTTTGTTCGCTTCTCTACTGTTGGTGCTCTTTGGAGTGCTGAGTGCCCAATACCTGTTGGTTAGATGAATTATGTGCCAGTTCTTGGTGCTAGGGTTATAGCATTAATCAAATCAGACATGATCCCTACTCTTTGGAGCTTACACTGAGATACAGACAATAAAGAAATAAACAAGAAACCATCATGTAGTAAGGGTGATGTTTTAGAGAGTTACTGGAGACCTTCTTTAGTTGAATAATTGGGGAAGGGCTTTCTGAAAAAGTGAAATTTCAGCTAAGATGTGAATGAAAAGAAGCAGACAGCCACCTAAAAGTATCTCAAGGAAGAACATTCCAGGTGGAGGTCACAGAGAAATATTACACAGAGAGATATTCCTGTCTTAAGACAGAAATAAGTCTGCTGGAGCTGTTTAAGCAAGTGAAAGGGGGACAGAGTAGTAATGAAGTGGAGGGGTTGGCAGGAGTGAGGCCATGTGGAGCCTGAGCACCTTGGTTAAAGAGTCTGGCTTGTTTTCTAAGTGTGAGGTGAAACCATTAGAGGCTTTTTTTTTTTTTTTTGAGATGGAGTTTTGCTCTTGTTGCCCAGGCTGGAGTGCAGTGGCGTGATCTCGGCTCACTGCAACCTCCACCTCCCGGGCTCAAGCGATTCTCCTGCCTCAGCCTCCTGAGTAGCTGGGATTACAGGCGTGTGCCACCATGCCCAGCTAATTTTTTTTATTTTTAGTAGAGACAGGGTTTTTATCATGTTGTCCAGGCTGGTCTCAAAACTCCTGACCTCAGGTGATCCACCTGCCTCAACCTCCCGAAGTGCAGGGATTACAGGTGTGAGCCACCACGCCTGGCCCATTAGAGGTTTTTTGAGCAGAGGCTAACTTGATTCAGTGTGAGAGTGTCCACGACACACCTCCAGGCAAGAGATGATGGAGGCTTGGACTAGGACGAGGGCAGTGGTGCTAGATAGAAAGAAGAGTAGAGTTTGGGAATATATTTGGAAGTAAGCTAATAAGATTTGCCGATGGATTGGATGGAAGGTGTGGGGATTGAGGAAAAGAAAAAAATCAGGGATGTGCCATGTAGGGTCATTCTTGAAAAACATAGCTTTTTTTTTTTTTTTTTTTTTTTTGTCATTTTTTGTTTTTTACATTGAGCAGTTGGATGAGTGCCATTCACTGAGATGGGGAAGTCAGGGAGGGGTAGGGGTGGGGGTGACCATAAATCAGTTGTGTTTGTTTTAAACATATTAAAGTCTGGGTTTGACATCAAAGAGGATATGTTTTATAAATAATTGGATATGTTAAATCTGGAATTAAGGGGATATAGGGTTGGAGATACAAATTAGGAGTCATATAATGTTTAAAGCTATGAGATGAGAGTATTGGTTTTGTTGTTGTTGTTGTTGTTTGAGATGGAGGCTTGCTCTGTCACCCACGCTGGAGTACAGTGGCTTGATCTCAGCTCACTGCAACATCTGCCTCCTGGGTTCAAGCGATTCTCATGCCTCAGCTTCCCAAAGTGCTGAGATTACAGGTGTGAGCCACCACACCTGGCCGAGATGAGAGTTTCTAAGAGGGAGTGCAGATGGGGAGAAGAGGAGGAGTTCCAGGACAGCTTCTTGGGAAATGCAGCATTCGGAAGCTGAGCAGAGGAGGGGTAGTCAGCAAAGGAGAACTTAGAAAGAGTAGCCAGTTATGTCGGAGGAGAATAGAAGTGTGGTGTCATGAAAGCTAGAAGGAGAAAGTGTTCCAAGAACTGTGTTGAACACTGTTGAGAGGTTGAGTAAGATGACAGAGAAGCACCCATAGAGATCATTGGACTTGAATCACAGCCAATTCATTAGAGGAGGTAGAAGTGTGATTGGAGAGGTCTGAGGAGCAGATAGGAGGGAAGACAGGGGAGGCAGCTGCCTTAGAAAACCGATTCAAGAAGTTTTGCAGAAAAAAGGCAGTACTTTCAGGGGACTGAGAGGTAAAGAAAGGGTTTTTTAATGGTTTGCCTCACCAAGAAGGATCTTGCAGAGTAAGAAATAGAAGATTAAGAAGAAAGGAAGGTTAATGGTAAGAGTGAAGTTTCTGAGAAGGTATGTGGGGATGAAATCATTGTCTAAGTGGAAGGGTTGTGTGTGTGTTTTTGTTTTGTTTTGAGACAGGGCCTTGCTCTGTCACCCAGGCTTGAGTGCAGTGGCATGATCACGGCTCACTGCATGCAGTCTCAACCTCCTGGACTCAAGTGATCCTCCTGCCTTAGCCTTCTGAGTAGCTGGGGCTACAGACATGCACCACCATGCCCAGCTGATTTTTTTATTTTTGTAGAGATGGGGGTCTCGCTGTAGAGATAGGGTCTCACTAATAGGTGGGTGATATTCTCGGCCAGGGTTCTGTAAATTACAGCCCAAGGGCCAGCTGGTCTCAAACTCCTTCCCTCAAGTGATCCTCCCACCTCAGCCTTCCAAAGTGCAGGGTTGTATTTTGATTCCTTTAAAAACACAGTACAGGGATGCTATCAATTTTAACAGTAGAGAAAGAAGAGACTATACATACAGGTGTAGGTCGATTAGTAGATTTGGTAGAGGGAAGATAGAGTTCTTATGAGATTTATTTTCTCAGCTGAGAGGAGGGAGAATAGGCGATTTGAGGAGACAAGACAAAGCATGAAATAGTTATTTTGGAGAGCAGACAATGAACATATAAAGGAGGTTTAATAGAATTTCCATAGTGCCCATTTGGGATTCATGGCTCTGAATTTAAAGTGAGACCATTCAGCACAGTTTAGCATTTTCCTCCAGCAACATTCAGCCACTCAGGTGAGGCATGGAGTGGGTAGATGGTTGAGTTTAATCTGGGTTGGCATTTTCCCAGGTAAGTGCAACAGAGGGAGAGAGGGACATAGGTGAAAGGGTAAATATAAGGAGAATAAATATAAATGATGGACTATATAAGCAAAGCTGGGTAGGAAGGGAAAAGCCCATGGAAGCATAATGGAAAATGAACAAGTTGTTGCGTGACGAGGTTGAAGAAATGCTGGAGCGAGAGTATCAGAAGTGACCTGGAAGAATATGAGGTAGTGGTGGTGAAATGGACACTTCAGAGGTGTGCAGCTTCTAGTGTTGACAAGACCTAGGGCATGACCATGGACCAGGTGGCTGAGGTGGGATAACTGTAAAATTGTGAGGAGAGAGGAGGCTGTGGTATTGGGTGGGTCATCTACATTCTTGTTGAAGTCACCTTGAATGGTACAGCTGTGGTGGAGAGGGAGACAGGGAGCCACTGATGATGACGGATAGTGCCCAGGATACTGGAAGATTGAAGCAACAAGGAGGGGGGAGTCCGGTGGCTAAGCATGATGCCATGAACTTCAAGGACCAGGGTTTATGAAGGATAAAGGAGGGGAAATGGTTTGGCAGTGAGCTGAATGAGTGGATGGAAGGATGGACAGATGGAAATGTAGGCTTTTATTAGGCAGCTTTCAGTGAAAGTTAAAAATCTCTAACTGCTGGACTCAGTCCTACCCTTTAAAGCCCCATCTTTTTAAGGAACAGACACTGGCAAACCACCGCCTGCCCCGTCCAGCCCACTGCCTGTTTCTGTGCTTTCGAAACATAGCCGTGCCCATTCATCTGCACCACACCCATTTGTTTACACATTGTCTGACTGCTTTTGTGCTACAATGGCAGAGCTGAGTAGTTGTAACAGAGATAACCCCACAGTGAAAGCCTGAAATATTTATTATCTGGCCCTTTATAGAAAAAGTTTGCTGACTCCTGATTTAGAACAAAAAGTTTGAGTCTCAAACTTCAGTGTGGGTCACAGCCACCCGGGAGGGATTGTGAAAACACAGATTGCTGTAGTCCATCCCCAGGGTTTCTGGTTCAGTTGGTCTGGGTCGAGGCATAAGAATATGCCCTTCTAATAAGTTCGCAGGTGATCCCGATGCTGCTGGGAGAGGACTGCACTTGGAGAGCCATTGCTTTCTATAGTTAAGGTAGTGATAGATTCCTTCTTCCCTTAATCTTCTCTGAACCAAAAGTCCCCACCGACTTCAGCTGCCCATCGCTTGACCCCATCACTTGACGTGATTTGCTGGCTTGTCATCATCCCTTTTACACCTGGTGCCTGCAGATGGTAGTGATTCTTTGGCTGAGGCTTGATCAGCACCATATTGCATTAGGACAGTTGCCGCTCCTGGCTCTGTGCTTCACTCTGAGCTTTCTATCTGGTCATTCCCAGGTTATCTGGTAGGCTGGGCTTTCTCTGGGACTCACATGAAGCTGATGTGTTAGGGAGGGCAGCAGTAGGTAGAACTCACCTAAACCTCAGGGGGACCGAGCAGCTAAACACTGTTGTTTGAAGAAGAATTTTTTCCCCTCGTGTATATCTGCTGTAAAGTGCTTGAGTGGTGTAGGGGTTCGGGTTCGTCTTGGCAGACTGAATTGGGGGTGCTAGCCAGCATGTGATCATAGGTGGGGTTTGGGAGTCTGACCCCATATGGTAGCAGTGTCAGTCTGTCGGCAGGTAAAAGCACACCTGGGAGGAAAACAGGTCAGCGCTTAGCTGAAGCAAGTCTTTTGTCCCTGTCCTTCAGCAGAAAGACCTCTGAAGGGTCTTTTCTGTCTTTCTTTTCTGAAGGATATTTCTAAAGTAGTATCTAGAAGATGCAGGGACAGTAACTCCTTCCGAGATTTCTCTTTATTCTCCTGCTCCATGCCTAAGATTGCTTTATCTTTCTTTGATTTGTCTCCCAGCGGTGTAGCTCAGTGGTTACCATATCGCCTAGCTGTGTCCTCTGGTGAAGTGGATGCACCCAGATGAGTTTACAAGTGGGCATATCCGTGGACCGCTTAGACCTGTCTCTCAGGTGTGGGGTTTTGCCTGCCTCTGTTGGCCCTCCTCACCCATCCAGGCTGGCGGCTCAGGGCACATGTGCCCTCAGGGCTCTGCCCTGCCCCTGCCTGCTGCAGCCGTGGCCATGCTGTCCCATTTTCCATCCTGCCTTCTCTGATTGTGTCCTCTTGTTGCCTTTTTTTCTGTTTTTGTCTTGTTTCCCCTGCCTTCTACCAACCTTGTCCCCCATCAAAACATGCTTCTTCAGCCCTCAGTGAGTTCTTGGCCTCTTGCCAAACATCCCCATTGTGGGCAGTTGGTACCCTCTGACCATTTTACAGATCTGCCAGTGAGCGAACACGAGAATTAGTGAGGCTTTGGGTTTTTAATTTGGAAGTCATGGTAGAGACAGCGAAAAGATGGCCATTGCCTTCAGTTTTTTTGATTAATAGTAGAGCTTGAAGTTGGTGGTGGTGTCCAGGAGCTGGAAGCTGTGGATTTTACACAAGAGAGAAGTATGTGACCAAGGCAGGTCACACTCAGGGTCAGAAACCGTGACTCCCAGCAGAGGGTCTCTGAGGACTTAGCTCTCACAGAATATCAGGAACAGAAGGGAACCTAAGTCTGCCTTGTGTGTTGCCTCCGATGCCTGGATTGGAGGGCAGGAGATGAGCCAGCAGGGCTATTTTTATTCAGATAAAAGTACATATCCGTATACATCCATAGTATGTCTCCCCTCTCCTCTGAGCTCCATTTAACCTGTTTTGTTTGTTTAGTCTTTAAGGCAAGAGTTCATGTGAAGAAAGTGTCGTGTGGCTAAAGTAGAAATGGGAGTGGGGTGGGGGTGGAGGGATGCACTGGTATTGCCCAAATCCTCATCTTACAAATGGGAAAATAGAGGGACAGAGAGGAGAAAACTCTTTTCAATACCCCAAGGCAGGATAAACAGGAAAGAAAGAAAGAAAGAAAAAAAAAACTAATTTAGAGAAGGAGAGCTGGAGACAAAGTTCCTAAGAAAAGAAAAAAGTCTGTAGTGATAGCGTCACAAGATGTATTACCTCAGGAGTCTATTTGAGAGATTGTGTCATGTCAGAAAAGTTCTAGGGACTGGAGCCTCTTTCCTTGGTAAGAGGATGAGAATGAAACACCAGCCCCTCAGTCTGACTCCTGGAAAAAAGAACCTCAGGCCGATGAGCAATAACTCCAACAATGTCATTTCCCTGGCCATGCTGAGCCCCACAGGAAATCTCAGAGTTTGTCATCACGGCAAGGGCCCACAAGAATGTCGCTGCACCCAGAGCTTTGTGGTTTGATGCCACTAGAGACTTCCCTTGTGAAAGCATTCTGAGGGAAATTGCTCGGCAAGACAGAAAGATGCTACAGTGAGATCAGCAGATGCCCTCCCAGGACTGCTGGTAGTAAGTGTGGATTTCAAATGTCACTCCTAGCAGCCCTGAGGCTGACATCGGATAGAGCAGTTCCTCAAGGATTTCAGAGTCCAGGACATGGGAAATTGGGGTGGTTTGTTTTTTAGTTTTGCAAGTTGACCTGATAAAGCATTAAGGCCTGTTAGGGCGTGTTCTGTTTGTGGAAGCAAGGCCAGATCCAAAGCCCCCACTGGGATCTGTAACGTTTGAGTTTTATTATTTATTTATTTTATTATAAATCAGTAATTCATAATTGTATAGATTTATGGGGTAAAAGTATTATGATTTATAAATATAATGTGGGCTGGGTGCAGTAGTTCACATCTGTAATCCCAGCACTTTGGGAGGCTGAGGCAGGTGGATCATTTGAGGCCAGGAGTTCGAGACCAGCCTGGCCAACATGGTGAAACCCCGTCTCTACTAAAGATAGAAAAATTAGCTGGGTGTGGTGGTACTCACCTGTAATCCTCAGCTACTCGGGAGGCTGAGATGGGAGAATTGCTTAAACCTGGGAGGCAGAGTTTGCAGTGAGCCTAGATCATGCCATTGCACTCTACCTTAGGCAACAGAGCAAGACCCTGTTTCAAAAAAAAATAAAAAGAATATAATGTAGAATAATTAAATCAAGCTAGTTAACATATTCATTACCTCAAATACTTGACATTGTTTGTAGTGATAGGTTGGAGTTTTAAATCTGTGTATATCCAGGGGCAGGGGGTGAGAGGGCAATGCCGAAAGCTGAAAACCACCTTGAAGGAAAATGGTCATTTTCTGCCTTTGCTTCTTCTGTTGGGCGTTCCTTGATTATTCAAGTTGGGAGGGAAAACTAAAAAGTGTGTGTACATCAGTAAGGCGTCATTTCCCACACTAAAGCACTTTATTCAACAAACATTAAATTCCTATTATGTGCCAGCCATTCTTCTAGACGGTAGGACCGTATCAGGTGACAGAACAAAGTCCTGCCCTTGTGGACCTTTCCGTCTCATAAGGGAAGCCAGACAGTTTCTCCTTCCTGTGGTGGAAAGAGCTCTGGAGAAGAGTCAAGGTGAGGAGAATAGGGAGTATTGGGCAGCATGTACTCAAGAAGGCCTCGCAGATAAGGTAACATTTGAGAAAGCCCTGAAGGAAGTGAGGGGATGAGTAATGTGAATATCTGGGGAAGAGAACTTCTACATGGAGAGCACAGCGAAGGGCAAAGGCCAGGCAGGAACATACCTGGTGGATTGGAGGAGCAGCATGGGAGGCCTGTGTGACTGGAGCTGAAGGAGTGACGGGGAAGAGTTGTTGGAGGTGAGGTCGGAGATTTAGCTGAAACCAAGACCATGCATGCATGGCTTCTTGGAAGTTGAAAAGTACTGTGGTGTGAATAGTTGTTTCTCCCTAAAGTCTTTGTTGAAATCCTAACTCCTGAGATGATGGTGTTAGGAGGTGTGGCCATTTGGGAGATGAGTAGGTCATGAGGGCAGAGCCCTTTAAATGGGGTTAGTGCCCTTACCCAAGAGCACAGCACCGCACTGGAAATGAAGGATGCCCCTGCTGTGGTGTGCATAGGGTTTCTTTGCCCCCTGGCAGGTCTCATGTTGAAATTTGGTACCCCCAGACCCCCCCAACCCCCGCAAAAAAATTTGATCCCCAGTGTTGAAGGTGGGGCCTGGTGGGAGATGTTTGGATTATGGGGGCGGGTTTCTTGTGTATGGCTTGGTACCATTCTCATGGGAGTGAGTTCTCATGCTTTGTTTCTTCACTGACTGGCTGTTGAAAAGAGCCTGGCACCTCCTCTCTCATTTCCTCTCTGGCCACATGATTTCTGTACAGGTGGCTCCCCTTCGCCTTCCACCACGAATGCAAGCAGCCAGAAACCCTCTCCAGAAGCAGATGCTGCACCATGCTTGTATAGCCTGCAGACCTGTGGGCCAAACAAACCTCTTTTCTTCATAAATTACCCAGCCTCAGGTATTCCTTTAGAGCAACACAAACAGACTAAGACACCCGTGGAGACAGAGGCCTCCCAAGGTTCTTCTGCACTCACAGGACCAATCCTGCCACGCCTCTGACCATACTGAATTGCAGAGGCCTGGGTAACTGCCCTTAAAACTTTATAAGCTAGGATCATACTTATCCCCAAATAATTGTGGTAGAATTGGTGTCTGGGGGCATCCCTCATTTCAGGTATTGTGTTGGTTTTCTACTTGGTTTTCTACTTGTATTTGAAGCTACCACGAATTGGTCTTCACAGCATCTTGTTTGGACACTAATGATTGGATTCAGGGCCCACCCTAATATAATATGATCTCATCTTAACTTAGTTACATCTGCAAAGATCCTCTTTCCAAATTACCAGAGATTAGAACTTCAGCATATCTTTTTGTCAAATTCAGTTCAACCCACAACAGGTGCCTTGTTCTGGGTTTGATTATGATGAGAGTCTTCTGGGCTTAAATATGCTTGGGGACTGAGACAGGAATTATTGAAATACAGTTAGAAAGGTCCACTATGTTAGGGATGTCCTGTCCTGTTGGAATTTTTTCTTTTAAGAAATGTCTACTACGTTTATTTAAACTAATTAAAAATTTAAAGATGAAGGCAGTATCGTGGCACATGCCTCTAAGGCAAGAGGATTGCTGGAGCCCAGGAGTTTGAGGCCAGCCTGGGCAATATAACAAGACCCCATTTCTAGAAACAAAACAAAAATATAGATAGATATGTTAATTTGCATCATTGTTTGGAAACCTGAAGACTTTAGGATATGCAGTGGTAAAATTCATCAAAGTGTTAGAAAGCAGAGATTTTACAGAAGAAGGAATTTTTAAAGCTGAGAGGTATAGCCTGAGTTTGGCTGGGGAGTCTGGGTGGGAGGGCAGAAGAGCTCTTGCTGATGTTCCAAGTTGATGGTTTTGCCAGCTGTGGCAGCAAGTTGGCAGAGATTGAATGCAACAGACCAGAGTCCCTGGGCCCTGGCGGACTTTTGTAGGAGGAGAAGTGGGCTTATTCCATTCGCCTTTCCCCTGCATTCACATGGGGTCCACAGGGTGCCCAGGTGGTGTATGGCACCGAGCTATTGCTCCCCTCTTTGTGACACCCAGTGGACATACATTCTTTAGTGTGTGTCAGGGCTTACTAGTATTTGCCTTTTTTCAGCTCACCACAGTTAAAGTCTAAGAGTTGTTTATCGGCCTGGCACGGTGGCTCACCCCTGTAATCCCAACACTTTGGGAGGCCGAGGCGGGCAGATCACGAGGTCAGGAGTTTGAGACCAGCTTGGCTAACACAGTGAAACCCCATCTCTACTAAAAATAGAAAAAATTAGCCAGCGTGGTGGTGTGTGCCTGTAATCCCAACTACTTGGGAGGCTGAGGCGGGAGAATCGTGTGAACCCGGGAGGCGGAGGTTGCAGTGAGCCGAGATGGCGCCATTGCACTCCAGCCTGGGCAACAGTGCGAGATTCCGTCTCAAAAAAAAAAAAAAGAGTTGTTTATCAAAGGAAGTTTAAATTCCCACTCTGATATCACAGTGATAGGACTGTATTTGGTTTAGCAATGTAATTAAAATTCCTTAGCAGCAGTATGCATTTGCAGGCATTGGATTGAATGGTTATCATGGTCACCATGAGTTGGAGTTTTGCTCTTGTTGCCCAGGCTGGAGTGCGATGGCATGGCCTTGGCTCACTGCAGCCTCCGCCTCCTGGGTTCAAGTGATTCTCCTGCCTCAGCCCCTAAGTAGCTGGGATTACAGGTGCCCCCACCACACCTGTCTAATTTTTTTGTAGAGACAGGGTTTTGCCATGTTGGCCAGGCTGGTCTTAAACTCCTGGCCTCAGGTGATCTGCCCGCCTTGGCCTCCCAAAGTGTTGGGATTATAGGCATGAGCCACTGTGTCTGGCCATGAGTTTTTATGGAGCTCCTGTTGTGTTCCAAGGAATTCTCTGCAACTTAGGACAGATGGGAGATGAGTAAAGAGGGTTCTTTCTAGCCTTAAGGAAATTTGAAGCAAGGAGAGGACAGACAGGAATCAGAGGTTCACGGAAGAACTGATAAAGATTTGTGTATGCCACATTTGGCTTCTGTAGGAAAAAGCCTCTATATGTATCATTTAATAAATAGCTAAGCGCGGTGGCTCACGCCTGTAATGCCAGCACTTTGGGAGACCGAGGAGGGAGGATCGCTTGGGTCCAGGAGTTTGAGATCAGCCTGGGCAATACAAAAAATAAAAAATTGAAGTTTCTCATTTCTACAAAAAAAAAAAAAAAATTAGCCGGGCATGGTGGTACACATCTATAGTCCCAGTGCACCTAGAGTCCCAGCTACTTGGGCTGAGGTGGGAGGTAGAGGCTACAGTGAACCGTGATTGCACCATTGCACTCTGAGCTGAGACCTTGTCTCAAAAATAAATAAAACATACAAACAACTAATTAATTGGACAGAGAGCTCACTTGTCCTCTGCCCTAAACTCTCCCTGCTTCCCTGAGTCCTGTGGGCACTTTAATGGGTGGAACAGAATCAACAGGTGCTTGGGTGAAGGGGGTGGAGGTGAGAGAAGGGCCTGGGCTGCCTGGTGACTGTATTACTGGTTCCAGTGTGGCTCAGTCACATATGCCCTGGGAGGTGATAATTTTGAGTATTCCCTCAGGACATGAATAGTATTCCTCTAAAACGGAGGCTTCATTTCATGTCTGTTAACTGGGAATACAGCCACAACTATGTCCTCGGGGCAAGGACCACTGGTAAAACCACCATACTTCTGGGGTGAGCACAGGGCAAATAATGTACAGACATCATTTCCTTTGACTAATCTTTGAAATCTTGGCTCCTGAAAGTAGTGAAAGTTCTTTGTCTAAGCCGAGATTTTTAATTTAGGACCCAGATGGAGTAGAAGGTAAGCCTCCAAAAGGTCTGCTTTCCTCAGTGTTTTAGTGTCCCAGATTCCTGGCAGGCAGCAGTCTCATTAGAAAAGCAGATTGCCTTCTGACTCACCCACTCAGTGCGATGCGAGACAGCCCCACAGCCCTCACAGCAGCCCATATTCCTGCTGGACAGGGCAGAGCGTGCACCATCCATTTTATAGCTGCAGTGGCTACAGACGCCTGGCCCAGGCCATGGAAAACCTTGAGAGGAGATAGTCTGTTACGGACAGGAGCTTTGTCCTGGAATTTCCTGGCCTTTGTCTGTCTGGGATAACTTCATGTACTGAGACGCCTGTTTTTTAGAGTCTTCTTCCTTCTGGGGGAAGAGTGCTACTGCCTGTCCTCCACAGAGCACTTTTGCTTCTACCAAAGCCATCTTCTCCCTGCTGCCTGCCCGTGATCACCCATGGTTCGGAGGTGAGGGGAGCACTGTGGGCAGGTGTGTGTACCTGGCTTGCAGTATACTCCTGAAAGTTGCCTGTCACAAAGGAAAAGCCATAACCATTGGACATCAAAGCTGTGTCTTCCAGCCCGGCCCATTCACTCTGGTCCTAACCTTTGTCTGTCTCTCATATTGCAGCAGAAAAAGTCCTACCTGGAGCGAAGCGTTAAGGAAGCTGAGGACAACATCCGGGAGATGCTGATGGCACGAAGGGCCCAGTAGGGAGCCTCTCTGGGAAGCTCTTCCTCCTGCCCCTCCCATTCCTGGTGGGGGCAGAGGAGTGTCTGCAGGGAAACAGCTTCTCCTCTGCCCCGATGGATGCTTTATTTGGATGGCCTGGCAACATCACATTTTCTGCATCACCCTGAGCCCCATTTGCTTCCCAGCCCTGGAGTTTTTACCCGGCTTTGCCTGCCACCTCTGCCCAGGACACTCTTCCCTCTCGGGATGTGTGATGAACTCCCAGGAGAGGGAAGATGGGAGCCAGGGCAAGATAGGAAGCTCTGCCTGAGCTTTCCACTAGGCACGCCAGCCAGACCAATAAAAAGCGTCTGTCCCACTCTGCTAAGCCTGGTTTTCTTGAGCAGAGGGATGGAACAGAGGGTGAGAGAGGCAGTGGCCGTCTCCACCTCAGCTCCTGCTCCCTCTGCATCAGAGCCCTTCCTTTCTTGGGGGATGGGCCTTGCCCTCTTCTCTTTTCCCTTCCTGTACCTTTGACTAACGCTCAGCTTCCGGGCCTGCATGCAGTAGACAGAAGAGGAAGAAAGAACAGATGTTCACAGCTGAATCTCAGTGAACAGAATAGCAGTCCCTGGATGGCAGTCTGCCTAAAGATTCCTTTCCCTGCCTTCTCCCATACATTCCAAAAGGAAGTTCAACAGTAAGCAGCACCTCCAAGACTGTCTCCTTTTGGCCAATATCATAAGATGGACGCCATAATCCTGAGGCCTCCTAGAGGCTGAGGGGGCAACGGTGTGATCCAGCTGGCTCATCCCAGCCCAGGTGGGCCAATTATTCAATTTTCAAGAATTTTGTTGCAAGCCAGTTGTCAAACACAGCCATTATAATTATGTAAATTTGCAAATTATGTTAAAAACAAGGACAATAAATATTCAAAATGCATCCCTAATTACTACATTTGACCACGATCTGTGCTCTATCTGTGCACTGACTGTGATCTGTGAGGTTGGCTCTGTTGTGTCTGGGTGGTAGAAATCCCACATGATGTCAGGTCCTGTGCTGCCCTTCCCAGCTCCAGTCAGTGACATCACATTGGTAACTTGAAATCAGCCATGGCATGGTGAGAACACGTACACCACAGAAATAAGACACAGGACATCAGAAATAAGACACAGGACATGCAACAAAACATGGCTTTTTTTTTTTTTTTAAAGAGAGCACCGGTAAACATTTATCAGCACGTCCACTGCTTCGGAGGGAAGGCAGAGTCGGCAGGGAGCTAGCTGTCAGCTGCGGCTTCTCGGGCTGGCTGGGCTGGGCGGGCCAGCTGATGGAGGAAAATCGGACTTGCTGCTATGGCAGCCTGGCGCCACCCTGTGGCCAAATATGAGATGAGTGGCACGGCTGACGAGCTGGGGTGAGGGGTGAGGGGACATCCAGAAGGGAAAACTTCAGCCAGGAGCGGTGGCTCACGCCTGTAATCCCAGCATTTTGGGAGGCCGAGGCGGGCAGATCAACTGAGGTTGGGAGTTCGCAACCAGACTGACCAACATGGAGAAACCCTGTCTCTACTAAAAATACAAAATTAGCCCGGCCTGGTGGTACATGCCTGTAATCCCAGCTACTCAGGAGGCTGAGGCAGGAGAATTGCTTGAACCCAGGAGGGGGAGGTTGTGGTGAGCCGAGATCACGCCATTGTCCTCCAGCCTGGGCAACAAGAGTGAAACTCCATCATCTCAAAAAAAAAAAAAAAAAAAAAAAAAAGGAAAACCTCTTGGCTGGCCCCATGTAATTGTAGGTTCCTGGGTTTCCAGGGAGCAGGCCTGGAAGCCACTCCAGGGGCAGCCCCTGGTTACCAAAAGGCCCTTTCCTAGGCTCTGGGTAAAGGCAGGTGCAAGATGTGGCAAATGCTCCTCCCTGAGCCTATCTCTGAGTGGGACTACGGGGAGAGTAGCTTGGCCGGGAGCCCATGACCCAGCTGGAGAACACCTGGCCCTCAGAACTGGCCGCCTTTGTAGCACCCTCACTGTTTGCATCACCACCAGAATAAAAAGGTAGATTGGCTGCTGGTCATACATTGGATGGTGGCCACTAGCTGAGATAGATACCCACATTTTATAAGCCTCAGTGAGCAGATGAGTAGTTAGTTAGACATGGTAACAGTCCAGGAGACAAGCACAGACTCCAGGTAGCTTAGCTTAGGCCTGGAATCATTTAGACAGACAGTTGAGCTTTGGACAAATTTATTGAAACATACAGGCGGCTGTTAGCAGAGAAATCATTCCATGATTGATGTGTTACATTTGGCCACTACCTTGAATGTATAATTTAAAAATTATATTTTTCACAACTAAGCCTTTGGCCAAAAAAGTCATTTAGCACATCTTTAAAGATCAATAAGAAATGGATTTTGGACATTAAAAAGATCAAGTCACTGAATTAAACAGTAGCAACCCCCATTAATCTAGAATCCCATAGTGCTGAAGGTAGAGGTGTCTGTGCAAAGCTAGTCATTTGTTAACAGCAATCAGAAGAGATGGGGGCAGGCACACCTGTCAGAGGTGGCAGCAGAGCTGGCAGGACAGGACGGCTGGGCTGGTCTGGTCAGGTGAGCATGTCCCAGAGACAGCAGCAACAGAGAGCCGTCCAGCAGGCTGTGAGGCAGGTGGATGGTCCTAGCTCATCTCTTCTTTGGTCTTCTACCACATACACTGGAGGGAGAAGAGGGAAGAGGGTGAGAATGGACTGGTGCAAACCCCAGGCCCTGCAAAGTTAGCCTCCCAGGACCACAGGAAGGCTACACCAGGGGAAAACTATTGAGCAGACTGGTGAAACCGTGTTCCTGCCATTGCTGCTGCTGAATGGAAGGAGGGTGGCTCAGCTCAGCTGCTTTCTCCCTCCTGCCACTCCAGACTCAGGACGCCCTCACCCTCACAGGGACAAGTACTAGAGAACTTGCAGAATGGCCCCATGCCAAGGCAACCAGAGTTGGCCAACCCTACTTGGTTTGTAAACCAGGTAGCATGTCTTCCCCCCTGGAGGGGAACTGGGGGTCATTTCTTGGGATACAGCTGACCCATCACCCAAGAATAACAGAGGAAAGGGAATTAAAATCTCCTTTTAAAGGGGGGCTTTAAACCCTTAAAGAATAATCAAGAGCCCTGGTTTTTCATTCCTGGGCAATACACAATTTCAGAATGTGCCCCCAACCTCTATACCTTGACATAAACGATGAAGGAAGGCAGGGATGAAAACCTGGCTGAGTGGGATGGGGCGGCTGGAGCCTGTGTGGTGTCTTCCTGAGCCTAGCATGCTCACTTTTCCTCCAAATGGAGCTGGAAACCTGAGCCCTGTCATGGCCAAGTGCTCTATCGAGAGATCTGAGTGCTAAACAAATCCATAGGTCAAGAAGGACCCCAACTACCCACTACTTGTTAGCTGATTTGCGGCATTAGCTTCTCTTCCCATAAGGACATATTTTAAATGGCTGCTAGTCAATCTGTGGCCACTGAAAATCTCAAAACAACCACTGTCATCAAACTCATAAGCAGTAAGCATTTCACTTTTCCAAAGTTCATGAATGCATGAATGTTATCAATTAAGCCAGTCCTTTAGGGGTTTTCTTTCAGTTTTCTTGTGTTTTGTATCTGTTTTTAGACCTCTCTCGGCAGCGCCTCTCTCTGGAGCCTGGTGTCATTGCTATTACAGGGCACGCTGAGTGGGTTAGTAGGGAGATTTTCCAGGTCCTCCCGTTGTATCAGCTGCCCTCTACTGCACGGACATGTTCCTTTTCCTTCTCCTATGGCACAGGTTTAATCCTAGTCCACTTGCATTTGGCTCCACTCAGCAGCACAGGTCTGGGTCTAGATGCCCTTCACCAGGAAAGCCTGCTCAGAGGGAGAGGATGAATGGCTCATTTATTCTGAGGCCTCCTAAGGTCAAGTACCTGATTTCGTCTTCACAGCAACCCTGAGGTAGATACTACCATCATTCCCACTTCACAGGCAAGGAATTCGAGGCTTAGAGAGCTCAAGTCTCTCGTTCAAGCACATGTGACGAGGCAGAGGCAAGGGCAGAATCCGAACCCAGGCCTTTATGGCTCTAAAGCCTCTGGCAAGCCAGGCTTGCTCATACCCAACTGGGATAGAAAAGGGATCAGAAAGAGAACAGAGGTGACTGGGGCTACAGCAAAGTCATCTCTCACATCCAGCCAGAGCCTACCCTACCCACTGAAGCCTGGCCACCCCAGGCCCTGGGGTCACTGCAGCAGGAAAGCCCCAGGCAGAGTGTCCCTTCCATCTGCCTGGATGGCCTGCCCACCCCGGGATCCTGCATGGGCAGCTCTGGACAGGGAAACCAGAATACAATGGCATGCAGATCCCCTTGAATAACCCCTTCCCTGTGCTCTCCCTGTCACAGGATTGGCTCGCCTGCCCCTGGGACAGAAAGCCCCTCCCCTGCCAGCTCTGGAAATAGCCTGCTTGATTCATGTGCAGGCCATCCCTGGGCTTCAGGCCAGAGACTCAGCTGGAGGCTGGCTGCAGTGGGAGGGGCCTCACAGGCTCTCTTAAGTTACCATTTATTGAGGTATTCACAAGTGCCAGGCCCTGTGCTGAGGGCTTTCTGGACATGGGGCCACTCAGTCTTCATGACCGCCGTGTGGGGCATGGGCATCAGGACATCAGTCAGTCTCCTCACTGCTTCCCCTTCTCCCCAGCCTCCAGAGACAGGGCTGAGGCGGTGGCCATGCCTTTCTCACCTGTCAGAGCCCCTGAACCTCAGGCAGCTTAACTGGGGAAACAAAAACGTCCTAGTCTTGCTTGCTCCACCTTTTTCCTCCAGTTTAATCAGGTTCGTTCTTGCCAGGGCTTTCACATAACATACTTGGAAACGTGGGGAACTAGGGACTTTGAACTCATTACTCCCAGGCAGTGCTGACAGAGGTTAGAAACAGCAGCTACAAAATGGAGGACTTCAAACCAGAGGGCTGTGACAGCCATGACAGGGGCGTTGAGTGCCCACACATAACTTAGAAACCCGAGTCACTTATTTCCTGGAGCACCAAGTTTCCCAAAAGCCTTAGGACCTTTTCACCTTTAGCTGAGGACAGAATCTCTGCTCCTGGGCTGTTGGGAGGATGGGCAATGGGGAGTAGCGTGGGTCTGGAGGTGGGAGTGACCTGCGTTTTCCTTGCTTCAGTCGCCCAAAGCAGGGATGACTAGCGCAGGAGAAACCCCCAAGGCAGCCCTCACAGTTCTTCAGAGCACCTGCGGTGGGGCCCAGAAATTTTACAACTGCATCTTCTAGGTGCAGGGTTCAGGGTACTGCATCTCCAGAGGGTGCACTGAGCTGCACAGCCTAGTCTCTGCCCCAGGATCCCCACCCACCCCAGGGCCTCACCATTCCTGGCATTCTGCTCTGCTACCATCCCCGTCACTCCCCACTTCCCAATGGGGGACTCTGCCTGAGAACTCGTGCACTATCCTGGCTGGCACCCCATGCTACCTGGGTCCTGGGCCACTCAGTACTTGAAGCCCGGGGCCCTCTGTGCACTGAGGCTTAGCTGGCAGTGCGAGTCACCCAGCAGGAGCTGTGGCAGAGGTGGCCCCAACCCAGGTGTTCCACAACCAGAGATGGGCCATCCTGGCAACTGCCTCCTCTACAGCCAAGCAGAAGACAAAAAGCAGGCAGAACTATGGTTACATAAGATGTTAAACTGTTTACAGAAACTACCATCTCGGCAACTCTTCTCTCAATTTCTGTAATTGGAATGCTATTTAAAAATATAAACCTTTTTAAAAAGACGGAAAAAAGGGAGAGGGGTTAAAAGAGCAGTGGGGGGGTGCTGGGATGGTAACAGGCACCACCTTTCTGGGCACGTTGGTAGCAGTCAGTGCCCAACCTGGGAAGAGGTTCTGGTGCCTGCTGTGGCTGCTCAGATTGAGCTGCTTCTTGGAGATCAAGTGCCCCCCTGTGGCCAGTCTAGGGACCGGAGCTGGGTTCCAGCTCCTGACGCGGGCAGGGTCTTAAGGACTGGTTTCCTTCCATAAGCATCAGCGCCAAAAGGCTCATCCCTCATTCGCTATCTAGTGTCTCAGACCACCCTATTCAACCGGCCCCAGAGAAGAAGGGACTATTCCTAGGGGACTACAGGTGGAGTGGGGGTCAGGTCCAGGGGACCCTGCACTGGCTTGCCTCTCTTGCCCGCAGTCAGCCCTTTGAATCAACCCTCAGTATTCTCAGCCCCAGTCTGATGTGGGGCCTGCAGAGGGGCAGGCACCCAGAGCTTTGCCACATGGATGCAAACACAAGTGTGGGGTGGGGAACGTGCAGGGAGAGGTGCGTGAGCACACAGATGTGGCCCAGGAGCCCAGGCTAGGTCAGAAAGGCCCAGGAAGCCCTGGGTCTCAGGTGCGCAGCAGCTTTGGGAAGAGCTGAGCAGTTTCTGGCAGGGGCACCTCCCACCTTCTTGCCTTCAAGCTGGAAGCAGAAAAGATAGATGGACGATGCCAGGCCTGTCCAACAAGCCCTGGGGTCTTCTCCAGGGCCACCAGTGCCCACTGCCACTTTGGCCACCAGACACACCAACCAGTAGTCCCCTTGGTCCCAGGATCTAGGACTACTGTATTGTACATTCCCAGAGATGACATTCACATGGGCTACTCAGAAACCTGGTTCTGGGTAGGCAATGGGCAAGTGGGGCTCCAGTTTCCATAGAGGTCAGGGCAGGGATGACCTGCAGGAAGTGTGAGTATAGGCCTTCTCAGGTGAAGGCTCCAATTCTCAGCCCCATTCTGGCATCTGAAACCTTCATCTGCATGGCTGGGACTTTGTAAATGATGAATCGAGTGCCTTGATGTGGTAATTGAGCCTTATTAGGTCCTTCTTGTTTTTGCAAGTGTCTGTACCAGTCCCAACCCAAGAGAGCTAGGCGGGAAAGGCAAACAGAAAGACCAGAGCCTCCCAGAGGGTTCTGATGCCTGCAGCCTTCTTGCTCCAGGAGTGAGGAAGCAGCACCGTGGCCCCTTATCACCCAGACCAGCGATGGGCACCCAGGGCTGGCCCTCAACTGCTAAGACAACTACAATCACCACACCTTCCAAAAAGTGCCACCAGGGGAGATGATGGCTTTGCCAGGGGCAGGAGGACCTGTAGTCTGCTCAACTGCCCTTGCCCCGCATTGGGCATCTAGACCGACAGAAGGAGGCCAACCAGCCTTCCGGGAGGTTTCAGAGGATCCACAATAGCCCTTTACTGCTCAGATGCAGAGGTAGGAAGGGAAGGGAAAATCTTTAAGCATTTTCCCAATAAGTAAAAACGTCAAGACAGCCATGAGACGGCTCCTGCAGGGGCAGAGAGAGAGAAGACTCAACTTGCTATGGTTTCAGTTCAGCTTTCCTTGGATGTGCAAGTGCAGTGGCATCGTTTACTACCCAGCGCAAAGGGGCTACACTGATGAGAACAAAATGTCCTAAAGGCAATGCCACTGTGCCTCTGTTCAAGGCCAGTGAGTAAGTACCAGGTCCGTGTGCTGAGTGGGAGAGTGATAGGGCGAAGGATGACCAGGAACAGCAGAGGGACCAGCCCAGCTTCTGTCCTTCCAGGGAATATCTGGGCAGAGGCAATCAAGGGTCTGTAGTTTTCATCAGACTGTTTGAAGGGTAAGATAGGAGAAGGTAGGAACCTCTTCCATTTTCCCCTTCTTATACAGGGAGATGGATATGGAGCTGACAGAATCAGCACAGCCTTGGCCCAGGCTCCACAACAGCAGCTGCCTTTGCCTACTAAGCTCAGAGCCTTCCCTGGGCCTCCCGAGCCTCTCTTCCTGCCCTACTCCTCCTGCCTCCTTTTCCTGCAGCTTCAGCTCTGGCCTGGCTTTTCTGTGAAGCTTAGTCCCAAGATACCCACTCCAAGGTGAAGTAGACCAGGAGCTGGCCAACCAACTCACCCACCAACCTGTGTCTCACCTGACTGCAACCCAACCCAACAAGCATTCAGGTTGCCATTGCTCTCCAGACAGGTGCGGGCGTTTACATGGATTGGTCTGGAAAGGGTGAGGGCTTGCCGAGCTGTGGATGGGTCCTTGCTTGTAGGTCTTCAGAAGTGCATTTGCCACCATCCTGAAGTGGCATCCTGGGAGGGAGGCTGCCCCTGGACAAAACCAAGCAGCTATCCCAGGGCCAAGACCAAGCCTTCTGAGAAACTGATGAAGCCCAGGGAACCCCAGGTGAATGAGTCATCTCATTCACCCCCAATCAGTCCTGTGAACAGTAGACCCAATAACACAATTTTTGGAAAAACAACAAAATCTATCTAGTAGATATGGACATGCTGGACCAGCCTGACAAGGCTGCACCACCAGCACTGCCTGTGGTCTCATCCTTGGGCAAGACCTGCTAGGCTACCAGGACAGGGTTGACTGTAGATAGAGACAATTGAGAACTTCCCAGATGCCAGGACTACAGTCTGAACTGCCTTGGGGACCACCTTGGCCAGTCCTTTTTTGGTAAGAGGATGCTGAGTTCAAAGAAGGGAAAGAAGTTGACTGAGGTCACATAGTGAATTAGAGGCAGGTCCTGGCCTGTCACCACACCCTCCTGCCTTCTGGCCCAGTGCTCACTGCACAAGATCAGGCTCGCCTCAAATCAGACAGCATCTTGGCTGCATGTGACCTGAAATGTGGCTATGCATCAAGGGAATGAAAGGCCTCCCTATTCTCTGTGCCCCAGTTCTCCTTCTAAATCCAAGATCTGTGTGTTAGGTCCAGATCTAGGTTTCTCCTTGTTCAGAGTGTCCCAAGGAGAGTCAGGGCCCATCGCCTCAGAATGACCTGGTCCAACAGTCAATTGAGATATGGAGTGAACTCTGTCCACAGTCACAACATCCGAGTGAATGCCCCTCAGCCACCACCCGCCACACTTCCACTTTCCACATGAGGGTGCGGGAGAAGGAGTGGCTGCTGAGGAGCCTGAGCAAGGCATGTGTGAGGGAACTCCTGGGTGCATGTCATCCTCCCTCGTGTGTAACTCAGCTCCAGTGCTGGATGCTGACAATTCCTGGGCAAGTGGCTGGAGATCCAGAAGTGCTTGGCATTTTCCAGTAAAGACCATGTTACTCTACAAGAAGGTTATCACCCCATTTAAATAAAATAGAGAAAATGAGAGCTTTTAAAAAACTATGACCAACAAAAGAAGAGGTTAAAACCAGGGCCCACTTTCCCCATGTCCCTGCCACCAACTTGGGAGTTGGGCAGACCTGAGCCGAGGTCCTGGCTCTGTTCTTCCAGAGCTGGATGATTTCAAGTAAGACACTTGACCTCTCTGAGCCTCTGCTTCCTCTCCTACAGGATGGGAAGGAAGACAGAGTTGTACAGCTACTGCCTTAGATAACACAGGAAAATGTTGTAATGAGAACAAAGTTAATATCATTTAAGACAGGTCAAAAATACAAGCTCTCAATTTACAGAGAGGAAAGTTTCATCGTGGCGTTTCTTAAATAGTGAGATCATATAGTACATTTCAAATGCTATTTTTCATAATTTTCTAGGCCATTGTCTATGTTTACAGCACTGCTAAAGAACCGAGGTGCCTGCCGTGCTGGTGCAGCGTGTACATTCCTGTTTGCTGGTCCAGGTGCATGTACAAAGCTTGGTCTTGCAAAACATCATACAGTGAGCAATCCAAGCCACAAGACTGCAGGGACGCGCACATCCACAGAAATGCCACAAGGTAACTGTGGGGCTCAATAGCTTGTTGTGGACAGGATGGGTTCTATCCAGATGAGTTTATAAAAGATGAAAGACGTACAGATAATAATTTAAGTCAGACTTAAATAATTCACTTTATTTTTGTAAACCTGAGGAGAAAACCAAGAGCTTCTCATAGTGGTGAGAGACGGAAATAAAAAAGGGAATCTCAAATAGTTTATGGGGGCAATGTCCTCTTTTCTGTTACACAAGACTTTAGCAAGCAATCTTCCACACCCTGAGGGGAAGACAAGCCTTAGAAACAAACTGTTTTGTATTTGGCTTAGAGTAGACAGCAGTTTTACTTTGATCTTGACACCAGCCAGATTTGGTGGGGGACTGAAGGGCAGTAATGGGGAAGAGTACTCGGGACAGGATGAGTGCATAAGCAGTTCCTCAGCACCCACTCTTCTGCTAGAGTCTTGTAATGCCACTGCCTCAGATAGACCAAAGGACCACGGTGTGAGCTGGGGAAGATGTCACTGTCAAGATCAAAGCGTAGGAAGGGGCTGACAAGTATGAGAAGCCCCAAAATACACTTGAGAAGAGGACAAAATGTTTTTCTGGGCTGGGTGCGGTGGCTCACGCCTGTAATCCCAGCACTTTGGGAGGCTGAGGTGGGCGGATCATGAGGTCAGAAGATCGAGACCATCCTGGCTAACACCGTGAAGCCTCGTCTCTACTGAAAATACAAAAAATTAGCCAGACATGGTGGCGGGCGCCTGTAGTCCCAGCTACTCAGGAGGCTGAGGCAGGAGAATGGCGTGAATCCAGGAGGCAGAGCTTGCAGTGAGCCAAGATCGCACCACTGCACTCCAGCCTGGGCGACAGAGCGAGACTCCATCTCAAAAAAAAAAAAAAAGGAAAGTTTTTCTGGTGCTGAAGACCCAATGTCATGGGTGACATTACTACAGTAGGAGGAGGAAGCAGTTCATTATATCATGACATATATCATGAACATATCCCTAATGCAGCTTTTGGAGGAATAATTATGAATGAGGCTGGCTGGGCTTGGTGGCTCAAACCTGTAATCCCAGCACTTTGGGAGGCTGAGGCAGACAGATAACCTGAGGTCAGGAGTTCAAGACCAGCCTGGCCAACATGGCGAAACCCCATCTCTACTAAAAAGTATAAAAATTAGCCAGGCGTGGTGGCGGGCGCCTGTAATCCCAGCTACTTAGGAGGCTGAGGCAGGAGAATCGCTTGAACCCTGGAGGTGGAGGTTGCAGTAAGCCGAGATCGCGCCACTGAACTCCTGCCTGGGCAAGGGTGAGACTCCATCTCAAAAAAAAAAAAAAAAATTATGAATGAGGCTGATATACCAGGCAGAAGAAATTAAGGAAAATCTAGAGAAAAAACCTAATCATGCCTAGTACATGACAGTTCTATGACCCTGTGATGACGGTGTAAAGACCTCGAGGGAGGGAGGATTTTCCAATGGCAGCAAACAGTGTATGATCTTGCTCATGACCTGCTCAGAAGTGAGGCACAGGAAGACCACGGTTGTGAATGATGGTGGCTGACCTGACTCAGAGCATAACCCGGCCCACAAGTCCCTCAACATACTGGCCATCTTGTAATGGCTGTTCCTACCCAATTTAATGAATAGTATACCTCATTTACTGCCAACTTCCAAAGACACCAATGTAATCATACACTAGGGGCTTTAACTGTGGAATAATTACAACCCAGCAAATGAATGGGCAGGCTGCCTGCCATCATTAAAGGTTATGGCATGTAAGGGTGAGCAACCAATCCCACTTAAATACCCATTAGGCCCCATGATGATCTATAGATTTAATGCAATTTCAATAAAAATCCCAACAGGAGTTTTTAATAGATAAAGATAAACAAATTCTAAAATTTATGGAAAGGAAAGAGAACTAAAATGACTAAAATGAAGATTTAACATAAAGCTACAGTAGTCAAGATAACCGGTTAATGGTATTGGCAAACAGACACATAGATCAAAGGAATGGAATGAAGAAGACAATAATAGACCCACATGAACATGGCTAACTGGTTTGACACATAAGCAAAGGCAATTCATTGGAGAAAGCATTTTGAAAAATATTGGTATGGCATGCAGAACACCTCACAAAACCCCTCAGCTATTTTAAACCTCACATTTTATACAAAAACTAACCCCAAGTGGATTATAGATCTCAATGAAAAACATAAAACTGTAAAATATTTTAAAGAAAACATGGAAAAGCATCTTCATGACCTGGGGTTAGACAAAGAGTCCTTAGACTGACACCAAAAACGTGATAAAATAAAAAATTGATAAACTGGACTTAATCACAATGAAAACTTTTGCTCCATGGAAGACACGGTTAAGGGGATGAAAAGATAGGCTACAGACGCAGAGAAAATATGTGCAAATCACAGCCAACAGAGGACTTGTATCTAAAATATATAACAACTCTCAAAAGTCCACAGTAAGAAAACAACCCAATTTGAAAGTGGATAAAAGACTTGAAAAAACACTTCACCAAAGAGGATATACGGAGAGCAAATATGCACATGACTTCATCACTAACTATTAGGAAAACACAAATTAAAACCACAATGAGATGCCACTACATACAATCAGAATGGCTAAAATAAAAATTGCTGACAATATCAAGTACTGGCAAAGATGCAGAGCCACCGGAACTCTCATTCATTACTGATAGGAACGCACGATGCCAAAGCCACTTTGGAAAAGAGTAGCAGTTTCTTAAGCCTACCATATGATCCAGAAATTCCACTCCTGGGTATTCAGCTTAGAGAAATGAAAACTTAGGTTCACACAAAAACCTGAACGTCAATGTTTATAGCAGATGGATTCATAATCACTCAGAGGTAGAAACAACCCAAATGGTCCTTCAACAGGTGAATGAATAACTGGGGTACCTCTAATACAATGGAATACTTCTCAGCAATAAAGTATCCACAGATCCTCATAGAATACACCAGCAGTTAACACACTGATGATTGTGCTCGCAAGGCAGTATCCTGGAATGACATTCCAGGGCAAAACCTACCATCCCAAATCTCCTGTGGCCAAATGCACTGCAAAATCCCAAAGACCAGGGGCTTTCAAATGTATTCCTCAGGCCCCTAAGCTTTCATAAAAAGTAGGGGGTGGTTCCTCTTTGCCTCAACCACAGCAATTCTATAGTATCTATTTTCCAGACTGGAGTTGCATGTAGAGTTTCCTTTCAAAAGATGTATATTAGCAAAATCTGTAATGGTGGTCATGAAAGATCTAGACTGTTGCTACTGTTCAGAAGGACCTCCCCAGGGCATGGATGGTCATCTGTTTGGTTATCTATGTGCTGGACCCTCCAGCAGCTACCGCAGAGGACATAGTCTTCTTGAGGAACAATGTCTCCTCTGTTCAGGCTCAAAGCTGAGTGACATTAGCCTGACTCCCTTACTTGATGTCTAACCTTTTTGGAACTCAATGTTTTGTTAGCATGCTTCTGTCCAGTTTAGTGGAGGTTCCTAGCCTTCCTGCCTCAGCTAGTTCTTTGCACCTGTGAGCTTGCCTGTTCCATGCTTACACACATGTCTGCCTTTCTCCAGGCCTGAGGAGCCCTGTCTTCTAGTTCCAAGCAGTCTTGTCTTTCCTTCTGTTGATTTCCTTCACAGAACAAGAACTGGAGAAAAGTCCACCTCCTCAGTGAAAACAGTGTAGACACTTTTGCGTTCTCACTTTACCTAATCTCTCAGCAACATTTGATGTTACTAATCAATCCTCTCTTCCCAATACATCTTCACTCAGCTCTCAGGACATCCCATTCTCCTAGCTTTCTCTCTCTGACTCCTTTGCAGATCCATCCAGAATTCCTTAAAGCTCAGCCCTACACTGCCATCTTTCCTTTTCCCTCCATATTTCCATCCAAGTTGATCTTACTCACGGCCACAGTTTCAATGATCATCAACATGCCAAGGCTCTCCACATTGACATCTCTAGCCCAACCTCTCCTCCAAGCTTCAGGTTTATATACAATTGCTTACCTGACAGCTCCACTTGAATGTCTCATAGATACTTTGAAACCTCAAACTAACTCAGTTTGTTCTCTCTCTCAACCAATCATGATTCCTTTCTCTTGTTCCCAACCTCTGTAAACACCACCACCAGGCACCCAGTTCCAGTCAGAAACCCAGAAGTCATCCCTGACTCTTACCTTCTTCCTCAATGTCCATATCCAATCCATCACCAAGTCTGGTTGATTTTACTTCCCAATATCTCAAATGCATTCATTTCTCTCCATAATCACCATGTGTACCTGTGCCCCCTTCCAAACCACTCTCCACACAGAAGCCAAAGGGATTTCTTAAAAATGCAAATGTGATATCATCCCTTTGCTTAATATCCTTCAACAGCTTCCCATTACTCACAAGACAAATACCAAAATCCTTAACTTGGGCTATGAGCCTCCATCTTGTTCCTGCCTGTTTCTCAACTGCTCCTAATGTCCCCTTGCGGCCTATGACACCAATTTCCTTTTCCACTTTATCAAATGAGCCACCATCTTTCCTGCCATTGGGCCTTGGCACCTGCTGTTCCTACACTTTTGCCTACTGACATCTATACATCTTTCAGATCTTAGCTCACTTCACTGCCTTGGGGAAGCCTTCTTGGACTGTGCCAGATTGTTCCCCTTTTGTAGGTTTTCATGGCATTATGTCTCTTCTCTTCACAGGGAAGTATGATGTCAATTATTACCTGTGGGTTTATTTAATGTCTGGTTCCCTCCCTAGAGTATAAGCCCTGCAAAAGCAGGGATTGGGGGTTTGTTCTGTGTGGTCTGTCACCTGACACTCTGGAGCTACGTTTACGGAATCCATGATTGTCTCTGTAGAACCCTGGTGGTTTCCCTGGAGCATGCATAGGACAGACTGAAGAACTGCTCCCCTCACAGCTGAACTGCCCCCAAGGGAATGGTGTGACAAAGATGGGCTAAAATTTTCTAATGTGTGATCCCAATGGAATGAATAAATTATTTCCACCAAGTAATAAATGTAACATTTTAAAAAAGTAATCTATTCACAGTAACATTAAAATTATACCTGGAGAAAAATCTAATTTTAAAAACCAATAAAAATATGTGAGAACTATGTGAAGAAAATTTTAAGACTTAAAGGACATAAAAAGAAGACAAAAATAAATTGAGAGATTACTTGTTCATGGTGGGAAGACAATATTGTAAATATGTCAACTCTTTCACCAATTACTTGATAAATTACATGCTGTTCCAATCAAAGCCAAACATGGTTTTCTGTAGAAACTAACACACATTCTAAAATGTAGATGAAACAGTAAAAGGCCGAGAAAGCCAAGAAAATTACGAAAAAGAATAAGAGGTATGTGTTTATGCACGTGCTGGTGGAAGGAGGGTACACATCACACCAGATTCCTGATTCTAGCTCATATTCTAATTCGTATATGGGAACGTGGTATATGACAAATCTCATCTCAGATTAATAGGGAAAGGACTGAAACTGTGCCCCAAAGATTAAAGACACCAATCCCTAACAGAGTTTACAAGATGGCAGTCAAGAAACAACTTGCTGAAACACTGAAACGCCTCTGCTTATGAGGCAAAAGAACTGAGTGAAATCTGTTAGAACCAATATGGCCAGCTGGAGTTTGGACAGAATGAGCCTGCTGATGATGTCACAGCCTGAATTTTCACTGCATGTTTCATGCTAACCCCTCCCCTGAATTTGCACATGGGATCCAAGAGGTAGCATGAAGAGATTATTGTACATGCCCCAGGACTTTCCAAACCTCTTCTTTCCTTCCATCAACCATCTCTCATCCTGGAATCCACCCCTCTAACCTTTTCTAATAAAATTACTGCCTTAAAGCCAGGACAGGGAGACAGATTTGAGCTGGAATCCTGTCTAATTGTTAACTTATAATAAAAGCATTTCTTTTCTCAAAAACCCAGTGTCATGGAATTGGCTTCTAGCACATCAGGCAGTGAGCCCCTTTTGCTTGGTAACAGGATGATCTAATTAATACATGCAGCTGGAACTACCAAGATGGAAAAAGAAAACTAGAATCTTATCCTACACCCATGATAAAAAATAAATTCAGGGCCAGGTGCGCGGTGGCTTACGCCTGTAATCCCAGCACTTTGGGAGGCTGAGATGGATGGATCACCTGAGGTCAGGAGTTCGAGACCATACTGACCAACATGGTGAAACCCCTGTCTCTACTAAAAATACAAAAATTAGCTGGGCATGGTGGTGCATGCCTGTAGTTCCAGCTACTTGGGAGGCTGAGGCAAGAGAATCCCTTGAACCCAGGAGGCAGAGGCTGCAGTGAGCCGAGATCGTGACACTGCACTCCAGCTTGGGTGACAGAGCAATACCTCATTTCAAAAAATAAAATAAAAATGCAAAATTAGCTGGGTGTGGTGGCACATGCCTGTAATCCCAGCTACTTGGGAGGCTGAGGCAGGAGAATCGCTTGAACCAGGGAGGCGGAGGTTGCAGTGAGCCAAGATCATGCCATTGCACTCCAGCCTGGGCAACAAGAGCAAAACTAGGTCTCAAAAAAATAAATAAATACATAAATAAATAGATAAATAAATAAATCAGGTGGACTAACGACTATATCTTAAACATTTTTAAAAGAAAATATAGACTTATTTTTATGAGCTTGGAATAGAAAATGAGTTTTCAAAGACTAAACCATACAAAGCACGAGGGAAAGATGATAAACATGACTTCTAAAATTTCTCATACTAGAAAATACACCATAAAAAGATTAAGAGAGGCCAAGTATGGTGGCTCACACCTGCAATCCCAGCACTTTGGATCTCAGGTGGATCGCTTAAATTCAGGAGTTCAAGACCAGCCTGGAAAACATGGCAAAACCCTGTCTCTATTAAAAAGATACAAAAATTAGCAGGGTATGGTGGCGCGTGCCTGTAATCCCAGCTACTTGGGAGGCTGAGGCACAAGAATTGCTTGAACCCAGGAGGTAAAGGTTGCAGTGAGATGAGATCACGCCACTGCACTCCAGCCTGGGTAACAGAGCAAGACTCCATTCCAAAAAAAAAGAGAGTCAGATAGGAAGAAGATATTTGCACACCTATAAAACAGACAAATATTAGTGGATAGAATATATAGAAATTCTCTACAAATCAGTAAGACAAACCAACAGAAAAGACAGGCTAAGAATATGTATAATCAATTCACAAGATATGTACAAACTGCCCAAAACTTATATGTTTATGTTCAAGGTCACTAGTAATCAGGGAAAGCAAATTAGTGAGATACCATTTCACACCTATGAAAGGTGCTAAAATTTAAAAATCTGTGAGTTATTGTCAAAGAAAGAAGAAAATGGAAATTGTGCAACAGTAGTTGTTTATTCCTGTAACAGGAGGTAGCAGGGCTGTAGGGAAATACTCGGATCTTAGCTGCTCAGTTCAAGTTGTCCAGGAGGCAGCAGCAGCAGAGAGCAGCCCAGCAAGCAGCCAGGACTGCCTGACACCCGCTGTCCATCTTCCTTTCCCGTTCTATCACGTACACTGTTGAAGGGGGTGCAGGGCGGGCAGAGGAGAGAGAGACCCAGTCAGAGGGGACTTGGAGTGGCAGCATGCTGGTAGAACTTACCACACTCTGCAGACTGGTTCTGTCTAGATTGTTAGCTCCACAAGGGCAGGGCAGGGGCCAAGCTGATCTGGTTCACTGCGCTTTCCCTGTTTCAGTGTCTGGCACACATCAGGTACTCAGCAGCTATCAGACCACTGTTCCTGCCACCTCTCCTCCAAGCTGACCAGGAAACCCAACCCAGTACTTTATTTGTTGCTTGTCCAAAGTGATCCAATTCTCAATGCAACCCTTGCCCTGAGCCCCACCCCTGAAGCCTGCCCTGATATGGCAGGCACCGGCGGAAATCTTTACATATGATTTCATTTAATCCTCCCAACAGCTCTGTATTATTATCATCATTTTATAACTCTCATACACTGTTAGCAGGAGTGGGAATGGACAGAATCTCTTTGAAGGAGAATTTAGGGAGAAGGGGAGAGACAACAACTGCAACCCAGAAAATTTGTATCTGGAATTTATCCTGCAGAAATAATTGTCCCAGCGTTCAGGGATCTATGTAAAGTATGGTTGTTGCTGCATCAAAATAACCCCAAACTAGCCTTAATGTCTATCAGGTGAGTCCAGTTGGGTAAATTAAAGCACACCACATAATAGACTACTACTAAAAGAACCAGGTGGTTCTTCCACGTGACCAATAATTTAAGGGATGAAAGCAAGGTCTGGAGCAGTGCATCTATTTTATTTGTACAATAAGAAGGATATACACACAAATACACACACACACATTTCTGAAATATACAAGAACTTAAAGGTCAGGGTGTGGAGAGAGGTGGAGGTTTTCACTTTGCTTTTACATTTTTCTCAAATCCAGGCTCGTCTGATTCCAATGCCACACTCAAAGCTGCTCCTGGGGGTCCTCATGGCAGAAGGGTGGGGCCTAGCTAGTTTTAGAATGCCTTGGATCTCTTCAAGCGTCTATTTCAACTGCTCTAAGATAGTTCCGGGGGCTTTAGGGGCAGTGGGCACTGACCAATCTGGGCTCCTAGCCCCAGTGGCCCCATCCTCAGTCCTGGGCTGCCTCCCTAAGTCACTGTTACCTAGACACCTCACATGGTCCAACTCCCCACAACCATGCTCCTCTTATAGCCTGACCTGGCACCTCCTAACCCATAGTTCCACCTATCAAATATGCCTTAAATCCAATTCTGTCTCCTCTCAGGCCCTGCAGCCTCTGAGTTCTAGGCTAGCACCAGGACTTCTGCTGGGCAAACCTGGCAAGTAGGGGATGCTATCAAATCACAACTCTCCCTCCAAGGAGCTCAAACCAGAGAGGACCCCTATACTGCTGCAATTCCTAGGGCTGAGCCCCTATTAACCCTCTCCCCCCTGCCCATGCAAGATCCCAAACAGCTCATTAAGGCTTCTTTTGCAACCCCTGGCCCTTCACACCAGGTGGCAGTACTTCAGAATTTACCAAATCAACCCCAGCCTCTTCTCTTGGGGTTTGGGAAGGTACTCAGGAGCCCACCTGAGCCAGGTTCTGGGGAAGACGGCATCAAGGGAGCAGGCGCCATTGGTCTCTGCCTATGCACAGCCTTGAGGATTCCATGATGCTCCAGGGGCCACCTCCAGGTCCCTAACCAGCCCTCTGGCTCCCCTCACCCCAGTGAGTGTGAACATCCATCATACTCCGCTTTCTCCTCTCACTTCCTCAGCAGAGCCCCTCCATTCTTGACTCCCACACTGCTGCTCTCCACCTCTGCCAGTCAGCGACCTCAGCAGCACCAGGACCCTTGTCAGGAACTTCAGCGTCTACTCAGCTGACCCTTGGTAGTGCCCACCCCACCCCTTGGCCTTCTCTCAGCATCAGCAGTACTGTCACTGGGCTCATCCTTTCCTGTGTCCTGGAAATATCCCCTCCACATTTTTTTTTTTTTTGAGACAGAGTATCACTCTTGTTGCCCAGGCTGGAGTACAAGGGTGCGATCTCGGCTCACTGCAACCTCTGCCTCCCAGGTTCAAGTGATTATCCTGCCTCAGCCTCCCAAGTAGCTGGGATTACAGGCATGCGCCATCACATCTGGCTAATTTTTATATATATATATATATATATATATAATATTTAGTATATAATATATATTTATATTATATATTATATTATTAATATATATAAATATATTATATATTATTAATATATATTTATATATATTATATATATATAAATATATATATATTTTTTATAGAGACGGGTTTTCACCATGTTTGCCAGGCTGGTCTCGAACTCCTGACCTCAAGTGATCCGCCTACCTTGGCCTCCCAAAGTGCTGGGATTATAGATGTGAGCCACCGCGCCCAGCCCAGAATAGGAATTTTAATAAAATATCAAGCTGAATTTAAATATAGGGTCATCTACTCACTGGCCATGTAACCTTGGACAGGTAATAACCTCTCCAACCCTCAGTTTCTTCTGCTATAAAACAGGAATAATATTAGTAATCTATACCCCATCATAGGGTTGCTGGGAAAATGAAGAGATTATGCATGTAAAATGCTGGGCACAGTGCTTCGCACATTGGAAAGCATTCAGTAAATGCTCACTGATGTTATTACTATTATTCAAATGCCTATGACCTTTCAGGCAGACCCCTCCCCTGACCAAAAGCAGGCCTCTTGTAGACAGGGAGAAAGAAGAGGAGGTGTTTACCCACTCTGGGAAGAAGCCTCAGAAATAAACAGGAGGCTGGGAGTCAGAGTCACAGGCTATTCTAGGAGCAAGGGGCCTGCAAGATCAGTTAGCCCCTCGCTGTAGAGAGGAGGTAACGGAGTTCCAGTGCAAGGGATGGATATGCCCAAAGCCACTCAGAGAGAAGAGGAAGAGCAGAACAGAGCCAGATCTCTATCTCCAGTAGATTCACGGCAGGAAAATACAAGAATGCTGGGGAGGGGACTGCCAGGAACCGAAGGCCCTGCCTAGGCACACCTTCCTTCACTCCAGCTCACACACAGACATGAACAGTCCCCATCAGTTTTCCTTTGGCCTCAACTAACTACATGACATCAGAGCCAAGGTTCAAAGTCAGGGAAACCGGTCACATCTTTGGGAAGTATGACTAGGAAGCCCAGGCAGAGCTCAGGGCTGGGCAGCTTCCAAGTCAGAGGATGTGGAGTTTGTATACTGAGCCTGGGACAGAAGAGAAACATATGGGACATGGGAACAATCAGGATGGCAGCCAGAGGCTGGAGTCCAGGGGCCACAGACACCTCCTGTATCCTGACTGCCAGGCCCAGGCCCATGCCTGGTAACAACCCCTTCCCCAACTCCCTCCCACTGATTGAAGGCCTAAACAACCCAGGTACTGTGGTCACCCCAGCAGGAATCCCCACAGTGGGATTCACCTGTATCTGCCTACACCACCTGCCAGTCCTAGCGTTCCACTGATCCTGAATGGGCAGTGACACCTATGTAGGAAAACAGTTTGTTGCATGGCAAGAATGACACCATCTTTTTTATTTTTATTTTTTAGAGAGAGGGTCTTGCTCTATTACCCAGGCTGAAGTGCAGTGGCATGATCATAACTCACCTCAGCGTCAAACTTCTGGGCTCAAGCAATCCTTTAACCTCTGCTTCCCAAGTAGCTAGGACAACAGGTGCATGTCACCACACCTGGCTAATTTTTAAAATTTTTTGTAGAGACAGGGTCTTGCTATGTTGTCCATGCTGGTCTTCAACTCCTGGCCTCAAGCCATCCTCCTGCTTGGTTTCCCAAAGTACTGGGATTACAGGCATGAGCCACTGTGCCTGGTATGACACCATCTTGAAGTGAAACCACGATGACTGATGTATTCCCATAGCATAGACAACTCCTTATAAAAACACAATGCCAGGCTGGGCATGATGGCTCACACCTGTAATCCCAGTGCTTTGGGAGGCTGAGGCGGGAGGATCCCTTGAATTAACGAGTTCAAGACTGGCCTGGGCAATAAAGTGAGACTCCATCTCTACAAAAAAATTTTTAAGTAGCTGAGTGTGGTGGCTCATGCCTGTAGTCCCAGCTATTCAGGAGGCTGAAGCAGGAGGATTGCTTGAGCCCAGGAGTTTGAGGCTGCAGTGAGTCATGATCACACCACCACATTCCAGCCCAAGTGACAGAGAAAGACCCTGTCTCCAAAAATAAAAGAAAAAAAGAAACAATGCCTATTGCATAAATAACCTCTAGTGAAGATATTTGTCTAATCTTCCTAGAGTTTTGTAAGAAAGTCTGCGGCAGCTGGGCATGGTGGCTCACGTATGTAATCCCAGCACTTTGGGAGGCCGAGGCGGGCGGATCACCTGAGGTCAGGAGTTCGAGACCAGCCTGACCAACATGGAGAAACCCCATCTCTACTAAAAATACAAAATTAGCTGGGTGTGGTGGCGCATGCCTGTAATCCCAGCTACTCGAGAGGCTGAGGCAGGAGAATCGCTTGAACCCGGGAGGCAGAGGTTGCGGTGAGCCGAGATTTCGCCACTGCACTCCAGCCTGGGCAACAAGAACGAAACTCCGTCTCAAAAAAACAAACAAACAAAAAAATAAACTCTGAGGCATGACCAGCTATACATGTGTTTACCCTAAAAGCTTGCTATTTAAATAATACTTTCTGGAGAGTACGTACAGGGATCCACCCTGCCTCCACCTGAGACATTGCTTCTGTTCTTAAGTCCCTATTAAATGTTTCTTTCTGAGAAACTGGATGTGTCAGCCTCTCAGCTCCCTCAGCCTTTGGGGGTCGATCTGTATATAGCTGGCTCACCCTGGAATAACTTGTGAGCATAGACACCAGCCACCCTCCAGGAACTGGCTGCATACCCTTTGAACAACCTCTTTGATCTTCTCTCCCTGCCAGAGGAATGGCTTGCCTACCCCAGTGCAGCAAAGTGCCCCCTTGCCTCATATCAGCTCCAGAAATAGCTGCCTGATTCATGAGCAGGCCCCTCCCAGGGTGTAGGCCAGGGACCCAGCTGAAAGCTGGGTTACTGTGTGAAGAGCTCTTATTCCACACCCCACATAGATCTCTGTTCTTCTGGGAAGGATCTGATCTACTGTCTGGCAAACTCCCGCCTTTGTCCTCCAGCATCCGGAAAATAAGGTAACCATCAGGGTAATGAAATGGTAGCCGCAGTACTAAGCATGTACTGATCCTTTTTGTCAGCTCATCCCAGCTCAGACCCAGCTGACATTCCCTCCTCTTCCTGGTTTTGCCCATGACTTGGGCTGTCCCCTTCACCTTTCCAAACCTCAGTATCAACATCTGTAAAAAGCAGGGTTGACAGTGGTGTCTACAGTAAGGTCCCAAAGATGAAAATGCCTTGACAACAAAATATTGTTTGATCCTTCCCACTCCCTGCCCCAGGGGCCATGTGCCAGAGCAGGAGAAGGCACCATCAGCCCTGAGAAGAGCAGAAGAGAAAAGTAGCAGAGGATGTCCTCCTCCTCCTCCTTCTCCTTTGCAACATCTCACTGGATCCTACCCAGAACCTGGGATCTCTAGGTGGTTCCTCCAAGAGATCTTCCTGACCTACCCCATTAAGGGTCTTTCTGACTCTGAATTCCTGCCAGCACACTGTAATTGCAATCATTCAAAAACAGCCTTAGAAATATCAAGCAGTCCTTAAGAATACAGCACTGAGGCAGAGATGGGCTCAAGGTGAGTATCTAGATGAAAAAGGCAGACTACAGGCCAGGATATGTACAGTGTCCAGAAGAACAGAGTTTTGGGGGTAAGAATAGGAGACTTTTATTCTGTATGCCCGTGATGTTTTCCTTTTTACTTCTGCTATTAGAATAGAACAAAGAAAATAGGACTGTCTCAGAAGTGGCTGGCTTATTGTCAGTGTTCCCATATTCCCTAACTAGACTCTAAGTTCCTAAAGTGCAGGGTACAGGCTTTCTCCACATGCTGCCCCTACAGGGCCTGAGACACAGGGAGGGAAGGCTGGCTGGGAACTATGAGCAGCACCAACATCCTTCTAGGCAGGGGCAGATGGCTACAGTGGGCAGTCCCTGCCTCACTCACAAGAGCCACATGGCCCACAGTCTAGGTCCTTACCACGTCATGAGTTCAAAGTCTACCAGTACACTGGAACTGATCTCAGTATTTTTAGTTATGCAGTAGTTTGAGTTGGCTCATTTGTGAATCTAGAGAATTGCTAGGAAGAAATTAACACAGAGAATAATCACATGCCCATTAAGACAAGAGTTTCACAACCAGCCATCTCTACTTCCTAAGTGGCCTGGCAAATACAGATGGACACTGGCTCAAGGAAGCCAATTATCACCCAAGTGTGTCCTTAGCTGGTATGGGGAAAAACCGGTCCTGTGCCAAGGCATTTCAGAAATATACTTTCCTAGGAAGTTACACATATGTAATTCCAATAATTCTAAATGTTGTATAAGAATTGGATGAAACAAAAGCAGATTACAAAAACTGGAAGACATGGGGGATAATACCATGCTTGCACAAAGCTGCCATGAGGGGAAGACAAGTGGCTTCAACAGTCTTAGTCATCAGCAGGCTCATGGTTTCAAGTCCTAAGAGCCAGGTCTGGGGACAAGGCCAAAAGCCCAGCTCAACTAGGGTCAGGAAAGAGAAGGGTCAAAGTCATTAAGAGCCCACGCCACTAGAGCAAGCTGGCGGTAGTAAGGCGCACTGCCTAGTCCAGTGCCCACCAATAAGTGACAAGGGTGCCTCCACAATCATAAGGAAGTGGCCAGCTGAAATGTGGTCAATGAAAGGGGATATATCGGGGATATATCAAACTGGAATTATAAAATGTTGTGAAAGCCTATCAAATATCAAAATGAAGTCTGATATTATGAGTGTCCAGTGATAGTTATGCTGGAGTCTAAAATTAGATGGTGAGTAAAGCTGACTTTTGCTCAGCAGAGAACGGTGATTCATCAGAAACTGATCTTCAAAGACATCCTGCTCCTTGTGCTTTAAACCCTTACCCAAATGAATTGAAAGTAGGGACTTGAACAGATATTTGTACACCCATGTTTGCAGCAGCAGTATTTAGAAACATAGTCAAAAGGTGGAAGCAACCCAAGTGTCAATGGATAAACGAAATGTGGTATAAATATGCAATGAATATTATTCAGTCTAAAAAAGGAAGGAAATCCTGACACACGCTACAGCATGGATGAATCTTGAGGACATTGTGCTAAGTGAAATAAGCCAGTCCAGAAGGACAAATACTATATGATTCCACTTATATGAGGTACTCAGTGTAGTCAAATTCATAGACATGGAAAGTAGAATGGTGGTTGCTAGGGGCTGGAGGTAGGAGAAAATGGTGAGTTGTTGTTCAACAGGGACACAGTTTCAGTTTGGGAAGATGAAAAGAGTTTTGGAGATGAGTGGTGGTGACGGTTTCACAACAATGTGAATGTACTTAATGCCAATGAATTGTACATTAAAAATGGTTAAAATGGCAAATTTTATGAGAATTTTATCACATACATAAAAACCTGCATTATTTTTTTCTTTTCTCAAGAGACAGGGTCTTGCTGTGTCACCCAGTCTGGAGTGCAGTGGTGCAATCATAGCTCACGGTAACCTCGAACTCCTAGACTGAAGTGATCCTTCTGCTTCAGCCTCCTAAATAGCTAAGAAACTTGCATTCTTTAATCCTCTGTTTATACATGAGAATTCCAGGACACTTCAACACTTGGGGAAAAAGACACCAGAGCTGAGCTTCACAGCAGGCAAAACTCTGTACGTTGGTGGCTCAGGATGTTCTGTCCCAGCAGCAGCTTCAGTTCTCTTTGGTTTGGTAGCATGAATCAATCCTGCAGGCCCCTGGAGCCAGCCTGGACTCCAGCCAGCCAGAGACACCTCATGGTCACAAAACAGTAAGTCCACTCTGCCTGCCTGTGTGCCCACCTGCCCTCCTGCTTGAAGACTCTTCTAGACTGCTCCAACTATATCTCACATCCAGCAAATGTGCTGAAGGAGAAAGAAGCTGCTGTTGCTGACACTTAGCTCAGTCTCCTTCCCACCTCACATGCTCACTTTGCATTTTCCTGACACAGCCAACCCTGCAGAGGAGTCCAGAAACAAGAGACATCATCCCTGACTCAGGCAGCTCACAGACCACTTGAAAAGAAGACAAAGACCCATCTCAGGAAGCTCACAGCCACATGCCAAACTGGGCAAGACCAATTATAAACACAATTGGAACAAAATCATGACAGATCCTTTCAATGAGTTAAGGTGAGAGGAATGTTAATCTTATTACCGCCCTCTCCTCATTTCTCTCTTCTTGCACTGCTAGAAGAAAATTCAATAAACGATGGCTAGTGAGTGGCTCACCAAGAAATGGGCATCATCTTAGATGGGCCCTGGCTGCCACAGCCAGCCCTAATAGCCCTGGCTTCTGACTGATAGGGCCACCATGGCCTGACAGTCCCTTGCCCTCAGGATGGAACCGTGGTTAGGGTGATTAATGCATGAACTGTTATTTCATACCCTGCTGAGCAGCAAGAATGATGCTTGAAACCAGGGAAGCATAGAAATAAAGCAAGGAGAGAAAAGGTAAGAGTGAAACAGAGATAGGAAATGACTTAGAAACCAAAAACCCCCAATGTCAGTGGCCCTTGAATATAAGACAACTACTGCCATGATTTTAGAAGGCTAAACAGAAATCAGGGAAATGATTTCCTCCTGGTTTTCAGGCACTGGGTTACAGAAAAAAAAAAGAGAGAAGTTACTTTGAGTGGAGCTGGCTCTTTGGAACTTGCCCAAATGGGCAGAGATCACCAAGGAGGTAGCTGTTGGGTTTTTCCAATTAGTGTCCAGGCACAGGCAGGCACAGACTACTCTGTTATCGTCAATGTTAGCCTGATTCACATTGAGTGCTGGCCCAGGAGTCTCATTCAAATAGTACTTGCTGCATTTTCTAAGAAGGTAAACACTGCCATATCATTTTTAATGAACATAAAACGTGTTTTATCTTAGGTATACAGACCATAACTGGCTTCAAAAGGTACCAGATTCCTGTGTTACTGATTAACAGCTCCAGGAGATATATTTATGCAAAGCACCGCAGGTTGTTTTCTTTTTCTACTGCCAGGCTTAATTTTATGACAGTAAAAACAGTAGTGTTTTCTCCTGAACGCACCTCAGTTTAGAGGCTGGTACACAGTGAGTTCCAAGGTCAGGGATGGGACAGGATGACCATTCTCAATGAATGTGGTGAGAAGGTGATTCGGGGGCAACCCTCACTTGTAAGGACTGTCTCCCACCCCTCCCCTCTACTACCTGCAGCACACTGCCCACGATTTCAGAGAAACAAAGGCCATTCCTTGTAGATTTGCAAAGAACTGTGCAGGGTGCCTGGGCTATGCCAAATTATCCACCGCAATTCCTGCTGTTTCGTAACACTGTTTTGTAACACAAGCTGACATCCACCTAGAATCAAGGGCAAATGGTCCTGAAAATCCCCACTTTACCCACTGAGATGTGATTATTTGGCAAATGTGAGGCTAGAGACTTCACCAGCAGAGAAAAGGAGACAGAAGTGGTGGCCTGGCTTGTACGACTGTAACTAGGACTCTGGCCCTGGAAGACAGGGCCAGAGTTTAGGGAAACAACTCCCTTCCATGGTGAACTCTATCAGGCTTGGCCAGCTTGTCACTGAAGCCAGATTTAAAAAGTCTCCACAATCATGACCAGCCTCTTGCCATGAAAACTGTAAGGTGGAAAACTAAGTAAGGTTGGCCTTGTAGATGGAGCAGGTATGTAGGGACCCTCCAAAAATATGCTGGGAGGGCCAGAGGGCATCTGATTTCACCCCATCCGGTAGAGTTCAGCTGCCAAAGCGGTGATTTTATTTACAGCACTACCAATTTGGAGAACTAAGAGATAGAGCAGAAGGACTCTCAGCAAACTCCAAAAGCCCCGTATATAGCACACTTGACTTAGGGTACCACCCTCCTGGATAGTATGTTTGCAATGCTGCTGTCATCATCTGTCCATATCACAGCACAAGCAGACCAAATCCCTTGGGCCTGGCAGCCCACCAAGGAACATAGGGCAAAAGCAAAGAAAGGCAGTGCTACAGTTGGGACACCCTAGGGTCCAACCTCAGTGCCACTTTGAGGGTGTGACAGCCTCTTCCAGCTTTAGTTTCCTTACCTGTAAAATAGGGATGAGATTAGTACCTATTCCCTTATTGGGTTCTTCAAGAACTTGATGAGTTAATCCACATAGGCCAGTGCCTAGTATACAGCGGGTATTCTGTATACTCTAGCTGCTACTATTGCTCCCAAGACAGAGACCTGAAGGACAGAAGGCAGGGCTTCCCAATCGCTAAGACACCTGGAAGCAACATGGGCATTGCATAGAACTGGTACACCCTACAGACAGTTGCATTTTACACAATGAACTGGAGTCTTTTTGAAAAATGAACAAGAGACATGGAAATGGGAAAAAAAAGAGATGTCTGTTTATCTAAGGTACTGCCTTAGTCCAACTCCCTGTGGATGCTAGGCTCTAAAGTGATAATCCAGGAGGGCCAGGGGTACTGCCTCCTAATGATATTCACAACCACAGCCATCCTTATTACCACACCGACCATATCGGCTAGCTGGAGCGGGCTATCACCAAGAACCTTTCTACCAACTCTCACAGTCACCACTTTTCTCCCATGATTGAACAGGGAAATGGAAATGGTCCTATTTAGCAATTCCTTTTGACCTCCAAGATAAACTCTGGGGACCCTCAGCTCCTAATTTTATCTGGATGAAAATGTTGAGGACTGCAATGCCACTTATCACTGTATGCTCACAGCCTACCACAGGGCACTCAGTAGGCCTGGCACACTAAATGAATGAGTGGATGGACAAATAACCTGTCTTGTACTCCTTACCTCAGTTGGAAAAGCCTGTCTTATTAAGAAACTGCAGATATGGGCTTAGCTGGTGACACTCTGAAGCAACTGCAAAGCACTGATAAGGAAAAATATGAGACCCAACTGCTCTCAAGTTCTTAAGAAAGGGAGTCACTCCACTTCTGTCAGGTCAACCCCTTCAGAAGAGATCTTGGCGTACTCTGAATTTTCTAGAAAGGGGCTGAGGGTAGTCCTTGATATCAGGGCCATCACTTTATTCCAAAGGGAATAATCTGCCTGGAGAAGATCTTGGAAGAGAATCAAGCAAGCAGAGGGAGCTTAGGGTCCTGAGTCCAGCTAGGCCAGGGAGAGTGGGCCTAGTAGCCACAGGATACACCTTTTTCACAGAGGCTTCAAATCTGCAGCCCCAGGACATCTTGCCCACAGCCCTGGGGAGTTCATGGTTACCCACTAGCTGCCTGAGGTACTTGGAAAGGGCTTTTTTGGAGGCTCAGGAGGAGGAGAGAGAAATATTAATCCTTCACAAACAAATTACCCATGATATACATTCTCTCCAAAAGCAAAAAGTCACTTTTACCCATTAAGAACTCACAATATAATCTTGCGCTGTCTCTGTCTCTAAAATTCTCCAGGCTGAAAAGGTATCCCAGGCTAGCAAATGGACTCATTTCAAGGGTAAATGGAAAAGCTCAGAGGAAACCAAGGCGCTACTTAAAAAAGAAAGAAAAAAGCCTAATGGAGATTTTTTTTTCCCTAAGGAAAATGCAATTGAAAATCATCAAAATCTTTTCTAAGCTGTTCCCAAGTTATAGTCTTTAAGCAAGTGTGTTCCTGGAGAAAGGGCCTGATGACTAGAACCTCAAGAGAAAGCTCAGGTACAACCCCCAGAACGAGAATGCGTATGCTCTTTGTGTGTGTGTGTGTGTCATAGAGGGAGAGGGCTCTACTTCCTCCCCTTACTTCAGAAAGCCCTGAGGATGGGTCAGGGCAACCTTAGGAGTATGCTACCTTTTCCAATCAGGATCCCAGCCTGGCTACACAAGGCACCCTTGATCAAATGAGGAAAAGGCCACTGAGCCCAGCAGGGAGAGAAAAGGAAGGGAGCAGTATTAGCCTCTCGAGACCAAAAGCATTGCAGCCCTGATAGCATACAGGCAGCAAGCTTCCTGGTACAAGCTGATAAGATTTTCCAAGGGAGTTGATAGGAAAGTAAATATTTCCTGGAGAAGGAACCCACTCCCTCAGAGAGCCAGGGTAAGCCTGGAACAGCAGAAAACCAGGGCAGGTTACTCAAACACTGCGATGATCTGCTCAATGGGTCTGTCTCCACGGACCCCCATCCCCTGCCAAACTGCCAGTTCAGCTCACAGGGGAGAAGCTGGGTCCTCTTCAGCTCTGTATCCCCAAAGGTCTAGCTCTTACAGATACAGGTTCACTGGATTCAGAGAGTATGCGTAACATACCTGGCTTAATCAATTTATGTAAAATTTAAGTCCCTTAACCTCTCTGTGGGTAAAAAACCCAGCATGACATCAACTGTGTGATACTAACATTTGAAATGGAGACATCGGTGAAAGCTGATAATCACTCCTTAAGACTTGCATATTCTAAGAGACTGAGATACAGCTGAGGATATACAGACTATATAAAGTTACACAAACTTTTTTTTTTTGAGACAGGGTCTCATTTTGTTACCCAAGCTGGAGTGCAGTGGAGTGATCTCAGCTCACTGCAGCCTTGACCTCCTGGGCTCAAGTGATTCTCTGGCCTCAGTCTCCCAAATATCTGGGACTACAGGCACGTGCCACCATGCCCAGATAATTTTTTGTATTTTTTGTAGGGACAGGGTTTTCCTACATTGCCCAGGCTAGTCTCAAACTCCTGGGCTCAAGTGATCCACCCACCTTGACCTCCCAAAGTGTTGGGATTACAGGTGTGAGTCATTGTGCCCCGCCTATACAGACTTTTTAAAGTTAAAAATATACACACACAAAACAACACACTCAACAACACTATTTTTTTTATTTCCCACCCTACACCAACATACTAACAACACTTTTATGTAGCATTATATTAGCTGCAAATACATCCTCTGGACAGAGACTAACACACAAGATGAATTTCAAAAAGGGCTATATCACAACATTTATACCAAAATGTTAACTGCTATCTCTGGGCAGCAGTTATGCATTAATAATGCAAAGTAAATAATATGCAAATAAATTATGCATATTATTTACTTTGTCAAAGGAAAAGTATTTCTGTAATTTAAAAAGTGATTTTCTAAAAAGTGGCCAGGTTTCTCTGTGTGAGAGCCAGGGTATAACCCAGGAACAGGAACTGCAGCCTATTATCAGGGCTGAACTAAGTAGGGGTTTGGAAGAAACCAGCTCTTCTGGACCACTGATCGCTCTGGACTTGGTCCTCACACTTGTGTTACTGTCTGCTGTGCTAAGTTCTCATCCAGTGATAAAGATACCAATCCTTGCTATCTTCATTTTCAGCATTTTAATTATAATAATTCTATGTCATGTCCTGATTTTTAGAGCATCTCAACTCTGTGGCTCCAAGGAGCCACAATATAAGCAGAATATAATTGATTTTTTAAAAGGCACCAAATTCTACTAGTATAGACAGTTCTCCTGAGAGTGACTTCCATGAAAATCTATGAGAATCTTTAGAGAATGAAAAAAAGCTGTCAGTTTTCAAGACGTTCCTTCTCAAGTTTCCCCTGTGGCTAACCACACTGACCACTGGGAAGATTGCACTAGGTGCCTACGGGCACTGTGCCACACAGGCAGCTGGTGTGGTAAGAGACATACCACCCTATGCACAGGCCCTGGAGCCTGGGCCCTTTCTGTACAGGAATGGCTCATTACTACTGGGAAGAATATATCCTAGGGGAAGATCCGTGTCACCTCGGATGGTCCCCACACCAATGACCTACAGCACTGGACTTGCTCTGCAGAGTGCAGCTGACATAGGGAGGTCCCGACAATGCCTGGTTAGCTCCAATCCTTCTAAGACTGCCCTACTCTATCCCACCTGTGCCTTCCAATTTCCCTTACTACCCAAAGTAGTCTTCTTTTCCTTGCCCACAAAACCAATGTCCTCATTGTTTATAACAAGCTAACTGAAGAAAGCTATGCAAGAGATAATAGGCATATGTGTGTCATGTTTTTTAAGACTGGGTAAAAGTAGTATCAAAGCAGAAAACCAGGCTGCTCCTGGGTGAAAGGGGCCTAAGAACAATGAAGCAAGGCCATCTGGTCTGGAAGCAGCAGACTTCAAAATACCTTGTTTCCCCAGGCCAGCCAGGTCTGGCCAACCCAGCCTGCTCTCAGCCCTCAAGCACAGATCACATCCCATCAGCCAGCTGAATAAATTGGATCTGCAAAGAGCAGTTGTCTTTCCTCACTCCATTACCTCTGAGTGCTAGGCAAACCGAGGCTTTTAAAAAGGCAAAATAGAATGTTCTACATAAAGTACCTGACCAAAACAGATTGTCTCTATCCCCAAGAAGATGGAAAAATCCAAGGGCATCTTTGAGTCTACAGTCCCTTAGTGTCATGACCACACTGTCATCACATGACACTCAGATCCACTGCTGGTGCAGTCATTAGGGAGACCATCATTGAAGTGCTGGACCTGACTGAGTAGGTCTGTCAAGTTAAGGACCTAAGTCAGAAGGAATGAGAGCCTAAGATGGTGCTGAGTCCCCAGTACACTCACTAAAAACCATTCTCATCTGCTTTTGTGAAGAGAGTTGCAATTGAGTACCACCAGAGAAAAACCATCTTACCCGCAGACTCCTCCTCCTTTACCACTGCTAACACATTGTGCTATAGTTAAGTTTGAAGTATTTTAAGGATATTCCCTGACAAAATACAAAACAGTACAATACAGTCATGCATCTCTCAATGATGGAGATATGTTCTGAGAAATGCATTGTTAGGCATTTTTGTCATTGTGTGAACATCATAGTGTACTTACACAAACCTAGGTGGTATAGCCTACTGTACACCTAGGATATATACTATCACCTATTGCTCCTAGGCTACAAATGCGTACAGCATGTTGCTATATTGAATACTGTAGGCAATTTTAAACAATGGTAAGCATCTATGTGTCTAAACATAGAAAAGGTACAGTAAAAATGTGGTATAAAAGATAAAAACTGGTATACATATATAGAGCACTTACCATGAATGGAGCCTACAGGCCTGGAAGTTGCTCTAGATGAGTCAGTAAGTGAGTGAATGTGAAAGCCTAGGACATTACAATACCCTACTGCAGACTTCATATATACTGAACACTTACACTATCTGCCATACACTTAGGCTATACTAAATTTATAAAACAAATTTCTTTCTTCAATAACTAACCTTAGCTTACTGTAACTTTGAAAAAAATTTTAAACTTTTTGACTCTTTACCAACACTTTGCTTAAAACATAAATATATTATACAGCTAAACAAAACTGTTTTTTCTTTATACCCTTATTCTATAAGCTTTTTCTATTTTTAAAATTTATTTATTTTTTACTTTTTAAACATTTTTGTTAAAAACTGAGACACAAACCCACACATTAGCCTACGTCTACAGAAGGTCAGTATCATTAACATTACTGTCTTCCACTTCCACATCTTGTCCCACTGGAGGTCTTCAGGGGTAATAACATACATGGAGCTCATCTCTAATGACTTCTTCTGGAATGTCTCCTGAAGGACCTGCCTGAGGCTGTTTTATGGTTAACTTAAAAAAAAAAAATAGGAGTTCTCTCTCTCTCTGTCTCTCTCTCTCATATATATATATATATATATATATATACTTTTGTTTTGTTTTTGAGACAGAGTCTCACTCTGTTGTCCAGGCTGGAGTGCATTAGCATGATCATGGCTCACTGCAGCCTTGACCTCCCTGGGCTCAAGTGATTCTCTCACCTCAGCCTCTCTAGTAGCTGGGATTACAGGCGTGTATCACCACGCCTGGTTGTTTTTCTATTTTTTTGTAGAGATGGAGTTTGGCCATATTGCCCAGGCTGGTCTCAAACTCCTGGGCTCAAGCAGTCCACTCACTCTGGCCTCCCAAAGTGCTGGGATTACAGGTGTGAGCCATTGTGCCTGACCTTAGTTTATATATTTACTATACTTTAAATTGATATTTTGGAGTGTACTCCTGACCGGGCATGGTGGCTCACAAAAATTAGCTGAGTGTGGTGGCATGCACCTGTAGTCCTAGCTACTTGGGAGGCTGAGGTGGGAGGATCACCTGAGCCCAGAGAAGTCAGGGCTGCAGTGAGCTGTGATCCTGCCACTGCACGCCAAACCACATAAGCCAGTAACACAGTCATTTATTATCAAGTATTATGTACCGTACATAATTGTATGTGCCATGCTTTTATACAGCTGGCAGCGCAGTAGGTTCGTTTACACCAGCATCACCACAAACATGTGAGTAACACATCACTTTATGACGATATCATGATGGCCAAGACATCACTAGGGATAGAAATTTTCCAGCTCCATTATAATCTTATGGGATCACCGTCATTTACGTGGCCTGTTGTTGACCAAGACATCCTTATGCGGCGGTGCATGACTGTAGTTAAGAATACAAATTTGAAACTAGACAGACCTGGGTTCAATTCATAGCTCAGCTAGTTACTATTTAAACAGAGCTTAGTTATGTCATCCCTCTGAATCTCAGTCTCCTCATCTCTAAAATGGGATATCACTAGGACTGCTATATGGATTCAATATGATAATGTATACAAAGCACCTAAATAAAATCTAATTAGAAATGGTAATATTTATTTAGTGACTGGCACTGAATTACTGAAGGGACTTATTTTTGCGTGTGTGTGTGTGGCAGGGTATCACTCTCTCACACAGGCTGGAGTGCAGTGGCGACATCTTGGCTCACTGCAACCTCTGCCTCCCAGGTCTAAGCAATTCTCCTGCCTCAGTCTCCCCAGTAGCTGGGATTACAGGTGTGCGCCACCATGCCTGGCTAATTTTTGTATTTTTGGTAGAAACAGGGTTTCACTATGTTGGCCAGGCTGGTCTTGAATTCCTGACCTGAAGTGATCCACCCACCTTGGCCTCCCAAAGTGCTGGGATTACAGGCGTGAGCCACTGCACCTGGCCACTGAAGGGATTTAACAGGTATTTGCTGTACGAGGTTCCAGGGGAAAAGGGAAGAGTAGGTTATAAAACAATTTTTACTCATGCATGGAAGGCCACATGATACATGGAAGTATGTCAGGCTCTGGGTCAGAGATCTGGGGGATCATAGACAAGATGTTATTATAGCTTCTCTAAGACCCTGGTTCCACAGATGTAAAATTTGAGATACCACTACCCTGAAGAGCTGTTGTAAAACTTGGAAGCCGTGTTTACAATGCTCTCAGCCAAGTATCAGGGATTTCAGTAGGTGCTCAGAAAATGGTGGTAGTTGCTGACAAGCATAGCCTCTGGAATCAGATTGCTAGGTTTGAATCTCAGCTCCATCACTTCTTAGCTCTGTGACCATGAACAAGTTAGCCTTTCCATGCTTCAGTTTCTTCATCTATATGATGGAGATAAGAAGACCTACCTTGCAGGATTGTTCTTAGGACTAGATGAGCTAATATACAAAAGTGCTTGACACATAATAACTACTAGACAAATACTGGTTCTATTATTTGGCTAGTATTTATTATTTAATAATTAATACTTAAAAACTTAAACCACTGGCCCCAAACTCTTCTGGTTCTGGTGGTTTTAATCTAGAAATTGTTACCAAACATCCAGATTCTCTAGCCCCAGACTGCAGAGAGGCTCAGAAACACAGCCTGTCCAGTCAGGAGAGAGTTCTTTATAGTTCCAAATTTCCAAAACCTTCTCCCTCAGCAGGCCATCAGAAAAAGTCATGTATTTTTCAGCTGCTCATGAAGCTTATTAGGAAGACCTTTTCCTTCACTGGGTTCAAAAGCAATGGCTCACTTAAAATTTTAATTAAGGCCAGGTGCAGTGGCTCACACCTGTAATCCCAGTACTTTGGGAGGCCGAGGCGGGCAGATGGTTTGAGCCCAGGAACTCAAGACCAGCCTGTGTAACAGAGCGAGACCCTGTCTCTACAAAAAATACAAAAATTAGCTGGGCATCGTGGTGCATACCTGTGGTCCTGGCTACTCAGGTGGCTAAGGTGGGATTATTTGAGCCTTGGGAGGCAGAGGTTGGAGTGAGCCAAAGTTGCACCACTGCACTCCAACCTGGGCAACAGAGCAAGACCCTATTTCAAAAAAAAAAAAGAAGAAAAATAAATTTTCTTAAATTAAGACTCTATGGCAGTGGTTCTCAAAGGAGGGGTGATGTTGGCCCCTAGGGGACATTTGGTAATGTCTAGAGACATTTTCAGTTGTTATAACTGAGGTGATTGCTACTACTGGTATTTAATGGTAGAGGCTAGGGATGCTGCTGAGCATCCTACAATACACAGGACAGCCCCCACAACAAAAAATCATCTGGCCCAAGTGTCAATAGCACTGAGGCTGAGAAATTTTAACCTATAGAAAAGTTGCGTATGACAAAAGTGGGTGGGGTGGGGGACCAAAATACACAATGGTATCTACATTATAGTGGTAGCCAGGTATAAATGACATGTGCGTATAAACAAGAACTGACTAGGAAATAAGACAATGAAAATGATTTGAGAAAGTAGGGTGTGTGAATTATGATAATTAAAAAAATTTTTATGAGCATTATTACTATGTTTAAGGACCAGAAAAAGAGTGAAGGCCAGAACTCAGTGGAGGCAAGAATGCCCCAAAACTACATCTCTCCATTCTGATTATTAAGACATTTGTGACTGCTGGTATTATAACAGTGCTCCAACCCCCTGCTACATAATGAATATTCTACTCAGGTCCCAACAAATGAGTAAGGTGAGAAAGGAAAAAAAAAGTGCAAACAGCCAGGCGCGGTGGCTCACGCCTGTAATCCCAGTACTTTGGGAGGCTGAGGTGGGCAGATCACCTGAGGTCAGGAGTTTGAGACCAGCCTGGCCAACATGGTGAAACCCTGTCTCTACAAAAATACAAAATTACTGGGCACGGTGGCTCACGCCTGTAATCCCAGCACTTTGGGAGGGCAAGGCAGGTGAATCACAAGGTCAGGAGTTCGAGACCAGTCTGGTCAATATGGTGAAACCCCGCCTTTACTAAAAATACAAAAATTAGCTGGGCATGGTGGCAGGCACCTGTAGTCCCAGCTATTCAGGAGGCTGAGGCAGGAGAATCGCTTGAACCCGGGAGGCGGAGGTTGCAGTGAGCTGAGATCACGCCACTGCACCCTAGCCTGGGCAACAGAGCAAGACTCCATCTCAAAAAAAAAAAAAATTAGCCAGGCATGGTGTTGTGTGCCTGTAATCCCAGCTACTCGGAAGGCTCAGGCAGGATAATCACTTGAACCCAGGAGGCGGAGGTTGCAGTGAGCTGAGATCACACCATTGCACTCCAGCCTGGGCAACAGAGCAAGACTCCATCTCAAAAAAAAAAAAAAAGAAAAGAAAGAAAGTACGAGCAGTCTTTTCTACAAAATCAAGCCCAGAGTTTAACCACTTAAAAAAGCTTATTCCAGTCCCCTTCTGTCCTCTCTCCTGCATATCTTTAAACTCTTCTTCATCTTGAATCACGTGACAAGTAGTTACTGGTGAATGGTTAAATTAGGCAAGGTTTCCCATCATGGACCTTTCAGATAGTAGAGAAGACCTTAATTCTTTTTTTTTTTTTTTGAGATGGAGTCTCGCTCTGTCACCCAGGCTGGAGTGCAGTGGCGTGATCTCGGCTCACTGCAACCTCTGCCTCCTGGGTTCACATCATTCTCCTGCCTCAGCTTCCCGAGTAGCTGGGACTACAGGCGCCTGCCACCACACCTGGCTAATTTTTTGTATTTTTAGTAGAGACAGGGTTTCACCATGTTAGCCAGGATGGTCTCAATCTCCTGACCTCGTGATCCGCCTGCCTCGGCCTCCCAAAGTGCTGGGATTATAGGCGTGAGCCACCACACCCAGCCAAGAAGACCTTAATTCTTTAAAAATATTTTTTTATTTTAATTTTTGTGGGTACATAGTAGGTGTATATATTTATGGGGTACATGAGATGTTTTGATACAGGCATGTAATGCATCATAGAGAATGGGGTATCCTTTCCCTCAAGTATTTATCCTTTGTGTTACAAACAATCAAATTATACTCTTTTAGTTATTTTTAAATGTACAATAAAATTATTACTGACTATAGTCACTCTGTTGTGCTAGCAAATACCAGACTCATTCATTCTTTCTAACTATTCTTTTGTATCCACTAACTATTCCCACCTCCCCCTACTACCCTTGCCAGCCTCTGGTTACCATCCTACTCTCTATCTCCATGAGTTCAATTGTTCTGATTTTTAGATCCCACAAATAAGTGAGAACACACAATGTTTGTCTTTGTGCCTAGCTTATTTCACTTAGCATAATGGCCTCCAGTTCCATCCATGTTGTTGCAAATGATCTCATTCTTTTTTATGACTGAATAGTACTCCACTGTGAATAAATACCACATTTTTTTAAAATCCAGTCATCTGCTGATGGGCATGTAGGTTGTTTCCAGATTTTAGCTATTGTGAACAAAGCTGCAACAAACATGAGAGTGCAGGTATCTCTTTGATATATTGATTTCCTTCCTTTTGGGTAAATACTCAGCAGTGGGATTGCTGGATCATAGAGTACCTCTATTTTTAGTTTTTTGAGGAACCTCCAAACTGTTCCCTATAGTAGTTGTACTAATTTACATTCCCCCCAACAGTGTACAAGGGTTCCCTTTTCTTCACAACCTCTCCAGCATTTGTTATTGCCTGGAGAAGACCTTAATTCTTTAAGTAGAGTCAAGACTATAAAATTACAAATCAAGATAGTACTATGAAGGACAGAAATCTGATCCAGACTGGGAGGTGAGGAGTACCACTCAGATGTGAATGATTAATAGGGGTTACCTATACTAAGCCAAGAGAGGAGCAAAGAATTTCCCAAGCCACACAGAGGAAGTGGCATTTGCAAAAGCCATGTGGAAGGAGGGAGCCTGATGATGCTGAGAAACTGAAACTGAACCTAGTAGCAGGGCCAGACCATGAAAGGCCCCTAAGTTTTTTGGAATGCTGGTCTTTAAGAAAAACAGAAAATCATTAAGCAGGGAGAAAAAATATTTAAATCTTTGAGTTGTACATTAAGTTCCTACTTTGGCACATCCAAGGGTCAGGTGAGGCAATTACTCCCACTAGGACCTCTTTACCCTCAAGTAATCTGAAACCTTTGACCTATCACAGGAAAGCCTAGTACAGTGGCAAATCGTCTACACCAAATGTAGGCCAACAGAACACTGCAATAAGTAAGGAGGGGTAGTTTCCCTCCAAGCTGAGGATCAGCAAGTTGTAAGTCCAGTGCCCTCTCTGGGGTAGGGGAAAGGGAAGCCCTCGAGATAGCTGATGTTTGAGCTCTTTTCAAGAGCCAGGAATTTCAGAAGGACCCCATAAGCAGCCTGTCTTCTAGTTGAGGGGCCAGAGAAGACGGTTCTGTGGCCACCAGAGCTCTCTCTCTCTCTTCTCATAGCAAAAGGTATATATGTGTCCAGACCCACTTGCTGGGTCAGAAACCACAAGCTTCTCAAGCCTCTGACAGACCCAGCTAAAGTCTTAAAAGATGCTGGCCCTGTCTATGTGAAACTTTTCCGAGGCATTCCATGAAAACACCATTTGGGCACTGGAAGATTCAAATGGATGTCCCAGGATATGTGCTCAGAGATGTGAAAGGAAGGGGGAAAGTTAAATGGATTATCCTCAGTTTAGAAGATAAACTGAGACAGCCTTGGTGGCACACGCCTGTAATCCCAGCACTTTGGGGAGTCTGAGGCGGGCAGATCACTTGAGTCCAGGAGCTCAAGACCAACCGGGGCAGTGTTTGGTGAGACCCCTCTCTACAAAAAATTTTTTAAAAATTAGCTAGGTACAATGGCACATGCCTGTGGTCCCAGCTACTTGGGAGGCTGAGATGGGAGAATCACTTGAGCCCAGGAAGTCAAGGCTGCAGTGAACCTTGTTTATGCCACTATACTCCAGCCTGGGTGACAGAGCAAGATCCTGTCTCAAAAAAGAAACAAACAAACAAACAAACAAACAAACAAACAACAGTGCTCAGCACAAGGCCCTGACACATGTCAGCAATTCAGGAAGCAGCAGCTCAATACTCCCAGGATTCTGTACAGATGAGAGGAGGAGGAAAAGGAACCCAAGGTAAGGCCAGAAGGAGAAATACCTCACAGGATACCCTGAGCAGCCCGAGGAGATTGGGAGAGGGGGACATTCAACTATTCAAGAAATATTTAAAATTCAGTAGTGAATATAACATTCAAAAATCTCTGCCTTCAAGGAGCTTATACTCCAGTGGGAAGAGAAAGGCAGCCAATGAACAAGTAAACACAGTATGTCAGGCAAGGAAAACAGGCAGAAGAACAGGGACAGAGAGTGCCAGTGGGGGCGCTACAATTATATGGGGTGGGGGAGGGGGAGGTGACTGGAAGGCCTTTCTGACTAGGTGGCAGCTGAACAAGGCTCAAAAGAAAGTGAGACTGTAAGCTGTGGATGTCTGAGGGAAAGGCATGGCAAGGGCAAAAGCCCTAGAGTTGGAATGTGCCTGGTGAGGAAGGGAGGGAAGGTGGAGCAGAGGGCGCAGGGGCAAAGTGGCAGGAGTCAGAGAGGTGGCAGCAGCCCGCTCACAAAGGGACTTGCTAGTTGCTGCAAGGATTCTAGCTTTCACTCCAGTGAAATGGAAAGCTATTAGGCGGTCTTGAGAATAAGACAGCAGAGGGCATGAGCAGGAGGAGGGGATCAATTATATGGCCATGATTGCAGATGAGAGATGACTTTGGAGCTGTCCCAGTTTCCTCAGGCCAGTGGGGATAGATCAGGAGTGACCCTCAGCAACTGGCTTTCCCTGCTTTCCAGAGAGCTTTGTCTTCCCCACCCCTATCCATCCCTAAGCAAAAATTCAGAAAATTTGTGTGGGCCAGGGGAGGGTACTAACTTCCTCACTGCTCATCAAGGTGCCATAAACTGTAAAGATGCATTACTTTATTTATTCTTTATCACAATCCCGTAATCCCAGCTCTACAGACAAGAAGGCAGAAGCTCAGGGAACTGGAAAAACTCTACCTAGATTCTAAGCCAATGTGGCTCTTGGTGGCACTAAGCAGTGTCCTTGTTGGGACATTCTGTCATCTGATACCTGGCAAAGAAAGAAGGCACTGGACTGGTCTATGCTGGAAAGGCTTTCCAGGGCAATGAAAATGCCTGATTGGAGTTTCTGATGAAAGAAAGTATAAAAGGCTCAAACAAGCCAGGCAGTAATTCCATACTTAGAGCCAATTAGTCAGAGATGCCAGACCGTTAAATTTCCTTCCTCTTCTTTCCTCACACTGACTAATGAAAGCAGCATAAGACACCAAGAAGAGTGTGCAGGAGAAATATGCCATTCTATCACCTCCCCCACAATCTCTGACCGTGGAATATAGAGGCCTCCCATAACATTCTGCTGGCTGGCCAATGGCCCGGTGGGCCCAAAAGGGTACCCCTGAAGATGCACTCCCTTTTCATGTCTTCAAATCACAAAGAACCAGGGTCACTGGGTAGTTCCCAACATACAGGCTTAGAAATCTGGTTCAAAGGCCCATGAGGCTTTTGAGCTCCATGGGGGCATCCCAATGGACTGTGCTAAAGTAGAACTTATTTCATTTTAAATCCGTATGTTGCCAGATATCACAGTCCTACCCCAGAAGAACATAAATAAAACCCCAATATCTGGACTTATGGGAGTTAAAATAGCAAGGGAAGGGTCTCTAAGGGAAAGTGACAAGGGCACCAGACACTGAACATGAACTCACAACCACCCTTTGAAATGGTAATACTTGCATTCATCTAACACGTATTTACTGAGCATATACACATACACATACACACACACACGCGCTCAGCACTGTTGAAGATGCAGTGGAAGCAGAGGTGAAAGAAGAAAAAAACGTCTTTGAGAAGCATACAAGGGGAGGCAGGGCACACTCAAAGATCAGGGAGGTAAAATAATTTGCTCAGGTCCTAGTGTTAATGAGATTTGAATCCAGCTTTATTGCACTCCACTTTACCTCTGTCTACCAGGAAACTGGTGTTCTGTTATAATTTTTTGGTGGTTTTTTGTTTTGTTTTTGTATGTTTTAGGGGTGGGGGGGTGCAGATAAGGAAGGGAAAAGGCTGGAAATATTTTCCTTTGGTGGTGTTTGAGAATTTCTGTGGAATCTGTGCTGTATCACAGCAGCAGGGCATAATGAAGAAATGCACTTAGCCTGGGATCAGGAGACGTTTTGTTGTTGTTGAGAGACAGGGTCTTGCTCTGTCGCACAAGCTGGAGTGCAGTGGCTCAATCCTAGTTCACTGTAGCCTGGAACTCCTGGACTCAGGTGATCCTCCTGCCTCAGCCTCCTGAGCAGATCGGACTACAGGCACGCACTACCACACCTGGATAATTTTCTTTTATTATTTGTAGAGATGTGTGGTGTCTTAGTACGGTGCCTAGGCTGGTGTCGAACTCCTGGCCTCAAGCGATGCTCCTGTCTCAGCCTCCCAAAGTGCTGGGACTACAGGCATGAGTTTCCTGCACCTGGCAGGAAACTTATATTCTAGTTAAAACTTACTGACCCTGGAAAGTCACTAAACTTCTCTGGGCTTCAGTTTAAATGTCTCTAAAAAGAGGGGGTTAACCTAGCAAGGAATGGTAAATGGGTTCGTCTTACTCCTAACAATTCAAATCTATTCACGGTTCCTGTCTAGAATGCTGGGGTATGCTGAAGCTGTATTCACGCTTAGTGAAAGGAGCTGTAATTGCCTAGTGATGTTTGCTATAAGGTCAGAGGGTAATAACTAACCCAGATGATCATGTGAGGACTCTTCTACTTCTGATGATTCAAGGTATCTGAGTGGAAGTCATTTCAATTTGGTGATAAAATAAAAAACCCCCTTCTTCCATGACTTTCTAACCAATTCACAGGAGTATCCTTAAAATGACAGATCACCTATATTCTGATATAAGCCTAGTTATAGTGTTTAATTTTTCACTTTAAACAGTTATGATACTATGGCATATTTATTAGAATCTAGAAATAGTTTTGTTATTTAGAATGTTTCAGTCAACAGGAATTCACCTGTCACCACTGAAACTTGTGGTAATGTTTCCAAAGATCTCCCATCCCATATGCCTTTTTGCAATGTGACTTACCACTCTCCCAACAAGGAATGAAGTCTATTTTCCTCCCCTTGAAACTAGGCTAGATAGACTTCATGTTGCTTTGACCAAGAGTGTGATGGATGTGACATTGTGTGACTTCTGAGCCAAGGGGGTGAAAAAGCCTGATGGATCATTGTATTGTGGCTATGTAAGGTTTGGGGAAATCGGGATGAAAGGTATACAGAACCATTTGTATTATCTTTGCAATGTTTTTCTAAGTCTGAAATTGTTTCAAAATTAGAAGTTAAATCGAAAGTTTTTTGTTTCATTTCTTTTTTAAGGCTTTTATTTTATGTTCAGGGGTACATGTGCAGGAAGGCCTGGCAGATTCCATTCTTGCATTGTAACATGGAAAAAACCCACCTACTCTGAAACTCTCATGCTGTGACAGCAGCACTGAGAGACCATGCAGAGGGACAGAGACAACCAACCCTACGCTGTTTCAATCATGTCAGCTGAAATACCAGACGTGATTTTTTTTTCTTTTTGGATTTGAGATAATTTCTTGTTATAATGAGCCAGAATTACAAGGTTCCATTGGAACTGAAACAGCTGACAGAATAGGGTTGAAGTTAATCAAATCTTCAAGGACAATAAGATCAAACAAAGCCAGTAGAAGTGGAGAAACCCAACACTGGTTTGGAATGCACACAGAAATACTAGCATGTAGGTGCCTCCTGACCCCTCCCAGCAGTTGGACATCATGCTCCCACCCCTTTCTCCCTTCTAAAGCACTGGCCAAACCAAATGGCTTCTTTCTCTGTATTGCAAGTGTAAGTCAATCCAAGAGTACCCTTTTGGACATAATACAAAGCCAAGAAGAAAGTTGATGGATCATATTGGACGGTAGAAAGTGTACAAATCCAACCCAGCAAATTGCTTATCATTATCTACGTTCCAGCCTCAGTAGGTGCCAACAAGGAGCAGAGATGAATCAATCTTTCTGCTCAAGCCCTGTCCAAATTATGGAACCTCTAAGATTGGGGGTGGTTTGTGACGTAACAATAGATAACCAAAACATACATCAACCTTCCACCTATGGCAAATGCCTTAAATTCTGCTCTGGCAAGATCTGGCTGCCAAATGGACCTTTTGGATCTAATCCTTAGGGTGAGATCAGTTTCACATTGTTCTTTGCTAAGTGCTTTTGTTTCCAGAGTTCATTTTATACAGTACCACTGCTCTTATTTCAATAAGATTTATCTTCAGTATAACTTAAGAATATTAGCAGGCCAGGCGCAGTGACTCATGCTTGTAATCCCTGCACTTTAGGAGGCCGAGGAGGGTGAATCACCTGAGGTCAGGAGTTTGAGACCAGCCTGGCCAATACAGTGAAATCCCATTTCTACTAAAAATACAAAAATTAGCTGGGCTTGGTGGCGTATGCCTGTAATCCCAGCTACTCGGGAGGCTGAGACAGGAGAATCACTTGAACCTGGGAGGCGGAGGTTGCAGTGACCCGAGATTGCGCCACTGCACTCCAGCCTGGATGACAGAGCAAGACTCCGTCAAAAAAAAAAAAAAAAAAAAAAAGAGTATTAGAGGATTCCCCCACTTTCTGGTAGGAGGGTTTTCTTCTCCCTGCAATGTTTGTTCCCTCAGAATCCCTTTTTTCTGTTTGGATCATCATCTTTTATCTTGGAGGCTTTCTTTACTCAGATGTCTGGTGAACCTCCGTTGCTGGTTAATATCTAAGGCTAAGGTTCTATCACTTGTAGCCTTAAGAGTCTTGACCAAAACAAACAGTGAAAGCCTAAACACTAAGAGCAAGGTTGATTGAATTCAGACATAAAAAAGCTAAAATGGACTGTACATAAGGTAGACACTATTGAATCTGGAGCAAGAAGAAGGGCTCTGAAAGAAGTCTGTATAGGGTGCAGTTGAAGCAAATAGGAGTGGTAAATTCTACTGGAGGTATAGTATAGGTAAGCAAAAGCTTCAAGGAAGAAGAGATATTTTCTTTTGATCGCCAGAGATGTGTAGGGTAGGTTGTGGCAGAGTGGGAATGAGAGGTGGGAAGTAAAGGAAGCAGCATGAACAAAGTTAGGGTATATGGACCAGTATGGCAGGTTAGAGGCCTTACCTACATATAGACTACCTAGATGATAATATTCTGGATTTCAAGCTGATGTAATTATTGGATGAGACATCTAGTGGTGGTGGAAGGGGGTGGATATATTTTGCATATGAGGGGGATGTAAATTGTTGAGAGCAAAGGGCAGAATGTGGTGGACTGTTTGCACAGACGGTCACCAATTCCTCTCACCCTGTATTCACATGCCATTCCTCCAGGATGGAGTCTATTTTATACAAATGTTTATAACAGCCATTATTCATTATTCCTAATAGCCATAAAGTAGAAACAACCTAAATGCCCATCAACCAATGAAAGGATAACTAAAACGTGGTATATCCACAATGGAATATTATTTGGCAATAGGAAGGAATAAAGTATTGATACATGCTACAACATAGATGAACCCTGGAAATATCAAGCTAAGTGAAAGAAGCATGTAACAAAAGACCAAATATTGTATGGTTCCATTTATACAAAATGTCCAGAACAGACAAATCTATAGAGACAGAGTAGATTAATGGTGGGGAAGAGGCCGGGCGCGATGGCTCACGCCTGTAATCCCAGCACTCTGAGAGGCTGAGGTGGGCGGATCATCAGGTCAGGAGATCAAGACCATCCTGGCTAACACGGTGAAACCCCGTCTCCACTAAAAATAAAAAAATTAGCTGAGCATGGTGGCAGGCATCTGTAGTCCCAGCTACTCGGGAAGCTGAGGCAGGAGAATGGCGTGAACCCGGGAGGCAGAGTTTGCAGTGAGCCGAGATTGTGCCACTGCACTCCAGCCTGGGCGACAGAGTGAGACTCTGCCTCAAAAAAAAAAAAAAAAAAAAAGGCCGGGGGGAAGAGTGGAAGGAAATGGGGAGAGATTGCTAAAGGGTTTCTTTTTGGGGTGATGAAAGTGTTCTGTATATAGACCAATGGAACAGAACAGAGGCCTCAGAAATAACACCACACATCTATAACCACTTGATCTTTGACAAACCTGACGAAAACAAGCAATGGGGAAAGGATTCCCTATTTAATAAATGGTATTGGGAAAACTAGCTAGCCATGTGCAGAAAACTGAAACTGGACCCCTTCCTTATACCTTATACAAAAATTAACTCAATATGGATTAAAGACTTAAACGTAAGACCTAAAACCATAAAAACCCTAGAAGAAAACCTAGGCAATACCATTCAGGACATAGGCATAGGCAAAGACTTCATGGCTAAAACACCAAAAGCAATGGCAACAAAAGCCAACACTGACAAATGGGATCTAATTAAACTAAAGAGCTTCTGCACAGCAAAAGAAACTATCATCATCCCATATGTAGGCAACCTACAATATGGGAGAAAATTTTTGCAATCTATCCATCTGACAAAGGGCCAATATCCACAATCTACAAGGAACTTAAACAAATTTATGAGAAAAAAACAACCCCATCAAAAAGTGGGCAAAGAATATGAACAGACACTTCTCAAAAGAAGACATTTATGCGTCCAAAAACATATGAAAAAAAGTTCATCATCACTGGTCATTAGAGAAATGCAAATCAAAACCACAATGAGATACCATCTCACGCCAGTTAGAATGGTGATCATTAAAAAGTCAGGAAACGGCTGGGCACCGTGGCTCACGCATGTAATCCCAGCACTTTGGGAGGCCAAGGTGGGCAGAACACTAGGTCAGGAATTCAACACCAGCCTGACCAATATGGTGAAACCTCATCTCTACTAAAAATACAAAAATTACAGCCATGGTGGCGCATGCCTGTAATCCCAGCTACTCAGGGGGCTGAGGCAGGAGAATCGCTTGAACCCCGGAGGTGGAGGTTGCAGTAAGTCAAGATCGCGCCACTGCACTCCAGCCTGGGCGACAGTGTGAGACTCCATCTCAAAAAACACAAAACAAAAACAATAAAAAGTCAGGAAACAATAGATGCTGGAGAGGATGTGGAGAAATAGGAACACTTTTACACTGCTGGTGGGAGCGTAAATTAGTTTAACCATTGTGGAAGACAGTGTGGTAATTCCTCAAGGATCTAGAACCAGAAATACCATTTGACCCAGCAATCCCATTACTGGGTATATACCCAAAGGATTATAAGTCATTCTACTATAAAGACACATGCACAGGTATGTTTATTGCAGCATTATTCACAATAGCAAAAACTTGGAACCAACCCAAATGCCCATCAATGATAGACTGGATAAAGAAAATGTGGCACATATACACCATGGAATACTATGCAGCCATAAAAAAGGATGAGTTCATGTCCTTTGCAGGGACATGGATGAAGCTGGAAACCATCATTCTCAACAAACCAACACAGGAACAGAAAACCAAACACCACATGTTCTTACTCATAAGTGGGAGCTGAACAAAGAGAACACATGGACACAGGGAGGGGAACACCACACACTGGGGCCTGTCGGGGAGTTGGGGGGCTAGGGGAGGGATAGCATTAGGAGAAATACCCAATGTAGATGACGGGTGCAGCAAACCACCATGGCACATGCATACCTATGTAACAAACCTGCACATTCTGCACATGTATCCTAGAACTTAAAGTATAATAATAAAAGAAAATGTTCTGGAATTATGATAGTGGTGATGGTTGAAAAACTCTGTTGATATACTGAAAACCATTGGATTGTACAACTTTAAATGGGTAAATTGTATGGTACATGAATTGTATGTCGAATATACCAAAAAAAGAGGGGGAGGAGGAAGGTGATATCTGTTCCCCCTCCTGTTGAAAGTGACTGGCCTTGAGACTTGTTTTGAATACTGGAATAAGGGGTAAGTGATGCTGTGCCAGTTCTGGGCCTAGCCCAAAATCCTGGCAGCTTCCACTTTCACTCTATTGGAAGCTAGTTGTCATGTAAAGCAGCTTAAGCTAGACCACCTAATGATGACAGACTATGTGCTGAGAGAGGCCTCGTGGAGGCAAACCAAGACCCTACTCATGTCAGTGAGGTCATCTTGGATAGCCTACACCCAGACAGGCTGACAGCTGAATTAAGTAACAAGAGTGACCCCACGAAAGATCACACGAAGCAAGAAGAGCCTCCCAGCCAACTCAGAGAATCATGAGAAATAATAAATCATTGTTGTTTTAAGCCAGTGAGTTGGGGGTGATATGTTATACAACAGATAACTGAAACAACCTTTCTGAGTCTCAGATTCCACTCCTATAACATGGGACTGATACTATGGGGTTGTTGTGAAGATTACATAAAGCTAACACCAAGCATGGTGCTCAACAAATACTAGTTGTTATTCTTAAAAACCACCCAGGAGATCCTTGACATAATCTGCAGGTATGCTCTTCTGGGAGACCTTATTCCTACAAGCACTTGCTGCTTCCAATCACATGGCTTCCAAAAGGTTGGCTTCTTAAAAAAACAAAAGGTGGGTTTTTTTGCTACAATCTCTGACACATGAATTCTAAAACATAAACAGATGACCAAGGAAGGTTCTGCTTAGGTTAGCCATCTACCCGACCCTGCTCATCCATTCATCACACCTTTATTAAGCCCTAACTAATTACCAGACGCCAATTAAGGATAAAGGAGATCCTCCCTCCTTTGAAAAAGAAACCATTTCTACCTATGTATCCATTAACATAATATGCCACACACTTGAACTTGAGTGGAGAGAGTATCTACAGTAGTAGATAAATCTAAAATCATTCAGCTGGAAAGAAAAAGCTTAAATTTCCATATAGAGCTCAGATACACAGCATGAGAACACATAATTCTGACTGAGAATCCCACAAGCAATACCAAAGCAAGGAATAAAATGGGTCCCTAAAGGGTTCATCACTCAGTGAGGCTACATTCTTCCAAGAGTCCCATTCACAGAACATGGACCCCAGGTGACAAAATTTGACCATTTGGCACTACCTGCTATGTTTGGGTGCAGAAAGGATCTGGGCAGTTAATAATTCACAAGCTAATGACAGAGAAATAAATTCCTGGGTATATCCATAGGAAAGGATATTAAACAGCTTTCAACTGCATTTGTGAAATCAATCGTGATTGGTAACACTGAACTAAGGAGCCTTTTAACCCTAAAAAGAATTAAGAAATTATTTTTCATCAAAAAGGCTGACATCAATACTTAAATTACATGAAAGGTAAGAAAGATGACCAAATCTGTATTTTCTGCATGAACAGTGGACAAAGTCCACTGAACCTAGGAAGCACTTATTCTAAACAAACTCAATAAAGTTCTAAACTCATCAAATGCTAGTTAGAGAGTCAGTATAAACAATATTGGCCTAGAAATGGACAGGAAGACCATGAGGGCTATAGGTGAAAGACCTAACACCAGGCAGGCATTGGGTTGAGTCTACCGGATAACTCAAATGCTGGGCTATCTTTCTCTGCTGACATAAAACGTACAGCAAAGTACACAAGTCATAACTATCTATCTTGAAGAATGTTTATATCAAGATTAAGATACAGAATATTCCTAACACCCCAGAAAGTTCCTTTGTTCCTAACCCAATGAATAACCAGTCCCACCCTAGTTTCCCAACTCCACAGCCAGGAGTAACCATTATTTTGATCTCTGGCATCATACATAGTTTTTGTCTGTTTTTGAATTTCACATAAATGGAATCATACCATATGTAGTCTTTTCTGCTTTCTTTTATTCATCACAGGGTTACCTTATTTTGAAGCAGAAAACCCAGAAGCTGAGGTTTATTTTCAGAAAATGTTTCTCTGATGTCACAGGCCTGAATACCAACTACTCCGATTATACTGGTTATACTTCCTGCCCTCTTCCGAGCATGCATGATAAAAACTGTTACAACAGAACACAATCTTGGATTGCAAAAGCTTCCTTCCAGATAAATTAAATTCTTTAAAGGTATTCAAATATTCTATTCAATCTTAACAGAGTATAAGCTTTGCCACTATAAAAGTATAATCTTTTCCATGAATGCAAAATTCTTATTCTAGAGAATCATCAAGTCCTAGAATAAAATTAGCCATCAATTCTGTTATTACTTTTGATTAGTAAAGAACTAAATGACAGGAAAATCTCTAAGAGGAAGCATAAGTCACTAAATTCAGATGAATGTGAGTCAGCTCAGAAAAGGCAGGAGAGGAACAACAGTACAGCAATAAATTATAGGTACAGATTTTGAGGCCAAGCTATCAGGATTCTAATCTAGAAAGTGCCCCTTCTAGCTAGGTGACCTTGGGCAAGTCATTACTCTAACTTTGTACCTCTATTACATCACTATAAAATGGGAATAACTTCATAGGATTGTTGCAAGGATTAAATGTTAATGTATATAAAGCACTTAGGAGACCATGTGACACACAATAAGCACTTTTTTTTTTTTTGAGATGGAGTCTCACTGTCGCCAGGCTAGAGTGCATGGTGTGACCTTGGCTCACAGCAACCTCTGCCTCCCAGGTTCAAGCCATTCTCCTGCCTCAGCCTCCTGAGTAGCTGGGACTATAGACGCGTACCACCACGCCTGGCTAGTTTTTGTATTTTTAGTAGAGACGGGGTTTCACCATGTTGGCCAGGCTGGTCTTGAACTCCTGACCTCAGGTGATCTGCCCGCCTTGGCCTCCCAAAGTGCTGGGATTACAGGCATGAGCCACTGTGCCTGGCCATAATAAGCACTTTTTAAGAATTAGCTATCTTGGCCAGGCACAGTGGCTCACGCCTGTAATCCCAGCACTTTGGAAGGCCAAGGGGGGCGGATCACGAGGTCAGGAGATTGAGACCATCCTGGCTAACACAGTCTCTGCTAAAAATACAAAAAATTAGCCGGGCGTGGTGGCAGGCGCCTGTAGTCCTAGTTACTCAGGAGGCTGAGGCAGGAGAACGGCGTGAACCCAGGAGGCGGAGCTTGCAGTGAGCCGAGATCGCGCCACTGCACTTCAGCCTGGGCAACAGAGTGAGACTCCGTCTCAAAAAAAAAAAAAAAAAAAAGCTGAAAGGGCTAATTAAGAGAGCAGCTATTCTGCCAACCAAAGGGCTACAAAATAGTGACCAAGACATCTAGCACAGTGCTCCTCAAGATGTTTTACTTTTAATCTTTCAGACTGATACTTTCTGTAAAATGCAAGATTACATACTTGGATGTCACAGCAAAACCAAATTGCTCTAAAAGTTTCTAAATGTTTACTCTCACTTTCTGTACATATAATATAGTCCATAACTGTTCACTGTTCATTGACTGGCATTTGTCTACAGACTGAACTTTGAGTAACACTGTTCTATAGCACACAAGAAGGACTCAAGAGCCTCCTGAAAACTCAACTGGCAGGTTAAATAGAATTATGAAAACATTTAGTAAGAAAAAAAAGAAAAACCCCAGTAGCAGGGGCAAGAGGATGACTTGAGGGTCAACAAGCTGACAGATAAAATAAACTCAAGAGGCTAATTACTAAACCTAAAATACAAAGCTGGCTACAGAGCAAAGACTCAACTGCTAATTCCTTCCCCACCCCCAAGTGCTCTAGAGGGTAGCCCTCAGAAAACACGTTGGCCAGGAAGTCATCAGCCCCAGAGGGGACAAGAGGTGTGAATGTAGCAGGCAGAGCTGACTTGGGCCTCTTCTCAGGAGTGAGAATCCACCCTAAGCCATCATCAAGCTTTGGGGACATCAAGCACAAGTTGCAAAGGCTGGAAAGAATTTCTTCTCTGCCAAAGAAAACATGCAAACATTTCCTTTAGTGACACGGGACTGCACACCCACATATTCAGAGACACACACCTGTGGTTTTAGGAGGCTCCTGAGGTCCACCCTGCCAGCCGTACTGTGGGTATCCTTGGTAGGGGTACCCTTGAGGAGGTGGGTAGGGTCCCCCCATAGGTCCTGGACCCATTGGTTGTGGTGGATAAGGTGGGTATGGGGCCGTTGGACCAGGGCCTGGATATGGTGGAGGGTTCTCTTGGTTCATCGGGGACCTGTAAAGTGCACCTAAGAGACAAAAAGAATGAAAATTATTTGCATTTAACTGTGGAAATCATCAGGAATAAAATCCTAACCCATAAGATCATTTACAAAATACCTTCAAGGTGTATCAAGCCTTGTGCAAATCTCTAGCTCTGCCCATTTTGTTTCCTTCTCACCATCACTATAATTGGCAATTATCTTATATATTTATTTGCCTTTTGTCTATTTCCTCCACTAGACTGTAGGCTGTGACAGTAGATATCAAGTAAGTTTTGGATCACCACCATGTCCCTAGAGCACTGCAGAGTGCCTGGTACAAGGCAGTCCCCTAAATAAATGTGTTAAATGAATAGCAAGATATTTTGTTTTTTAATTCCTCTGAAGTGTCCATAAATGTGATTGGATAGCTTTAAGAAAGTGTTCTAACAGCACTATGAGTCTCATCAGTGGACGCTGATCCACTACTAGAAACCCTCCAATCAACAGGGCTGGGCCACAGTGGGGCCTTCTAACGAGCAGCACTGGCAGCAATGACCAACCAAAGTTTGTAACCATCACCATTGCTCTGGGGATTGGGGTGATCTGGTTGTTCTCCCCAGACCCGCTGCTCTGAGCAGTTGGACAGCGCTGTTTATAGAGAATGCCAAGCGTCTCCTCTGCCCATCCAGGCCCCTGAGACTCTGGAGGGCTCACCAGGAACATTTATTTGTGTTTACAGGACCCTGTCCTCCATGGTTTGCTTCTGTGAGGGAAGCCACGCTTCCCAGCCCCCAAGCCTGTTAATCATTCTCTTGATTGGGCTTGAAGTTTTCAGGGCCAGCGTCTTGTTTCTATTATCTCTTTAAGTTCCACAGTGCCTGGCACGGTGACTTTCAGATTAAAAACAAACAAATGGCCAGGTGTGGTGGCTCATGCCTGTAATCCCAGCACTTTGGGAGGCCGAGGCGGGCGGATCACGTTGAGATTGAGACCATCCTGGCTAACATGGTGAAACCCCGTCTCTACTAAAAATACAAAAAATTAGCCGGGCATGGTGGCATGTGCTTGTAGTCCCGCTACTCAGGAGGCTGAGGCAGGAGAATCGCTTGAACTTGGGAGGTAGAGGTTGCAATGAGCTGAGATCGTGCCACTGCACTCCAGCCTGGGCAACAAAGTGAGACTCCGTCTCAAAAACAAACAAACAAACAAACAAACAAACAATTACTGGGGAATGCAAAGTATAAACTCTAAGGATGACTCACTTAACATATCATCTGTCATACTGCTGCCTTGTACTGTTACCCATATCTTACATCAATAGTTAACTTTTTACCTATTTGAGTGTCTTCTATCCCCAACCAAATAGTAGGGAAGAGTCTCAGATTCAAAATGTAATAATTTCACTATTAATTCTTTTCCATAACAGGCAATCAACAAATTCCTAAGTGACTTTATTATATAAAGGACAGAATAGTTATAAATAGTCTAGGTTCCCTAGAAAATCTGGATTACAGTAGCAGTGGACTTTGATGGTTGCCCACACAACATCCATATTCTCCCTTCCTAACAGGAGTCAGGTTTCCAGGTAGATCTCTGCTCATTCTTCCTGTAGTTCATGTGCTTCAGGGAAAGCTCATCCCATCCAGCTCCAGGGTGAACCCAGTCTATCTAAGCCAATCGGGGTCACTCTCTCCACTTTTTTATCATGATTGATTCAAGGAATTCAGGACTTTACCCAGATGCAAATGGCACTCCCTGGCCACTGGGACTGGTTCTGAAGTGGTTCAATCAGTAAAAAGCTCAGACTCTCTTAACACACTCCCACCGAACCTTCCCTTCCCCTGTACAAAGGTATACACAAAGTCTAGGAAAGATTGGCCTACAAAATTGCTGACAGCCAATCTGCAGCCCTGAGAAGGAGCCAGTTTTAAGATTAAGTGGGCCATTCAGAAAGGCAGAGCAGAAAAAAGGAAAGAAATGGGATTCCAGATGACTTTATAACAGCTCCTAAATCAAAGACTAAAGCCTGGCCTAACCTAAACTACCTCTATCGAATTTCCAGTCCTGGAAACCAATGGTAAGGTAAGGTAATGAACCCTTCTGGGTGACATTCACAAACATACATTTATTAAGTGCTTTCTTGACACTGGGCTAAGTAGTGGGGTATAGAGATCAATATGCCTCAAACCCTACCCTTGTGCAACTGGCTGAAACAAACATAAGGAAAATGATTTTTAGAAAATGTGGTAAACAGACTGCTGGGTAGGAGTAGGCGCTTAAACCTAGTAGAAGGAGGTGCTGATCAAGAGAGTGTCATTTGAAGGAGTTGATTATAAATTGAAACTCTATGTTATGGGATCAAATGGCTTGAGGGTCTCTATTTCAACCACATCTGTATTGCCTCCCATTTTTGACACCATCTTATTTTTCCAGGGCCTGAAAGGGACTCAGGAAAAAAGTAGAGTTCTTTCCCTTCTCTGCGCTCTGGTCTGCAACTGGCAACACACCCTGACCTAGGAACCCTAATGCAAAGGCTCATGGTGATTAACACTACAATTATCATATGAATTTGGACAAAAGCAAATGCATTTTATTTCCTCTCTCCTACCAGGAAGGCTGTAGAAAGCCTAGTGAGCCCTGGTTAACACAGAAATCAGTCTCATTAATCCCCATATGGCCATTCCATTATTTATTTTTAAATCACAGAAGTACAATACAGTTATCATAACTATTTCTGTCCTGAAATTCAGTGTGTGTAACCTAACTTCATTAAAACTGTAGTTTAACCTGATCAGTTCAACAAGACCACGTAGATCATTCTCACTCTAGCAAAGTCTGGACCTGTATTTCTTTGAAGACATTGTTCATCTAAAAACAATGGGCAGTGAGGAGAAAAAAGAACAGAGTATTGAACTACAACTTCAGACCTCAATGTTTCATGACTTTTATTGATCCATTTGTTTGCATTTATTCCTCATTATCCTGTGCAGTTCTCTCCCTGAGAACCTCAAAGCTCTCTTCCAAGTGTATGCGTCCTCCCCACTTACCCCTCATCATGTTTCCCTCTCATTTTTGGTATGTATCTTTCTCCAACTGCCTGAGGAAAAAAGCATGTAAGGTCTAGAAGGGAAAAATCCCATGAGTTATTCACAGAGGCATTTATACAAAGCATAAACTACAAAGGTGCTCCAGCTACCATGACCTCCTTCCACACATACACTCTTTCCCTTTGTTCCCAATATAGACAGTTATCTTGGAGGAATAAAAATCTGGATCTATTTTCAGTTTCCTCTAAACAAGAAAAAAATCCCAGTGAGAGAACAGCAAAAGTCACAGAAAGAGCACGTGTGCAGGATGAGAGATCCTAGAGCTGGCATTTGAAAAACAGGACTTCATCCAGTGGGAATCCATTGTTCCCAAGCTGGTAAAGAAGAAAAGCAAAGCAAAAAAGATTACCTAACACTGACACAGTATAGTACAAACCACTTTACATAACCAAAACTCAAAAGAGCTTTAAATTTAAGGTATGATACTGAACTTTGTAACATGACTGCTTTCCCTTATAAATTTGGTCAGGTAAAATATAAACCCTACTCTAGTGAAGTGTTTTACTACAGATCAAATGCAAACAGTGTAAATTGTAGCATTAAAGACAAATCAGAACTCTAAAAGGGACAGCTAAAATAGTGCTGCAGTCAAGATCCATTAATAGACTGCACTGAACACTGCTATCCCACGATCTCATTCAAGACATACTCAGAGTCACGGGATTAGCAGTCATTCAACCACACAATGAGAAGGGCAGAAACTATTCTTTGGGAAAGTGGTCAGTGGAGATAAGACCTCATCAAAGTAGAGATGGAGGAAAAAAAGCAATATATTTCAATGTTGTTTTTTTTAAATTACAAGACACCTGCTAGATGGACTGGCACTGACTCTGCAGACAGTAAAGTGGAAAATTTTCCTCTGGAAAACTGAACAGTCCCAGTGGAAAAAAAATGACAGATACTAATAATTGGGGAGACACCAAAGAAATGACTCACCCAGTCACTCCACAGTAAAGCCTATGCACACTGAACTTCTAATGGACTATTTACTGCCTCATACATAAATGAATGGACAAAGATTATCAGACATTGGAGGAAGGCCTCCAACATAAAAAACAGATCAAAACAAAACAGAGGAAGGAAAAAAACAACCTAAATATCCAAGGAAAGAAAATATCCAAGAAAAAAAATAAGGGTTTTTTTTGCAGTTGTTTTAAATTTATGCTTTTGAGGTATGATGTAATACTGTGTAAGAAAAATTTAAAAGTTCTGTATTCAGCATGTCTCAACTTTCTTTAAAATAAATACTGAAAAACAGATCAATAGAGCAGAATAAAGAGTCCTAAACCACATCCATACAGTACAGTCTCCTAATTTAACAGACAGGCACCACGTAATTCACAAAAGAAAAGGTAGTCTTTCCAATAAATAGCACTGGATTAATTGGTTATCCTTGTGTTGGGAGAAATGACCCTTGATCTCCATGCTCATACATTAAAAAAATCCACAATATATCACAGAAAAAAAATCACAACATATCACAGACCTATGCAAAAGCTAAACCAATCAAGCTTTTAGAAGAAAGTATACCAAATATTCATGACTTTTGCAGTATTTACATTATGACCCAGAAGCTCTTAGATATATATATATAGAAGTGAAACAAGTGTGTAAGTCCACCAAAAGACTTTTACAAGAATGTTCAAAGCAGTTTTATTTATAATAGTCCCAAACTGAAAGCTATCCAAATGTTCATCAACAGCAGAACAATTATTATATATTTTCACAGTAGAAAATGACCCCAAAACAATAAATAAAATAACTATTATTACGTGAAACAACATGGATGAATCCCAGCCACAACGTGTGAGCAAAAGAAGGCAGACTCAACAGACTTCAATAATACTCTACTTAGTCTGTTTTGTGTTGCTATAAAGGACTAACTGAGGCTGGGCAATTTATAAATAAAAGAGGTTTATTTTGGCTCATGGTTCTGCTGACTGTACAAGAAGCATAGTGCTGGCATCTGTGTCTGGTGAAGCTCTCAGGTAGCTTACAATCATGGTGGAAGACAAAGGGTGAAGCAGGCACATCACATGATGAGAGAGGGGGCAAGAGAGTGGGGGGAGATCTCAGACTCTTTTAAACAACCAGATCTCACTTGACTAATAGAGTGAGAACTCATTCATTACCATAAAGAGGACACCAAGCCATTCATGAAGGATACACCCCTATGACCCAAACACCTCCCACCAACCCACCTCCATAATTGGGGATCACATCCCAAGATGAGATCTGGAGAGGACAAATATCCAAACTATATCATTCTGTGATTCCATTTATATGAGGTACAAGAACAGCCAAAACAAATCTGTGGATACTGAAAAGAAAGATACCAAAACAAATTTATGAATACTGAGGGGAAGATAGAAGGGAACCTTCAGGAATGATGGAAACATTCTGTATCTTGAGCTGAGTCATGTTTACATGAATACATATAAATGTATTGAGTTGTACATTAAGATTTTCAAACTTTATTGTAAATTGTACAGTAACAGCAGATATTTTGCTAGAAAAAATATATTTATTGTGGTTTTCCTTGGGTGCTGGAATTGTGGGCAATTTTTATTATACTCATCTGTATTTCTTTTTTTTTTTTTTTTTTGAGACGGAGTCTCGCTCTTCCACCCAGGTGGGACTGCAGTGGCGTGATCTCGGCTCACTGCAAGCTCCGCCTTCCGGGTTCACGCCAGTCTCCTGATTCAGCCTCCCGAGTAGCTGAGACTACAGGCGCCCGCCACTGCGCCCAGCTAATGTTTTGTATTTTTAGTAGAGACGGGGTTTCACCGTGGTCTCGATCTCCTGACCTCGTGATCCGCCCGCCTCGGCCTCCCAAAGTGCTGGGATTACAGGCGTGAGCCACCGCGCCCAGCCACTCGTCTGTATTTCTGAAAATTTCAAGAGAACCTATACAGTCAGAAAAAGATTAAGTTTTCCTAGTGCTTTCAGATATATATCCATGCTGCCTGCCATTTTTAATAGCTAGAATGCCACTTTAGCTGGGCTCAGGGCTCATGCTTATAATGTCAGTGACTTGGGAGGCTGAGACAGGGGAATCACTTGAGGCCAGGAGTTCAAGACCAGCCTGGTTAGGGTAACATAGTGAAACCTTGTGTCTACCCTCCCCCCTTCCCCCCGCAAAAAAATTAGCAAGCTGTGGTGTTATACATAGTCCTAGCTGCTTGTGAGGCTGAGGTGGGAGGATCACTTCAGCCCAGGAGTTTGAGCTGCAGTGAGCTATGATCATGACACTACACTCTAGTCTGGGCAACAGAACAAGAAAGACCCTGTCTCTAAAAAAAAAAAAAAAAAAGTTAAAATTAACAAATATTTTTTAAAATGCCACTTTAAACCTCCTATTCACTTCTGATATACCAATTTGCCTTCTCATTACTTATTTTCCTCTTGTTAATGATCTAGTCAAAATCTGCTCTTCACTGCTTTTTAAGGTGATTTTTGTAGTTGCAATTTTTTTTTTTCACAAGACACTTTGGTTCTCTAAGGTCTTCAAATGTTTTCTTTCTGCTTCAAACCAAAAAGTCACTTGGTTGGGTACCAGACTTGGGGTAAAAAACCAAATTCTTTTGGTTACATACAGACTTCTCTATCTTGGAACCCTTCTTATTATCAAAGCCTAAAGTCATGCTTATCCTTATGTCCTTCAATTTATCTTTCTTGGTAACTTATAAAATTAAAGTTTAAAAACATAAGAGCAGGGCCAGGCACCATGGTTCACACCTGTAATCCCGGCCCTTTGGGAGACCAAGGCAGGTGGATTGTTTGAGCCTAGGAGTTTGAGACCAGTGTGGGCAACATAGTGAGACCTTGTCTCTATAAAAAATAGGAAAATTGAGCTGGGTGTGGTGGCATACATCTGTAGTCCCAGCTACCTGGGGGAGACTGAGGTGGGAGAATCACTTGAGCCTGGGAGATTGAGGCTGAGGTGAGCCGTGATCACACCACGGCACTCAAGCCTGGGAGACCGTGCAAGACCTTATCTCAAAAACAAAACAAAACAAACAAACAAAAACTATGAGAGCAGATCTTACCCTAGAGACCTCGGTGTCTTTTTTTTTTTTTTAACTCCCCATTAGCTGTTTTTTTAACAAAACCTTTGTAAATAGACCACTTTACATTCTAAGTCCCTCAATATGTCTTGACTCTCACATCTATAATTTTGGGTGCAGTTTGTTCAGGTAAAAAAAAAAAAAAGTTTTAGAATTACTGAGGTGTTTGTTTATTTGTTTGTTTGTTTTTTGAGATAGAGTTTCACTTTGTCGCCCAGGCTGGAGGGCAGTGGTGCGATCTCGGCTCACTACAACCTCTGCCTTCCGGGTTCAAGCGATTCTCCTGCCTCAGCCTCCAGGGCAGCTGGGATTACAGGCGTGCACCACCATGGCTGGCTAATTTTTGTATTTTTAGTAGAGATGGGGTTTCACCATGTTGGCCAGGCTGGTCTTGAGCTCCTGACCTCAGGCAATCTGCCCGCCTCAGCCTCCCAAAGTGCTGGGATTACAGTGTAACCCACCACACCTGGCCTAGAATTACTGAGTTTTATACTGCCATATCATCTCTGGTTTAGAGTTTTCATCAAATTTTGGCATTGACATATTAGTTTATTCCATTCACACAGTCATTTGTTCATCCATAAATACTTATAGGAGCATCAACTATAACCCAGTACTACTGGGTTCCAGGTGCTGCTGAGATAATGGTAAGCAAGAGACAGTTCCTATTCAGGGTATGAGAGAGACAGACAATAACACCAGCAATCACAAAACCAAGCGAAGATAGAGGAAGCAGAGCGTACTGTAAGCTCAAAGTAGAGATAACTAATTACTCAGGGAAGTCAGAGAAAGATTCTAATAGAAGTGATGATCACATGACTAAGCATAAACAGAAATTCGTATTACTCCAAATTTCATACTCTGCAGAGGCAAGAATCTGTGAGATGTTTCAGAGAAAAAGCAAAGCACATTTGAGGAACTGACTAGGTTCTAATGGCTGAAGCACACTTCACGGGATGAGGCCAAAGGGTCAGCTCATAAACAGCCTTGCTAAGAGCAGACTTCTAGGTTTGCTGCATCTTCCTTTTCTATCGTTATTCTTTATTTCTTTTAAAAGGATTCATGTAACTTTATGTTTGTTTGTTGAATACTATTGACAAACTTAATAATTCACTTATTTCATATGTATTAAGTACCTACTACATATCAGGCCTAGAGCTGGAGATAAGAGGTAAAGAACTATATAGCTGGCTTGCTCCTCCCCTTCAGTATTGCTATTAATATAAATAAAATTATCACTTCCATTTGTCTGCTATTGCATCAGATGGAATATGCTGGAAGTTTTCCAAATTTTAAGGATATGGTGAAGGTAGTTTGACAGAATAGACAAAACTTACTTTGGGAGGTCCAAAAGGCAGTTACCTCAAAGTGTTACACAAGTTACTAAAACTGAAGTATAAGTAGAAGCCCAAATGACTCCCCAATCGGAAGAGTCATACCATACTTGTGAATGTACAGTGAGCAGAGGTAAGAAATGATGGTCTCAAATCTTAAACCCAAGGCCAAAGTCACAACAATAGGCATTCCAGAACTGTAGGCCTTCTCCTAGGAAGAACTTGCTCCTGATATGGACACTTTAACACAGGAGCCCCAGGGGGATAGCAATAGCAGGGATTTACATTTTTAAAGATGGTAGCAGTGCTCCCAGTAACAGTGCAACACCAGGAGACCTCTGATAGTCAGCATAACGTGGACAAGATATTTCTTTTTACGACTTGCTCAGCATTTTAAACACATTGCTGGGTATTGCCATTTTCTAAATTGCTCTTCTTTTAGGGACAGACTGGAGGAAGACAACCTGCAGTATTACTCCATTATTGTCCAAATACTGATTCTGGTCTCAACCTCCCAAATATCATTAGCCATCCCCTACTTCATTCAATATCTCTTGTTTGCCAGAGTTTTACCAGGCCCTGAGCTATTCTCATATAGTCAATGAATGAATAAGTATTAGAACGTATCTTTTGTATCAACATTTTGGCTGTGGCTTCACAATAGCCCCTCTATGGAGTACAAAATGATACACAGCTCAGATATGGGACCTTTCGCTGAACAAGGGCATCAAAGTGCACATGGAAGGCAAAAACTAACAATGGATCATCTACCTCTGAAGGCCCTGGCCCAGAGTGATGAAGAGGTTCAGAGACTGTCTTATTTTCCTTTCTCACAAAAAATATCTGATACAAAAACCACACACTGCTTTTATAACTGAGTTCATATGAAGCTAAAAATCTACAAACTATTTAGTAACATAGTTTGCTAATGCCATTCAGATAATTGCTTTAAGCCGCTATCCCCAACATTAAGATAACACAAAGATGTAAGTATTCTCAACTTGTCCTGATAGATTAGGAACAGCAAATTCTGAAAAGTCATACCATACCTACATTAATTATCCATAGTTCAGAATTATTTGAAAATGTGACTACAGTCAATCTTGTCTCCCTCCAATACTAAACTTGGTAGGTACATTTTAGCATTCTTCCAGACTTAGAGACTTTCTGAGGGAATTCAGAGAAGTTCCCTTCAACAGAGGATAACATATCATCTGCTAAAACCTTTCTCCATAAAGCTTTCTGTAAAGAACCTCTAGTTGGATCCAGGGCTTGGTGCTCTGTAAGATATAACATTTATAAACATTCCTGGGAAAAAAGACATTACTACCTGAAAATATCAACAACTAAAATGACCTATCCTTAGCCACCAGGTATTGGTGTCCCATTCCTCCCTAATGTTTAGAGCAGACAGCCTTTCTTTTTATAGCGGGTCTATCCTTTTTTCTTATAAACTCTTCAATAAAGACATATTTTTAAGTAAAACCCCAAATAAATACATAAAAACACCCTATCCTTTGAACGAGCAATTCTACCTTTAGGAATTTATCTTACAGATATATACTAGTGCCAGCCGGTATGCCAAAAAAAAAAAACCCAACTTTATACACATGCATATATATTAAATATAATGTTCATCAATATGAGAATGGTTAAATAAACCATGGTATTTCCAATCCATGGAACTGCTGCTATATGACGCTTCAGAAGAATAAGTTAGAACTACCTGTGCTGATATGAAAAAGCACCAACATGGTGGGAAAAAAACAAATTGCAACACAGTGCATTCTATTACCCCATTTGGGTTTAAAAATAAACTTCTATTTCTAAACCTGAATAGATCACACAGTTACACTAATGAATACAATTATTGATTAAACTGTACATTATACATACTTTTTTATACATATGTTATATTTAACAATGAAAGTTAAAACCCTTGCTAATCATCTTTAGGTAAAGTAGCCACATGGCTTTTACAAGAAAATAATCAATTTTTTAACTCATTAAGCAGGAAAGCCATGCTCCTAGATGCTTCCAACAATCCATCTAACCACATGGGAAGACAATTTGGTCCAGTTGCTACCTGGGAAAACCTAGCTTCAGGGCAGGATCCACAGCTGCAAATAGTCCTGTGGGTTCCAGGCTAACCTCACCCAAGGGCTCCTTCTCCAGCCTTCATTCATCATGTATGGTCCTCTGCAAAAGCTAGAGGACTGCCTGGATGCAGTATTCCCCTCTGCATTCAGCTTATGGAAGGGTCCCCACAGGTAAGCCTCAGCCCCTTGTCTAATGGATCCTGGCATTGTCAGCAAACCCTGATTATAATACCTTCCCCATACTGCTGGGACCCCCATATCGGGGAGGAGCACATCCAGCCTCACCCAACCACTCAGTTCAGGGACTCTGGTCAGTACCCCACCAACACTGCTATCTGAAAGCCAGTAGAGAAATGAAGGTTGGCTTCTCCTCAGAAAAATAGGGTAGGGATCTCTGAATTACATCTAGTCACTGGGACATATAGGACAGCATTATAATTGGAACTTCAAATAGTCAACCCTCAAAGTGAGAATGGAGAGAAAATGGGGCCCAGCAAGAGAGAGGCTCAAAAGAGAGGGCAGTATTGAACAGAAGGGAAAGGAAAAGGGAAGAAAGCTGTGAACACAGAAAGTGAGTTGGGGAATTGAAAGGAGCGGTTAGGGCATGGAGAGAGAGAAAAGGGAAGAACTCTGCCCCCTGCCAAGTTGAGAGGACACACTAGAAAGGGACAGGTCCATCCCTCCCAACAAGCCTGATAAGGCCACTTCCCAGGCCAGGTCCCCTGCCAGCCCAGCCCCTGAAAGACAGGCTCTGCCTGCCTCCTCCCAGAGCATTAGATTAGGCTTTGTGGGAAAGTTGAAATCTTGATGATTTAGAAAGAGGCCCCTACAGCTTAACGTGCTGGCAATTTAACTAAGCGCTCCTGGTTCCTGATGAATACCAAGCCAGCCTGGCTTTGCTCCATCATGAAAGCACGCTCTCCTGACCCTCTGAGGGAGCAGCAGCTCAGTCAGCACTGCGGGGTGGCTCTTAATGGACAACAGTGAATTTCACATCAAACCAGGAAGTACCACTCATGCCTATCATGTGCTGCACCCTAAGAGACCATACAACCCAGGGCAGCTCACCCTCCCCCTTTCTTCTGTTTTCATAGGATTCTTAAAGGAATAGGCTTTACGGACAATGAAGATTGGGGGAAAAAAATTCTAGATGATAACTTCAGTTTCTATCATTAGCAACATCCACAAACAGTTCTCTATATGTGAAAGGAACTCAAAGTAGTTTGGGTTATTGATGAGTTAAAAAAAAAAAAAGCATCCCTCCTGCCCCCCAAGAAAGATCTGAGTTTCCCAGGAGAATCTGAGTTTTCTAAGAGCACGCTGGCACAGAAAGAACAATGTAACACAGCATCAATGAAGCCACACCCCTGGCAGAGGGCCTAGAATTTAATATAGTATACAGCCTCACCACCACTCAGGCCTCTTTTTGGCAAACTTCAGATCAAAACAGAAGTGGTTTCACATTGCATTTACCTCTTGTTACCTCCTAGATTCTTCATTCTGTGGCCTTCCTAGTATCATAGAACCACACAAGTTTTAGGAAAAGATAGGATTGAAGGGGCCCTCTCTGAAGGCCTGCCTACTCCAAACCATCCTACCACCCATCTACTGCTGCCTGAAAAACTCACTATTAGTGAGTCATATCTTTGGGTAAAGGCTGTATTGCCCCAGGTGGGATATGTGGAACTTGGGGAACATGGACAAACAACTTCAATAATTTATACCTTCTATTTGTGACAGGTGATGTAGTAGTTATCAGTTTAAGGCAATGATATCGTTTCCCTTTTAAACAAATTTTAGGGTTTTAAAAAATGGGTCAACTTTAAGAAGAATGTTAAACAACAGTACAGATGACATAAAGATAAGACAAAAATCATGCAGGGGAACACAAATGAAGTGTGAAAAACACTAGGGTTTACTTTCAAGACCCTCCCTTTAAATACAACTACCCGGCCGAAGGTGGTGTCACACGCCTGTGATCCCAGCACTTTGGGAAGCTGAGGCAGGAGGATCCCTTGAGGCTAGGACTTTAAGAATGGCCTAGTCAACATAGCAAGACCTAGTCAACATAGCAAAAAATACAGACGGGGGTCCTGCTATCTTGCAGTGGCAGTGGCCCCCGTGGCTCTTGCAGGTGCAGTGGCTCATGCAGCAGGATTGCCTGAGCTCAGGAGTTTGAGACCAGCCTGGGCAACATAGTGAGACCCCCATCTCTATGAAATATAAATAAAAAATTAACCAGGCACAGTGATATGTGCCTGTAGTCCTAGCTACTCAGGAGACTGAGGTGGGAAGATCTTTTGAGCCCAGGAGTTTGAGCCTGCACTGAGCTATGATCATGCCATGCACTCCAGTCTGGCAGATTGTCCCTAAAGCAAAATAATAATCAGTAAGTAAATACAATTATCCCTCATTAGTTTCTCACACAGCCACCACCAGACATTAAAGGCCACCAAAAATTAGTTCAACAAAGTTAGCAGAGCCAGAAGGGTGCAGAAACTGCGATCAAAGATTAGATTGGCTTTAGAGAGGGTGGTGTTGGGGAGGAAAGGCTGTTAGTGGGGAAGAGGCAGAAGGGCAAAGTCTGGAGTGTCCAGGAAGCTAGTGGCAGCAGGAAAGCACTAAGTATTCGACTTAACAATAAGGGCTCACAGAATAGCCACATTCTTACAAATGTCCCCCTCTTCACACACTTTCTCCCCAACTGACTCTGCCTAAGATTCTGAAACTGAAAGCTGACCAGTAAAGTACTGCGTGCAGCATTAAACGTTTAACGTGGCAGAAGTCTAGCACCATTTCCCAGGTCTTCCTCTCCCCAAATGTCTTTGTAGTTCAACTGTTTCCCATCCCTACTTTTCTCTGAATAAGAAGCATGCCTAGATAGTTTTCAGTTACGATGTTTTCTGAGCCAATGCTCTTGAGACTGGCTAATGATTCTTTAGTACAAATAATCAGGAAACTAGTGATAGGAACCTCTGAATAAGGCATTTACTCTTCAGTGAGTAAATTCAGGTAGATCAAACCCTCCTCCCACCATGACCATCAATATTCTCCCTTAAACCATTTAATGAAAAGAGTTTAGAAAAATATAAATCATCTGTTGTTTTGGCAAAGTCATACCACAAGCTTGCTGCCCACAGAGACTGGATTCAAACCATTTGTCTCCTTTGCTTTAGATGTGAGGACCTACCCAGTTTCCAAGATCTGACTTGGAGGCCTAAATCAATAATAATATTCCACATACATCTCCTAAAAGCTATAAAGGAATCATTCCAAGCTCACTTCCTTTTGAAGACTCCTTTGTGTAGTGCCCAAAATGGTGTGAACATTTTTGGTTGTAAAGTGGGAGGGTCAGTTTATGTTCAATTCCCTTGCTTTATACTACTGCTGTTTAATTGCTGACTCCCATTTTATAGCCAAGCCAATTAGTAGCCTTGGCCAAGCGTGAGGAGCTTGGAAGCCTGAAACATGGCACTCAGCTAAGCCTACAGATAACAGAAAGCCTTTTCTGTCAGAATTTCCCTCATGAGAGAGAGCTTGACCTGGCCAACAAATGTCAGAAGTCTAAAAGATGGATGTTGTAGTTCAGTACGTAGTGTCCCTGGGCACATCAGCAAGCACTCGAATCCTACTAGATTGAGTGACAGGACTGGTGGCCTGACACAGGTGAGGGAAATTTTAAAAGATGACTATTTCACTCCTCATCCAATTTACTGAACAATCTTACTCCCTTTTGTCTCTGACCAGCTTAATAACTTACTCCTTTGAGGGCTGTGACACTTTCTGATAATACTCTTGCTGTTAAAAAAGATGCTGGGTCATAGGCTGCCAGTTCCACAGCCTTCTGTTACTGGTTTACTCCAGGCACTCCAAAAAAAGCCAAGACCAGGTTAACAGAGAATAAAAGAAAAAAGAGAGTGAGGCTGGGCGCGGTGACTCACGTCTGTAATCCCAGCACTTTGGGAGGCTGAGGCGGGTGGATCACCTGAGGTCAGGAGTTCGAGACCAGCCTGGCCAACGTGGTGAAACCCCGTCTCTACTAAAAAATACAAAAAATTAGCCAGGCATGGTAGTGCATGCCTGTAGTCCCAGCTACTCGGGAGGCTGAGGCAGGAGAATCGTTTGAACCTGGGAGGCAGAGGTTGCAGTGAGCTGAGATCGTGCCATTGCACTCCGGCCTGGGAGACAGAGCAAGACTCTGTCTCAAAAGAAAAGAAAAGAAAGAAAAAAAAGAGAGTGAACAATCTGAGCTTTACTATTTATATATGAAATATAAACAGGAATTTAGTTAGCCTCAGGCTTCCAAATTTTTATTTTTATTTTTCAGACAGAGTCTTCCTCTGTCTCCCAGGCTGGAGTGCAGTGGCACAATCTTGGCTCATTGCAACCTCCGCCTCCTGGGTTCAAGCAATTCTTGTGCCTCAGCCTCCCGACTTAGCTGGGATTACAGGCGTATGCCACCATGCTCAGCTAGTTTTTGTAATTTTAGTAGAGACAGGGTTTCGCCATGTTGGCCAGGCTGGTCTCGAACTCCTGGCCTCAAGCAATCCACCCACCTCGGCCTCCCAAAGTGCTGAGATTACAGGTGTGGGCCACCGTGCCCAGCCATTTTTTTTTTTTTTAAGCGACAAGATGTCATTCTGTCTTCCAGGCTGGAGTGCGGTGGCGTGATCATGGTTCATTGCAGCCTCAAACTCCTGGGCTCCAGCGATCCTCCCACCTCAGCCTCCTGAGTAGCTAGGATTACAGGCACATACCACATGCCCAGCTAATTTTTAAAAATTTTTTGTAGCTATGGGGTCTCCCTGTGTTGCTCAGGCTGGTCTTGAACTCCTGGGCTCAAGCGATCCTCTTGCCTCAGCCTCCCAAAGTGCTAGGATTACCGCACCGGGCCTCAGATCTTGATTACAGGCTGATTAGTAACCAAGCCCATAAAACCCCAGGAAAAAACAAAGCCAAACAAAACAAAAAACCAGCAAAAAGTCCAGGCATGGTAGCTCATGCCTGTAATCCCAGCACTTTGGGAGGCTGAGGCAGGCAGATTGCTTGAGCCTAGGAGTTTGAGGGGAGCCTGGGCAACATGTCAAAACTCCATCTCCACAAAAAACACAAAAAATTAGCTAGGTGTGGTGGTGCAGGCCTGTAGTCCCAGCTACTCAGGAGACTGAGTCGGGAGGATGGCTTGAGCCCAGGAGGTGGAGGTTGCAGTGAGCTGCGATTACACCACTGCACTCCAGCCCAGGCAACAGAGCCAGAACCTGTCTCAAAAAAATTAAAAAAACCAAATCAGCAAAAAGGTCTTAGATAGCCAGGCATGGTCGCCTGTAGTCCCAGCTACTCACAGGGTTGAGGTGGGAGGATCACTTGAACCCAGGAGTTAGAGACCAACCTGGGCAACATAGCAAGCCCTGTTTCTGAAAAAAAAAAAAAAAAAAAAAAAAAGGAAGGACTTGAATAGGGCTTTTCCAAAAACTTAGAACTTCAAACTCTTTTAAAAAACTTTTATCACATCTCAAAATATACCATTCATCCAAGAATTAAAATATTCTGCTTTGGAGGAGCTCAAATTTCATATAAGCCTCTCATTAATTCTCCTTGGTACCTCTGTGAGGAGGTACTGACCCGCATTCAAGGTCAAAGAAAGTTTCCATGCCAAGAAAGGAGTGCCCTGCTCAAGGCCTTAGTTGACAAATGTGAGCTCAAAATGCTCCAGCCCATACCCCAGCCCTGCCTTTCACCTCAGCCCAGTCCCCCTTAAGAAAGAGCATTTCTATTAAAGGCCAGCCCTGTTGTTTATTATAGTTTGTATTTAGGGAAACACACTAACATTTTTTTCCTGACAGTAAAGTCTTAAGTTCTCTACCAATGAGAAAACTTGTGGGGGTGGCTTGGGTGAATGAAAGCAGAAAATTTCCAAAAACTTTTGGCCTACTTAACTGCCCTGACAGCACATAGTTATTTTGTTTGGGAAAGGAGGGGGTGGACTGTTTCTTTCCAAAGGAACCATAATTAGTTGGCCACTTCAAATAGTATCAAAGAGATTTGGAAAACAGTTACTTTTCTAAATTTTTTAATGAGGCCAAGACATCTGATTTCCAGCGATTCTTAATATTAACAAGCTCCTGCAAAGCCCCTTAAAAATCACTATCATAATCTCTACCACTCAACAGGAACACACGGGGAAAAAACTACTCTGGCCTTTTACACACTTCGGGGCTTCTTTTACAGAGAATGACTTCACTGATCTGACTGGAAGTCCCGTTTCCCCAGGTCTCACCCTGGATTTGCACTCCTTTGAGTGCTGCACCGGTTTCTATATTTACGCACAAACCAGCTGCGGCCACCTTCCTTCGCAATTCCCAAACCTGCCTTTCACTGTACAGGATCCCTGGAGGTCCAATTCTGTTTTCTGGAGTCAAAGAAATACAAAATAATTTCACTACCTCCCAGAAAACAGACTTTGGTAAGTTTCAATATAAAATAGACAGCTCTTGAACCCAGGAGGCAAAGGTTGCAATGAGCCAAGATCTCGACACTGCACTCCAGCCTGGGCGACAGAGCAAGACTCCGCCTCAAAAATAAACAAATAAATAAAATAAAATAGACAGCTGTGTATTTTTGGTCCTAGCACCAATAAATTTCAGGGCTGGGAAAAATCATAAATTACCAAAGCATTCCTCTTCATATAACCAAAATATATTTTTCCTGTTGCTCAGGAAATTAAGACAAAATAGCCAACTAACACTTACGCAGCCTTACACGGAGAAACTCAAAGCTGGCAGGAAAGGACTAGAGATTTTTTTTTTTTTTTTTTTGAGACAGAGTCTCGCTCTGTCGCCCAGGCTGGAGTGCAGTGGCGCAGCCTCGGCTCACTGCAAGCTCCACCTCCCGGGTTCACGCCATTCTCCTGCCTCAGCCTCCCGTGTAGCTGGGATTACAGGCGCCCGCCACCACGCCCGGCTTATTTTTTATATTTTTAGTAGAGACGGGGTTTCACCGTGTTAGTCAGGATGGTCTCGATCTCCTGACCTCGTGATCCGTCCGCCTCGGCCTCCCAAAGTGCTGGGATTACAGGTGTGAGCCACCGCACCAGGCCAGGTCTAGAGATCTTTGATCTACAATCAACAAATAGTATGGGACTCCTTTCAGCGAATCCAATGCCCCACATGAATGTTTGGATGCTGGTTCTCCTTTAATAACTTCCCCCTATTAAATCTCTTACCAGTCATTTGGGGTTTGGGTTTCACCCTAGGGATACAAGGTGTTTGTAAGTCACTCTGAAACCTCTGAAGGGCAAAGTGTTGTGGACGCTATAATCTCCCTGCATACTGAGGGGGGCATAGCTCCCAACCAGTCATTAAATCCCGTCAAATGAGATACTCGAAAATGAGCTGCCCTTGGGTGGGTCCTTTCATAAAAAGGAATTTTTAAAAATCTGCTAACATGGTTACTCCACAAAGTTTACATGTATCATATTGTATAAATCTATAAATATGTACAATTATTTTTTGTTTAATTTCTAAAAATTTGCCAACAATGGCTGAAAAAGGCACCTGGCTGCCTGAGCCCCTACCCTTGTCGGTTACAAGTATTTCATAAGCAGGGTTTGAGGAATCCCATCAGAGAAGAGTGTTGTCACCTTTTTGCCGGAATGTCACACCAACTTCCTCAGTGTTCCCCTCACACCAACTTCCTCAGTGTTCCCCCTACCCCAATCTAGCCAACGTTTCAATGGCTCCCCACAGCACACAGTGCCTCTCAGGTGGGCACTCAAGGGTCCTTTCCTAATCCTCCCTAACCTAATTCTCCAAACTTTTTTTCCCCCAAAACAGCCCAGCAGACGGTCCAGTCAGTCCCCAAATCGTTTTTCCTCATGGTCTCCTTCCCCAGGGGTCCTCCCCTCCTTCTCTCCCCCCTGCAACCTCCACTGCTACCGGGAGATTAGTTCCCACCCGTCAGGACCCCGCTCAGATTTCACTTCCTCCAACAGGTCCGCTCAGATCCCAATCCACGGCTCTCAACAGCAGCCGGGATTCCTTTCCCCCGCAACGCCTTCTCTGAACACCCCGGCCTCCGAGCGCCGGCTTTGCGTTCCCTAGTTACTTCCAGTCACTAGTTACTTCCGCTCCGCTCCCACCCGCGGGACTCGCGACCTGCCCCCTGCCCCCGGCTGGCCCAGCTCGGAATAGGCAGAGCAGCGCCTCAGAAATCGCAGCCCAAGGCGAAGAAATCCAGAAGCCTCCCGCGGACGTCCCCCGGGACGGGGTGTGGCGAGCCCCGCTCCGAGCCCGCCGACTCCTCGTGAGACGAGAACCGCAGCGACGCGGAGACCCTGTGAGTCCACCGCCGAGACGCGCGGCGCGGCGACCAGGAGCCCCAGAGTAGCCGCGGGGCGCCGGGAGGGATCCAGCTGGCGGCAGCAGCTTCCCTGCCTCCCTGCCCCTCCCCAGGGGCTGCGCGAACCCCTGCCTGAGCCAGGCCAGCCCGGGTGCCCCCCAGTTCTCAGGGCGCTCCCCAGGGAGCCCGGGGACGCGCCCTGTCCGTGCCTGATCCCCGCCCTGGTCCCAGCTGGGTCGGGCCAGGTCCGCTGCACCTCACCTCTCCTCTCCACGAACCGACTGGATAACGGTCGGGTCTGAACCTGAGGAGCCCGGACCAGCCCGCAGTAGACTTGCCGCACCTGTCTCAGAGCAAGTGAGGAGCAGCCGGGCGCCTGACGTCACGGCCGCTCCCAGCGCCGCGAACCGGGAGTCACCTGATCACCCTGGCAACGCGCGCGGCGCGGGGCGAGGCGAGGCTTGCGTCACAGCACGAGCCCCGCCCCCAACTGCTCGGCCTCCAAGCGCCGCCGGAAGCGCTCTCTTGCAGTCGGCGCAGTCGGGAGGCGGGGTCGGTCTCCGACTTCCCAACGTGGGCCTCCCAGCTGCGCTGGATACTTAGGACTCCCACAGGCGTCCCCCTCAGATTGGATTGGTTCTCCGAGACTCCACCCGATACCCCAACTCCGCTAGTTCAGGCGCCTGGGAGGCAAGACCAGCGTCCATGCGGAACCCTGCTCAGTGCGTGGCATGAGGGGTCGGCTGTGGGCTGCTGCCTCCTCGTGTCTTGTTGGTCCAGACCCAACTAGGGTTGGGGGCTTACTTCCCGAGCTGTACCTGAGCGGAATGGGGCTGAGGCTGATAACTGGATTGCTCTCTGGCTACTTTTCCCCATAAACCTTGCAACAAGTAGTCCCGCCAGTACTTTAGAGTGTAATGAGACTTCATTCACATCAGGAGGGGGAAGGGGGACAGAATCTTCTGTCCTGAAGGTTTCCTTCTTCTGTTCCAACAGGAAGAGAAGTTACCGAAAAGCTCCCAGAGCAAGGCCTAGAATGAGCTTGCAAGTCCTACTTGCAAAAAATTTTTTATTTTTCATTTTAGAAATTGATTTTCTCTCCATATTCCTCCCCTTGCTTGCTATTAGGTTGGTGCAAAAGTAATTGTGGTTTTTGCATTTTTTTTTTAAATGGCAAAAACAGCAATTACTTTTGCACCACTCTAATATAAGTATATGCCTACAACTTTTGTTACTCTCTAGGCTTCCCAGATAAGACTATCAGCTTCGAAATGAAAATTTAACATCCCCTGGAGGTCTCAGTGTGAGAGTCACTGCCTATTTCACACCTTCACTATTTGCTGACTTTCATTTCAGTTTTACTCTCCTCATCCCTGCACTGCCAAGAAGGTTTCATATGTATTGAAACCTTCCCTCTCAAGAGTTTAGGATCTTAGACCAAGAAGTTAGTTTATAGTCAACTTCTTGTGAGCATCTTTTAGTGTCAGGCAATGGGCCATGGGCAGATTGAGATGTGGTTCTCGAAGATCAAACGTGTATGGGTGGTATGTCTCACATAAGTACAACTTGTACTGTTTATTATGACTTAATCATTGTATTTAAGTGGCACTTTTTAATTTTCACACTTAAAGAAACTCATATAAGTGGGAAAGAAGACAGCTGTGAAAGGTAGAGAAGAACCATGGCTCTAGACAGAGCTGTACTAATAGGAGAGAAGAGATTGAAAATGTGAGCCCAGGTCCCAAGGAGCACAGAGGCATGGTCAGAAGGTTGGTAGGAACAGGACAGAGGCAGCCAGGCCTGAGGTGTTTGGCAGATCTGAGGAGGGCAGGGATAGAGGGTGAGGGGAGGAGTGGGGCCAGAATGAGGCTTGAGGGATTCAATGGAGGGCGAAAGTGCTGGGAAGGGAGGAGGGATTGGAAAGAAAGGAGAAGTATGCAGTGGTTTGGGAAGGAGTTGCTGAAAGGGAGGGCAGGGTAAATAGAGACCCAGGAAAGGGTGCTAAGAGCATTAAGAGAAGGGAGGCTGAGAGGCTACAAAAAAGGACTGAGGGGGAGGAAGAAGCAGGTGGGAGACTCTGGGGCAGCAAACATCTCAGAACCAGTCAGTAGGTGGTGTCCTTCAGAGGCTGTTGGAGAAGAGCAGCATTGTCTGTTTGCCTCTGAAGAGTGAAGGTGATCCATGCACACCCCAAACTACCTCTGGACCATCTGAGGGTAAGAGCCACCCTTTGCAGAGCACTAATGCAGAGGGAAGAGCAGAAACAGGCACGTCCATAACTACACCCTGATAGTACTCAAGGCAGTCAGGCTTTTTGGCTGGACAGTTTTTCAGGCCTGTGGTACATGCCTCCGTGCCTCTAATCTGGGCAGGGCAAGGTGAGGATGGAGTGGAAGGCAGGGGTAATTCCCTTAGAAGGGAGGCAAGCTTCTCATGGCAGCTGGGTCATATGAAGGCTGTGCTAGGGAAGAAAAGATGCTAGGACACATTCTCAGTACGCTCCCTGACCACTCCCCTTTTACTGAGTTGGTAGGGTGAGGGCGTAACCATCGAAGGAAAAATAGAACATTCCTCACCCCCACCTCCACATCCATGCTGAGGAAAGTGTTATTATGTGGGTAAAAACTCAAGGAGTGTTGCTGACAGCATCCAAGAACAGAGATGAGGCCAGGGAATGCATCTCACATGGCTCTTTTCTAAGATTTTGACCTCAGGTCCCAGGACTAAGCAGCAGGCCAGATGTAGAAGTTGCTGGAGTTTCATCAGGTGTCTTCACAACAGCAGTGTGGGTTTCCATTCCTGGAAATAAAAGAAAAATGTCAGGGTACAAGGTCCTGGCCAAGCATATTTGCTGTGAAAGTCCATTAGTCACAGAAGTAACAATGAATTTTCAATATTTGTTCATTCGGGAGAACTGTCCAAGGACTGTGGAGGCAACATGGTGCAGTCGTTGGGAGCCTGTGTTCTGAGATTTATCCATTTTGTGAACTTGGCCAAGTTACTCACCTTCTTTGAGTCTCTGCCTTATCTGTAAAATAGAGATAATAATACCTACCTCACAAGACTATCATAAACTTTAGGTGAATTCCAGGGCAAAGAAAGAGAACCCAGATTCGTAATATTTTTTAAAGGGCCATTTTTTAAACCATTGTATTTTTATTGGACCACATTTGTTCTCTGAACAACTGGATGAAAGAATGTTTCTTGGATGCCTAATGTACACTCAAGACTGATGGATACAGAAGGAGCATGTGCCCTGGCTTGGTCAGGCATCCAATTTCTGATGGGAAGATAAGACAGTGTGAGACCTTGCCAGGCTGCTGTGAAATTGAATGCTAAACTATGTCATGTCCTTCCATGCCCGCAGCGTTCATGGAAAGAGGGGCCATGCCAGCTGCATTGGCTAAGGTGGGATACATGAAAGGAAGGGTCTGTAGCAGAGCCTTGAAAGATAGGATTGGCCAGGCACAGTGGCTCACGCCTGTAATCCCAGCACTTTGGGAGGCCAAGGTGGGTGGATCACTTGAGGTCAGGAGTTCAAGACCAGCCTAGCCAACATGGTGAAACCCCATCTCTATTAAAAGTACAAAAAGTAGCCAGGCGTCATGGCGCATGCCTGTAATCCCAGCTGCTCAGGAGGCTGAGGCAGAAGAATCGCCTGAACCTAGGAGGTGGAGGTTGCCATGAGCCAAGATTGTGCCACTGCGCTCCAGCCTGGGCAACAGAGCGAGACTCCATCACAGAGAAACAAAACAAAACAAAAAACAAAGACAAAAACAAAAAAAAGATAGGATTTGGAGAGGTGGTAGGTGAGGAGAACATTCTGGGTCAGGGCGGTGATCTGAGCAGCCGGGGCAGGGGCTCAGTAAATATTCACTGGCTAGATGAATGAATGAATGAGCAAAGATAATAATGAAATTATCAGCATAGTGTAAGATCAGCCACGCTTTGTTGAATGAATGGATGCATGATTAAACAAAAAAAGCAAAGACAATGAAATTAGGTAATGGTGGGCATAGCTGTAAGACCAGCCTAACTGAACCGTGGAAACTGGGGAGTTGTGGGAAATAAGATAGAGATGGAGCAGACTGTGGGAGAGCTTTTGAGACAGTAGAATCTTCTGGGAGGAGCATGGAGTCTGGATCCAGAGGGACAGGATTGCATTTGGACTCCATCACCACATATTGACCATGTGACTTTGAGTGAGTTACTTAATCTTTCTGTGCATTGGTTTCCTCGTCCAAAAAATATAGGAATAAGATTGATATCTGCTTTATAGTGTCACTTTGAAGATGAACTGAGCAACCTATGAAATGTAAGCATGATGCCTGGCCCATTGTAAGTGCCTTAAACTTAGTTTTTATTATTAGTTTTATTAAGGACTGAGCAGATGAGAATAGATTCAATATGAAAACTTAGGGAACCACTGAAGTTCCTTGAAGTGGGAAATGAGAATGGAATGCAGTGTTTGGGAAGAATCACTTGGCAGAAGTATTCAGGCTGGGTCAGAAGGCAATGGTGTAGCCCCAAAGGGTGAAGAAGGGCTGACCAGGGACTAGAAGCAACCCCTCCTGAAAATGAGAAAGCCTGTCCACTTGCTGGTACATGGCATGCACAGGCACTCAGTAACTCTACTGAATGAAAGTCTGCACCAATTGAACAATATAATTGTGGAGCTCCCAGGCTCAATCGCAAATACTATCAGAATTCTCCCTCAGTCAAGTATAGAGAGGTTTAAAGCACTGGAGAAGTTCACTGAGACTTGGCCTCTGGTTCATTTCAATTTCTCCCCCGAGTAGCTGGGACTACAGGTGCACACCACCGCAGCCAGCTAATTTGTGTGTGTGTGTGTGTGTGTGTGTGTGTGTGTGTGTGTGTGTGTGTGTGTGTGTTTTGTTTTGTTTTTTTTGTAGAGACAGGTTTCACCATGTTGCCCAGGCTGGTCTTGAACTCTGGGCTCAAGTGATCTACCCACCTCAGCCTCTCAAAGTGCTGGGATTACAAGCATAAGCCACTGCACCCGGCCCTTCTGGCTCTTTTTCTGATCTATGTTTTCAAATTCCAATTTGCTTGTCAGGAATTTCTCCACTGCAAGTGCTGAAGCACTATTCAAATCAGCTTAAAGAGGGAGAGATAATGTATTGGCTCATGAAGCCAAAAATCCAGGGATGAGTCTGATTTTCAGGTATAGCTGGATCCAGGCACTCAAACACTGTCACCAGGATTCTCCCCTTTCTCTTTCTCAGCTCTTTTCTTTGCATGTCTTCATTCTCAGATAATCCTTCTGATGGTATCAGAATTTCATTCTCACAGTGAAAAGTCTCAGCAGACAAAAGGCTTTCTCTTTCCTAATAATACTAAGAAAAGCTCTAGAATGGAGCTTAGTTTTTATTTTTTAAGTTTTTATTTATTTATTTATTTATTTATTTGTTTATTTATTTGAGGCAGAGTCTCGTTCTGTAACCGAGGCTGGAGTGCAGTGGCATGATATTGGCTCACTGCAACCTCTGCCTCCTGGGTTCAAGCAATTCTCCTGCCTCAGCCTCCCGAGTAGCTGGGATTACAGGTATACCCCACCACGCCCAGCTAATTTTTTTGTATTTTTATTAAAGACAGGGTTTCACCATGTTAGCCAGGCTAGACTTGAACTCCCGACCTCAAGTGATCCACCTGTCTCGGCCTCCCAAAGTGGTGGGATTACAGGCATGAGTTACCGCGCCCTGTCAGGAGCTTAGTTGGGTAACTTGCTTTTCTCCTGAATGTGTGGCCGTAGCCAGGGCATGTAACACATTGGCTGGTTCCATGTTCTCTTCTGGAGCTGGGGGTGAACACAGCCTCCCCCAAATCCCACAGTTGAAAGTGTGGAAGAATGGCTTCCCAAGGAAAATTCAAGTTTAGTTACCAGAAGTAGGAGGAATGGATGCTGAGCAAACAAAAAACACAACTGACCCCTACAGGCCACCAATACTGAAACCACAAGCTTCCTGAAAGCTCCTCCTATTGAAAGGTTCTGTAATGTAATACAGCTATGAACCTGTGAATTCATAGGCTTGAATTCACTTGGAAATCAACTTACCTTCTCTTGTATTTCCAGAAAAGTTGTATCTAATGAGAAGCAAATTCTGGCACTCAGAGGTTGAGCCATGTTGATATCATTGCATAGAACCTGCCATTGGTTTTACCTAAATGCACTCTCCTTTCTGGAAGTACTACTTCTGAGGAAAGGGCATCAGGGAGCACTTAATGCTTTAAATGTGTTTGTACAGCAACTTGCGTTCTCAAGAGGTATCACATAAATGCATGTGTTTTTAATTTTGACTTGATTCCTGAAGTAGCCTGGCCTTCTGATAGTGATCTTAGAAAATCAACCTAGAAGAAGAATACATTTTTCTCCCAGGCTGTGAGTCAAATGACTATGGCAATGAAGTTCCGTCAACTATGAAGCATCCTTCTGCTTTTTAATCTTTTCAGTAATTAAGAAAATAAATTCAACACATATAAATTAGAAATAATCAGCTTATAAGTCTATTTGCATTTATATTTTTAAAATGGACCGATGACTTAGCACATGACATAAGAAAATAAGTCAGGGAAATATTAAATCCACATATTCATTCAACACATTTACTGAGGGCCTATGGCCTACCATGTGCCAGGGACTGCTCTAGGCCCTGGGGATGTAGAAATAAGCAAAACAGATTTTTTAAAGTCCTTGTGCATATGAAGCTTACATTCTAGTAGGTGTGTCCATTTATATACAGTCTTCAAGTCTCTGTGCCATTGACAAGAACTAGTACTATATACCAGGAAGCATGCATGGCGAATCCTCAGATTCCTCTATGCTAGGCTTTCTGCCAGTGCTCTGCATACATCATCTCATTATTCTCTTCTTCCTAAGAGATGTAGACACCTGTTCAAGGAGCCACAGGAAATGAGTGGTAGGGTCAAGACCAGAACACCTATATCTATATCTGCCTTTTAGCTCATATTTTCTCTTGGGGTGTGGTTGCGGGGGATGGTGGGAAGTGGTAGGGACTGAGGCATATCAGATAACATGCTCTGTGCAAAGGGAGCACTACTCATTCAGATCCAGCCACTTGACATTCAGGAATATAACTCAATGTGGCCAAGTTTTCTGATTTTTCAAGAGAAGCCAGCAAACAGGATTTTGACATGAAAACCAATTTCAAAATACCATGAAAGCCAAACCAAATTTGTCTGGGTACAACTAAGGCTACAGATCTGCCCCTCTGTTAGAGGTCATGCTGTGACCAGGAGGGTGCCTGGGGAGGTAGGATTCCAGATAGCAACCTTGAAACTAGTTGGCCAGCCGGGCACAGTGGCTCATGCCTGTAATCCCAGCACTTTGGGAGTCCAAGGCAGTTGATCATTTGAGGTCAGGAGTTCAAGACCAGCCTGGCCAACATGGTGAAACACCATCTCTACTGAAAATACAAAAAATTAGGTGGACGTGGTGGTACACAACTGTAATGCCAGCTACTCGGGAGGCTGAGGCAGGAGAATCACTTGAACCTGGGAGGTGGAGGCTGCAGTGAGCCAAGATCATGCCACTGCACTCCAGCCTGGGCAACTCTATCTCAAAAAACAAACAAACAAAAAACAACGAAAAACCCCAGAAACTAAATGTGTGTAGAAAACTGCAAATACATCTGTGGTACTTACACAAAGTGTTTCTCAGGTTGATTTTCAAAGACTAAGGTAGAAAAATGGGGCCCTTATTTACCAAAAAAGCAAAGTCCTTTAATGAAAGCTACCAGGGAGGCAGCAGCTGGGGCGCTCCAACACCTAGCCATGGAGGAGGTTGGCATGGAACCATCTGATGCTGGGCTGACAGGCCACGCTTCTCTGAAAAGGAAAATTTAACTTCAGGGTGGGCTTCATGTTACATCTGAGGCCCTAATAATGATCATTATGCTGTCAGCACACAAGACATGGTTCAAAAAAATTCTCCTCCTTAAAGTCACATTCTATGTGCTTTCTGGTCCTTCCTAACCTCCTCCACCCTGTGGCCTCCCACACTCAACACAACTTTCCTTTTCCCCACCCACTTGCCAAGGAACTGCGGCCATCAGACAACATATGGAGGTCTCATCACCGGGATGGTCCGTAACTGGAAAGGAGTTGGTCATCTGGTGTTAGCAGCTCCTCTTTGTGTCGTAGCCTTTGGAAGGAAAGAGGGAGGAACACAGAATAGCGTCCATGTTTAAAAAACATTTGCACCATCAACAGACTGAAACTCTACAAGACAGTGGTCTTACTTTAAAAGTGTAAAGGAATTCCCATCCTCTTGATCTTAGCAAGATCAGAAAACCTCTGTTTACTACAAGAATTGTTTCAGAAAGGGAAGTGAAATCTGGCACATGAAAAATCCCATTTCTATCCACTCTCAAGATAGTAACTTTGTAGCCATATGCCATGTGTATTTCATCATAGCAAAACAGTACTGTAGTGCACTGGGGACAGATTTGCTGCCACTGCTGCTGCTGCTGCTGCTGCTGCCATCACCACCTCCACCACCTCCTTCTGTTGCTTGGATAAAGCTGAGGCATGTGGCACTGTTGTGAGATTCTTAGAAGATACAGGCAAGTAGTCCTGGCTAGGACCCTACAATTGAGTTTGCACCATGAGGCTCTAAATCTCAGCCTCTCTAGGTCCTGGTACTGTATCTTTGGAAGACACACACAGGAAGGACTTAGATACCTTCTGAAAAAGATGGGACAAAGAAAGCTTATACTCCTCCTCTCCCCTCCTCTTGCTTGGAAGATCATTTAAGATTAAGAGATGAAGTGACTTTTCCCACTGAAGGGGACACAGGGCAATGCTATGATTCGGAGTGTCCAGAGGCCTGTGTTCCAGCCATGGTTCCCCTATGTCCTCACCTTGGGACCCAGCACTACTTACTCCACCTTTTTGAGTCTCAGTTTCCCCATCTAAGAAATGGGAATAATAATAGGACCAACCACATAGAGCTGTTGTGAGGGTTAATTCATTGAGATGCTGAATGGTAAGAGAGGCTTCCTTTGCACAGAGCTTGTTCTCTAGTTTACTGCAGCCTCCAGTAATCCCCTTCCTGCCTCCCTGTCTGCACCCTAGGAGAAGGTACAGGTTAAAAGACAGATCTATGGTCCGATCATGGCCCCATCTCTTATTTCTGTGGCTCCTTGGACTGGTGATCAGGAGTCATTTTTCTGCATGATGACCAGGGCCACTCCACTGCAATTCTTTAGCTGCAGCAGTGGAGACACACACTACCTTTGTTCCCAGTGCATCCAGGTCCTTATTTTAGATGCTACCTTCGATTCTCTGAGCTGCTTCAGCCACAGTCCAGATGAGAGTGTGCTTGTCCTGCCCCCTCCCCTCCCCAGCCTGGAAGGTATGGAGTCCACCCGCATCAGAGTGGAGAGTGTCACTTTTTATGTATGCAGATTCCTGGGCTTCATCCTAGACCTATCACTTCTGAATCCCTGGGAGCCAGGGCCTAGGAGCCTTCAGGTGTGACAAGCCCTCCAAGAGAACAGATGCGCATGAAAGTATTTATGGCCCTCTGGGGCCTCAAGATCTGGAGAGCTTTGCCTCAATCGGGAGAGTCCTAGTCACTGCTTAGCAGAGTTTGGCTCTACTCCCTGCCCCGCCCACCCCTGCTCAGTCCCAGGCCCAGTCCCCCATTATCTCACACTAGAACCAGTGGCCTTGCTCTCTGCCTGCCAATCTGGAGATCTTGATCTGAAGTGTCAACCTGGCCCTGATACTTCCTGACTATAAATTCTGCAGGGGTTTCCCATTCCCTGCAGGATCAAGTCTGACAAAGCATTCAAAGCCACTCTCTTCAGCCTCAGATCTCCTGCCACTCCCTCTCCTAGTTGGGAACACTCCAACTAGGCTTATATTATGCTGAGGTCTCTGAATGTTCCCTGAGGCTACATGTCTCTGAGCTTCTGTAGGCACAGTACCCTCCACCAGAATGACCTTTCCCCTCTTCTACTACTCTTCCAGTCTCAGCCGAAATGTCACCTCCTCTGGGAAGCCTTCTCAGATGTCCCTAATGCCTACTACTCCTCTTTCCCTGTACACTCCCCAAATATATCACCCATGACCCTGAATTGCCTTTATTTGCTTATGTGTTTCCGCCCCACAAAACTATGAGGGATTTGCATTTTATTCATATCAAATTCCACAACTTTATCAGGGCTGATAAGGCTTGGCATGATCTGGCTCCCATCCACCTCTCCACCCTGTCCCCCACCATTCTCTGCCCCACCTACTTCACGCAGTCACTGTGGCCTGCTGACTGTTTCCAAGCTCAACAAGCTCTTTCCTGATCCTGTTCCTGTAGTGCTGTTTGCCTGGAATGCTCCCCATCGATCTTGCCATAGCTGGCTCCCTCTTGACATCCAGATCTTGCTCAAATGTCACCTTTTCAAGGCCAGCCAATCAAAATAGTTTTGTTTGTTCTAGAACTTCATTTAAATGTAATAATATGCTATGTATGCTTCTATCTGGCATCTTTCAGTATAAAGTTTTCGAGTTGTATTCATGTTGTAGCACTTACCACTACTTTGTTCCTTTTTATTACTGAGTAGTAAGCCATTGTATGAATATACCACAATTTATCTGTTCACCTGTTGATGGATACTTGGGATATTTCCAGTTTTTGGTTATTATGAATACAGCTGCTCTGACATTTTTCATGTACTAATCTTTGTGCAGACATACATTTTTATTTCCTTTGGATAAATACTTGTCTTAGTCCATTTGGTGGTGTTGTAACAGAATACTTGAGATGGGTCATTTATAAAAAGGTGTAGCTCACAGTTCTGCAGACTGGGAAGTTCAAGTGGCAGTGGCATCCACTCGGCTTCTGGTGAGGGCTTTTGTCCTGGGTCAAAACATGGCAGAAAAGGTTAAAGGGGAAGCAGACGTATGCAAAGAGAGATCAAACAGGAGGAGAAACTTCACTTTATTACAACCCCTTGCTCAGGAACTAATACATTCCTTGAGAATTGATCCAGTCTCTTGAGAACAACAACAACAACAAGAAAACACTCTACTAGGACAACAGCACCAACCTATTTTCATAAGGGATTCACCCCTATGATCCAAGCACCTCCCACTAGGCCTTACCTCCCCAGTGGACAGAACTGGCAAGCAAACTTCAACATGAGTTTTGACACAGACAAATCACATCCCAACCATACCTATAATGGAGATTGCTGGGCATTGGTAAGTATATGTTTAACTTTATAAGACACCACCAAACTTTTTTCCAAGTGACTGTTCCAGTTCACACTCCTGCCAGCAATATATAAGAGTTCCAGTTGTTCCACATCGTCACCAACACGTTATTACCGATTCTCCTAAAGTTTAGCCATTCTAGTGAGTGTGTGATGTTATCTCATTGTGATTTTAATTTACATTTCCCTAATGGCTAATAATGTTGAACAACTTTTCATGTGTGTTTATTGGATGTTTGTATATCTTCTTTTTGAGGTATTTGTTAAATTTTTTTTGCCCATATTTTATTTTGGTTGGGGTCTTACTATTGAGTTATTAGATTTCTTTATATGTTCCAGATAGAAATCTTTTGTCAAAAGTATGTATTACAAAACCTTCTCCTAGTGTATGACTTACCTATTTATCTTTTTAATGCTGTCTTTTTCCTCCTTTTATAGTAAGTTCTTTCTATGATCTCTGCCTACCCCACCATCATGAAGAATTTCTTCTTTCTTTCTTTCTTTTTTTTTTTTTTGAGATGGAGTTTTGCTCTTATTGCCCAGGCTAGAGTGCAGTGGCACAATCTCGGCTCACTGCAACCTCTGCCTTCCGGTTTCAAGCAATTCTCCTGCCTTAGCCTCCCAAGTCACTGGGATTACAGGCGCCTGCCACCATGCCCAGCTAATTGTTTTTGTATTTTTAGTAGAGACGGGGTTTCACCATGTTGGTCAGGCTGTTCTCGAACTGCTGACCTCGTGATCCACCCACCTCGGCTTCCCAAAGTGCTGGGATTACAGGCATGAGCCACCGTGCCTGGCAGAATTTCTTTCTTCCAGAAGTTTTATAGTTTTTTTTTTAATAGTTCTTTGATTTATTTTGAGTATGGTATGAAGTAAGGATTGAAATGCATTGCATTCCATATGGATATTCAGTTATTCCAACACCATCTGTTGAAAAGTCCATCTCTTTACCTGTAGTTATTTAAATTTTGTTGTATTGGTCTCTCCTACTAGTCTATAAGTTTCATATATTGTTCTAATGTAACCTGGGCTCTTCTCTATCCCTGCTACCTTCTTACAGGTAGAGAAAGCAGAGAAAGAGCATGCTTGCAAGTTAATTCAGGACATGATCCCAGGGAGCAGGAATAGGGGACTGGGGAGACTCATGAAGTAGGAACAAGGGAAAGCCAGTGCCATGGTGTGTTATAGAGCTGGTCACCACTGTGGGCAGCTGGGGCTTGACCCAGCTGGGATGTGATGAGGAGCAGTGTAGAGTGCACCTCCTAGTTGTCCACTGAGTGTCAGAGAAGAAAGCACATAGCCACCAACCCCAGCCGCCAAGGGCCCAGGGTTACTCCCAAGGGGTTAACATCCTCAGACATCCAGTTTGCAGTACTGGAGTCCAGGGAGAAGCCCCAGCAGAAGGCAAGAGCAGAGCCGTGTGGAGCAGCTGAGCCTCGGTGCGTTTACCTGCTCCAAGCTGGTTGCCACAGTGATGGCTGAGTAAAACGTGGGCCAAAAGGATGACAGGAGGGTTACAAGAGGTTTCCCATACACATTCATTCCACAAATATTATTTCCTTCTATATGCCAAGCACTGTGTTAAGCACTGGAGATAGCCATCAAAAAGCCAAGCCCTGTCCTTATAGGGAGACAGACAGGACGCAAGTCAACAATTGATATAATATTATATCAAGGAGAAATAAGTGCTATGAAGAAAATAAAACAGGATAAGGGAACCGAGGGTGAGCGCAGGGATGGGGCTCATTTTGACCACCAGGGAAGGCCTCTGAGGAGCTGACATTAGACAGAACCAAATGAGGAACTGAGCCATGTGTATACCCAGGGCAAGAACATTCCAGGTGGAGGGAACCGCAGGTGAAAGACTTGAGGGAGGAACAAGCTTAGGGCATTAGAGAAACAAGGAAGTCACTGTGGCTGGAGCAGAGTGAGGGGAAGAGGCATAAGAGATCAGGAGAGGCAGCCTGGCAGGCCCTTTGAGTTTGAATTTTATTCTGAGTGTGATGGGAAGCCACTCGAAGTATTTAAGAAAGGTTATAGGCCGGGCACAGTGGCTCATGCCTGTAGTCCCAGCACTTTGGGAGGCTGAGGTGGGCAAATTGCTTGAGCTCAGGAGATTGAGACACACCTGGGCAGCATGGTGAAACCCCATCTCTAAAAAAATACAACCCCAAAACCCCAAAATTAGCTGGGTGTGGCAGTGTGCACCTGTAGTCCCAGCTACTTGTGAGGCTGAGAGGCTGAGGTGGGAGGATTACTTGAGCCCAGGAGGTTGAGGCTGCAGTGAGCTATGATCACACCACTGCACTCCAGCCTGGGCAACAGAGCAAAACCCTGTCTCAAAAAAAAAAAAAAAAAAAAAAAAAAGAGGGTTATGACCTGGTCTTATTTATGTTTTAAAAGTCATGTGGGTGAGACCGGCCTGGCCAACATGGTAAAACCCAGTCTACTAAAAATACAAAAATTAGCCAGGCATGGTGGCACACACCTGTAGTCCCAGCTATTTAAGAGGCTGAGGCAGGAAAATCGCTTGAACCCAGGAGGTGGAGGTTGCAGTGAGCCAAGATTGCGCCACTGCACTCCAGCCTGTGCGACAGAGTGAAACGCTGCCAAAAAGAAAAAAATTATGTGGGGTACCATTACACACCTATAGTGGGGCAGGGCTAAAATCCTAAACACAAAAACAAAAGAAGCGGTAATATCCAGTGCTGGCAGGGATCCAAAGAAACTGCAGCTTTCACACTGCTGGTGGGAATGCAAAATTTGTATAGTCAGTTTGCAAGAGTTTGGCTATTTCTCATAAATATGCCCTTACCATACAACCCAGCAATCCCACTTGTAGGTATTTTCCCACAGTGAAATGATACTTCTGTTCACACAAAAACCTGTACACAAATGTTTATAGTGACTTTATAATTGTCCAACAACTGGAAACAATTCAAATGTGTTTCAACTGGTAAATGTATAAACTGTATAAACTGTGGTACAGCCATATAAAAAGGAATGAACTATTGGTAATGTGTGCAACAACTTCAAGGGACCTTGAGGGTGTTATTCTTGGTGGAAAAATTCAATATAAAAATGTTAGATACAGACCAAGGCAGGCGGATCACAAGGTCAAGAGATTGAGACCATCCTGGCCAACACAGTGAAACCCCATCTCTACTACAAATACAAAAAATAGCTGGGCGTGGTGGTGCGCACCTGTAATCCCAGCTACTTGGGAGGCTGAGGCAGGAGAACTGCTTGAACCCGGGAGGCGGGGGTTGCAGTGAGCCAAGATTGCACCACTGCACTCCAGCCTGGAGACAGAGCAAGACTCCGTCTCAAAAAAAAAAAAAAAAAAAAAGAAAAAAGAAAAAATGTTAGATAACTATGTGATTTCCTGTATATAACGATCTCAAAATGACAAAACGACAGAGATGGAGAACACATTCATGGTTGCCAGGGGATAGAAAGAGAGACAAGGAGGAATGAAGTGGGAGTGGATGTGAATGCAAAGAAGTGTCACTAGTGAGTTATTCTGTGGTGATGTAACAGCTATCTGTCTTGGTTGTGGTGGTAGTTACATGAATCTACACATGGGATAAAAGAGCACAGATACACACACACACGTAAATGAATGCAGGTGAAAACGAAATAATGTCTGTAGCCTAGTTGATAGTAGGTTGGTGCAAAAGTAATTGCGGTTTTTACCACTACCTTCAATGGCAAAAACTAAAATTACTTTTAAGTAATAAGATGTCACCACGGGGGGACACTGGAAGAAGGGTACAGGAGACTATTATTTTTGCAACTTCGTATGAATCTATAATTATTTCAAAATCAAAAGTTTAGAAATACAACTAATGGATAAAAAAACTATAAAAGGCTTTTTTTTTTTAACTGGGATAGTTTGCAAATGGATGAGCATTAGATGACATTTGGGAATTATTGTCAACTTTCTTAGGTGTGATAATATATGCTTATCACATGTCCATACATTCTTAGGTGGTATATGTTAAAGTTTTAGAGGTAAAGTGTCAAAGTGTCTACAACTTATCTGCAAATTGTTCAGCAAATATATGCCTATGTATATACATAATTTTAAAATATGGCAAAACACAGGCAATACAGAGGGACCAGCAACAGCTCCAGGAAGTGGCATCTGGATGCTTCCACAGAGGCCCAGGTAAAGTCATCTACCTTTCTTCTGAGACTTATAAATCAAAACCAAACTTTCTTCCCCATGGTGGAAAGACTAGCTCCTTTTGTTTCTTTTTGAAAAAAGAAAGATGTTGGTAATTTCCTTTGCAAACTTAAAATGCTAAATAAACATGACACTTTGTTTTACAATATAATAATAACTATTATTTATTAGGGGCTTTCTCAACGCCAGGTCCCTTTTCAGGCACTATGCCATCCTTATAGCAATTGAATGCAGTAGCTATTTTTAGTAGCCCCATTGTACAAGTGAGGAAGCTGAGGCTCAGAAAGGTGGGATGACTTGCCCTTGGCTGCACCCTAGGGTGCTCTGATGCTTACCTGCTCCACAGGAGGCCTCTTTCAGAGTCCTCCTCCTCCCCTTCAGCCACTAGCTCTACCCCTACCTAGGGACAGCCTTTATGTAGAGTCACTGTGGGTCCAGCAGCACCATTCAGGCCATGGATGTCTTTCTCTGGCTGAGAATGGGAAGGTTCTCTGTCTCTGCAGTGGGGTGAGTGGTTGCATCTAGGTCAAATATGGGAGGGAAAAGAAGGGGATGGAGTGAGGGACCTGGAGGGAAGAGGGAGAACATGCAGAAAACACCGGATGCTCTTTATAGCTTCTTCAAAAAACAAAGGCATTAGGGAACACAGGTTTTTATCAGTCTGTTAGGAGGAAGGAGGGAGAAGGGGGAGTAGAGGTTGTGAAGGATGTCTATTCAGATGTCAGAATTAGGTCTGGGGCCCAGTGATAATGACAATAAAGATGGTAATGATGACAACAATAATAGCAGACACTGTGTGCCAAGTGCAGTGCTAAACACAGCACACTAATTATCTCAGGCAGCCTTCTCAGGAACTCTACAGTTTACTATCTTTGTCATCCCAATTTTCAGATTAGAAAACTGAGGCCCACAAAGTAATACCAAATTATACATTTTCTTTTCCTTTTTTTGAGACAGAGTTGCACTCTTGTTGCCCAGGCTGGAGTGCAATGGTGCAATCTCAGCTCTCCGTAACCTCCGTCTCCCGGGTTCAAGTGATTCTCCTGCCTCAGCCTCCTGAGTAGCTGGGATTACAGGCATGCGCCACCACGCCCGGCTAATATTGTATTTTTAGTAGAGATGGGGGGTTTCTCCATGTTGGTCAGGCTGGTCTTGAACTCCTGACCTCAGGTGATCTGCCGGCCTCAGCCTCCCAAAGTGCTGGGATTATAGGCGTGAGCTTACACATTTTCATATGTACACACTCGAATATAAATACAATTGAATGAGGTCAGTGTACACATTGACACTAACTACACAACAACACAAACTAACAACAGTAGGTACCTGAGGAAGGGTGAGTGTGGTCAAGGGGGGAGCTTCAGCTTTTCATTGTATTGCGCGATTTTTTTTACAGTGGGAATGTGTAACCATGCCTGTGACATTTCTTTTAAAAAGTGGGTGATGCTGAAGACTGTGTCCAAGGATCCCAGAACTAATTTGGGGCCACACCTCACACACTGCACATCCCAGGCCTTGACCACGAGGCTGCACAGCCTTTCAAAGGGAGACCCGTGCCTGCCTCATTTTTTTTTTTTTTTTTGAGACGGAGTCTTGCAGTGTTGCCCAGGCTGGAGTGCAGTGGCGCGATATAGGCTCACTGAAAGCTCCACCTCCTGGGTTCACGCCATTCTCCTGCCTCAGCCTCCCGAGTAGCTGGGACTACAGGCGCCCGCCACCACGCCTGGCTAATTTTTTGTATTTTTAGTAGAGACAGGGTTTCACCGTGTTAGCCAGGATGATCTTGATCTCCTGACCTCGTGATCCGCCCGCCTCGGCCTCCCAAAGTGCTGGGATTACAGGCGTGAGCCACCGCGCCTGGCTTTTTTTTTTTTTTGAGACGGAGTCTCACTCTGTCGCCCAAGCTGGAGTGCAGCGGCGCTATCCCAGCTCCCTGCAGCCTCCACCTCCCGGGTTCAAGCGATTCTCCTGCCTCAGCCTCCCGAGTAGCTGGGATTACAGGCATGCGCCACCACACCCGAGTTTTTTTTTTTTTTTTTTTTTTGAGACGGAGTCTTGCTCTGTCGCCCAGGCTGGAGTGCAGTGGCGCGATCTAGGCTCACTGCAACCTCTGCCTCCCGGGTTCAAGCGATTCTCTTGCCTCAGCCTCCCAAGTAGCTGGGATTACAGGCACGCGCCACTATGCCCGGCTAATTTTTTTTTTTTTTTGTATTTTTAGTAGAGACGAGGTTTCACCATGTTGGCCAGTCCTGTCTCCAACTCCTGGCCTCAAGTGATTCGCCCGCCTCGGCCTCCCAAAGTGCTGGGATTACAGGCGTGAGCCCCCGCGCCCGGCCTGCCCCCACACTTGGATGGTAGAGAGGAAGGAGGAAACGACTTCTCAGAGGCGTCGGCCCCTTGCCCTATCCGTCTTCCCTGGGTCTCCTGGGGGATTGGGCCAGCCGGGAGTCCCGGAGCTGGGCAAGTGTCCAGCCCCGGAGCCCGCCCACTGTCACGGAGCGGACTCCCGTCCAATCAGACCCGGGTGATGCCACTCCGGAGATGAGAGTGGCAGGAAATCAAGGTCAAGGCCCTGGTCACAATGGGGCCATTGTCGTTCTCCAGTCAGTTGACTTTCAAGCAGCCGTTCCCCATCCACCCTTCACTCTTTCTCCCACCCCCACCCCCCGCCCCCTGTCAGGAAGTCACCCAAACCTATTGCCTCCGTATTAGACTCTGCCTGAAGGAAGCCGCTTTCTGGATCCTACCCCAGACGCTGGAGGCTGGGCTGCTGCGGCATCGTCTATTAGGTCCACCAGGTGGCGACAGAGCACCACATTTCTGAGTGCAGGGAGGGAGGCCCGGGGCTGGCGGCTCAATCACTGATCAGGGCGTGGGGGAACCCTGCCCTTCCTGTTTTATCCAAGAGAAACAAAAAACCAAGTCAGATTATACTTTCCCTCACCCTTTACTCTGAGGTCACAGGAATCTGGAATCTTAGGGACTCTTCCCTTAGCAAACGGCAAAATGGCCGTGGGTTGCAGCCCTATTTTTTTTCCTTGAATGGGGGTGGAAAACCAAGGGGAAACCTATTTACTCCGGAAGTCACAGCAAGTGGAACCCTGACTGCCTCTCTAGCCTGCATTAATCAATTGGCTGATTGATGGGTTGTGTTAGTGTATAAACGTCACGTCTGAAAGGACTTCCCTGGTCCCCCAGTCTAAATTATGCCTTCCCTGTTCTCCCTCAGAGCCAGCTTTAGTTTTCCTTCTTTGCATGTATCCGTTTGTAACTGGACACATTTGTTTGATTATTTTCCACTAGAATATACTCTGCGAGAGCAGGGACTGGGTCTAGTTTTGTTGCATTAATTTGTCCACTAAGGACAATACAGTAGAGTATCTGGCACATAGTAGGTATTCAGTAATACCTAATACTGATAATATTATAAACATAATAAATGAAGGAGTGCCCAATTGAGCAATGCGGGTGGAGGTGGGCTTCTGGTCCCTGAGAATTCAGCATGTGTGAATTCAGGTAGGCCCACTTAGCAGGCTGCACCTGGCCCAAACTATCACATTAGAGAGGCAGGCCCCAGAGGCAGAAAAGCTTTGAGGTTAAGACATCTGGTCTGGGCTCTAGCCACCTGGCTTCACGATCTCATTGTCCCCTCATGTGGTGGGCGACTTTGCACGCATCAACCTTTCCGAGCTTGTCTCCTCATTTGCAAAATGGGGACAAACATGGCATTTATCTTCTAAGGCCACTGTGAGGGTTCTGAGAGAGAATTCATGGAAGATGCTTAGCCCAGGGCTGGGGACCCAGTAAGCACTCCGGGAATATTCGTCATTACTATTATTACTATTATTGCTGCTGCTGTTGCTGCTACTACTACTACTGCTGCTGCTGCTGCTGTTGGAGAAAGAACCTTCACTGAGGCTGTATAGCCCAAGTGCTCCAGGCAGGTACCAGCTGAGGTGAGGGGTCTGGGGCTGAGAGGATATTCCATTGGTACCTGCCCCTTGGCAGTTCTCTGGGTTTGATTTCTCTTATCAACTGGTCCAGGAAGCTGAGGCTGGTAGGGCCTGTTCCTCTCTCCTGGTGGCAGAGGTCAGATCTGTCTCTGCTGCAATCGCTGCTGGGGGGACATCCTCTTAGCCTTCCTGGGACACTGTGGGCCCAGGCAAGCCCATTAGTTAATTCCTTTGTTTAACAGGCATGGTGCTTTACCAGGTCCTGGGGATGGTGGTGAATAGAGTCATCTTCTCCCTGTTCACAAGAAGCACATGGGGTTGGAGCACAGGGGGAGATGTTAATCAAAGCAAAATGGGGGAAAAGGGCATTTTTTTTTAACTGTGATAGGGGACAGGGCCTGGTCTACGACATTCCCTGAGGAAGTGACTTCTGGACTGGGAGCTGAAGGAGGAGGAAGAGGAGCTATCCAAGAAAATCCCTCCCTTAAAGCAACCAGCCCTGGGGAATGCTGTGATGACCCAACCGGTCCTCAGGCTCTTCCTGGCCCAGTCAAATGGTCAGATGGGAGAAGATTAAAAACCAACACACCCTAAGTACACAGGCTCCTCCTGGGGTCTACTGCCCCCACTAGCGTTACCTGGACACATATACACACAATGTCAAGTCGCAGCCCCTAACCCTGGCCCCAGCCCTGGGGGAAGAGGAAAAGTCTTAGGGAGGTGGCCAGGAGAAGTTGCCATGGGTTCAAAAAGGCCTGGGATGAAGGGATCCTGGGATGACTCCCTGGGGTCAGCATTCTGGGTGGGATAGGGTGCAAACCCGTGGTTCCAGGCAACCAGACGCACCAGCCACCAGCACGTCAGGGGAGCTGAGAGCATAAGCTATGTTATCTGGGTCCTGGGCACGTATCGCAGCTCTAAGGCTTGGCAGCTTTGGCAAATTTCTTCACCTAAGCCTCAGTTTGCTTGCCTATAAAATGGGAGCAATAATAATAACACCAACCTCATCGAGTGTTTTGGGGGACTTAGTGAGATAATACACGAAACGTCCTGGCACATAATGGGCACTTGACAAACATTAGTGTTATTATGTATTCTTTCTTTTTTTGAGACAAAGTTTTGCTCTTGTTGCCCAGGCTGAAGTGCAGTGGTGCAATCTCGGCTCACCGCAACCACCGCCTCCTGGGTTCAAGCAATTCTCCTGCCTCAGCCTCTCGAGTAGCTGGGATTACAGGCATGTGCCACCACGCCCAGCTAATTACAGGCATGTGCCACCACGCCCAGCTAATTTTGTATTTTTAGTACAGACGGGGTTTCTCCACGTTGGTCAGGCTGGTCTCGAACTCCCAACCTCAGGTTATCCACCCGCCTCAGCCTCCCAAACTGCTGGGATTACAGGCGGGAGCTACCGTGCCCGGACTATATATTCTTTTATATAGGCCTTTATCTTTTATAGCTCCTTTGTCACAGGATTCTGCCAGTTTGGAGATAAGGAACCTGAGACCCAGAGAGGTGAACTAACTTGCTTAGGGTCCCACAGTTAAAAAGCAGAGGAGTCGGGATTTGAAGCCAAGTTTCTTTGACTGCAAAGCCTGTGCTCCTAGGAGGTGAGGGAGGGAAGAGATCAGTGGCTGCCTGGGAAGAAGCTGGGCTCCTGTTCAGTCATATTTTCATGGATTCAACAGATGGGTGTAAATCTTTCTGGGGCTGAGGGTGGAGTACACATCCTCTTTTTCTAAATGTGGGAGTCAGGCAGGGCTCCCGCTGGTCCCAGTTGCCCCAGCCATGATGGAGGCAGAGCAAGCAGGAGTGGGGAGGAAGAGAAAGCCACTCGGGGCAGGGAGTAACTGAGTCCCAGGGGCTTGGAGTTGGGCTGAGGCCACTAACGGAGCCCTGGCAAGTCTTTCTTGCCAGCCTGAGCCACAAATCTCTGCTCACTCTCACCCCTAGGAGTTTGTGGCGCCCCCTCCCTTTCCCACCTCAGCCTGGGACCCCTCCTTTCTCTCCTCCTCCCTCCTGAATGCAGTAATCCCAGCTAACAAAAGCGACCATGGCTACTCTGACGTGTGGGACGACGATGCTAGCCAGGCCGTGCCAGGTCAGTATGCCAAGCTGGGCTCAGGCCCCTTCCCACGTGCCAGGGTGCACTGGCCCTGCTGTCTGCTCCCTCCCCATGAAAACCCAAGCAGCCCTCATTTTTGAGACAATGGAATTAAACAGCTATGGGACAGGTGGAAGTAGGGGGCTGTGAGAGTAGGGAAAAAGTAGAACCTTCCTGAGCCTGTCCTGCCTCCTCTCCAGCTCTGGAAGGATGGGCTGCAGACCAGGGCTTGAGAAGGAAGAGGTCAGATGGGTTGCAGAGTGCAAAAAGGACTGCCCTAATTAGAGGCCTCTTAAATTCTCTGAGCCTCAGTTGCCTCATTTGTTAAATGGAATTAATAAACTCTCCTGAGGTTTGGTTGGATTAAAAAAGATAATGAATGAAAAATACTTAAGCACAGGGCCGGACACATAGCAAGCACTGGATAAATGATCTCCCTTGCCGCTGCAGGGGCTGCTGGTGCTGTTACTGATGCAAATTCTGAGCCGTGGCCACGCACACTTTGGCTGGCCTCCAGGGGACGGTCAGCTAGGTCCGCTGGGGAACCTTCCTCCCTGCCTGGTCCCACTAATGATGACACCAGGTCCTTGGGCCTGATGCAAGAAGATCAGATGTCCTGCAAGGGAGAGTCACCATCTCCTACCTCATCCCCGGCACCCCACCCCCACCTTACCAGAATGCAAGGTGTCCTGGCTAGCCTGCAAGGTGGGATGGGGACCCTTTAGCTACAGGCTGCCTGATTTCTCCTCCCTTCCTCTCACTGCTTCTCTGCCTTTAACTTTTCTCTTTGCCAATGCCAGAGACCTGCTTTCTTATGCCAAGGAGAGAGAGAGAGGAGGAGGGAGGGGGCTGGGGGAGGGGTGAGGAGATGGAGGAAGCGCTCCAGTGCATAAAGAGGAAGGGGCTTCCTTCCGCTCTCTGTCTTTTCATTGTCAAGTTGAAATTGGTGACATTGGGTAGTATATTTAAGACATCTGTCCCCATGCCCTGCCACTCCCTTAGGAAAAGAGCTGCTCTCTGTTTGCGTAATAGAAGAATAGAAGCTTTAATAAAAGTTTTATTAAATAAAAGAAGCTTAATAAATAAAAACTATTACACAACAACAGAGTCTGCGGTCCCATTGGCCACCTGACCACTCACTTCCGGACTGGGGGCTGTTGTGCCCATATCCTGGCCTGTGTCCTTCCGCTCTGTGGGGCGCAGGACAGGGCTGGACCTGGTAGAGGCAACAGTGCAGGCTTGGGCCCGGGCTGGGGCTGAAATCCTGACCCTCGGCCCTTTTGGATAATAGCAGCCTGAGCAGGGGGTCCTTGAGAACTGGGATCACCAAAGTCCTGGTCCTGAGGCAGGATCTTTTCAGTCCCTCCCACAGGTGGGGCCACCCCTCTGCCCCACCAAGTTGCCCCAGAAGCTGGAGAGGAAAAAACTCTGGGTCTCCAGACAACGGTCTGGAGAATCCTTGAGGATCTGGAAGTCCCCGCTGCTGCCTGGCCTGGTGAGAGAGCAGGCTGCCCCCCACCCGCCCCCCTACCCAAAAGTGGCAGGCACCCTGGGTGGAGTTCGGCCCCAATGTGTGGAGCCTCCGGAGCTCGCTGATCTGAGCTGCGATTAGGTTGGAATGTTCCCGGTCCAGTTCGCAGCGATGTGGTTGTGCTGGCCTAGGGAGATTGTCCGAGGGTCTGGCTGTGCCAGGTTCCTCCTGCCTTAAGGGCCTGTGATTTCTGGCCAGCCCACCCACAGGACTCCCCTCTTGCCTCTGCCTACCGCACCCACCTTTCTTAGCAGCCCTCACATGCCTTAGGCCCCCCGGGGCCTTGCTCATTTGTCCCCTCTGCCTGAAAGCCCTCCCCTACACCCGTCATCCCTCTTGCCTCACTTATTTCTATTCTGTCTTTCAGACCCCTCCAGGGAGCCTTGCTGACCCCTCCACGACTCAAGCTGCATTGGCTGCCCCTCCGCTGCACTCTCCAAGTTCCCTGTGCTCCTGGATCTGGCACGCATTATGCTGTCTCCAGAGTACTTGTGTTGCAAAGTGTCTGTCCCCTCTCATCACTTCAGCTGCCTATGGATAGGGATGGTGTCATCTCTGAGCCTTGATTCATAAGACCTGCATGGGGCAGATGCTCACATTGAATGGACCAATGAGTGGTGGTTACACTGTTTACCTGCGGGTGGAGTGGGGAGACTTCCTGTTAGCAAGTGCTTTTCCCACACTTGAGACTGCCTCTCTCCTCTCTAAGTCCTGGATTTTAGGCCTCCTTCCCCTTCTACCCAAGCTCACCCCCCCTTGTCATAACCTGATGAGGGCTGAGGGAGGTGGTACAGGAGATGAGTTAAGTGTGGGGCCACTTGCCAGCTAAGAACCCTTGACCCAAGTTTCCTTTTCTGGAAAACAGACAATAACAGCACCTTCTTAGAGTGGCTATAAGGACATAACAAGCCCCTTCCCTCCCCCTGTCCACACTCAACAAGGGGCTCTATTCTTTCCTGAAGGTCTGTGGTTGCCTCCGGAGGCTGGAGGGCAGCTCTGGAGTCTGGCTTGGCTTTCTATTTGCAACCATTCCATATCCCTTGTCCCCACCCCACTCCCTCCCTAGGGCCACACCTCTCCACAATGCGGAAGCCATGGGGTACTCTGGGATTTATGTCCGTGGTGTGTAGGGGAAACTCCTGGAACAAATGAGCGGCTGTGCACGTGGTTGTGTTTGGTTTTGGACTCAGAGGGCACCTCTGGTTTTATGGGTCTGTCCTTGGTCTTATGCTGGCTGCCTGCCAGGTTCCAGGGGTCCACATCCCTGGAATCACTACCTAGGCCCAAGGTGGGGAGCAGAGACCGATAACCCAGGTGTCTGGGGTTATTAGCCATCAGAAACATGGAACCTGACAGCAGGAGAGTGGCCACCACTTTGCCCTGACATCTGGAGGCCTTACTGCCCCACCCTCAGGTCATCATCCCCAAGGCCTGGCAGATATTTGTGTGAAGACAGAAGGAATTTGGGTGAGGGCAGAGACCAGCATGGCACCCACCCTTTTCCTCCAATGCCCCTCCCTCTCCCAGCTCAGGGGCTTAGGAGTGTGGTATGCAGCGGGGATGGAGGGTATGAACCCTAGAAGCAGACCGGCCTCAATTTTAATCCTAACTAGCTGTATTGTGTGACCTTGGGCAAGTGACTCCATTTTTCTGAGCCTCATTTCATAAGCTATAAAATGGGGATAACAACAGCACATATCTTTTAGAGAGTTGTAAGGATTAAACAATTAAATGGGATTAAATAACGAATTAATTTTAAAGGATTATATAATAAAATTCATGCATGTACACAGTGAACAGTAAATGGTAGTATTACTCTTATTATCTGTCCCTTGCTGCGTTTCAAGCATCTATCCAGGATACTTTAATGTTGTCCAACCTAACAGAGTCTGAATTTGTTTAACATTTACAGTACCTTAGAGAGGAGCTCAGTGAGCTCAAATGAGACGAGAAAGGTAGCCACTGGGTTCTGAGCAGGGTCTGCCACCCCTTTCTGGACCCCACCCCCTGCCCAGAGTGCCAGATGGCCCAGCTGCTGTCCTTGCCTCTTCCAAAAGCTTGGGGAGGTCTTGCTGCATCTTCCCATGTGGGAAACTCAGGCAGGCAGGCAGCCCTGCCTACCAGGGACCAAATGCACTGGCCTGGAGGCCATAGGGTGTTCCTGTAACTAGAGAGCAGGGATGGAATGGGATGAATGCAGGGCCAGGAAGGTGAGAACAAGGATCATACCTTTGCTCGGTGCCACACTTCAGGCTTTCCAAAGAGGATTCTCAAACTTTTCTCTCCACAGAAATGGCTCATGGGCAATGACACCAGGAGCAGAGGAGGCCCCTTTTTCTGTGCTGGGGTCTCAGCACCAACCAGACCAGTGTTGTGGCCACCCTGAATATGGAGTGTCTGGCAGAAGGGAAGGCTTCTGGCAGAAGGGGAGGCCGAGAGACCCACATCTGCAAAGGCCAGGGCCACAGGAAGAAAGCAGTGATATAAAGCACTTCCCAAAGTCCTAGGCTTGGGCCAAACTACGTATAGCAACTCAAGGGTTAATCCCCACCCCACCCTCATCAGTCTCATCCTAAAGAGAAAAGGAAGCAAAACAGAGACCACGGCTGCCTGAGGTGGCAGGCTGCCTTATCTGTTGTGGCTGCTGCTGGATAACCTGCGGCACTGCCATGGGTACTTGTGTGCCAGCTGAGGGACAGGCATTCCCAGGCGGGCCACCCTGGAGATCCCCCCTGGTGAGATCAAGAGGCATGAGACAGAGGCTATGCCCAAGGACTTAGGCCAGTTGGTGGCCCTGGACACATTTGCTCCTTAAGGCTGAGGCCTGGGTCAAGCTCCCAGCATTGCATAGCACCCTCCTCCCAGCCACCAGCCATGGGTTGGCACCCTGGTGAGGAGCTGGCCCTGCTGAGGGGCCCTGTACCCCTGTTCAGGGAGAACACAGGGATCCTCAGCCTTCTCTGAGCCAGCCTATGGTGGGTGGGCCTTGCAGGGGCTATCTCTTGCCCAGGTACTGGTATTCCCAAGGTGGTCTTTGGCTGCGTGGGTGGCACAGTCCTTACCTGGAAGCAGAGCAGCCTGCCCCACCCAGATCCATGTCACAGTGTAGAGTGGATGAGAAGTCAAAGCCAGGCAGGACCAGGCGTCTGGAATAGCCATTTTGTTGGATGGGTCCCAGGCCCAGGGCTCTGCTGCCCAGGCCCTGCCATTCTTCTGAGGGACAGGGGTGGGGAACTTATCCTAGCCAGGCCTTAAAAATGAGAAGGCCAGCCTGTAATCCCAGCAATTTAGGAGGCCGAGGCAGGCGGATCACGAGGTCAGGAGATCGAGACCATACTGGCTAACGCGGTGAAACCCTGTCTCTACTAAAAATACAAAAAATTAGCCGGGTGTGCTGGTGGGCGCTTGTAGTCCCAGCTACTCGGGAGGCTGAGGCAGGAGAATGGCATGAACCCGGAAGGCAGAGCTTTCAGTGAGCCGAGATTGTGCCATTGCACTCCAGCCTGGGTGATGGAGAGAGACTCTGTCTCCAAAAAAAAAAAAAAAACAAAAAAAAAAAAAAAATGAGAAGGCCAGAGAACCAGTGGAGTGGAGGCTGGGGGTGGGTGGGGTGTGTGAATGTCAATGTGCCAAACCTCATCACTCCTCTCCTAGGAGTTCTTTCATTAAATGCCCCAATCCCAGCTCCTCCTCCCATGGTCCATGGAACACAGAAGGCTGGGACTCAGCGGCCGCACAAGCCTGAAGCCCCACCCCTTAGCTGGCCTGAAAACTTCAGTCAGTGACCATGCGGGGCACTAGAACCTCCTGCCACCAATCAACAGGAAGCAAGGAGAGATGCCCGGGTATCCTCAGAGAGGGAGGGGCCATGCAGAGGGGCTGGCAGATTTTCTCGGTGTGGGGAATGAGGGATAGGGCACAGGAAGGGACGTTCTCAAGGGTCTAGGGTCATGTTTCAGGAGGAAGATAAGCACCAAGCCAAGTTCTACCAGGTATATGCCTGGCTCCTGCACCTCCCATGGTCCTTCCCATTCAGCCGGGCTTCCTGTCTCCTGGCCTTTCTATAGGTGCTCAAAGCATCCTGTGATTCTCTTTATCATGGCTTATAATTCTCTGCTTGCCAAGTGGTTTGATTAATGTCTGTGTCCCCTATAAACCATGACTCTACACGGTGGCATTCTAAGGATGGCAGAATCCCCAGAATCCTATACTTGTCTTCATCGCTGTCTACCTAAGAACTTAGCACTCCCCAGGGCGTAGCACACAGTAGGTGCTCAGTGTACATTTTAGTGAATGAATGAATAAAGGAATAAATTTCCCCATCAACCACCATGAGCTCTAGGAGGGCAGTAATTGCTTCTTGTTTGTTTTTGCATCCACAACCCGTGGCCTGGTGCCTGGCACAAAGTAGGTTCCCATTAAATTGTGTGGGATACTCACAATTTGGGTATCTCTCCTGGGAAGAAAGGGGTCCCTGGCAGGGATAAGGAGAAAAGGCAGTGCTAACTGGAAGAGGGTGAGAGGTGAGGTTTGGGTGGCTGAACTGGGGTGCTCTTCCAGACAGGTTTGGGTGAATGGGGAAGCTCTGTGGGAGCCACTCCTGGTAAGCACTCACCTATGAGAAAATTTGAGGAAGACACAATACTGCAGCAAGGTAGTAGTCTAAGCCAGAGCCAGAGGCCATGGCCACACAGGCTATTCCCCCACCCCATTCCCAGAGCCTCCTAAGGGTGGGGACAGGAGCAGGGCTCCAACAAGTGCCACTCTTTAGACCTGAGGGTCTTGTGGTCATGTGAGGCTCTGGACTTCAGGTCACTCCTTGCCTTTGCAGGGCCAGGGAGTCTAAGACACATACGGGAACTGAAGGACAGAGGGAGTGGGTGTGGGGTCTTGCCCTGGGCTTGGAGTAGATCCCCTGTACTGTCTGCAGAGTGTCAGTGCTGTGTCCTGGGAGATGAGGCTCCCCTTGGGGATGCAGAGTCACTGAGGGCCTCTAAACATGGGATCAATTGCTGGGTCTATTTTTGATGTCTGGATGAAGTAAGGAGGAAATAGTCTCCTAGGACCCAGGTTCCAGATGCTAAAGAAAGTTAATGTCTGGAGTTTGCAACCCAGTCCCACACCTCAGAGTCTGAAAGACACTTAGGTTATAAAGTGTCTCATGGACACCCTGGTGGGCAGTGCAGTGCCCTCATCCAGGACTTCCCTCCCTCAATGATTTGAGCATCTATCTAACCAACCCTGAATCAAAATAAGGACTGACACAGATGTCAGACCTGGCACTCCCCATGTGGAAACCTGTGCTGAATGTTAGGATTTGAAGCCAAAGCATATGTGAAGCTTCAGAATTAACTTTTAATTCTTGCTTTAAGTTGCAAAAAACGAAAACAAATAAAAAAAACCCCACCAAATCTAACCAAACCAAACCAAAACAAAATGTGGGTGATTAACTAGCAGACAAGTAGAGAGGGGCTGTTTCAAAAACTTCCTAAACATAACTTCCTTTTACTCAATGGTAGAAACTTTTACCTGGAGTGGATACTGGCTAGTATGTGGACACACAGGGGAATTTTTTTTTTTTTTTTTTAACACAGGTTTATCACCAACTCTGGCAGTTTTGAGAAAGACTCACTTGGGTTCTAAGGAACAGAATTTTTCTGTGAAAACTGCATCTCATCAAGCTGAAAGATCTCCAGCAGTGCCAAGGCCAGGGAGCAGGTCTCTGTCCTCAGCTGCCAGCTTGTTGGCTGCAGCCCCAAAAGACCTACTGATATTTGGTCCTCATCAAGAGCTGACCCAGAGAGTCCATGTATGCAACTGTAAACCCACTTTTTTCCCCCTATTTTGTTTTCCTTTCAAACCTAAAGCTAGATGTGGCCGTTTCGCCGCCCAAGGGGACTGTGTCGTGGAGGCCCGGCTCGGGTCCGAACAGGCAGAGGCCCGCTCCAACAGGTGCGCAGCGTGTGCGCGCGGCCAGCTTGGGGCCGGCCACACAGCCCCCAGCAGCTCGCCCCGGGTCTCTCCCGCTGCACCCAGCCTCACCCAGAGCCCGAGGACGCAGAGAACGGCCTGCGCACCGCCCGCGGCTGCTTCGGAGGGGTGAGGGGGTACAGCGAGAAACAGAGCTGCGTCTCCCTCGTCCCCTCCTTAAATTCCGGCGTCCTCCAGTCACAGTGTCCCAGGTGCGGCCTACTCAATCACCCACCCCAAAACCTGGAAAGCCGCGAGAGCAGAGCTGGAGCTGCCAGGAGGGCAGCGGAGGGGAGGGAGGGGAGCTGGGTGAACCCCTGGGCAGTGTTCTGTGCGCGACGAGCCAGGCATGCTGACGGCCTGACCACCTGTGCGGGCGCGCAGCACCTACGGCCCCCCACCCCTAGGCCTGGGCGCACAGAGCCACCGAGAGGGCTTGAGGGTGGGGCTGGAAGTCTCTGCCCGGCTGGTCTGCGGCGGCGGAGGGAAGTTGCTTCTTCCCTGGCCGGGCCTCTCCGGAGCGCAGTGCCGGCGCGCCCGGAGTCCGAGGAGCCGGCGGGCACCCCATTCGCCCCCTGGCGGCGCCGGGGACACGCCGGGAGCCGTTGTAGCCGCCGCAGCCGCAGCCGCCGCCGCGGCGGAATGAGCTGTCCACAGCAGCACTGGGTGCCGCCCGAGGTCACGCAAGAATCTGGCGGGAGGCTGGGAACTGGGAAGGCAGGCCGCCTTTGAAGGCATGGGGAGAGACGATAGAACAAAGCAACTATGAGATTTGGGGGCTTCCCCTGGATCCACATCCTCCAAGTCCCGCATGGGCTTCCCCACTAGTGTGGTGACTAACACCCAGGGATCTCATCCCTGAGTGGTCTTCCCTCCCTCACCCAATCTCCCTCTTGTTCTCACCCTTTCTAGAAAATGTCCCCATATCTCTCCTCCTTCTGCAGTGACCTGACAATGACAGCCTTGGGAGACCCAGCCACATCCCGGCCCTGCCACACCCCAAAGAACTCTGAGGTGGGGCCAGGAGGTCATTAGGAGAGGAGCAGCATTCAAAATGATCCTTTGAGTGCACATTGGGAGCCTGGCATTGCCCTTGGCCTTATGGGAGGTGGAAGATGTTGACCTCCTGGTGCTTCCAATCTCAGAAGACAAACACACTCAAGAGACAATGGCATAGCAGTGGCCTGGCAGCAGGAGCCTCAGGGGAGGGCATGGCGGAGATGGGCTGGAGTGTGAACACTGGAGTTATCAGAACGTGCTAAGTGGACAGGATTTGGAAAGAGAAAGAGAGTATTCCTGGACCAATCTGGAGCATAGTGGAGGGCTGTCATGAGAAAGCTAGTGGGGCCAACCTCAAAGGCCCTATAAAAGATCTGTTTCTGCAGCGCTAGAGACAGAGGGGAGGAGCAAGAGCTGGAGGCTGCAAGCCCCTCTGGGAGGCAGCAGCAGTAGCCTGCTCTGAAGTGATGGCTGAGGCAGGGAGAGGAAAGCTGCCACTTTCACAGTCCTGAGGGGCATGCCTGTAGGTGGGGAAGCAGGGTTTCCAGGCTTCTTGAAGAGGATGGCTCATATACTACCAAAAAAAAAAAAAAAAAAAAAAAGAGAGAGAGAGAGATTTGGTCAGACTCAGGTTTTTGTTAGAAAGGAAGAAGCTGGGGCCAGGTGCGGTGGCTCACGCCTGTAATCCTAACACTCTGGGAGGCCAAGGCGGACAGATCACCTGAGGTCAGGAGTTCAAGACCTGCCTGCCCAACATAGTAAAACCTCATCTCAACTAAAAATACAAAAATTAGCCAGGCGTGGTGGTGCGCACCTGTAGTCCCAGCTACTTGGGAGGCTGAGGCAGGAGAATTGCTTGAACCCAGGAGGTGGAGGTTGCAGTGAGCCCAGATCACGCCACTGCACTCCAGCCTGGGTGACAGAGTGAGACACTGTCTCAAAAAAAGAAAAAAAAAAAAAAGGAAGAAGCCGGGTCATGGCAGGGTAGAGGGAGCAGCTCCAGGCTATGTCCGAAACTGAAAAGATTAAAACGAGTGAGGGGAGATGGGGAGAGGTGAAGCAGTCATTCCAGATACAGAGGCAAATAGAAAGGACCAGAAAGCCCCCTGAGGAGAAGGAAGCCCAAAAGGCAGCAGCCTGTCTGAGGGACCAGCAGGGGGCGCAGGGGTCTCCGAACTTCAGGCTCACCAGAGCTGGCTTTAGCTGACAGTCTGGCTGTCTATTTCTGCCCCATTTCCCATTTTACTTTGCCTACCAAAGTCGTCTCAGGTAATTGGGGAGATTCCCTTCCCACCCAGCTTCTGGCTTTGTATAGAACCCATGGCAAACCCAGAATGAAACTGTCAGGCCTCATTGTGCCCTCCAGCCCAAATCTGTCCAGGGAAGGTCTTAGGGATGCTGTTTATCTTGCCCTAGTGTTTGATGTAGGAGAGCCATCTTTCTGGCAGCTGGTGACAGACCATTGGGTCCTGTCTCAGTGGCATGTCTCTCCACTTGGTCTTGGCTTCCAGAAAGGCTTGTCCATTTCTGAGGCTGGGCTGCTTTATGGTAACCTCCCAACCTGACTCTGAGGCAACCTTTGATAGGGTCAAGCCTGGAAGACAGACTGAAAAGCCCACTCAAGCACTGGCTATGTGGGCACTTCCATAGGGAGGACTGGGGCTGCTGAGATGATGAGTTGAGAAAGTTAGGGGCTGACTGTTTAGAGCCAGCAACCACAAAGAGGGCTTTGAGCAATGGGACTCCCCTGCAACCACACCAGCAGGACAAGCTGTGAGGTGCTTATCAGGCATGGTGGCCCTGGAGGAGGGAGAGGATAGAGGGAAAGCACTGTCACCAAATTTCTCCACAAAGTGACGGCTTTGGGCACTTCACAGGACAGCGCTAGCACTGCCTCGGGGCTCAAGGAAGCACCATGTGGAAGAAGGACAGGGCCAAAACTCTTCTGGGATAAGTCTGAGGTGGGGTTCTGGTGTGCACAGGAACAGGGGTGAGGGAAGGAGGAGAAGAGGGTCCTGGCCTAGCAGGGGACCCTATAGGCCCATACTCCTTTGCCCAGGCCAGGTTTCCTTTTCTTTGCAGTTAAATTACAGCTAAAGGAAAGACTACATTTACTTGTGCTTTGCTTGAATTCCTCTGGAGTCAGCCACTACCACCTTCTCCCTCTTCTACAAGGGGCCTAGGTTAACATAGAGAGAAGCATGCCTCACTTACTCAAGTATGATGCTCATGTGCAGGAGCCTGAGGGTCTGTGTCCCATGGCCTCTGCTACCATCACTCCTCTCTCCCTTGGAAAAGGCCCCAAAGGGAAACATGGTCTCCCAGGGACCTTTCTCTGCCATTCCTTTTCAAAATTTATAAACACAGCTATCAATTTCTAAGTCCCGGCTACGTGTCAGACACGGTGGTAAACATGACCACTGTGTTCACGCATGTCAGATGCATGACCTCATTCACTCCTCACAATAGCTCAGAGGCCCATCAGCCTGACTCCTTGGCTGGCTTCGGTTCCCAACCCCAGCCGGGAGCAAGGGGTTGAAGTTTGTTCCCCAAGCTGATACAGAGGACACAGTTCAGTCTTGGCGTCACTCACTGTGTGGTGGCTCAGTTAATATTAATTAACTCTGAGGACAAGCTGCACTTTGACTCACCTCTGGCTAATTAAATAAACCTGGCATGTAAATCAGCAGAGGGAATAGAGAGACATTAGGCTGTGCTGAATGGATATTGGGCTCTCAGGGGTAAGACTGTTGACCTCCAAGTAGAAAATCTACCTTGGCCTGCTCTGGCTCTCTTCAAGTTCTCCGAAGCTAGGGCCAGAGTAGTATCAATGAGGAATAACCTTGCATCTCAGAGAAAGCCTTGCTCCTGAAGCCCTGAAGAACTGAGAGGAGGGAATCAGGGTTTGGATGCCCCTTGGGTACCACGGGCCCATGATGACATAAGGGTTCTCTAAGGAACCAAGACAGAACTGCTTGGCCTTCCCTCTCTCCCCTCACACCATCCCCATCCCTGAGGCATCATGTCCTGATGGTCCTGAGTCAGCTGGGGGAGGCCTGAGGCCCACGGAAAAGACATGGTGTGAACGTCCCTTCCAGCCATGCCTGGCAGTTTTGAACTGCTGGGGCTGGCAGATGCCTCCTCGTGCTCTGCCTCCCTTCTGGTCCTCCCTGAAGAAAATGAGCTATGGCAATGTCCCAGGTCTTCTGAAGGTGAGGCTGTCTCTCTGACCAACGGGGAGACCTGGGGCAGGCCACTTAACCTGATCAGGCCTTGTCCCTTCTTGGTAAAACAAAGAAATTGCAATGTCAGCCTCACAAGAGGGCAGAGAAGAGTCACAAAATATGTAAACTGCTGCCCACTGCTTTGCACAAAGTAAGGGCTCAGTCAGTGGTGGCTATTCTATGATTACGATGATGATGAAGATTGTATGTGGTTCATAACAACCAACTATACCTCCCAGTAATGCTGGGCTGTCTTGAGACATACCTGGAGTAGCTACTGTGATTAAGCCCTAAGCTGTCACTTTGAAAGTAGCCTTTTTCTATATGTAAAAAGAGAGAACACTACCTTAAAATAATGTCTATGAAGGTAACATGTAAAAATAAAATGAGATAAGTAAGGTAAGGGTGAAGGCAAGGGGAGAGTGAGAATGTGAGTTGCTGAGAAAGGACACAGGGTACATCAGGATGCCTGTGTCCCTTCCCCTCCCATCCATGTCCCTCCCTGCAGCCACCTGGATCCCATGCCTCTCAGAGTCCCCATCCCTCCCCCTCCCCTGGGCTAATGTTTGGAGCATGGCTTAGGGTAAGGGCCAATTCTGGGGGCCTGTAGCTCACGGTAGGCCGTTCCCCACTATGTCCTCTCCTATGGAAAGATGCACCTGTCACCACTGTGGACCAGCAGAAGTCCTGCAGAGTTCCCAAGAGCTAGCAAGCAGGCACAAGACAAACATTTACATTCAACACATTGGAACAGATCAAATGTGGTTCTCAAAAAGCTCAGACTTGCAAGCTTTGGAGAAGGCCCAGGTTTGGCTCCCTTTAACTCCCAAACAAATTCTTGTGGGATGTTGCAATTACTTGTGACAATCCCTCTCCCTGCCTGGGACTTTGATTTCAGATTTAGACATGTAAAACTGGGTGGCTGGCTAGGTCTTAAGCAACTTGGTGGGTGGGGTGGGGACTGGGGAAAATTCTTTGCAGCACATTGTGTGTAGAAGAGAGATCTTGAGGAATCAGATGCTGTAGCTCTGTTTGTGTTACTAGAACTTTTCAGCCACTGTGGCAGATTTTCTGTCTCTGGAAGTTGGTCGCTCTGCTGGGGAGTGGCTCATTTTGTCTTTTGAAACACAAATGTCTAGAAATTATTTTCTGTGATAGTCTTATGTTAGAATAACTTTTCAATCATTGTATCAAATTCCACAGTCTTTACCCTGGTATCTTATCCCCTGGATAAGTAGCAGATGAAGAAGAGTCAAGGCTAGGCGGAATATTTTAATGGTAAAGTGTGCTGACCTGGCCTCAGAGGAGCCTGGAAGCAGGAGGAGGTGATGCATAGAAAGTCAAGTAGATGCAGAAGTGAGAGAGGAACATGGCTGAGCAAAGTGTGTCTGGGTGTAGGGACTCTATGGCCTTTATGGGTACGGAGGTGTATATGCAAAAGGTTTTGGGCAAACTTCCTGTGTCTTTCCTTTGCTATTGTACCTGGCCTTAAAGCACATTCAGCCCTTTGGGAGAACTTCAACCCTGTGTTGGGCTCCTGTTTCCTACTTTCTGGCTTCTGCGACACCTGGTCTGACAGCCACACAACTTTAGTTCTGACCCTTTTGGCTTTCACACTGGCAATAACACAACGGATACTGCTGTCCCTGAAAGGGATTTGAGTGAAGAGGCTAGGGCCTTCTTGCTTCACCCCTAGGCTTTTGGCAGTCAGCCTAACCTAGAAGCCTGCCTCTTGAGGCTGGTACACATGACAGAAATCAGGGAACAAAAATGGCTAGGACTTCCTAGATGCTCTGTGGAGTTCAGCCTGTTGGCAAATCTGGGGTGATAAGCGCTTGCCTTTAGGATTGGGAGATGGCAGATCACCAACACTGCCATTCCTCTTCCCCCCTCTCGACTCTTCTCCCAGGATATCACTGTGTCTGGACAAAGCTTAGAAATTACATAAAACAATGTGAGGGAGAGAGAAGGTCAGCATGAGGAGTTTTGTTTTAGGTCAACCAGGTTATCAGGGGAGTCTAGATAAAGGGAAACATTAGGCTGTATGATTCTAGAATAGAAATATTAGAATTCCTGGGGGAATAAGAGAAGGGAGATCCTGAGAATGGGATGTGAAGGCAGGGGAGAAAAGAGATGGGACAATCCCCCAGGAGTTCTTTTAGGTCTTAGAAAGATAAAGCTCAGAATTCCTGAGCAAAAGCAAATGCTCAGCTGTTTAATCCATTTCTAAATGGGAGGAGAGAATGAGTAAGCTAGGATCATAGGACATTACAATACAAGGGTCTGGTGGCTCAGGGAACCAGCCAAGGGAAACTGAGGGACTGTAGGAGTCAGGAAAAGAGAAGATATCTTCCCTGGGGGCCTTTAAGAACATAGCCGAGACATTCTGTTTCTGGATGAGAAGACTCGATATTGTGAAGATTATCAACTCTTCCCCAACTTTCCTATGTAATCAATAAAATCTCAACTGCAGTCCTAATAGGACTTGTTAAATGAAACTTAACAAGCTGATTGGAAAGTACATCTGGAAGGAAAAAACATGTGAGAACAGCAAAATGATTTTGGGAGGAAAAAAACAAAGGAGAAAAACATACGGTATCAAACCATACCTAAAAGCTACATAAATTAAAATAGCATGGTTGGTAGAAGAATATAAAAAAGTTCAATGCAACGGAGAATCCAGAAATAGCCTCATGTATGTATAGGAGTTTTGATTACAAGAAGAGTAGTACTTCAAGACACTGGGGAAAAAGATGGCCTATAGAATCTGGGCAGCATGCGACTCTCAGAAAAAAAAAAAAAAAAAATCCCTAACTCACACCATTTATGAAAATAAATTCCAGATGGGACTAACATAGAAACACAACTATAAAATGAGTATAAAGAAAATATAGGAGAGTATGTTTATTATCTGGAGATAGGGAAGCCTTCTTTAAGAACCATAAAATACAAAGCCATAAAGTAAAGGAGTAATACATTTGATTACACCAAAATAAAAAGCCTCTGTATAACCCAAGGCACCATTAATAAGGTTAAAAGAATGAGTTGGCCTGGACTGAGGGGTGGCCCATTCTGCTAGGAAGCAGACTGTGAGATGAGATGGCCTTGGAGGCCTATCTGCTCCCTCACAATTCCCTCAAAAGAAGTCACGGTTTGAGAGGAAGCAAATAAATGCCAGAGGGTGGCCATTCCCCATTGTCCATCATCCATAGAGCCCTATAATCAAGAGATAAGTCATAGTTATCAAGAGCCAGCTCAAAATGAGTTGATAAGTGGAGCAGGGTACAAGAGACAGTAAGCGAGATGGAAGGAGTAGAAACAATTTTGCTGGCCTCAGGGTAGGAGCAGGAGGAAGGGCTGCCTCTGTCAGAAATCACAGTCTCCAGTCCTTGGGCCCATCTTTCTGAGTGGATGTGGTATAGGCAACTGCTCCCAAGACTTCACTTTCCCTGAGTAGGGAGCTTCTGGGGAAGAGCATATGGGGAAAATGTCACCCTGTATGGGCTTTAATAATCTCCATGAGACCCCCTGAGCTCTGTGGGGATCAGGGCTGTCTTGGAATAATGGCCTCTGCCCAGACCCCCAGTGGCAGTGATGATAGATATGCCCATATTCTTGGGTGGGCTTGCATGGTCTGATAGCTCCAAGTCAGAGGCTTATGTCTTGGAGACAGGACTGTTTCTTTTTTATTTTCTTTTAGACAGAGTCTTGCTCTGTCGCCCAGGCTGGAGCGCAGTGGTGCGATCCCGGCTCACTGAAACCTCCGTCTCCTGGGTTCAAGCAGTTCTCTGCCTCAGCCTCCCGAGTAACTGGGATTACAGGCGCCCACCACCACTCCTGGCTAATTTTTTGTATTTTTAGTAGAGACGGGGTTTCACCATGTTGGCCAGGCTGGTCTTGAACTCCTGACCTTGTAATCCACCCACCTCATCCTCCCAAAGTGCTGGAATTACAGGTGTGAGCCACTGTGCCCAGCCTGACATGACTCTGTTTCATGTCTGGAGAACACTCTGATACAAGGCCCCCGAAGCAAAGTGAAACTGTTGTCCCGTGGAGGCTTTACCAGCCAGCTTACCCTATGGGGATCAGGCTGTTTCCTAGAGAAGCCAGGGAATTACTGTACTCAGCTACTCTCAGCTCATACTTCCCACTTGTGAGCTGACTGAGCTCAGAGGGTGTTTGCCTGATTCAGGTAGTACGGCAGCCACATTCAAGTCTTATGAAACCTCTGTGGCATTCTGATGCCATTTGGTAAACTGCATTGAACACATGGACCTGGGGTTAAGAGAAAGGGAAAATTTTGCAGCAAGGGATGTCGATGCCATTTTCTAATATGAGCAAGGGGATGTAACAAAGAATGATGGATACTGAGAAAAGCAGGAGGCAGTATCAGGACTGGCCAGAATTGAAGCATAGCCTCAGTGATGGAATCACATTCCAAGAAGCATCAAACAATCTCACAGGCCCCAATTTGACTTTCAGAGATATGATTCAGGATTTGGAGAGTGAGGATTAAGGAATAAATAAGCACAGCTGAGGATAAGATCAAGGTACCTGACCCCTCAGGAAAGGATGCCACGGGGTGACGAGAAACCATTGACCCCTGAGAAATTTTTTAAAAAAATGGACTGTGGAGCTTAGATTCAATGTCTCTAAAAGGAAAGGAAACAATTCCTTTATATAAATGCACAAACAATGGCTAAGTACCAAACTACATACCAAGCATTCAAGTGAGGGCAACATAAAACAACCTCTGTGCCTCCTACCATTACTACCAGCAACACACACCTAGTGAAGTCACCCAGCCCTGCCCCCATCTCTGAGATGAGACCAGACCAGTCCATTCATTTGGCACAACATATGTTAGTTTGAATACCTTCTAACATGCAACCAAATTTCAGGGAAAATAGGGGATATTTAGTGAGCTCAAAAACTCCAACTTCCCAAATGGATATGGGAGGCTCCAATCAGCCAACACAGTTCCAATAAGGAGAGTAGCTGTCTTCTCTCTCAATGCCTAAACAACACCGCTTCCAGGCGCTTTTTCACTAACAGTCCTGATGATCAGCCAGGTTGAAGGCTACAGTCTTTTAGAGACCCCATGGAGGAAGATGCTGTCTTTACTCTCAGATCAGGACCAGTGATTCTGAACCTATTTGGGCTGTGGCTCCTCTTGAGAGTTTTTATGAAAACTATGGCTCCTCTTCTCAGAAAAATGTACATTGCACATACGGATATAATCTGTAAAACTTCAGGAGCTTTAGACCCCCAAAAGCCCCAGCTTAAGAATTCTTGCTGAAGACAAATCACTCCTTTTCTTACTCAAGAGCTGTTTTCCAGGGCTGATTAACTACCATCTTAGATGTCCAACAGGTGAGTGAATATTCAGCACTGAACTCTAGTCATCCCATGCCATTGGCAGATGGCTGGGTCTCTGCTGTTGCCTGAAGCCAGAAGGAAGCAAAGCCCCTAGACCGAGACCACATTTTGTTTTTCAAAGGAGCACTCTACTCCACCCCCACCAGAAAACCTCAGACACCCCAGGCCTGGAACACAGACACAAAGTGACAAGACAGAAATAAATCTGGTGCAGTATACAACTACATCTGTGAAGACAGCCATAGACTGGGCTCTTCTTGGGCTGGCAGGCCAAAGCTGAAATGGAGAGTCAGATGGGTCCTCCTTTAGCTAAATGCACACTAGCTGATCGTTCCAGAGAGGCACCTGCCCTTTTTTTTTTTTTTTTTGAGATGGAGTCTCTGTCGCCCAGGCTACAGTGCAGTGGCGTGATCTGGGCTCACTGGAACCTCCTCCTCCCAGGTTCAAGCGATTCTCCTGTCTCAGCCTCCCAAGTAGCTGGGATTATAGGCACCCACCACCACGCCCAACTAATTTTTGTATTTTTAGTAGAGACAGGGTATCACCATATTGGCCAGGCTGGTCTTGAACTCCTGACCTCCACCTGCTCTTTTTCACTGCCCCCTACCTGGAATGTAGAGGCTGCTAGAGGCTATGCCCTTATGAACTATTTAAGTTCCATATTTGTTTCCCTTTTTTCCAAAAATAATAATGATAGCAGCAGCATTGATTAAACATCAGTATTGAACAGTACTCTGTGCCAAGCACTATGCTATAAGCTCTTGGCATAAATTATTTCATCTTCCCCAAAATCAAATGAAGTAAAGCACTCTTGTTATCTCATTTACAAGATCAAGAAATAAGACTAGGAGAGGCTTAGTAGAGTTGCTTAAGGCCACAGAACTAGTGAGAGAGTGAGCCTGAATTTGCATTTAGGCCTGATTTCAAACCAATACTTTTAACCTCCACTCTCATGCTCCTCCCCAAAAGACCAATACTCAGACAAAGGCCTAGGAAATCGTCCAGAGTGATAATCTCCAGAGTGAGAGCTCTAGTTCTTGCTTCTGCCTCCCCATCCGCTGCCCACCATGTGGCAGCCTGGTTCTCAAAAGGGACTCACTTTATGGAGAGTTGATTGGAAATTCTCAAACTCTCTCTCCTATCTCTGTCTGACTTTGCTATTTGAATCCATACTCTATAGCCCTAAATTTATCTGGGAGCCTAAATTTATTTTAAACTCAGCTCAGCCCAGGAACCTTATTTCCCTTCAGGTTTGGAATCAAGGAGAAAGACTCATTTCTATTTGACCACTGGAACGTTGTTGGTGGGGGATTAGTTGTCATCAGTCCCATTTTAAATATTTGGGGTGTGTGTGTGTGTGTGGAGTGCTGAGAAACAGAGAGTAGAGTAGCCCAAGTTTGGTAAAGTGTCACCAATGGTGCTGGTGCCTTATGGGGGCCAGGATTCTCTAGACACCTCCTACCCCTCAGCATTTGGAAACAGGGCACATCAATTCTCAAATAGCTAGTCTCCTCCCTTTCCTCAGTTAGTGGATTCCAGGGAGAGTGAGTGCCCAGCAAACCAAGAGAAAGGTACAGAAGGATGTTGCCCATTGTATGCCCAGTGGCCAAGGGGGCCCCAAGTACCTGCTGAATGGCTAGAGCCTCAACCATGTTTTGGGAGGCAGTTGGGGGCAGAGTGGGCATTAAGCTATCTGCTGAGTCCAGGGTTGCTTGTCCTTGCCCCAGAGCCTCATCTCTGAGATTAAATAGGGAGAGGAGATGTTGGGCCTACACAGAGGTGGGAGATGCAGGAAGCTAACTGACTGCAGGTGAGAAGATCATCTCATCTTTAGGATCTCTGTTTTATACCACCTGTAGGACAGAGGAGAGATAAAGCAGTAACGACAGTACCCACCTTCAAAGTGGATGAGGAAGTCAGCCCCAGAGGCACAGGTGACTCCCAAAAATGGTCTGGACTCACTGGAGTCCAATGATTTTGTCATCAGATATTTGCAGAATGTCTGCTATGTGCCAGACTCATCTGGGCATTGGAGATGCAATGGTGAATCCTGCCCTCAGTGTTAGGCCATCAACAGAAAAAAACAATACATGAGAAAGACAATCTGGACAGTGATAAGCACTAGGAAGAAAACTGAAACAGACTGGTAAGGGAGTGACTGGAAGGGACCATTTCAGTTTGGTTGTCAGGGGAAGCCTCTTTGAAGAAAGAACATGAGATCTGAGGCTTGATTATGAAAAAGGGCTAGCTAGCCATCTGAAGATCTGGGGGAAGTGCATTCAAGGAAGAAAGAAAAGCAACGCCAAAGGCCCTTAGGTGGCGGTGGGCTCTGTGCATTTAAAAAACAGAAAGGCAACCACTATTGCTTGAGAGAAATGAACAAGTGGGTGAGAGGAAGGAGAGAAAGCTGGAGAGTTAAGTAGGGCCAGATCATAGAGGCCTTGTAACCATAGTAGAGTCAGACTTCTATTCTAAGTGTAATGGGAAGCAGGGAGTGACATCATCCAATTAGTACTTTTTAGAAGATCACTCTAGCTACTGTGTGAATGGATTACATAGGGCAATCATGGCAATAGGGGGACCAGTGAGGAGGCTGTTAGGTGAGAAAATTGGTGCCCACATCATTTGTCATCCAGACCAAGATAGTTGTGCAGGTAAACAGGGGTGCTACAAATAATTAAGCAGGGACAACAGGCATAACCAGATGGTCTCTGGCAAAGTGGGACATAGGGACACTCTGGATATGATAGATTAGGGCAGTAGTTTTCAAGGTGTTGTTCCTAGATCAATAGCATCAGCATCACCTGAGAACTTGTTAGAAATGCAAATTCTCAGGCTCCTGCCCCAGACCTTTGAATCAGCAACTTGGGATGAGCCCAGTGGTATATGTTTTAACGATCCCTTTAGGTGATGCAGGCTAAAGTTTGAGAATCACTTGAGCTAGTGCCAGTGGTATAGGTGATGAGGTGTGGCCAGACACAGGATATAGTCTGAATATGAGGGGTGAAAGAAACTAGAATGTGGAACCAGCTCTTTGTTTTTTGTTTGAGCGATGTGTATATGGTGGTGCCCTTTACTGCAACGGGAAGGACTAAGATGGGGAGAGGATGGGTTTTGTAAGGGGATTAAGCTTTTGTTTCAGATGTATAAAGTGAGAGTGAAGACATAGGCCTTTCTTCCCTGGGTCACCTCTCAGAATAAGGAAGCATTCTACCAGCCAGAGGGCAGCCAAGCTCTGCAGCTTTAGGCACTCTTTTCAGAGTCAACCTCCTTCTTATGAGTCCCTGAATTTAGAGTAGGGAACTTTTCCCAATGAAGTTGCTCTGAGTACCACTTCAAGTTATGGCCCAAGAATGACTGTGGAGAAAAAGTAGAGCACTGCCCTCAGAGCCAAATAACTGACTACTCGGGTGAAAACAGCTTAAGAAGGTACAAGTTGAGATGCTTTTATCTAGAAAATAAAAATCTAGGACTTGTCTTGGGAGTTCTCTTGGAGACCAAAGCTTGCCGATGACAAAGCTCTGGCTATCATGAACATAACCCAGCCAGGACTGTCACAGGAAGTTCAGCAGTTTTAGCAGTTGTGCTCCAACACACAGCTCCTAGGTCCAGGAGAAATCACTTTTCTATTTGGTCCTGGACTCCTAACCTGGCACCCCATGCCTGAGCATTTCGTTTTTGTTTAGAGTACATGGGCTACAGTTGCAGCACATAGAGGGAGTAGCAAGCCCTTATCCCTGTGCTGTCTGGTGCAGGGAATGCACACCATCAGTGACATCCAACAGTGCACAGATGAAAGGAGAAACAGGGAGTATGTGGCCACCCCTCCTTGTAGTGGTGCTAGAGCAGGTGGAAGCCAGAGACGGATAGACAAGCTCTAAGTTCCAGAGCAAGGATTCTTAACTTGGACCTTTGGGGAATCTGTGATGCAGTTGAGAGAGCCTCAAGCTTTCATCAGATTCTCAAGCCTAAAACTCCAAAAGAGATAAAGAACCTTTGCTTTAGAGAGCAGTGGTGCTCACACTTTAGTGTGCTTCAGAATCACGTGGAGGGCTTGTTACAATATGGATGCTGAGGCCCAGCCCTAGAGGTTCTAATTCAGTAGGTTTGGAGTGGGACCCAAGAATGTAAGGGGATGCTTGGCCCAGGGGCTACACTTTGAGAACCACTGCTTTAGAGGATACCAAAAACCACGAAGAGTTCAAGTTCAAATTATGATCTTTCCTTTTCAGACAGGAGTTCCAACAGATGCCATAGCCCTTGAAACTACCCCTAAGTCCCAAGGAACTTGAGATTTTATTTTTGGAAGAAGCCCCTGGAGAATTACAGACTCTGGACCTCTCCTTGAGGTCAGGAAACATCTGGGAAATAGCATTTTATAGGGTGCAGGAAAATGCCTCCAGAAACTTAAAAGCCCAAGCAAAACTGAGCTGAAAACTACATGGCTTTCTCTGGCTGATCCAATTGCTGCACCAATTGTTGGTGAACAGTGAGGTTTTGAGAATCTGGGCAGACCCAGATCCTCTCCTAGAGACTATCTCCTGATACTTGTTGAACTTGTGTCTGAAGCCACATGGGCTCAGTTAGGAGGCCTGCTCTAAGGAAGAAAGGGTGTCTGCTAAGGGATAGAAGCTGGGCATAGGAAGGAAATCAACTCAACTAGACAGAATTCAAGAGCCTCATTCACAGAACCCTTTGATCAGGTCATTGTGGTAAGGGCGGGAAGAGGCAGGAATAGTACTCAGGGCTGTGCTTACTTTAAGCAAGAGCAGTGGAGAGAGGCCTGGTAGGGCCATCTGCCAGCTTCCTTCAGACCTGCTCTGAGTAAGTCATTCCCCATGAAAGGGGAGGGGGAAATGAAAATGTGGATTCATTCATGAATCAACCTCTGAAACAGGAAGTGTGGCTTTTGAGCTATGCAGAAGAATCCTCCTTTGCTCCACGTAACGTTAGCTTTGACACTCAGCTACATATATCCTTAGGTGGGGCAAAGTCAAAGTCAGGGAGACCCTACAAATTAAGGGATGAGGAGGCAACTTCATAGAGAAGGCAACATATTAGAGTGATTGAGACTGTGGATGTGCTTTGCCATCATCCTACCTGGACCTGAATCCTGACTGTGGAGTTCTATGCATGTCATTTAATCGTTCTGTGCCTTAGTATCCTCATCTATAAATTGAGGGTAATAATAGTGCCTATTTCATAGAGTTATAGTAAGAATGAAGTAAAATAACACAGGTAAAATGCTTAGTTTGGTGCCTTGAATATTTAAGCACTCAATGTTTAAAAAATAAAGTGTGGTGAGCATGAAGAAATTTGGGATAGTGGCAGTACAGACCCACTCTAAGTGACACTGCCAGAAACAGAAAGTGGAGCTATGTTACAGCTACTGCTAGTCTCCACAGAAGGCTGACAGAGGTCTGAGGTGTGAGATGAGCATGCAGGGAGAGCCAGGATGCCTACGATGGTGGGGTTAACTAGACACCCCTGCTGGCTGTAAGGTAATGATATCCTATTCTTTTAAGCCTTGCAACATTCAGTGAGTCTGTTTTGTGACATTTTCTCACTGCCAACCTAAGTGCCAAATAGCCTGATGTGAGGAAATCGAAGTGAATGAAAATCAATATTGGTAGGAAAATTGTATCAATGTCATTGGAAACACTCTGAAGATTTGCAATATTTAGGTAGAATCCCCAGTTTCAGGGGAAAAACTGTGGCTCCTCCTCCTGAAGTTCTAGAAGGCAGGGCGGGGGTGGGGTGGGGTTGCTGAAGTGAGAACAGTGGAGGTGTGTGCCGGCCCTGAGGTGACCTAGGAGGCAAACACTGAAAAGAGAACTCTCTTTCCTCTCGTCCTGAAAGAGCAGGACCTCTTCCAAAACTCAGTACCCAAGATAAAACAGTCCTGACTGCTTAGAAATAAATTGTTACTGAGACTAGGAACAAAGGATTTCTAAAAGCCATGCAAAATACCAAAATAAATGATATACCACATGGTTAAATGAAAGTTAACATCCATTGGAGGTGGATGTAGGAAGAGACCACCAATTACATCTTAGAAAAGAAAGACTGAAGAAAAATGACAAATAGTTCTGTTTGAGCATGCTGGGTTCCTTTCTTGAGGGGCTCCCCATGGCCCTACCAGCATTGCCGTGTAGTTCCGACCTGGCTGTCTGGGATGCTCCTCCTGTAGCCCTTCAGTAGGACCTCACCTCGGGGCCTCTTGCTGTCCAACTGACCATTGGGCATATTTAATCATGGTCCTTTCGGAGTCTTTAAAAGATGAAGGGCCTGACTCCTGACTTTTCACTCCCTTATACTTGCTGGGAGTAAATCATGGCTGGAATTTCCACCACAACCTCCTGTGCTTGAGTCCTTCTCTCGGACAGGGACCCAAGGATTTATCTGATCTCTGCAGAGAAGAGAGCAGAATCTGGTCTCTTCTTCAGGAAGTAGCCACCTGTCTTCTGTGTGTACCCCCCAAATCAGAGGCACCCTAGAACTTAGGGAAACTGAAGTTTCTTAGGCATCCCACCTACCTCTCTACAACAGTGGCACTCTCAGCTTTCAGTTTTCAGAAAGCAAAGTTTCTCCATTATTTTTATTGAAGTTGGTGGTTGTCATATGTGGAAGCTAGTTCATCCTTCTGTTCACTCCAAAGTAGCGCCTTTTTATTTTATTTACTTATTTTTTCTTTTTTGAGACAGAGTTTCGCTCTGTCACCCAGGCTGGAGTGCAGTGGTGCAATCTCGGCTCACTGCAATGTCTAACTCCCAGGTTCAAGCAATTCTCATGCCTCACCCTCCCAAGTAGCTGGGACTAGAGGTGTGCACTACCGTCCAGCTAATTTTTGTATTTTTTAGTAGAGACGGGGTTTCACCATGTTGGCCAAGCTGGTCAACTCCTGACCTCCAGTGATCCGCCCACCTAGGCCTCCCAAAGTGCTGGTATTACAGGTCTCAGCCACCATGCCCAGCCAAGGAGGGCCTTTTTAGCAAGAAAACAACAAAACAATACTCATAATGAACTCTCTTGGGATTCCCCCAGAGAAGCCTGGAACTGCAGTAATGTGAACTTGAGATGGCCTATGGACATGCATCAAGTTTTAGAATATAACTGCTGTCGTATATACTTAAGTAAATTGAGAGATTTTTCATAGTGTGATTTTTGCCAGGTATCTTGGAGAACTACTTGCTCCAGGCATTCCTCATATCCAGCCTGAAGGTAAGTGAAAACATAAAAAAAAGATAAAATAAAAGGAGAAAGCTACAAATAAAACTTCAAACTCTACTTAAAAAGGTTGAGGAAAATATATACCTGAGGCTTCTGAGGCCTTTGTTGGTTTTTAAGTTAGAGGTCAAAATGGGTGGTTCTTGTTGGTCAGATAATCTACTTTTCTAGAAGGCCCCATTGAAACTATCCTGAGGGATGGCTCCTGTGTCTTGTTTTTATTGGTAGCTTCATTCACTGTCTGCCATTCCACTCACTAGAAAAACAGTTTTGAAAGAGATTTTAAACCGCAACCTCTATTTTCTAAGTGTTCAACAGCACAATAGGGCAACTATTAAAAATAATTTATTATATATTTCAAATAACTAAGAGTGGAATTAGAATGTTCCTAAAACGAAGAAATTATACATACTTCAGGTGATGGATACCCCAATCATCCTGATTTAATCAGTACATTGTACGCTTGTTTCAAAATGTTACATGTACCCCATAAGTATGTATAACTAGTATGTATCCATGATAATTACATTTTTTTTATTGTAACTGACAGAAAACAAAAAACCTTCCATGAGAATGGAGCATGATCTTTGGGAAAAGGTTTCCCTTCTCTTCAACATGATGGCTAGGTTCACTGTCATACCACCAGAGAATTTTTTAAATGACCCAGTATGCCAGGATAGGGAGGCCATTCACATAACATTTTTAAAAATAAGCAAACCTACCTTAAAATAAAATAGAAGATAGAGTTCTCTAGTATGAGAGCACACTTAATGCTTGCAGCCAATTCATAAGCATAAGTATACCTGCTACTGAGTCCTAAAAAGTTTCCACCTATCAAAAAAAAAAAAAATCCAAGATCGCAACCAGACCCCTTCCCCCAAAAAGCACTGAAACAAAAGACTGATCTGATTATACAGTCACATGAAAAATAAACATCTTTATTTTTTTGCCTACTTTATTTCATTTTTTCAAATAAAATTTAAATCTGTACAAAGTATACTGTTACAGTATATATTTTGTAAGAATCAATGCCTAAAATAATCACAATACTTCAATAAGCAGTACAGCAGACCTCGCTAGTTTTCAGCTTTGATATTGAACAAACTCAAGCCGGCTGATGCACAACACGTTTGCTTGGTTTCCACATGGTGATTTCCCAGCACTGAGATGGGAGAACATGACAGCAAATATGGTAATATTACAGCCCGACACACTGCGTTTCTTCATGTGATAATAACTGCACATATTTAATACAGAATGCTCAAATTTACTTTTTAAATTGCATTTGCTTACTTCTTAGTTGGCAAAATTCAGCATTCTTAAATGGGGTCCCCAAACAGTGCAAATTAATGATATTCTAACTGTATATTGGCACATCTCCAATAAGGATTAACTTGTAAACTCAAAGAATATCAACAACTTAGTCCTAAATTTTAACTAATATACATCTGGTCCATTTAACCAAAGTCATTTTGGAAAGATATTAAAGAACAATTCTATTTCTGAAAGGATATTGTTTTGACCATTCTTTAGAGAAGATAAATTTTTAAATTGTCATTAAAATGTTTCACTATAAAAATTTTACAAACTTGATTAGAAATTTCAAGATTATGATTCACAGCAGACAAATACAAACTGTATATTCCAACAATACCTATTCTTAGACTTTCAAACAGAGCACAACCATGTCAGCTGTGTTAACTAAAATTCTGAACAGTGTACTAAATTTATAAGTGGTGCTGGGTCTAGCAAGTGTAAATACACAGTATATTTCAATGAAAAGAATTGTCTTCTTTATACTTTATTTGTTTTCCCATAAGGAAACATTAATGTTTACATTCTTTAATAAAGTTAATCTTACATCAGAATATAACTTAATACTGTCAGCAACAGGGACCACACACAGTAAATAAGAAGCACATTTAAAATAAGTCTGATTTCACATAGATTAACATTTGTTGGTTAATAAAATATCGACAGTATTACAATCTTACAATATTTACAGTAAGAAAAATCTAGAGTAATATATACCTTTCACAGCAGGATTCCTTTTTTTAAAATTTCTTCCAGTTTGGGATTGTGTATACACAAAAAGCTCAAAATAAAGCAACTCTGCAATATAATCTTAAAATAATGGCTACTGGGGGAAATTCTATCACAACCATTGAAAATAATGGTGACTTCTCACGGAGTCTGTGGCATCTGAGAACCCAGTTAATTAACCAAAGTCTTGCTCATATTAGCCTCAGTTACCCAGATTAAAGCAGAACTCCGGCCTTCCCTGACTGCTGAAAACCCAACAGATTTTCTCAACATGCTATAAGGAAAGAGGAAAAATTGGTTTCAGCTCACACCTCATGGCTGGAAGCCTCTGGAAGCCTCCAGCCAGTGCACACTCCCCAACTTATGCTAAAAGAGGGCCAATTTCATCCCCACAGCATCACAAGAGTCCACCCTCCAACCACACAGTGCTCTGACACCAAGCTCACCCATTCCTCAACTCTTGTGCCTTAGGATAACACATGAACTTAGCCCACATAATACACACCAGCGTCTTAGAGACTTGAGACCAGGGCAAAGAAACAGACTAGTGTAGTTTGCACTGAGATCAGTAAGAAAAATGGGAAGTGATGCACATTTCCAATTAGAATGACAAGAAGAAGACCCACATCCCTAAACTGGAATTTGGCCAGGGCATCAGAGTTAGCACCCCCTCTCTGAGTACCGCTAGCGATTAGGATGTGTGCTCTGGGCCTCCTCTAAAAGAGAGCATCTACAGTAAGTAACACAGTATGGGACATTAGTTCAGTGACGACTGCCAAGAAAGCAGATACAATTCTTGAATCTGGGGCTGTCTACGGCACCTGAGGTCAATCATCCAAGCTGTGACCTGTCCCAACCCTGCTTACTTTAAGATATCTGATGGGCACAGAGCACTCAGGGATATGGCTGCTGGCTACTTTGGACTCTAGATCTCACAGGTAATCAACAGGTATCTGGGATTGAATTAGCAAACTGTACCATAGCTCCTTAAACAGACATTGTCAAGTCTGAAATCATGTCAAGCATGAATCTTCACTGTCAGGTCAGTAATCAAAGTGGGAGTCTTCCCACATCAGCCAAGGTTATTTTGTCAGAACCTTAGAGGAGTTGGACAGTTTTTCATGTTGCAAGTGATTGGTTTACTTATTTCAGTCAAGCTGGATTGGCAAACCAGACTGATTTATTTAGTGAGCTTTGTTTTTTTGATTCTTATGTGTGTGCTAACCCAAAGCTGTTGTATTTGGGCTAAATACACTGACAGAGAAAATTCAAACGACAAAAGTTTTCAGCAAACTTCTGTGGCATTTTTTCTTTTTGGAAGTAAATGCAAGATCTAAAGGTATTTCTACCCAACAACGTCTGTTTAAGTGTTTAATGTTATTTCCTTTTTGGTCCTATACAGAATGCTATGACTTCTATATAGGTCTGAATGCTGCTCCATGTAGATTCCTTCTGTATATCTAAAAATATATACTTTTCAGTAGTTCAATACATGGTTAATCTTCCCACAGAGGAAGATTTTTGTAATCACATGTTGCAAAGTAGAAAACATCTCCTTTCTAAGAAAGGAAATATACTTTCCTATTGTACACTTTTGAATAAGCCCAAAGGCATGCACCAAAAATCATTAATAAAACTAATACATGCAATAAAATGGTGTAGAGTTAGACTTAAAGTGCTGCTTCTCAATTTTTTTTAATTTGAAGAAGACATTTTGTCAGTTGTAGACTCAAAAATCTTTCCCCCACCCACCCTCCCCACCCCATGGCATTAAGAGAGAAAAGTAAAAAGTATGCATAAATCTTTTAACTATGCTTTACATGGGGGAAAGAACAGATGTATCAACTATCCTATATATCAACTGGATTCCCAGTTTTAAATAAAACCAATATTTACTGGTAAAAATTGTCAAAGCGAATACACGCAAACAAATGTTACTAGTAAATAAATGTTCTACATAGAGAATAATTTACTTTGGTTTTATGCGCCTTCTCAAAAATAACACTAGTGTCCCAACGTCACCAAACTGATGTGTTCCAGCAAAGTTGTAAGGCAAATCTTTTTTTCCCTAGTGACATCTTGTTTCCCAACAGACAAAACTAAAATCTTTTGGTGAGGAAGGGGTTAAGATAATGGCTAACCCCTTGGCATCCTGAGCATTGTGGTTTATCAAACTCTACCCTGCTAGAAATTGTCAGGCACCCTGACCCCTGCCTTGAACCAGGAAGGCTCCCATGTCTAGAGATGCCCTGACTCCTTATAAATAGCTTTCAGAACTTTGCTTTTTTCCCTTCTCTCTGGTTGTTATAATGTCTAACGAAGCTGGTTGCAATGTCACATTTTGCTAGTAGGGGCCACCATCTAACAATAATTCCAATATGAAAGGTTTTAAGCCAATAGTTGGTTCCTAATTTTATCAACGATTTGCACTAAAATTCTCTACAATTTACTTAGAGCAGAGATCTTTAACTTGGGTTTCAGAAGATGTGTGATGCCCCTGAAGTTGTATGCAAAATTATCCAGGGATGGGCATTTTTTTTTTCTTGGGTAGAGGATCCATCACACTGTCATCAGATTATCAAAGATATCTGTGACCCCCAAAAAGGGTTATAGGGACTTAGAGGGATACCCGTAATTCATTTTATACCAGGACTGGGAAATGGGGGCAGAAAACTAAAAATGGCCTCGAAAAAGGCCAGGGACAAATTGCTGATCTTTTCCCTTTATTCACATTGGGAAAATAAGTGCTTCAAACTGGAAAAATCATTAATTAAGCTGGTTAAACTCCATTAAAAAATAATCAAATCGCTTTCTAAATTTTTTTCATTTTCGATATGTGGTAAATTTTGTCTCCAAGAAAAGGTTTGGAGACTGAATTTTTCTCTTTTCCTAAAGGAAATTCATAGATAGAATGCTGAATATCATCCACATTTAAAGATTTGACAACATAAAAGTTAGATAACTCTTAATGATGTGAATCTTTAACTTATGATTTTGAGTAAAGGATTATCTAGAATCAAATATACACTTATTAATCTTCATTTCCCAAAATTGGTCCATATTTAGACAACTACCTGGCACAATTTCACTAGATAAACCTAAAATCTGAACAATGGAAGTTAAACTTCTACCCAAAGTAAAAACAAAGCCATAAGATTCCACAATTGAATTGGCCACAAACATTCACACTATGTTATAAAGGACTTTCTCATTTCAAATACATCACTGAATGTTCAACAGAATTTGCAAACATAAGATCCAGAATGACTAGCAAAACATGCTAAGAGCATGTCAAAAAGTAAAACACCACCTCTCCCCCCCCAATCTGGAAACACACTCAGGCATTCCAAAAATAAACCAGATCTGAAAAGAGGCCTCTCACTTGGTTTTAAGTATGAGGTGTGTACAAAGCTATGGGAAAGGGAATATAAAATGAAATAACCAAATAACTTACAAAAAATAATTTTAGCCAAAAACACATCTCTCTGTTCCATTGATAAAACTATCAATTTTTAAATTTTTTTGCAATTCTGAACACTGTGTTGCATAATATCACCAAGACAAAAAATATGTTCACAGGTACACTTTTTGTTATTTTCTTTCTAGAGCACATCTTTGAGGTCATAAGACCGCATCTGGTTAAAATAAAGTCTCTTGCCCTTGCTTCCCTTCCCCCTCAAAGTGATTCAACCCTGAATTCCAAAAAGGAATATTCAATATAACAACTTGAAAACCAGTTGTAACACTTAGACCATAAGGAAACTATATGAACATTATGGAAAACTACATGAAAGAGGGAGCTGCCACTTGCCACCCACTTCACTTCCAGCTTTTTAAGCATGTACCCAGCTAGACTCCTATCTCACTGACTTCAGTGAAACAAACTAACACACCAAATCTAGGCCATCTCAGGCTGGAAGTTAAAACTCGAAGACATCATTTCATATACACATACATATATATTCCCTATCCTAAGCTTTAACTTTGTCTATTTAAACAGTTTAATAAAGCTCACATTTACAAAGGATTTTATTGGCAAATAAAGGCCCATATTAAAAATTTTATCAGAACAAATTTTTGTTTTATACAGCTAACATTAAGAAATATTTTCTTGGCCTTATAAAATATTTTTAATTGCATATAATTTTTGCTTTGGGTGGAATATTGAAAACACAATTCTGCAAGAAATTAGAAAAGACTAGAAACAAAAGTGAAAGTGACTAGCCTTAACTTTCAAAAAATCAAGTGCAAAGATAAATAGTGCAAATAATGAAAACTAGAAATTTTACAGGCAACTTTAGTCTTTCCTGCTTTTGCACTTTTACACATTGACAACTTTATAAACCCTAACAACTATATGCAGCATGGAAATGGGCTATCATTTATCTCCACTGACTAGACTTAAGCCTTTCAAGGACTTGTCTCACAGTCATTTAAATCACAAGTTCTTGACACAGGTTTGGGAATTCACTTCTTTTTAAACAAATTTCTAAGGGAGGGGCTATTTAAGAAGGCTTTGCATTGACTTAAATGAGTTATAGTATATAACTATTATAATTTAAAATCTGACACAATAAAATGTGAAAATTATACTAAAGTGCCAACTCTACAAAATAAGCTATAGTAAAAATAATCCTGCTATTGTTAATGAACCTGACATTCGTAAAAAAGAAAAATTACCTTCAAAGTACAAAATCAGAACCACTTTTTTGCTATTTTTAAAAGAGATTTTTATCACTAATATATAGAGATGTGAGTAAAATGAAACTTCAAAGTAATCTGTCCAAATCACCAGGAATAAATCCATACTAAATTTGACAACAAAGAGTTAATCCAAACATACTTGAATTATGTAACTTAAAAACAAACATTACAGTAATTATTTATCTTAAATAATTTAAAACACTACTGGAATAATGGGAACAGAAATCTAAACACTATCAGCTTACCCTACAAAGGATATAAGAACCTCCAAAATGTACTAACTTATTTTATTAACATTTGCCACCACTGAACTCTTGGGAATACTACAATTTTAAAGTAAGAGAGAAAGTAGGGAAACAGAAACATGAGTTTGGGGGGTATGTTGTCTAATTTTAGAAATACAGTATTATTGAGGGCCTCATAAGGTCTACAAGGTTAAATGGTTGCTACGGATGCAAATGTAAAAGAAATAAAAAAGACACCTAAAATTGCAAGTTAGTGTTTTTACCTGGTTTATTGTCTTCTAAGAAATTTGTGTGGGCCAAAGTCTCAAAATTCTATAAAAGCAAGGAATAATATGTGTCTTTGTGGAGTACAAAATCAAATAATTTGATCTAAGGACCATTTGAAAAGTAAAGGTAAACTACATTGTAACAAGAGCCCAAGAAAATAGATAGTATGTGTGATAAATATTTCTGATAGTTTAAAAAGAATAATGGTGAAAAGCTTGAAATTTTCTTTTCCTCAAAATAATAACTCCCCAGCATCCACTTGCCTTGACCAGAAAAGCTGTCATTCCACAATTGTGCTAATTTGTCCCAGAAAAGCAGACATCCTATACATGAAAACAGACTTGTATAATGCATGATCATTATCATAACTCTAGCTATAGTAACTAACAGCTTTCTCATAATCAATGAGGGACCCATTTTCTCTGGCTTTATTGAAACTTCCTTAGTGAAGATCAACTTCATTTCCTTAGCAAATAACTCTCATTCGGACTCCATCATAGTACCTTTTCCTACCTCTAGTAAAAATTCCTCTCACTTTATTTCCAAACCATTCTCTATATACCTCTCAAACCCCCATCCACAAACACATTAAACAGCTCTCCTCGTCCTACTCTCCAATTTCCAAACCAGTAAGTCTCAGTTCCCAGTAACTTACCTAAAATACACATACTTCTTACTCTCTTCAGTTCACAAGTTTCTTAACATTAATTTAGATACCTTCAAACTGCCAGCTTAAGACTATGGGGAAAATAGCAATCAGAAAAAAACTGCCCAGTTACCTCATAATACTGAAATTGTTCTGGATCATCAGTTAGCTATGTTCTAAGGCAGGAGTCAGAAATTTCTTTACTTCTCTCTGAAGAAGTAAGCTTGAGTGCCACTGGTAGGCCTACAGCAAGAGTAAAAGTGGAGAGAGAAACAAAGAAAAAGGATAGGAGAGAGAAGATGCCAGATGTACATGGTAAGGAGGTAGGTCAAGTACCACCACCAACTACCTGCATTTAAAATTGCCAATCCACTCCAGCTGAATGGGAGTTTGACCCAAACTCAACATGTGTCTGATAAGTCATTAGCTGATGGCTATCATTGTTTGAGCTAGTCAAGATGAATAGGTAATTCACCTGTCCCATAACTTTAACTGCCACTTCACGATAAGGACATATTTTCTTAAATCCTCCTAGGATCCTTCTGTGTTAATAATCTACCTTAGACCAAAACACACACTAACAAGAGTATTTCCATGTTTTTCACAATTCTAAAATAGAAGGACTTGGTCCTTGAACTTGGAGGCCTCTTGAATTATTAAAGTGGAACCAAAATCAAGAAAATTAAACTCTTTAGCTTAAACATTTTTCCATCTAATGCTACAAAATAAGCTAATTGCTAATAATTATCAAAACAATGTGTGTATTTATGAAAACATGAAAATCCTGTGATTCCAAAATGAGTGAAATACTTCTGATGTGTAAGAAGCAACTATATTTTACATAGAGGATCACCACCATGTTTCTGCCTATCAACAGGACAATCTTCCACAAAAGCAAAGGACATCAGGAAGGAAAAACACAAAACAAAACAAATACCAAACGTGGGGACAAAATAAAAATGAATGAGTAGTTATGACATTCTTGTTAAGAAAAATGTTAACAAGTGACCTTTGCCACACTCAGCTTTCCTAAAGACATAAATTGCCTGGACCATTCAACATCAAAACTTGGTAGTTAGCTTAGCAGATTCATTGGCTTGAAACCAATCATTATTTCTTATTTCATCTGGTTGTTCTTTTATCATGAAATTCTACCTGACTCATGCTAATTCTGGCTTATTTTCACTTAGCCTGTAATGAAATTTCTGTTCAAAAAGGACGTGTCAAATGGCCTATACCTTAAATTTAGGTTTTCAGGATCAAATAACTTCTTAAATATTAATATTAAAATCAGCTTTTCTTAATATATCACAAAATCTGCAAAGAAGATTCTATAATAATTCGTGAATAGCAGTGATCACTTTAGTTTTATAGCATACTTATGAATGGCCAAAATTTGGTTAATATGCAATGAAGAAAACAGAAATATTGTGATTTAAAAATTGATACACTTTAACAAATCTACACAAATAACTTTGGTGAATTTATCTATGTAAGCAATTCCAATAAATTATCTCTCCTACTTATTCCACTCTCAAGGAGATGTGTGTATCTATATACATATACACACACACAATGTATATATACATATATATGTGTATGTGTGTGTATACATCTCTCTCCAAATTATGAAGATATTCAAATTTAGGGATAATAAACTATAAATGTTATACTCAGAGTCATCACCAACTATTCCAAACCTAAGTTGCTACAGATGCCCTTGTTTTAGCATCCTTTTACATAGATAGCAAGGTCTCATTCTGATACTCAAAAGATTTTAAAAAGGGAAAAAAGTCATTAGACTTGGTATCTCACTTTTTATGGTGAAGAAAATCTTAAAATTATGTTCACATGTAAAATAAAATGAATTGTGGAGCTATGAAAGCTACTAGACCATCAATTTCAGATAGCCCCATTCTAAAATTATCTGGAAATGTGTGTGTATATATAACCTGAAAAAATGAGTGGGAATATTGTAGACAAGAAGGTGAACCATGTGTGGAAGATAAAAATAATCATGCCCATATGGTGGGGTCACCAGGTCTAGCAGATAACCCAAAATGTCATAAAAGAAAAATGTGTTTAGAAAGTTTGAACAGGGCCAAAACACAAAATGTTAAAAGCACACAAACAAAAATGAATGAGATAATCCCCCCAAACGTCAAGTTACATAAGAAAATAGGAAGAAAAAAGTTGACATAGTATCTTTTAAAATATATCAAATCTTAACTGACTTAAAAAATGATATAAAGTGCTTGGGCCATGATACCCACCCAGATTCTCATTATCAACGGATTTATCTTTTCCCCCTCCCTTCCACCCAAATTTAATTCAGTTTTCCTTAAGAAAAAGTACAGCATCCCTATATTAATAAGAAATGAAAACAGTGAGTACAACTGATATAGATCCATTGACTTTTATTACAAATGTACTTGATCACTTGGCTTCAAAAAGTTTAAAATCAATACCCTATTTTCTGTATGCCAGTACAAAGCAAACTGTTTTACAAATTAAATACCTAAAAATTTGACAAAAATATTAAAATTTGATGAAAAACAATTATAAAAATCCTTAATCTCTCTCTTCAAAAAAGGAGGCAGTCTTCCCACTCCTATTATACAATATTAATAATATTCACCATTTTTAGAATAGGTAGCTAAATTATATCTTTCTGTTAGCATACAAAACTTAGACTAATATATTTGTATATGCTCCAGTTAAGTTTGTGAATGCCATCTGATTGCAATATAATCAACTATCTTTAATTGAATCCTAATTTACACTTATTTAATAATTTGCATAGTTTGAAAGGGATAAAGGTTATTCTACAACTAATTATCATAGGCTATTACAGTGCTACTTTTCAAGGCAATAAGTATTTGCTCCCAAATGAAGTATATGTCTTCTTTAGGCAGGGGTTAAAATTACTAGCAGCTTTCTCTATTACCTGAAAAATCAAATTGGAAGTTATCCATCTCTCTAGATGTGAAGGCCTGAAAAAACATAATATACTTTCCGCTTGGAATCAAATTTCAACCCCTGCATGGGACAACTAGAAAGTGAGACTTTCAAGGTTTTTTATTTCCCTGTTGGTTTTGGTTTCTACTCTCCATGGCTTTTTGAGAAGCTGGAAAACAGTTTGTCTTTTCTGACTAGCATTGTCTTTTTTTCCATTTGGCAAATATTCATCTACCTCCAATCTGTATCTAGTAGAGGAAAAGCCGACATGGCTTTTCTTATGAACTTCCTTTGTTGTCAAAGGCATGTATAATGATTTCTACAGTTCTGGTTAGTTAACTTTAGCTCCCTCTGTGGCTGGATGACTGCTGCTTCTAACATCAGCATGATAAATAGGAGGCACAAATAAAAAGTAGCTTAAAAAAAATTTGGTGATTTAAAAGAAAAAAACAACTCCAAACACACACACATACATAAGCATTTCAAATCTGGTGGCTGATCTCTGGATTAAATTACTTGACAGTGTCTCTCATTTTAAAGAACGTCAATATTGCAATGCAGTTCAAGTTTTCTTTTATACTTAGGCAAATAATACAGTTTAACCAAGCTCTTGGACCTTAATTGTAAGACAAAGCAGATCAATAAAAATAAGGCATACTTCTCAGGAATTAAGTTTTGTTTGCTTGTTTTTGGCACATTTGATCATACTGTCTTCTATGAATAACACATATGGTCAAATATACCATTTCCTTATTTGTTTCAGCATAAACAGGGTTTACCAACTAGTAAAATAAAAACAAGGAAAAATTCCAACATAAAACACTGATATATAGAAACTAGGTAAAGTACCGAGCACCTGGGAGGGAAGGGTAGGGAAAGGATGCAACAGAAGAGGGAAGACAAGGTTTGGGAGGGTGCTTGGGGAGGTAAAGTGAGATGCTTAAAAAAAGAGCATCTTTACAGTCACTTAGTCTTTTCTATGATCACTTTTTAAGTCTTAAAAGATCTGCATGTGGATTTCTTTTTAAACCCACTGACCATAAATCAGACACTGGTTTCAAAATCGTAGTTAGATTGTATTAAACTGTTTTAGTGTAAAGACAATTAATTGCACAATACATGTGCTTCTTGAGCCGGTGGGATTCCAAGCAGAATCTGAAGTCTATAGATAAGAAAGGCTTCACTTTAGGTAACTCTGGCCCTAAAGAAAACCTCATGAAAGAACTCGCATCTCAAAGAAAGGACACTTTGCCTAAGTTTGCTGTGTTTTTGTTGACTTGCACTACTTATTGCTGGCTACTATGAAACAGTGATCTAGGAGTACTCCAACAACCTGTAGTACAAGGCTTAACTTTAAGAAGCTATAGTAAACAAGAGACAAAATCAAAGCAATTCTCTTTCCTAATTAGTAACAGCACAGAGAATGCAGTCTTTTCCATATCACAGTTAAAGTACAGTGAACAAAACAGCTCAACAAACCTTAAGACAAAAAAGTGCAGGTTATTAATGTTTACATGCAGTTGATAAGCATTCCAAATGTCACATTATGCACTGTAAAAGCTCAACTTTACTATATGGAAATAAGAAAAATGCACCTCTGGGGAGGGGGAAAAGCAATTTAATCATTTCCAGTGATTTTGTAAGTAAAGAAACTCCTAACTACTGTACGGTCACCTCATATTTAACATTGAATATTAAAAGCAAACAATTTAATGGGAAAATGCACAGTACAATGAAAATAGCTTGTTATTCAACACATACAGTAGATCTCAAAAACGAAGACAACACACTCAACCAGGGAGCATAAAAATATCAAATCAAAACCCAAAGGACCAGCAGAAAAAAATCCTTCAAAAAGACAACTGTTTGCCTTCCTAGGCCAATGCTTTACAATATAAGAAGCACTGATACCTTCCCGCTCCTACAGGTGGTGTCTTATACATACAGCAGTTAGATCTATATGGCTGGATTTGCCAAGAAACAATTCCATCCCCAGAACTCTCTGTCAGACAAGACCCTTTTTTTTTTTTTTTTTTTTTACCAAAATACTTTCTACAGAATTCCAAACCAAAATGTACTGTTTAAGGCATCTTTTTTATAACATTTTCTCTTCACTCAAAGATGATAGTCATGCAGCAGTTTAATGATAAAAATATATTAATATTTTACTATACAGCAGCAAGAAGTTAGTTGTCAATTAAAAGCACACAAACATCTTTAAAGGAAAACCTGTAAAAGACTATCGTTACAAACAATTTCAGTTTGGAGGACACCAGCTTGGTAAAGTGCTCTCCTAAACTTTGCATTTTCATACCCTACACCTTGAATATATGAGTTATAGAACATACTTTTGATAGAAGGCTTGTACACTTGGGGAACACAAATACACTTAGCATATAATGTAGCCAGTAATAACTAGCACCACAGCTACATGGAAATCCTTTACATACACCAACTTGGCTTTCACTTTTAAAACAAAACTCAGAATCCATGGCTCAGTAGGATAACTATAATTGTGTTGCTCTGCTTTTTAACAGGTCTACATAAGTTAATAGCACTAGCAAAAATCAAAGAATAGCTTCAGACCTCTTACAAGTTTAGGAGACAGTGCTAGTGACCACAAATAGACTCACTACCTGATGTCCAAGTACAGGTTCACTGGAAATTGCTGCACGTTAGTTTTTTAAAATCTTTCTACACATAATAAAAAAAATATATTATGAACGATACAAGTACATCTCATATACACAATAATGACAAAACGCCTACTCAGTCAAAGCAAACAGATGCAGAAAAATATTATGGGAGATCTCCTTTTTCTTTCTTTTTCCTTTTACTATTTGAATAACTTTGGTTCCAACCATAAAAATCACAACTTAGCAAATTTCATTTAAATGCCTTTTTTAATAATTTCTTCATGTTCACAGAAGTTTCACTGACCATTTTTATAAGTTTAAGGTCCAGATGCAATGCATATTGTATAAAAGAGAGCACTTATTGTTTACCTTGCATGAATTAAACCTACGTACCTTTAACTCTACAAACTTCTGCATAACATTTAGACAAAGCTCAGACACACAGCATGCCTAGCCCTCATATATATACACATCTCTAATCACAGGTATATAGGGTGTCAAATATACTATAATAACCTCCATGTAAGGTTTGAAATTTGGTAACAAAATGAGAAAAACTAAAAATATTATTTTACGTGTTCTAAAATATCTCTTTTTTGTGCTAAAGTCAAATGTTAGCTCAACATGAAAAGGACTTTTATATAATTCAGCAATATTATAATCTTGACCATTTTGCAAACACTTTTTAATAATAATAGCTTAAACGTGTACAAAAGTTCTTGGTTAATTAGGGAAATAAACACTCAGTTCTTTATATTTTTTAATCAAGTAGGAAACACAGTTCATATAATGTTATTACTTTTTGTATTTTTTTTGTTTTTAGCAGCTGCTTACTGTTTTATATGGTGGATAAAGTGGACAACATCCAGCGATGGGTGGCAAGTCAAGAAGAGAAACTGTCAGTTGGTGGAGGTTCTGTGGGTGGTGCTCCCTTGGAGTTAACAGGTTTTTTTTTTTTTTTAACTTTTTAACTTTTTATTTTCTCTCTTTCTTTACAGTATATTTTCTGTGTGTGTGGCTGTGTGTGTGTGTGTATGCATGTGTGTGTGTGTGGGGGTTTCATTCAGTTTGATCAATCTTCTTCCCCTTCTTCCTCACCCTGCAGTAGCAGGGTGGCAGCGGCGGTCTCCTCCTGCTGCTGCTGTTGCTGCTGGTGAAGCTGCTCACAGGCAGCCCGCTTCTCCCTCTGCTTCTCTTGAATCTTCTTCATCTCCTCCGAGTACTTGCAGAAGGTGTGTCCGAACTTGGCCCACACCTTGTAGGGCACGGTGATGGAGTTGCGATAGGTGGGCTTCACCTCGCTCACTCGCATAAACACGCCGTACTTGTTGGAGCCCACATCGAAGAAGAAGCGCTTGTTGTCCACAGTCAAGGAGGTGCCCTCGGGCAGCTCGGCCGGCTCCTCCTCCACTCCGTAGTCGTCGATGAGCTTGGCCAGAGCGTCACGGAACTCGATGAGCCCCTGCGCGGGCAGCGCAATGGTCTGGCCCTGCGTGGAGCCCAGGCCAGGCCCCCGGTTGACCGTCTGGCGGATGCGCAGGAAGCGGCCGCGCTGGTTCTCCTTGAGATCCATGTAGTACTTGCGGTTCTCGCGCACCAGGAACTCGCTTTTGAGCGCCCGGCGCGGCTCGTCCTGCGCCTGGGCCAGGTCCGGCGGCTGGCTGGGGCCCAGCTGCGCGTAGTGCTCGATGAAGTCGCCCAGGTAGTCGCGGAACTCCACGGCCACTGACATGGAGAGAGTAAGGCGGCTCTTGTTGCCGCCCGCGCCCACCTCGGCGATCTTCAGGAAGCGGCCCTTGGCGTTCTGCTTCACGTCCAGGTAGAAGCGCTTGTTCTGGATGTCCACCCGCTTGGAGGCCAGCTCCTGCGTCTCGTGCTGCAGCCCCCCTGGGGCCCCGCCGCCGCCGCCGCCACTGCCGCCGCCGCCCCCGCCGCCACCACCGCCCCCGCCGGAGCCTGAGCCCGAGCCGGGGTGCCCCAGGGAGCCGCCCGAACCCAGCGCCGCACCACCCTGCTCGCTGCCGCTGTCTCGGTCCGCCATGATGCTGCGCTCCGCTGCCGCGCCGCCGCCGCCTGCCGCTCCGCCCGCCGCCTCAGTCGCCTCAGCCGCCGCTGCTTTCCCTCCCCGGCTCCGCCTGCTGCCGCCGCAACCCCCACAGCCAGTCAGCCACTCTCGCGAGATCTGCGGGAGAGACGAGACAGACGAGACCCGGTAACAGGGCACTGACTCCCCAGTACAGTAGCAGGGCGCCCTACTGTACGCGCCCACCCGCCCGCCGGCACGTGACCTGCGCCCCCTCCCCGCTGCCAGCCCCCCGTCCGCCCGCCCGCCAGGCGGCGCCCACCCACCGGCCCTCACCCTACAACCCTGGCTGGGTGGGGGAGAGGGAGCAGGACGCGCAGCGTCGCAGCTGCTGCTGCCGCTGCTGCCGCCACCACTGCTACCACCACCACCACCACCACCACCACCGTGGCTGTCGCTGTTGGGCAGACCCTAGGCGGCCTCGGCCTGGGGAGTTAGGGGACTAGGGGTGAGAAGGAGTCTGCCATACTAAGCACAGAGAGTGGGCCTAAGCTCTGCTTTCCAGTGACCCCCCAAAGAGGATGTAGGAGGAGGGGCCTGCGCGGCGCAGCAGAGCCCCCTGCAAAGAGGGGACACCGAGTCACGGCCACCCCCTCTCATGCGGGCCTCAGCAAGACCCAAACCCAAACCTAGACAGGCCCACCCGCCACCCGGCTGGGTTGTCTCCTACCGCAGAGCCTTGGCCGCTGAGGCAGGCAAAGAAGAGAGGTGGTGCGGTGGTAACCCTTAGCTGCAGAGGGGGCTGCTGGGGATGAGGTCGGGGCGCCGGCAGCAGTGGCGTGGAGCAGCAGACACCTAGCCTGTCCCTCCCCTCTCTCTCCCGCCGCTCCCCCTCCCCGCACACACGGCAGTGGCTCTGGCCTCAGATGATCCCGCTCCCCCCTCCCCCCAACCGCAGCCCCGCACAGTCGGGCGGGCGGGCGCACTCACCGATGGGGGGAGCCGAGCAGAGGACAGTAGACGCACCAGGGCTAGGGTGCCCGCAGTGACTGTTCCCGTCGACTCTGCCCTTCCCCACATGCAACAATCAAAAAGAAACTCCACACTCACCCAAAAACCTGCAGCCAGTCCCCCTTGGGACCACGACTGACTGCCTGCCCGCCCGCCTCCCCCTCCTCCTTCTGAGATTTGGGGAAGGGGGGCACCCTGCTCAGGGCTGAGCCCAGCCTGAGTTGCTGGCCAGCTCTGCGGATGAACCAGGCCCTGTGAGCATTCAGACCCTAGCCCACTCTTCTTCCTTTCTGGAAGGACCCAGAATGGAGGAGAAAACCAAGCAGGCTTTCGGAAATTCATGAGCTAAAAATGTCAGGAATTTCCTGGGAAACGCAGTTCCTTACGGGATTCATTAAAGCAGGTTCGCTTGCCCCTTTTACTCTTCCCAGAAACTTGTGTCAAGGAGAGATCCCACTCCCAAAAGTAACATATTAAGTGGTCGCTGGTTTTTATGCAGACAGCTAAGTTGCTGACCATTAATTAACCAGTGAGTCTTTGGACGGTGATAGCTAAAAAGGATCTTCTCTGGTATTAGGGGCTCAGGAGTAGAGGAGCTCAGAGATACCTGATTTCTCTTTTACTAGACCTGACGTATAACCTAGGGCTTATTTCCAGATAGGTATTGAGTGCTTGTACTCTCTCACTGCAGTCTGCAGCCCTGGCACTCTGGGGAAAGCTAAGGCCTATCTCCAGGGGACCCCCCCCTGCCAATGCGCCCACTCTCTCCCCCATCACCTTCTACAGGCAGCTGAGAGACACAGATCACACAGCTCTGCCCCTGGCTTTCTCAAGCACAGATCGTTGCCTCTATCCTGAGAAAAGTATACCTATTCCATTTGTGGGTTCTATTCCCATTGAGCATCTCCCGCTTCCCCCAAAAGTAAGGAGACTTGCCTCCCTCACTCTTAGCCCGAGGGACAACTGGGAATATGATTGCCCAGCTTCCTAGAAAAGAGTGGACTAACGATCAAGAAACCAAGAGCAGGCTAGGGAATAAGCCTTGCTGATTCCTGAACCCTCAAAGCCCCCCTTACCATATCTCTTCACCTCCTGAACAAACTTGCCTGCTAGGTATTCACAGCTTCCTTTTTCTCTTAGAAAGAGCCCCATTCTACTCAGCATTAGCTACTTCAGCCCTGGGCTGAAGTTTGCGACTTCCTACTGAAAAGAAACAAGAAGCACCTGGCCACCAAGGAGCAAACAGGCGCTGTCCTGTGCACCCGTCTCAGAACCACCCACCTATGTCCAGTGGTCCCTGAAATGGCTCTCTGAAGGGAAGGCTCCACACCAAGAGATAAAAACCCAGACTTTGGGCCCCATAAAGAACTTCCCCTTATTTGGGAGGCAACCTCTAGTACCCTGTAGTACTCTTTCCGTGTTGATTTTTTCTGCACTCCTTCCCCTGTCCCAAAGTCTATTGAGAAGGGGACACAGGAACTTTTGAAGCACTTTGAACTGCACAGAAATACACGTGTGAAGAAGCAGTAACTCCTCCAGGCTCGAACAGTAGCAATCAGGACTCTGGATAGACCCCAGCGCCTCCAGGGACAAAAAGGCTCAGTAGCAGGCTCTCCACAGAGAATGGAGTGGGACATTATGTTTCACTTGTAAACTGAGGCTAAGATCTGGTACAATCCGATCTAGAAGGGCTGCTGCTCTTCCTCAAGAGTTTACCTTGCGTCAAACCAAGCCCCTGCTCCCTAATGAAAACTCAAGGCAGCAACAAGGCCAATGAGAATACGATGAGGGCCCCACCCACCCCCCCTGCCAGTCCCTGCCTTTCTTCCGTGCTGATTGCTGCCCCCAGGACAGAAGACTAAGACTCGAAACTGCCCCGCCTTCCTATCCCAACTTCCCGCCTTCGTATCCCAACTTCCCGCCTTCCTATCCCGACTTGCAGTCTAAATTTTCTTGCCCTCCGTCCTAGACGTCTATATACAGGGATTCCGAATGATTTGAGTTTGGAAGTGCCCTGTTTTTCTGAAAAAGTGACTGCCACCAAGAACTGACTTCTTAGTTACCCAGCGCAGAGGCAACTGATGAAGTTTCCAGACAGAACACAAGTTGAATCTCATTTGTACACTTAAACTGGGAATTTTAAGGTCAAATCAGCAAATTACTGGGACCTAGATCTCTCCACATAAATATGTACTTGTTTTATGCTATTCATTATATATGTATAAAACTTTTGCCCTTATTTGCCAGCTTCTCTACTTTATATGTGTATCTAAAAAGCAAACAAGATTAACAATGCCTTTCCAAAATAATTCAATGATAAATAGGATTTTTAGCATATTTTCACTACTGAAACGAGAGTTAATTTCAGAATAAGCCTTTAAGTGTGGGCTTTTTCTCAGACTAAGGAGGTGAAAGGCAGCTTTCTTTGGGCTATAGTGTACAGTAGCCTTAAAAGGCAATCTGGGAGAAATGAATATAAACTTCCAGAAGTCTTAAAACAAAAAGTTTAAACTTTAAATAAAACTTCACAGTTATATTTGCATTGTAACACTGAAAAGTCATTAGAAAATAAGTGGATTTTAAGACTTCTAACCATTTGTTAATAATCTAAACAATATACTAACTTGGTGAATGAAGTCTGTTCTAGTATCCAGCTGTTTGAATTTGTTAATGTAAAACAAATAGTTGTAAAACTAAATGTATAATTTCATTAGAATGTAGGAAAGACAAAGGGAAAACGAAATATACAGCAAATTAATATGCAGCAAAAATCCATGTTAATGAAAAACATCAAAAAGTAAACATTTCCTTTCTCCTCACAATATGCTTACAAAGACATAATGTCTCTAGATTTCTTGAGCCCTTTTATTATTAATACAACAGACACATTTTAAAGAGAATAGAGACTGCTTTATTTTTAATCCCACTGTCTCTATGTATTTAACAAACTCTTACCAACAAAAAATTGTGCGCAAAGAAATACACATTAGGCAGAACAAAAAAGAAAAAAGCTTTAATTTTCTTCAGCCTGACTACAGGTGATTCTGAAATAATCTAATTCAGTTTTGGTTTTATAAAGTAAAAATCAACACACATTTATAAAATAGACTTGGAAAGAGGTTGTCTACCTCTGGGTAGTAAACCCTTCTGATTATAGAGTTCCTAATAGAAACAATATGTTGATTAATATTTTACAAAATCACAAATTTCCAAAATAAAGAACATTAGAGCTTGTGTTTTCAAGTGATACTTAGATTAAATACCAGTCTTAAACCAGACAACTATCTTCAATACCCAAATCATTAAAACTAACTGGGATGTTGTACTGTAAATGTTCAAAGTGGAGGAATTAGCCATTTCTTCTCATGACTGTCTACCAAAAAAATTGAGAAACTCTCAAATAAATCTTAACATTTAACAACAACAATGACTAATAGTAACAGCATTTCCCAGATCGTTCTTTAAAAGCGTATTCCTTTTCCATAGCTCACTTAATCTTGAAAATCATGCCTCTTCAATGCTATTTTAATGTTTCGGATTAAAGATATGAAGTAAACATTTAATATATGAAGAGAACAATCCACTTGATAAAAATCCTCGCATTTCCAAAATGTTTTCATTTTAAGCATTTGCAGAAGTTAAATAAATGTAGCAGACATTCTAAATTCGATAAAAAATTCAGAGAACCCGACATTTTATGTACCCCAAAGGTCCAAACAGAACCGATGTAAATGTCAATAGCTGTCTCCCTTCCGGCTGATACTTAAATGGTTTTACTAGTACTCAAAGCAATGAAATCAGCAACTCTCTCTCCACACTCTAGTCAACACTCCAATTTCCAAAGCCGCAATTCGCAAACGTCAGTTGGGCGGGGGCGGTGGGGGATCTTGAAGTAATCCAAAAATTTCCTTTCCCCTTTGACAGTCCACCAAAAGATGTCAAACCAAATCCAGCCTATTGTAAAGCTCTGGGACCTCCCTTCCAAGGACACCGAACACAAGCTTAGACACCGCTGCGAAAAGCTGTCCAAAAGCGCCTGGCCGGACAGAAATGTAAGGAGCCCAGGCCAAAACGAATTAGAACCCCCAACAGAGGGTCCCGCAGACACCGCGGAAAAGAAGGTGGCATTTATTCCGGGGTAGACAGCTACGAACCAGTTACCCCAGCCAGTCTCTGGGGGCTCTCCAACCCAAGTTCAGGTTTATGGCAGATATATTGGTTGGGTGCCTTCCCCTACAAACATCACAGCCCGCCTCCGGGGCCCACCGCCGCTCACAGAGAAGACCCCTCAGCTTCACATCCGTTCCTTTTGCCCTCGGACAAAGGCAGAGGAGCTGTGGAGCTGACCCAGCGCTGTGGGGCAGTAAAAATGCCTTGTTCGGGCCACCCATCTTTGGGCCCGGCTTCATCTGCGATGTCAGCACCAAAGGTTTTTTTTTTTTTTTTCCTGGTTTTGTTTTGTTTTTACAACGCATCCTGGGCGGGTGTATGCATTTGGTGGTAGTGGGGTGGGGGGAACCGAACAGAGGAGGGGTTGGCAGTGAAGCCTGGGTTATAGAACTCTCCTTCCTCTCCCTCCTTCCAGGGTTGCCGTGCAGGGAGTGTCAGCCACGTCTAGCGCACAGTCCCAGGCCCCAGGGCGAAGGCGGCCAGGGGAAATGGGGCTCAGGGATTGCTAAGCAAACGCATCACTGGTGGTCTCCAGCGCCTGCGGAGGTAGGATCGCCTCTTTTCTTAAGGGGCGTGTTATTTTGTTCTCTTTTGAAAGTAGGAGGGGGTTCATTCGTTTCTCGCTGCGGGGGGTGGGAGAGAACGTTGCTGCACCGCCTGGGTCTCCAAGAGGGAGGGTGCGGGGATGTCTGCAATGGTACTATAATTATTCCTGGGCTGAGAGAGCAAGTAAAGGGGACGGGGCGAGCGTCACCTGGAGCTGTGGCAGTGGCAGCAGGGAAGGTCGCGAGGGGCTTACCCGGGCGGGCGGGCGCTGTCCTGCCGCAGGTGAGGGAGGGCGCAGGCTGGCGGGAGGGAGGGCGCGCGCGAGACAGGCGCGAGGAAGGGGGGAGGGGAGGAGGGCGCGCGCGCGCACACCTGTCCTGGACAGCGGCGCTAGCCGAGCTGCGCCTCACTTAGGCTCTGCGGGCTGAGGAGGAAGGAGGGCGGGCTGGCGGGCGGGGGCGGGACGCCGAGGGGAGGAGGAGGAGGCGGCTCGGATGGCTGGCTCGGCTCTCGCTCGCTCTCCCTCCCATGGGCAAGTCCGGCTCACACCCTGCTTCTCCCGCTCACTCACAGCCCCCTTGGCTCTCCCTCCTCCTCCTCCTTCCCCTGCGGGATCCGCTCGCCGCCGCCGCCGCCGCCGCAGACGGCAAGTCGTGGCAGCCAGACGTCGGCGCGTAACCCGGCGCTCCGTGCGTGACTCCAGGCGACGTCAGCGCGCGCTCCGCGTTCCCCACCCCTCCTCCCAACTCCGTGGCTCGCGCCCTTCGCTCTCGCGTCCCTCCGTTTTAGCTGCCGCCGCGGCGGCCGCCGAGCGCGCTCTTTCCGCCCCCTTCTCGCGCGTGAGCGCGCCCTATCGGCTCCTGGCGCGTCAACATTCCGCGGGCCAGGCCTTGGGGCGCGTCTGAGGAGGGGGATGTCTGTGGCCTCTCCGCCCACACTTCCTCCACCCACCGCCCACAGCGCCCCAGAAGGACCTATTACTCGTTTGGCTTCTGAAGGCCGAAGCCAGGCTCTGGCGGGGATAGAACCCTGAAGGGCCTGCGCCAGCTCCAACTTAGGGCCCTGTGCGTCGTTGCGACTTCTGCTACCACCCTATCACGCGGCACCCCCGCCCCAACTCCGCCCGGGTCTCTGAAGAGGCAATAGGCCTTTCATCTCCGGGGAAAGTCTCACCTTGGCCCTCAGACACCCGCCAAGAGGGGTCGGAAGGACAGAATTAGCATAGAGAAGAGTGGCTAGAGCACTTTTCAGGCTCTGGCCCCAGGAATCCTTGACAGGAAGCGTGGGGTTGCTGCCCAGCCTCCCACGCAGTGTAATATGTTGAAGCCGGGCCCCTTTGAGGGAATGCGACTTCCTTGGGCCGAGGGGGAAAGGGTAAAAGTTAATTTTCATAAAATGCTATGCAAGGGCTAAATGTGAAATTATAAAATGTCCTTTAAGACAGTCTTCTTGAAATCGTATCAAGTTTGACAAGATTTTTGGTGCACGGTAACGCTTTTGCTCGCTTTCTACGCTGTCACGTCTCCATCCTGCAACACTGAATACGTAGATGGAACGTGGATCAGCTAATAACTGCAGCAAAATAAAAACTGCATTTATCATCTTTATCATTATTTAAATAGACCTCCGAGAAGTCAAACTGTGATTTAGGAAAACTTAATCATTGCCTCAACCTATTTAACTATTTTGTTTTGAAGTTACTTTGCAAATATACCACAAAATCCCTCTTTGTTAGGCAGTGGTAGACTTTTAAACTCACTTGTTAGAGAATCTTTCCCAGAAGCATATCTAGTTGAGCCTGCGAGGCAAGTAGGACTAAGGTATAATTACTCCCATTTTACAGATGAAAATTTAGTTATCAAAATGTAAGTCAGTTGTTCAGCATTGTGAGGAGTCTATCACTGATAAAGGGAAAACTCTAAGGTCTATTATTGCCTGCTTTATTCACTAAACCAGAAATCTCTCAATTGTTTTTTTCCAAGTATCTTTTGCTGCCTCTTACGTATTGTAGGCAGTGCCTGATGGCTGAGAAGAATCGCAGAGGACTAGAAAAGGTTTGAGTCTGAAATTATCTGGCACAGAGGATTAAAGCTCAGAAATAAGTGATTGCGAAACAGTTCAACTTCCCTGTTAATGACAACAACAACAGCAACACGCTTATTAATTCCTAGCTGGAGGTGAGAAAATGAGACTGGCTTAAGGGTGATGGGTCATTTCCTTTGAATTGCTTCTTTATATTCACCTCATCTTTAGGTGGCAGCACTACTATATAAATATCCTTCGAAGTACAGTCTTCTGCATCTTAATATCCTAAAGGATATTCTGTCCTAAATGTTTCCAACTGTATTGTGGAGATTAGAAACTGGTGATTTAATGATCTAAAATCATAGCTGAGAATTAGAAAACTTGGAGGTTCTAGAGGAGGAAAAACAAAGGCTATCAGACACATTAATAAAATACATGGAGCTACGGAGGGAAAACATTAGAAAGTTTCAAGAAAAAAGTTTTTTAGGTGTATGAGGAGCAAGTAGCATCTCTTTAAACCTTGTCTTTTATTGAAACATAGGACAAGATAACCTTCCAAAGCAAACCATCCTTTCTCAGTACTGCATATTTATCAAGCATTTACAGGTTCGAAGTTGCTAGTTATATAGTTGCTTGTACTCAACTGTAATTTAAAAATTCCGATGCAGTTTTTCCTAATTAACAGCATCAAGCTTATGAAGATTTCCAAGACTTTATTGTTGACCCTTGTTGAAGAGAACTCTACTTGGCTTCTTTCCTGGCTTTCCTAAATTGTTCACATACAAGATAAACTACCGTCATTCAGACTTACAGAAGTGAGAAGACAAGCTGAACCAAATGTAAAATGGTAGCAATTTACAGGTAATTCTGTATCTTAATTTCTCCCACATTTTTAGGGTAAAAAATTGTGATATATGGGGGTTATTTGGATCAAGTGTTTTCTAAGTAGAACTTTGTCATAATTAATTTTATGTATTTATAGTAGTTCTCCCTGTGTCCCTTTATCCAAGCAACACAATACAATTGAATTTATATGCATTTCAAAATAGACTCCATTTGATTTACCGTGTAAATACAACCACCAAGGAATATAGAGGTATGACAATCAGGAGTGAGAAATAAAAGCATTTCTGGATAGAGGATGAAGTGTTAATAGTCTTTCTTTATGGCGTCTTCCATCTATCTCAAGTCAAACTTGGAGGAGGAGTCTCAAGCAAATTGGTAGTACTCAAACTCTGCAGTATTATGTTAAGATTTTTAAGCTGTCTGGTGCCAACAAATCATGCAGCCTGGGGGCCTTTGCTCCAAACTTCTGCCAACTCCATTTTGGCAGTAAAATGTTCTGTTGAACAAAGTTTGCACGTGTTTAGGGTGTGAAGTGGTTCCTCAGGCATTTATCTAGTTTTATTCCAGTTTAGGGACTTGAAGACAAGGGTCAGAAGTGTGAGACTTGTAGACTTGATATGTGCACTGAAACATACTATATAGTAGCAATCTTGAATTTTTGGTTTAAGCAAGGACAGCTTTTTCTTTGTTGATACTGGAGTTATTAAAGTGAATCCTTTAGTTTACTCCTTAAAGGCTAACATGGTATCGAATTGGTTTTCATAAGCAGGTAAGCAGAACCCTCTCTGTTGAGGGTATAAAGCTGGGGAAAATCATTCCTCATCCTCCTAACTACACCACCACCAAAATGTGTTTATCCAGATGAAACTCACTAAACAATAACTTGAGAGCAAAGGGACCAGTAATTATTTAAACTTGATCTCATTTGTCAAATTTTATGTAACTATGAGTCTCTGATCTTTTTTAGTATCAGTTGTCTGGCTTCATCTTTTTAACCCATCTCCTCCCATTCTGGAATCATTGGTTAACAGCACCTGAGCCAGATGTGTGTGCTAATTTGTTTTATTCCAAGGGTTCCTCTTCCAATAGAAAATGTATACAATCTCAATTTCCATTATTTTTTTCAAGTAATTCTTACAGAAAATCCTTATAGAATGTGGGATAACAGTTTGAAAGTCATTGATTAAGTACTATTGAAGCATATTTTTCTTTATCATTTAAGAGTAATGGCAAGAATAAAATACCAAAGTAAAAGTAACAGATGTTGAAATGATACTGTTGTCTTACATTTACCATAATCAGCAAAATGTAAATTTGTAGGCTACAAGTATGACAATTTGAAAATGGTAGTTATTCTTGATACTTTTACAAAGAGTGTGACCTAAATTCTTATTTGCACCTTTATTTTCTTTCCTTGTTTTTAAACGTAATTCAGATGTCAGAACTAACATGTGGATGAACTTAGAGATGGAGAAGAAAGCTGGGCTTTTCCAAAGAGTGGATCTATCTGAACTGGATAGCACTATTGAACTTTGTTGCATATTTTGTGGTAGCTCTAAAACTCCTCTGCTTGCTTACATACAACCAGACACCAGTGCCTTCTGAAGCTAATCCAGGCCATTTTTATAACCTAATGCAGTAGCACTTTGCAATTAGATGAAGAAGATCGGTGGGATTTCTTTCTGTGGTGATTAAAATGTGTCAGGGGAAGAAATCAAGACAATACTCCAAGTGAAAAATATAAAGTCAGTTATTTCTTTAATATTTTGTGTTATAGTAATCATTTTTATATTTTGAGCATACTTTTTCTTGTCTACTTAAATACTCAAAATTAATTATAAAATGTAAATGTAAGCACAATGAGATACCATCTCATCCCAGTTAAAATGGCTTTTATCAAAAAGATAGGGAATAATGAATACTGGTGGAAGGATGTGGAGAATGGGGAACCCTCGTACACTGTCAATGAGAATGTAAATTAGTACAGCCACTATGGAAAACTGTATGGAAGTGCCTCCGAAAACAAAGTAGAACTACCATGTGATCCAGCAATTACACTAGTGGGTATATATTCAAAAGAAAGGAAATCAACATATTAAAGAGATAGCTGCATTCTCATGTTTATTGAAGTCCTGTTGAAATAGCCAAAATATGGAATCAACCTAAGTGCCCATCAGTGGATGAATGGTTAAAGAAAATGTGATTGATATGCAATGGAATATTATTCAGCCATAAAAAAGAATGAAATCCTGGCGGGGCACAGTGGCTCATGCAAGTAATCCCAGCACTGACCTCATGAAGACAGAGAGTAGATTGGTGGTTACCAGAGGTTGAGAAGGGGAGAGGAGAGGAGGGATGAAGAGAGGTTGATTGATGGATAGAAATATACAGTTTGATAATGATAAATCAGTAGGGTGACTATAGTTTATAATAACCTATTGTATGGTTCAAAATAGCTAAAAGAGAATAATTGAAATAACGTAAGACAAAAATTTAAGATGATAGATATCCCAATTACACTGATTTGATCTTTACAAATTATATGAATGTATTAAATTATTACATGTATCCCCAAAATATGTACAAGTATTTTGTATCAATAAAAAATAAAATTTAAGATAAAGTAAATGTAATGATTAGCTTATATTTCCTAGATCGGAAATAAATATTTACTTAAGTATGTTTATGATGAAGAGTTTTTTTATATTACTATAAAAATAGACACCTTACATAAACATATTACAGTTGGTGTTTAGATGGCTCTTTTTTTTCTGGCCTTGAATTTCTGGAAAGTAGGTATGGCCTGCTATGTCAGGACTAGTTCTTGGAATTCTTTGTTGTTTTTCAGTCAGCCTTATTTTCTTGGGTCATGTTTTGAACAATATTTATCAAATGTCTGTTTACCAGACGTTGTTCCAGATGCTTGAACAAAATGAAATGTCTGCTGTCATAGAGTTTCCAGTCTATGTAAGACAGTAAACAAATGTATAATATAATGCTAGATAGTGATAAGTGCTAAAAAGAAGAAGAAAATAGGAAAGGGGAAAGAGAGTTTCTGTGTGATTGTATGTGAAAGTGTCCATGCATGCCGCTCACCCAGTATTTTAAATAGAGTGATCAAGGAAGCCTGTCTGAAGAAGTAACATTTGAACAGAGATCTGAAATAGTCAGTCACGGGAACATTTAGGGAGATGTTCCAGGCAGGCATTGTGGACAATTTATGTCACAAAAAAGTCACCCAAGTGTTAAGTCAAGTAACATCCTGTATGATAACTATATATACATTTTTTTGTTTTTTCTTAAGTGAAAAACAAACTTATTAGGTTTTCTGGGTACTCATTAGGTTTTCAGAAAAGTTTTTCATTTAATATCATTATTGCTGTATATTTCCCTTAATGATTATTCTATTATTTAATACATAAGATTTATGGCTCTACAGATACAGCTTCACAATCCCTTATCTGTAATTCCAAAATACAAAAAAATTTCTTAATTCATTTAGTGGCAAAATCTGAACTGACATGAATCTATTTAAAATTATCCTTTATGGGCCAGGTGCAGTGGCTTACGCCTATAATCCCAGCACTTTGGGAGGCCAAGGCAGGAGGATCACTTGAGGCCAGGAGTTTGAGACCAGCCTGGCCAACATGGTGAAATCCCATTTCTCCTAAAAATACAAAAATTAGCTGGGTGTGGTGGCACATGCTTGTGGTCCCACCTACTTGGGAGGCTGAGGCACGAGAATCACTTGAACCTGGGAGGTGGAGGTTGCCGAGATCTTGCCACTGCACTCCAGCCTGGGTGACAGAGCGAAACTCTTGTCTCAAAAAAAAAAAAAGTATTTATTCCATTTAGTGTGACTACTGATACATTTCATTGTAGAAACATTAGTGTGTTTGATGAAGGGTTGCTACACATTAAGTAAAATATAGATAATACAATGTATTGTACCCTAAAATATAAAAAAAATTAAATCCAGAAACACGTGTTCCCAAGAATTTTGGATAAGGGATTGTAGATCTGTGTCAGATTTCTTCTTGATTTTCTGATTAAATGTTACCATTGTTGTTAATCTTTAGATACATTGTTTTTAGAAGTATAATGCTATATAGTGCCCTTATTATATACTGGCATTGCATAAGCACTCTATATATTAGCTAATAAAATGCTAACAACAACTTTATGAGTAAATTCTATTATTCCCATTTTATGGATGAGAACACTGAGACGCAGAGATTAAGACACCTGCCCAAATCACAGTTACTAAATAGCAGAGCTAGAACTCAGTCTTCCTCCATAGCTTGCACAATTTAAACTAACTCTGCCTTTTCCTTCTCCTCTCCTTTCCCCCACCCCATGCCTGTAGTATTTATATTTAACTTACTTTGAAGAAGTTTTGAGTATCAGCCCTTTCCAAGAGCATGATTTTTACATCTACTTTGAAATACCAGACATCAACATTTTACATTTTCTTTACAAATTGGTGTCTCTCAATATTTTTAAAAATTGTATTTGTTCCTGCCCTAATTTCAGCCATTTCTGTTTCCAGTTGAAGTTGGAGATTTACTTATCCTCATTCTTGGTCTGTTAAGTTTTCACGCTAACATTAACTTTCACCATCCTTTTCCTTTCCTCTGAATATCTTTGGATAATTATGAGGCATTTCCTTTACTGTTGTGGCTTTGTCAGATGTCAGATCACATCAGAAATTTGGATCTACCAGGATGTACAAGGAACTCAAACATCTCAACAGCAAACAATCCAGTTTAAAAATGGGCAAATTATCTGAACAGACATTTCTCAAAAGAAGACATATAAATGGCCAAGAAATATATGAAAAAATGCTCAACATCACTAAGCATCAGGGAAATGCAAGTCAAAACCACAATGAGGTATCATCTCACCCCAGTTAGGATGAAGAGACAAAAAAATAACAAATGCTGATGAGGATGCAGAGAAAAGGGAACTCTTCTATCCTGGCAGGAATGTAAACTAGTAGAGCTACCATGGAGAACAGTATGGAGGTTTCTCAAAAAACTAGAAATAGAACTACCATATGATCCAGCAACCTCACTACTGGGCATTTATCCAAAAGAAAGTATATCGAAGAGACATCTGCATCCCCGTATTTATTGCAGCACTATTCACAATAGCCAAAATATGGAATCAACCCACAAGTCCAACAACAGGTGAATGAATAAAGAAAACGTAATGTATATATATATATATACACAATGGAATACTATTCAGCCATAAAAAAGAATGATATCCTGTCATTTGCAGCAACATGGATGGAAGTAGAGGACATTATGTTAAGTGAAATAAGCCAGGAACAGAAAGTTAAACACTGCATGTTCTCACTCATATGTGGAAGCTAAAAAAAGTTCGTCTCACAGAAGTAAAAAGTAGAACAGAGGATACTAGAGGCTGGGAAGGGTAGGGGAAAGGGAGAATAGGGAAAGATTTGTTAAAGGATACAAAATTACAGCTAGATAGGAGGAATAACTTCTAGTGTCCTACAGCACTGTAGGGTGACTATAGTTAACAGTAATACATAGTTTCAGATAGCTAGAAGGAGGACATTGAATGTTGCCAACAGAAAAAAAGACAAATGTTTGAGATGATAAATATGTTAATTACCCTAATCTGATCATTATACCTTGTCTGCATCAAAACATCACTATATACCTATAAATATATAAAATTATGTGTCAATTAAAAAATAAAATTTTAAAAATTTAGATCTAGTTTGCTGAGCAGAAGCACCTGTTAAGTGAAACCCTGTAGGTTTCTCTCACTTAATGAATTGCATTGTTTCAGATCACTTTGTTTTAGGCATATTAAATATGTGTTTTTGAGTTGGAATTGATTTTTTTTTTCATTAGTTTGCCCTTAGGTAAGGGTTCTTCCATAAGCAATCAGAAACTGAGGTAAGCTGGACTTGGTGGCTCACGCCTGTAATCTCAACACTTTGGGAGGCTGCGGTGGGAGGATATTTGGAGCCCAGGAGTTTGAGACCAACTTGAGCAAGCTAGCGAGACCCTATCCCTAAAAAAAGGTTTTTTGTTTTTTTGTTTTTTTTTGAGACGGAGTCTGCTCTGTCGCCCAAGTTGGAGTGCAGTGGCGCAATCTCGGCTCACTGCAAGCTCCACCTCCCTGGTTCACACCATTCTCCTGCCTCAGCCTCCCGAGTAGCTGGGACTACAGGCGCCCACCACCATGCCTGGCTAATTTTTTGTATTCTTAGTAGAGACGGGGTTTCACTGTGTTAGACAGGATGGTCTCAATCTCCTGATCTCGTGATCTGCCCGCCTCGGCCTCCCAAAGTTCTGGGATTACAGGTATGAGCACCTCGCCTGGCAAAAAAAGTTTTTTTTAAAAGAATTAGCTGGGTGTGGTAGTGCATGCCTTTTGTCCTAGCTACTTGGGAGGCTAGGTAGGAGGATTGCTTGAGCCCAGGAGTTCTACGTTAGGGTTAGCTGTGATAGTACCACTGCATTCCAGCCCGGGTGACAGAGCAAGACCCTGCCTCTAAACAAACAAATTTTAAAAATGAAAGATTCTATTATTTTTTGTTTGTTTGTTTATTTTGAGACAGAGTCTCGCTCTGTTGCCCAGGCTGGAGTATAGTGGCATGATCTCGGCTCACTGCAACCTCCGCCTCCCGGGTTCAAGTGATTGTCCTACCTCAGCCTCCTGAGTAGCTGGGACTACAGGTGCATGCCACCACACCCAGCTAATTTTTGTATTTTTAGTAGAGATGGGGTTTCGCCATGTTGGCCAGGATGGTCTTGATCTCCTGACTTCGTGATTCACCTGCCTCGGCCTCCCAAAGTGCTGGGATTACAGGTGTGAGCCACCACAGCCGGCCTATTTTTATTTTTATTTATTTACTTATGTATGTATGTATGTATGTATGTATGTATGTATGTATGTATGTATGTATTTTTGAGATGGAGTTTCACTGTTATTGCCCAGGCTGGAGTGCAATGGCGTGATCTCGGCTCACTGCAACCTCTGCCTCCCAGGTTCAAGAGATTCTCCTGCCTCAGTCTCTCTAGTAGCTGGGATTACAGGCATGTGCGACCACGCCTGGCTAATTTTTGTATTTTTAGCAGAAATGGTGTTTCTCCATGTTGGTCAGGCTGGTCTCGAACTCCCGACCTCAGGTGATCCACCCATCTCGGCCTCCCAAAGTGCTAGGATTACAGGCGTGAGCCACTGATCCTGGCCTATTTTTATTTTTAATTTAGTTATTTCTGGCTATATAAAAGCAAGATGAATTGAGTATATATTGGATCATGAGGTTTGTCAAAGACTACTATGCCTGTGTAATATAAATAGTAGGGTCAATTTGAATAAGTATAGGATATTGAAGTTTCCAAGTATCTATTCCTGATTGTCTCAAAGATCTATTGTAGACATTAAACAAATCACGTGTGTTGTTCTCTGTGAAAATTAATGTGTTGTCCCGGAATACAAAGATAAAAGTTCTGACACACTTTATGTAAAGCATTACCTTTTGTATAACGTTGATAGACTTGTTCTGAGCCAAACACAGTTTCTCTGAGGTCACTCAACAGCTCATGTTTGCTAAGGTTGGGGTGCAATACATGGCCACCAGAGCTAAAAGGGAATTAAACCCAACCCATCAATTTTACTTTATTAGCACAATGCTGAACGAAATTAGCCAACAAGTCCATTATTAAATTGCTGAGAAACCAAAAAAAGAAACTGAATAAATATGTACATGTGTTAAGACTGGCTATAAAGTATATCCATTTATTATATGACAAATTGGAGGCTTTGCTAAGACTTATCTTGGGTAACTTTCTGCCTCCATCTCATGAGGAATCAAAAAAAGGAGATTTTCTCATAGGACCAACCCAGAGACACAGCTGTTCTCCACTAGTTCCTCTGCAACATTCTACCTTCCTATAGGGTCCAGTACTAAACTTTTGAGACACACCCAGTGATATTCACAAGGTGTAACTATGTTTTGGGTGTGCAAATTTAATAGTTACAATATACCTCGATTGTATAAGAGCACACATTAATGAATTTGTGAGATTAACAACTTTTGAAAATCTTCTGTTTTTTCTAACTTTTATTTAGAACATCCCTCCTCTATTCGGTGTGGTGGTCGAGAACATGGGTCTGTGTAATCTAATCACCTGGATTCAAAACTCTGCTTTCAGATTCCTATGCAACTTTGGGCAAATTAAATTACTTAACCTCTATAGGCCCCAGTTTCCTCACTTATCAAATAAGGATGATAATAGTAACTAGCACATAGGTATATTGTGAGGATTAAATTAGTTAATTCATAAGATGCATTTAGAAGAGTATCTGACACATAGTAAGAACTCAATAAATGTAGACTCCCACTGCCTGTGGCATCACTTATTTCTGCCCTTCTCTCCAGGTCCAAGCCAAGCACAAGCTCTCCCTCCCCTTCTTATATTGCAGGCTCACAGAGGTTAAAGCACTAAGAGACTGTGGTGTCTAGGCTCCCATATATTACTATCCTCTGGCCTAAGATTAAAACTGTTCTCTTCCTCACCAACTGCATTGTTCTTGAAAACCTCCAAGTATTCTTCCCTTTTCTCAGTCTTGGGCATCCTGATTACTAGAGTGTGAGTTCCTTGAGTGTGGGGACTGTGACTTAATTATCTTGATGACTCCAGTCCCTTTCCCTCTCCCTGGCGCAGAGTCTATGCAAAAAAAAGATTTGTTGAATAAATGAATTAATTCATTTAGCCTTTGTGTGTTTTCCTTCATTTTCTCCTAGGTATTCTATTCGGACTCCAGTTTTTCTAGAAATTTTCCTGCTCCTTTTTTAAAATTGTTTTTTTTTTTTTTTTTTTTTTGAGACGGAGTTTCACTCTTGTTGCCCAGGCTGGAGTGCAGTGGCTCGATTTCGGCTCACTGCAACCTCCGCCTCCTGGGTTCAAGCAATTCTCTTGCCTCAGCCTCCTGAGTAGCTGGGGTTACAAGTGCCCACCGCCATGCCCGGCTAATTTTTTGTATTTTTAGTAGAGATGAGGTTTCACCATGTTGGCCAGGCCGGTCTTGAACTCCTGACCTCAGGTGATCCACCCACCTCGGTTTCCTAAAGTCCTGGGATTACAGGTGTGAGCCACTGCGCCCCGGCCCTCCTGCTCCTTTTAGCTCTGTAAATCTTAACTTCACCTAGTGATGCCGAGATTCCATTCTGCATCATCCCAATTTATTTCCTTTTTCTTTTTTTTTTTTTGAGACGGAGTCTCGCTCTGTCATCCAGGCTGGAGTTCAATTTATTTCCTTACTGGCAGGTAAGAGTTTCAGTTTACTGCACATTCCATTCGCATGTTAGGGAGGAAAAAATCCCATTTAGTTCACGTGGATTTAATTTCACTTACATTCTCTTGGCTCCAGCTGACTGATTAGTCCCTTAAAAATACTCTTTATTTCTGCATATGTAACAAACTTGCACGTTGTGCACATGTACCCTAGAACTTAAAGTATAATTTAAAAAAATACTCTTTATTTCATTCCTATTTGAGGATAGGGCCATGCCACCCTTAATTTCTTTACATGCAGAGTGAAAATCAGCTTTCTTATTTTTCACTTGGAGGAGGTGAGGATGAATTTGACCAATCTCTTAAATCTCTTAAAATTTTGCTTTTTTTTTTTTTGAGTCTCACGGCAACACCCAGGCTGGAGTACATGGTGCTATATCGACTCATTGCAACCTCTGCCTCCCAGGTTCAAGGAATTCCCCTGCCTCAGCCCCCTGAGTAGCTGGGACTACAGGCACACACCATCATGTCTGGCTAATTTTTTGTATTTTTAGTAGACACAGGGGTTCACCATGTTGGCCGGGCTGGTCTTGAACTCCTGACCCCAGGTGATCCACCTGTCTCGGCCTCCCAAAGTGCTGGGATTACAGGCGTGAGCCACTGCGCCCAGCCAAAAATTTACTTTTTAATACATACAAAAGATATACGCAACACATATATTAAGTATAACACTTAATAACATAATGAATACTCATGAACCTCTACCCACACCAAGAATTAGGACATTTCCTAGTAACGTGTATCTCCTTTGTGTTTCTCCTCTATCTCTTCCCCTCTGCCGTCATGGAAAACTAGGATCCTAAATTTTATGTTTATTATTTCTTTGCAGTTTTCCTTTTAAAATTTAGTTTCATCACAAAAATGTTAAAATAGCATGTTGTTTAATTTGCATGCTATTAAGCTTTATAAAAATGCTATCATCCAATGTATAGTTTTCTGGAATTCATTTCTAAGATTCATCCATGTTATTCTATACAATGATAGTTCTTTCATTTTCAACACTATATAACATTCTATTGTGTGAATATACTGCAATTTATTGTTCTGTTGATACATACTTGGGGGGATTGTTTCCAGGCTTTTGAAAATTATTATTCTAAACACTGCTGCTATAAATAGTCTTATACAGGCCTCATGGTAATGTATGCAAGTGTTTCCACCTAGAAGTAGAGTTGCTGCACTGTAGAGTATGCAAATATTCAACCTTGTGAGATAATTAATGCCAACTAGTTTTTTCTGTCTCACAGTGTATAAGAATTCTATGTACTCTTTAATGCTTGGTATTGTTATACTTCTTAATTTTTGCTAATCTAGTGGGGTAAAATGGTATTTGTCTATTTTTTTATATAGTGGAAGAAAGAGTCATCCTTACTTAAAGTAAATTTCCTCTTCCTTTATATATTAAGAGCTTACAGCTTGATTTGACGTTACTGTGCCTGGGAATTCCCTTGAGTGAAAACCATTTATTTGTGTGATAGTTTCTGCCTGGGACATAAAAACTGAGATGGGCTGGAAGCTGCTAACTGGGTTGTTTGAATGCTGCTTTTAAGTTGATCTTGCAAATAAACGCCAAATTATACACACTCTAAAATTTCTTAATAGTCTACAAAAATGGAAATATGTAAAATTACATTCTTTACTATCCTATACTATCACAAATTAATCTGGTCTTGAGCTTATATACCTATCTGCAAAACTTTTTAAAATAAAGCTTCCTTCAATCTGATGATCTAGAATGTTTCCACTAAACTAAGTTTAGTAAAGATATCTTTGTGTATTTTCATATATATATGGCAAATATATAGAGACAGAAAGTAGATTGGTAGTTTCCTAGGGCTGCTAGGCTGGAGTGCAGTGGCACAATCAGGGCTCACTGCAACCTCCCCCTCCCAGGTTCAAGCAATTCTCGTGCTTCAACCTCCCAGGTAGCTGGGATTACAGGCATGCGCCACCATGCCCAGCTAAATTTTGTATTTTTAGTAGAGATGGGTTTTCGCCATGTTGGCCAGGCTGATCTTGAATTCCTGGCCCCAAGTGATCCACCTACCTCACCTCCCAAAGTGCTAGGATTACAGGCATGGGCCACTGTGCCTGGGCCTGCATTCCTCTATATTTTAATTGAACCAAAGAGATTCAACTTACCCTCTTTTGACATGGTTACATGATGCAACACCAATTAATCTGTCAATGAAATTTCAAAACCCCAAATACTCATCACTGTTATCTGCTGAACTGACCCACACACATTAACAAGAAAAATAAGCCCAAACAGATGGTGCTGCTACGTTGTACCCTAAAATATGTGTTTTTACTTGAAAAGGCCATTTTGTATATAAACAATTTTATCAATAAAAACACATGGAGATGGAAAAAGAGATTCAAGACAAATGGCACTATGTTTATTTTTAAGATGAACTTTTATGGCTACTTGTGTTTATTTTCCTTAAAAATGAACAAATACCATTTTGTAATTTGTCTATTTTTTCCTGCCTTTGAATGAAAGATTTTTGAAGGAAGTGACTGTGGGTTGGTTTTATGTTTCTGTTTCTTTATTATATTGTTAAGTATAGTGTCATATCCCAAAGGGGCACTTGGAGACTATTAATTGAGTCCAAAAGTCCCTTCTGAACTATTAATATTTGTTGACTGACAAAAATACTGAGTGAATATGCATGAACAAACCATAAGAAAGTTGTAGTTACTTTCTCCTGTATGGTACTATTCTTGGAAGTAATAATTCACCAGGTGAATACGTTTATGCCAGGTGAGTATTTTTCAACTTTATTTATATAACTAACTCTGTAATTAGTCAAGTTGCTATCAGCCATTGGTTTCTTTCAATGTTCTCTTTTAAAGGCAGGTGTTAAACCCCATTTCCTCATTCCTATAAAGGTGGATATTCACTTGTATATTCATTAAGGGACATCAGGTGCTGCTGAAAAACTGACTCCAGCCAGAGCTCCCTGTAAGTGGGGACTCTTCTTTTATATCAAGCAGTGTGAGTTTGTGAGTTTTGCTTTGTTTTTGTTATTCTGTAAGTGGTGATCTAAAAGATGGGGCAAAGCTAGAGCTTAAGCCTTTACTTCTAACATGGATTGCAACATGACCACATCCTCATTACAGTAGCAGCTTCCATCATGGCCCCCAACGATTCCTATGCACCCTCGTGTAGTTCTCTCCCACCTATATCACCAACAGAACATGGCAGTAGTAGTGGTATGTCACTTGCAAGATCAGGTTATAAAAGACTGCAAGGACCCAGGGATCACACACCAAGTTAGAACCTCAGTTATTTCCAAAGGGAACTGTTTCTGAAGCTAGGAAGTATTAACCTGGAGCCTGAGCCAAGAAGGTCCAGGACTTTCTTGGATCTAGAAAAGTGAGAGAAAGAAATATCTGGGCCGGGCATGGTGGCTCAGCCTGTAATCCCAGCACTTTGGGAGGCCAAGGCGGGTGGATCACCTGAGGTCAGGAGTTCGAGACCAGCTTGCCCAACATGGCGAAACCCTGACTCTACTAAAAATACAAAAAATTAGCCAGGCGTGGTGGTGGGCGCCGGTAATCCCAGCTACTTGGGAGGCTGAGACAGGAGAATCGCTTGAACCCGGGAGGCAGAGGTTGCAGTGAGCCGAGATTGTGCCACTGCACTCCAGCTTGGGCGACAAGAGTGAAACTCCGTCTCAAAAAAAAAAATCTGAATATATAAGTAGAAATAAAAAGGAATTTCACTAGAAGACAGCAAAAGAAAAGAGCGCCTAATAAAAATAAATGAAATACACATGCTACAACATGGTTAGACCTTAAAAACATACTATGTAAAATAAGTCAGTCACAAAAGACCAGATATTGTATGATTCCATTTATGTGCGATGTCCAGAATAGACAAATATAGAGAGACAGAAAGTAGATTGGTAGTTCCCTAGGGCTCTAGGGTTAAGGTAGGGTTGGGGGTGATGGCTGGGTGTGGGGTTTCTTTTGGAAGTAATGAAAATATTCTAACATTGATTGTGGTGGTGGATGCAAAACTAAATATACTAAAGCCATTGGATTGTACACTGAAAATAAATGAATTGTATGGTATATGAATTATATCTTTAAAAAGCTATTTTAAAAAACACTGCAGCCTTTGTCTTGAGCTCTCTCTTCTCTCACTTGTTCTGAGGGAAGTCAGCCTCCTGGTCTTGGGGACACTCAGGCAACTTGCCTATGGAAAGGCTTTCATGGCAGAGGACTGAGATTTCCAGCCAACAGCCAGCAAGCAACTGAAGCTTGCCAATAACCTTGTAAATGATGTTTGCTAATCTGTTGGTGGAAAGTAGTAACTTATTAAAGTTTTAACATGCTGTTTTCTAATTTAAGTGATATTAGGCATATTTTAACATGTTTAAAGATATTTGTATGAGGAAGACAAGAAATAAAAACACAGACTCCATATTCAATGACATTAGGAAACATCTTTAACCCGAAGGCATAGTATATGAAGGCTAAAAGTGGATGGAGAAATGAAAAATGACTTAGCAAGGCAGAGGAAATTCAAACCTAGGTACTGCAGAGGAAGAGAACACCAGCAAGAAGCACACTAATTTGTCTTATGGAACCTCAGAAAGCCACAGCAGGTGAAGTATATGTGCAAGGAGGGAAGGGGCTGAAAGGGGCTGGATTATTGGAAGGTCTATATAAGGATCAGATAGGACCCAGATCCTTACTCCTACTTCCACCCCAAATAGACACTTTCCTCTCTTTCCCCATACAGGAGACAGAAGGTATCTTCTTTGGAAAAATTGAACTAGAAAGGATGTGGACTTGGGTATATCAGGCTCTAAGGAATGGGTATGAAAACAAGGATATGGTATAAAAACATAAAACTGAACTCTAAAGCAGAATGTTATGCATTTTTCCTGACCCAGCTTCAGAAAGCTAGCAGCCAGACTGTTGCTATCCCTAGGGAGGAGATAAGAGGATCCTTCTCTGGAGAAACTGAATTGATACAGATTAAATATTTTCATGTACATCAGCAGCTTCATAGTATAATAGAATTCGTTACATATTTAGAATGTAACCACCTCTCACCACATTCACTACTGCCATCCTGAATACCAGCCACCATAATTTCTTACTTGTACTGCTGCAGCATTCTCCTATCTCGTCACTTGCTTCTACCTTTATCCCTGGAGTCTGTTCTCAACCTAGCAGTCAGAACAGTCTTTTTATTACAGAGCCCAGATCATGTCATGCTTCTATTCAAAACCTTCTAGTGATAATAGGTCTCAATCAGAATAAAAGCCAATGTCCTTACTATGGCCTACGGGTCATATATGATTTGTTTCCTCTGCCCTCCTCCTCTCTGATCTTGTGTTCTTCTAGTCTCCAATTTGCTTACTCTAGTCCAGCCATTTCAGTGACCTTAGGAGAATGCTAAGCACTCTCCCAGTTCTGGGCCTTTGCATTTGCTTTTCTCTCTACTTGGAATGAGTTTCCCCCAGATATTCCCTTGGCTAGCTTTCTTACCTCCTTTAGATCTTGCTCAAGTATAATCTTAACAGAGAGGCCTTCCCCAGTCACCTATATTAAATAGCATCCTTCCCATCATTCTCTTTTAGCCTGCTTTATTTTCTTCATAGCACTTATCACTACCAGGTGTTATTATTTATTTGCTTAATCATTTGTTGTATATCTCCCTTGATGAAAATGTAAGCTTTTGAGGGCAGAGATTTTTTCCATTTTGGCTCACTGCCATATCCCAAGCATCTAGTATAGCACCTGGCACATAGTAGGTGCTTAATAAATAATTGTCGGGATGAATGAATCAATAAATCACTCAAAAGAGAAGGTAATATACTTTTCTCTTTTGATTGTTAATATGATTATCACAATAAGTTTCCTAATGTTGAACTATCCTTGCATTCCTGATATGATCTCACTTGGTCTGGTGTTTAATTCTCTTAAGATGTCACTGAATTTTGTTTGCTAGTATTTTAGTTACTATTTTCCATCATTATTCTTAAGTAAGATTTCTCAGTAGCATTTATTTAGTTGTGATACCTTTATCAGATTTTGTTCTTACATCTATGTTGGATTAAAGCAAAGAAGCATCTTTTGTTTTTCTTCTCAAGGCAGCCAATATTATCTTCCTGGAAGAAGAGAGGAGTTTGCTCTAACTTAAAGAACCAGGATTGGCTGGGCACAGTGGCTTATACCTGCAATCCTAGCATTTTGTGGGGATGGCTTGAGCCCAGGAGTTTGAGACAAGCCTGGGCAACATAGCAAGAACCCATCTCAAAAAAAAAAAAAAGGACCAGGATTATTTCAGTCCTTATTTTTCTACAATGTGTGAGGCTAGGTTCCTCTTAACTCATGTCCTCTTAATCTTGTCCATCAAAGATAGTAAAAAATTATCTGAGAAGATGTTTATCTCCCTTGGGAGTTCTGGACTTCCCATTTGCTTGGTTAGAATCCTTTCTAGGATGTTTCTAGGATCCTCAGGTTTCTTTTAATTGGAATCTTTCTCTGGGAGAGGGACTTCTGTCTGGACCTTGACCCTCTCTTAAACAGAGTGATGACTTTTAAAATACATCATTTAACTTCTAATCGATGGCTTCAGTGTAGTTACTGGGAGTGGCAGTTATTTATGCTGTACCACAGTGATATCCTCATTGGCTGTTGTAGTAGGTAAGTATGTTTGCATTATCTTAAAGAGGCCCATACTTACTGTGCATCTTGTTATTTTTGTCAGTGTTTTCATTTTGCTGTCCCTTTCTTCTTTTCTCTTTGAAATCAGCATTTTTATTTGTCCTTATCTTCTCCCACGGATTTGAAAAACATTGACAAACTTGTTAAAATTGTGCCTGAAATAAAAAGTCAATAGTTCTTTAGCCCAAGAGAATCCCTTATGGCAAAACAAAAAAACATTTAAAAACTTTTGACATCTCTTTTGACTCCTCAGAGTTGTTTCTTCATGCTTATTATTTTACTCTAGATTATTTACCATATGATTAGCTAAGTGCAGAGACATTATAGATGCCTGGGTTCAAATCATGGCTAGCTCTGGCTTTTGGGCAAGAATCACAAATTTTCTGAGCCTCAGTAACATAGGGATGATAATTAGATTTATTTCATAGGGTTGTTGTAGGGCATACATGATTTAATACATGTAAAACATTTGGAATAGTACCCAGAATATAGTAGGTAGTCAATACATTTTATCTTTCATTATTATTATTCTATTCCTAGAATAGCTTTCCCTGATGTTCTTCAAGTGCCTGATAAATATAGATGAAGACGGTCAAAGCCATGTTTAAATCTCCTTGTATCAGGAGTATGAGTGCAGTATTATTATTTTCCTTTTTTTTTAATTTTTTTTTATTTTGAGACCAAGTCTTGCTCTGTCACCCAGGCTGGAGTGCAGTGGTGTGATCTCAGCTTACTGCAACCTCCACCTCCCGGTTCAAGCGATTCTCCTGCCTCAGCCTCCTGAGTAGCTGGGACTACGGGCGTGTGCCACCACATCCGGCTAATTTTTGTATTTTTAGTAGAGACGGGGTTTCACCGTGTTGTCCAGGATGGTCTCGATCTCCTGACTTCGTGATCCACCCACCTCGGCCTCCCAAAGTGCTGGGATTACAGGTGTGAGCCACTGTGCCTGGCCTATTTTCCGATTTTTTAAGTAGGGAAATTGAGTTAGAAAAGGAAAGTGATTTACTCAGTCATACAAAACTTTTTTTTTTTTTGAGACTGAGTTTCACTCTTGTCGCCCAGGCTGGAGTGCAATGGCATGATCTTGGCTCACTGCAACCTCTGCCTCCCAGGTTCAAGCGATTCTCCTGCCTCAGCCTCCTGAGTAGCTGGGACTACAGGCATGCACCACTACGCCTGGCTAATTTTGTATTTTTAGTAGAGATGGGGTTTCACCATGTTGGCCAGGCTGGTCTCGAACTCTTGACCTCAGGTGATCCTCCTCCTTGGCCTCTCAAAGTGCTAGGATTATAGGCGTGGGTCACCATGCCCATCCTCAATCACACAAAACTATTAAAGAACCATGAGTAATACCCAACTTTCTTAATTTTTCCTTTTAAACTTTTTTCACAAATCAATAATTATTGCTATCACATGATTATTACTATACATTGAAAATATGAATTTCACATCCAGTGGCTTTAGATGCACCATTCATATGGCATTATATTTTCTGTTACATTTAATTGGCTGTTAAAATAGGCAGCATTATCACTACCATATTCATTGAAAACCTATATTATCTTGAAAATATTATGAAGATAAACCATACTCTAGGAAGTTCAATTGCTCCCAGGCTGGGCGTGGTGGCTCACACCTGTAATCACAACACTTTGGGAGGCCAAAGCGGGCAGAACACCTGAGGTCAGGAGTCTGATACTAGCCTGGCCAACATGGTGAAACCCTGTCTCTAGTAAAAATACAAAATTAGCCAGGCATGGTGGTGGGCACCACCGCAGCTACTCAGTCCCAGCTACTTGGGAGGCTGAGGCAGGAGAATCACTTGTACTTGGGAGGCAGAGGTTGCAGTGAACTGAGATCGTGCCATTGCACTCCAGCCTGGGTGACAAGAGTGAAACTCCCTCTCAAACAAAAAAAAGAAGAAGAAGTTCAATTGCTCAAAGCCTAATAATTTCTCTATCAAAGTTGGGCTAAGTAAAAGATAGGATCGAACATTTGAGAAGCACTAAGATCTAGCTACAATAGAATGACATGGAGGGCAAGTATTCTAGTTCCAGAGCCCAGCCAAGTTTGGGACTTAATCTTATTTCTACTCTTGTTATGCTATCCCGTCAAAACAAATTACTCTTGGTGGTAATTTCCTCCCTTGATAACAAAAAGTATGATATTCACCAAATAACTTTTATTATACCTTATATCTGCTTTAAAACTTTGCTTTATTGTTAACTTTTAAGCAAGTGGCATCTCATAAGATAAAGCCCTAATTTCTAACCTTGCCACATGGAATCCTTAATAACTGACCCAAGTCATTTAGGATTCTTTTGTTGCATGTGACAGAAAATCTAACTTACAATAGCTTAAGTACCAATGGAAACTTATTGACTAACATGATGGAAAAATCTAGGGGTAATTTGTCTTAGTTATGCCTTGAGCTAGGGGCTGGATAGTGTCACTGGGACTTATTCCCTCTCTTCTTCTCACAGTCTGTCTTCTGCATATTTTCTTTCACATACATTAGTGCTCTCTCTTTTTTTTTAAACAGAGGTGGGGTCTCGCTAAGTTGCCCAGACTGGTCTTGAACTCCTGGCCTCAAGCAATTCTCCCATCTCAGCCTCCCAAAGTGCCGGGATTACAGGCATGAGCCGTCACACCTGGTCCAATTAGTGCTTACTCTTGCACTCACTTTGTGTGTGTGTGTGTGTGTATAATATATGTATACATATCAACTAGTAAATTCATATAAATATGTAGTATATTAATTACTTCAATTATTATATGTTAGTTACTGCAAGTTAATACTCATTATAAAAGGAACCACATGGCCATTGTAAATATTTAAAGTGTTACAGAAGTACTTTATAAAGTACAAGTCCCCTGTTCCCCTAATACTTTTTCAATCCCACTCTAAACAGGCAACTATTAATATTGATACTGCTATTGTTCCACAAAACTTTGATCACAAACAAATGTCATACACACATGAATATATATTTAGTTTTACCTAAGTTGAATCATACTATTTGTTCTGATGTACATTATGTATTTAATAATATATCTTCAAAATTTTTTCTGTATTATCAAATACAAATCTATATTATTATTTTTAATAGTGTTAGAGTTTTACATGGTATAAGTTTCCCATAATATATTTAGTTCATCTCCTACTAATGGACATTTAAATAACTTCCAAGACTTTTTCCTTTTTTGACTATTAGAACAATGATTAAGCAACCTCTCTGTTCATATATCTCTGCATGCTTGTCATAATATTTCTCTAGATGCATATAACATTTTAAAGGAAGAGATGATGAGGCTCAGTAACATGCTCAGGGGCTTGATTTTTGTCAATTCAATCAAGAGTTGAATTGGGCATCAGTTTATATGAATCAAATTTATAAAACTCTTCATCAAAAACCAGGATGCCACTTCATTAAATTACAGTAGCAGGTATAAGCTTATTTGAAAATGGAAATCCACTGTTCAGTGCACTGCTTTCTTGGTTACCAATTAACCAGTAACCAGAAAGTTATCTAATAACCAGGTATTTTTAAATAAGGAGGTTAAATGCACTGAAAGGACTTTTTTCAAGGTGTGAAGGATTGAGTCATCCTTCTTTTTTCTTTTTCTTTTGAGACAGAGTCTCTGTCACCCAGGCTGGAGTGCAGTGGCGTGATCTAGGCTCACTGCAACCTCCACCTCCTGGGCTCAAGTGATTCTCCTGCCTAAGCCTCCCGAGTAGCTGAGATTACAGGTGCCCGGCACCGCACCCAGCTAATTTTTGTATTTTTAGTAGAGACGGGGTTTCACTATGTTGGCCAGGCTGGTCTTGAACTCCTGACCTCAGGTGATCTGCCCACCTCGGCCTCCCAAAGTTCTGGGATTACAGGCGTTAGCCACCATACCCGGCTGAGTCATCTTTCACTGTATTATCTCCCTGTCACACAGACTGCAATGTTCATACCCTCTGGTCAGGTACCATTTTGCTTGAACAGGACTGGAAACATACTGACATAGTCTTACCTATCAGTTCTATTTTTAAAAAACAACTCTATAATGAACTTGCCCTTGTTATTTACAATATCAGTTTTTGTCATATTGAGCTCCATCTCCTTTTGAGACTAGTAGTCCACTGTCCACTGGCTGGTTTCTTTAGAGGAAATTCTGTGCAGCATTCATACCAGCCTACTCTTTTCTTTTCCTTAATTCTTTCAGCTCCCAAAGGGGCTCAGGGGGCATGAGGAGCAATACTCCTTTTTTTTCATACTTTTTAATCTGTTCCTCAGCCACTTTGTCTCAAATGGAGGAATCAGTCATCAGGAACCCTTAGGCTTTCCACACTTTAAGTGGCAACCTGGAGGAGGAAAAGAGGACAGCTTCAGCTTTTAAGGGCTCTTGGCTCAAATTTCTACAAGAATGGTAAGGAAAGGGGTGGCTGTTTCAGTCATGAGTGATTATGTTCTCCAAGGCTAAACCTATAAATATTAAATGCCAATTTCATGGTGGTAAATGCCACCAAATTGGATTGCTTTTAAAACTACACATAACCCTGGCAAATATAATTTCGGTTCTTTTCTCACACTGCAGTATCCTTTTACTTACTCTATACTTTGACAGAGAAAGAATGGAACTAGCTTCATTTTGATTCATGAATGTTGTTTTTATTCTAAATGCCCCATGTGAGGGGAATGCAAATGGACACAAGATATATGCAAATTCACTTGCATATCCAGAGAAGGCAAATGAGGCTTAGTTCTTAGTTAGGTTCCTTGATCAGCCTCCCTGGGTGAGAAGGCTAAGGAAAGAGGTGTCTGTAACTGAATTGCAGAGAACGTCATGTTTGAGAACGGAGAGGAGAGATGTTGGCTGCCATACAGCTCCCAGCATTCCAGAACCTGCATATAAAAGTGAGTGCAGCTGCCAAGGCAAGTGAAGGAGCTCAATGAAAGCACGGCCTTCACTGGCATGAGGGCGCCCAGGGCACAGAATGCAATACAGCAGGATAAAATGGAATCTCCAACTTTCCTGCTTTAGGTCTTGACCCCAAGTCTCTGCATAAATCTTTAAATCGCCGATTGTCTTCCTACCTCCCCGCTCTCTCTTTTACAATCCAGGCCAGGACTAGGGTGACATGAGCGAAGCCCAAAATTTAAGGGGAGTGAAAAACTCCCCCTAATTTCTACTATCAGTAACTTTTAAATTTCTACTATCAGTAGTTGAGATAAATAATGTTTTGGTGCCTTAATTTTAAAACAATCAAAATTAGGCTGGGCTTGGTGGCTCATACCTGTAATCCAGGCACTTTGGGAAGCTGAGGCAGGAGGATGACTTGAGGTCAGGAATTTGAGAGCAGCCTGGGCAACACAGTGAGACTCCCATCTCTACAAAAAAAAGAACAAAATAAAATTAGCCAGGCATGGTGGCCCATGCCTGAGGTCCCATCTACTTGGGAGGCTGAGGTAGGAGGATCTCCTGAGCCCAGGAATTTGAGGCTGCAGTGAACTATGATCTTGCCATTGCACTCCAGCCTGGGCAACAGAGTGAGACCCTGTCTCAAAACAAAAAACAAAAACAAGCAAACAAACAAAATATCAAAATTAGTGAAAAAATCCATGATGAACAAAATATCAACATTTTAAATAAAGACAGAATTCTATCCTGCACTTGTAAGAGCCTCTCTCCAGTTGCCTCTCCTTAACCCTGATCCTGGTTCCAATAAAACTTTATTGGTAAAGCAGGTATCTAGCTGTAGTTTGCCTATCTGATTTTATAAGCTGTTGCATTAAAATATTATTTATCTTGATTACTGAGTATTTTGGAGCCCTCTTCAATTTAATGCCCCAAGTGAGTGCTCACTTGCCTCCCTCTAGTCCTGGCCTTGTTTCGACCCCTCCTTTTTTTCTTTTTTAACCTTATGATGATTCTGTTTATGAACAAGCACTTGAACTTGGCTTAATATAACGAGGGAATATGTAGGACATACGGTTTTTGCAGAGAGGTTTTTCTCATTTTCCACCTTTCTTTGCCTTCTTCCTCTGAAACCAGTTCCCTGGCAGATCCTCCTTAATTGTCTTTTTCTGCCCTCTTGTTGCCTCACTTCTCTTTTTCCAAGCAGTGTCTTCTAAACTTCTTGGTCCCAGCTATTTGAGTTCAGAACCCGACAGCTTTATCTGTCATTTCAAAAAGCCCTATCAACTGCTGTACCAATTGTAGACAATGAGGAGGAAAGAGAACTTTGCTCTGCTTGTGACACAGGTTCTGTTGCCTGGATAAGGTTCATGCACAGGGTAGGCTAAGATGGCCTGCTTAAAAGAATGGACTTTGTGGATATGCCATGACAAAGATGTGTCAAAATACCCCTGAAGTACTTATTCCTGTGCTGCATTTGATAATAGAGGATTTATTAATATTCTTTACTTTGGGGTACCTTAGCATGTATGATGATTTATTAATATTCTTTACTTCGGGGTACCTTAGCATTTATGAGGATTTATTAATATTCTTTACTTTGGGGCACCTTAGCATTTATGTTCTGTTCTAGATTTGTATTACAGCAGAGTAACGTCATAAGTACTATTTTAAAATTATTTACATTCAACTATATATACTCAGTGAGAAAGAGGGAGGAAAGGAGAGGAGGGAGAATTTAAATTTTGAAGATAAATCTTCATCCATCCCCCTAAATGAGGATATATCCTAGAGTGAGCATAAGAAGGGAGATGTGAATCTGTTGTTTCCTTACAAATCTGAGTCTACAGAACTGCACTTTATGAGCAATTTAAGGAATTTTGGGGATAATTAGCCTATATTTAGTTTTTTTCCTTTCATGTTGATTTAGGAAACAACCCTCTGTTAGATACTACTCCACTGTATAGTAATGTATGATTGTTGCTATTGTGTTTTAAGAGTGTTTTTCAATTGTTTAGTGGATTTGAATTATCTTCACCCAACTAAATTGATCTTGTGTGAAGGAAAATGTGAGGTCATAGCGATCGTACAATGTTATACTTAACCTTGTCTTCTCAGGGCTTGCAGAGGGCACCAGTTAAGACCATGGGCTTCAGGAGTAGACCGCCTGGGTTCAAATTCTAACTCGGCCACTTATTAGTTGAGTGACCCTGGACAAATTACTTACTGAGCCCCAGTTTTTCTCATCTGTAAAATGGGGATAATAATAACACCGACCTTATAGGATTATTGGGAAGATTAAGTGAAATAATACATGTGATGTACTTAGCCAGTGCCTCATGTTTAGTAAGTATTCAATAAATATTAGCTGTTATTATATTAGGTCTGGGGTTGCCTGCTGCATGGCAAATCTGCAGTTTGAGAACTTGCCACTACAAATAGTGATCCTGGGCTATGATGGTAAGGTCCAAACAGTCAGGCTTCTTTCTAACAGATATCTAGTAGCATGTAATTCCAGTTTGTTATGAGTTTTTTCCATAATAATGGTTTGGTAAATTTGCAGATTTGAACACAAAGAAGATGTGACACACTTAGACCATAATGTTAAGAAATAGACTTAAGTAAAGTTTGGGTCAATTTTTAATTTCTACTACAGTTATCAACTGCTTTTTAGTTCCTGGTTGTATTTCCAGGTGTTAATAGGAAATAATCTTCTTTCCGCCCTTAACCAAATTGCTTTGCTTGTTTAAAACACAGCTTTGGCAATGGTGCTGAAAGATTTTAGCAGCTTGGCAAAAAAAAAAAGATCATACAAGCAGTTTGCTCATTCTCTTATCTGGTTGGTGCTCAGTCCTCATTTCATCAGATTTCTTGAGAAGAATTATTTCATTTCTCTTCTTACAGGAAAAGATAAAAAGAGAATTGTGACTATGTTGTGCACATACCCCCAACTTTTTTTTTTTTTTGAGACAGAGTCTTGCTCTGTTGCCCAGGCTGGAGTGCAATGGTGTGATCTCAGCTCATGGCAACCTCCACCTTCCAGGTTCAAGCAATTCTCCTGCCTCAGCTTCCCAAGTAGCTGGGATCATAGGCATGTGCCACCATGTCTGGCTAATTTTTGTATTTTTAGTAGAGATGGGGTTTCACCATATTGGCCAGACTGGTCTCAACCTTCTGACCTCAGGTGATCCTCCCGCCTTGGCCTCACAAAGTGTTGGGATTCAAGGCGTGAGCTACCATGTCCAACTGGACATACCCTTTCCTAATCAAGGGCTTCCTTTGCAGCCTTAAGCTGAGAAATCCCACAGCTTCCTTTATTCCATTCTAATAATTGCTTAATATTATTATAATTGTTTTCTCTAGAGCAGGGATTGGCAAACAACAATTCACATGCCTGCCACCTGTTTTTGCAAATAAAGTTTTATTGGAACACAGCCATGCCAATTTGCTTACCTATTGTCTATGGCTGCTTTCCTGCTACAATGGCAGAGTTGAGTAGCTCCAACAGAGACCATATAGCCCACAAGCTTAAAATATTTACTATCTGGGTCTTCAAGAAAAAGTTTATGGACCCCTTGTTCTAGAATGTGTATATCTTTCAGCTTTGTATTAGCTATCTATTGCTGAATAAAAAAATTACCCCAAAATAATAATGTGAGATAATAAATGTTTGTATGGGTCAAGAATTCAGTAGTTTAGCTGGGCGGTTCTGGCTCACACTCGCTCATAAAGTTGCAGTCAAGATGTTGGCCAGGACTCCAGTTATATGAAGGCTTGACTGGAGTTGAAGGATCCACTTCCAAGAAGGCTTACTCACATGGCTGTTAGTAGAAGGCCTTAGTTCCTTGCTGGCAGTGGGCAAGAGGTCTCAGTTCTTTGCCACATGGACCTCTCCACAGGGCTACCTGAATGTTCTTACCACATAGCAGTTGTTTTTCCCTAGCACAAGTGATCTGAGAGAGAACAACGAGAAGACTTTACCACCTTTTATGATCTAGTATCAGAAGGCATACTTGTTTACATTGTACTTTGTTAGAAGAAAATTGCCAAGTACCGCACACACTCAAAGAAAGGAAAATTAAGCTCCACCATCTTTTTTTTTTTTTTTTTTTTTTAATGAGACAGGATCTCACTCTGTTGCCCATGTTGCCCATGCTGGAGTGCAGTGATGTGATTACAGCTCACTACAGTCTCCACCTCCTGGGCTCTGGTAATTCTCCTGCCTCAGCCTACCAAGTAGCTGGGACGATAGGCATGCACCACCATGCCTGACTAATTTTTTTTTGAGACAGAGTCTCACTCTGTTGCCCAGATTGGAGTGCAGTGGTGCAATCTTGGCTTACTGCAACCTCCATCTCCCAGGTTCATGCCATTCTCCTGCCTCAGCCTCCTGAGTAGCTGGGACTACAGGCGCCCGCCACCACGCCTGGCTAATTTTTTTTGTATTTTTAGTAGAGACAGGGTTTCACCGTGTTAGCCAGGATGGTCTCGATCTCCTGACCTCGTGATCCGCCCGCTTTGGCCTCCAAAGTGCTGGGATTACAGGCGTGAGCCACCGCGCCTGGCCATGCCTGACTAATTTTTTGTGTTTTTTGTAGAGACAGGATTTTGCCATGTTACCCAGGCTGGTTTTGAACTCCTGGGCTCAAGCAATCCTCCCACCTGGGCCTCCCAAAGTGCTGGGATTACAGGTGTGAACCATGATGCCCAGCCAAGCTCCACCTTTTAAAGGAAGGAGCATCAGATAATTTATGGACGTTCAAAGCAAGTTACTATTTGTTACTAGTTGTGAGATTTTTATCAAGTCACCTATCTTATATAAGCCTCAGTTTCCCCAACTGTAAATTGGGGATATGAATGTGTACCTTATAGAGTTGTTAATGGTATTTAATGAGCTTATTTATACAAAATGTCTATCTTAGAGTAAGGGCTGAGTAATTAGAGTGACATTATTATTATTTTTGTAGTGTAGCTTATATAGCATAGGACCTTGCAAGATGTTTGAGTGGACCTTATGGCTATTATTAATCCTATAGCCACGATATGTCTCTCATAGTACGCTACATATTTTTTCACCTCTGCTTCTCCAATGTGTATGATAGTGCCTGGCTCATATTAGGTTCTCAATCAATGTTTGCTAAAAGAGCAAATTAATCTTTATCTGGAAATCTACAGATAGTTCAAACCCAACATATGAGGAAGCCCAAACCATTAGCTTCCCCCAAATCATGTAGTGTCAAGAAAAGTGCCTGGCACATAACAGTTGTCAAAATAGCAAGTTAATATGGACGTATTTTAAAACTACTGTGCTTAATTCCAAATGAGTCTTAAGTGTTTGTTTGTTCGTTCGTTTTTTAGGGTTGGCAAACTCTCTTTTATTTTCTGTTTTTTGAGACAGGGTCTCACTCTGTTGCCCAGGCTGGAGTGTAATGACACAATCACGGCTCACTGCAGCCTCGACTTCCCAGGCTCAGGTGATTCTCCCATCTCAGTCTCCCGAATAGCTGGGACTACAGTTGTGCACCACCATACATGGGTAATTTTTTGTATTTTTAGTAGAGATGGAGTTTCACTGTGTTTCAGAGGCTGGTCTTGAACTCCTGGGCTGACATGATCCACCTGCCTCGGCCTTCTAAAATGCTGGGATTACAGGGTTGAGCCACCTCGCCCAGCAAAAATTTTTCTATAAAGGGCCAGTTAGGAAGTATATTTGGCTTTGTGGGCCATATGGTGTCTGTTGCAAGTACTCAACTCTGTATCAGGAAAGTAGCTATAGACAATAGGTAAATGATATTAGCCACACAATAGGTAAATGATACAGCCACACAATAGGGTGTGGCTGTATTCTAATAAAAATTTATTTACAAAATAGAAGGGGAGTTAGATTTGGCCCACAGGCTGTAGTTTGCTGATCCCAGGTCCAGGAGATCTTTTTACAAGAACACCAATCAAGAAGTTGACTCACATAGAAGACATATGATTCAAAGCTAGATATATACTGGG